>NC_000005.10:42640749-43273274 GCF_000001405.40 Homo sapiens | reverse complement strand
CCAAGATCACACCACTGCACTCCAGCCTAGGTGACAGAGTGAGACTCCACCTCAAAAAAAAGAAAAAAAAAAAAGCACTCTGGCAAGATGTGAGAAGTGCAGAGAGGAGCAGCAAGCCTGGGAGCAAGTGGGAGTCTAGGAGGGGATGATAGAAACCCCAGAGAAAGGGTGCTCTATGTGGTGCAAGGGGAGACAGAGAGAAGTAGACAGATGGGAGAGGCCAGCATGCCCTTTCTCCAAATCTGATGAGAAGTCTGACACAGGTCCCACCTAGCGGGCAACACATTCTTTAAACCAGGACTCCTAGTGCCAGGGTGGTAATAGCAAAGCAAGGTTATTGTATGGAACAGGGAGTTAGTGGGGATGGTGAATCCTTAAGAGTAGCTGCCCCAGTGGAAGGGGTGGCTCTACTCAAGGCCACACAATGGTTACTATTTGGAATGGAGGCTCAGTGTTGTCAAACCTTCTGATTTTTTTTCAAGAGAAGCCAGACATCTGAAACTTTATGCAAAATCTTCCAATTATTAAGTATCAACAACTAATTCAAATTTTAAAACCTAGATTAGACCAAGCAAAATACGTCTACAGGACCAAGGGGACAAAGGGAAGGGAGCAGATATTAAAACCTAGGAAGATAGTTTTGTGTAGAGAGAAGCTGAGGCTTTCCTTCTAGACACAAAAGTTGCCTGAGTCAGCCTTACCGTGAGGGGCTGGGGGAATAAAATCAGGCCCTCCTTCTCCTTCCTTCCCCTGCAAGGGCTCCCTAGAGATCAAAGTCAACTGGAACCCAGAGGACTAAGGAGATTTGATGTAGTCCTGGGCTGAGAGCAGAATGAAGAAGGGTGGAGAGTAGATCTGGAGGGGCAGATAGAAAATATCAGGTACAGTGGGCTTAGGGGGAAAAGTGCCAGGAGCATTAGGAGCATAAAACAGGGGGATGTACTCCTGGTCTGGGGGTTAGGGAAGACTTTTAACACTTTCTCTGGAGTCCAAGAGTTAGCTAGAGAAAAGTAGGGAGAGGTTCTAAAAGTAGGGATGGGTAGGACAGAAGATCTTGAGGTAGGAAAGACCTGAAACATTAGGGTTATGGTCTACAAGCTTTTTTGATTGGCTTCCTTTGTCAATAAAGCATTTTTTTAATATTCAACATCATTAGTTGCTTTATTGATAATAGCTCCTAACTGCAAAGAATCTACATGTCCTCAGCTGGTGAATGGTTAAACAAATTGTGGTACCTTCATACGTGGAATACCACTCAGCAATAAAAATGAACCAACTATTGATACAACAGTTTAGATGAATTGCCCGAGAAGTATGGTGAGTGAAAAATGCCAATCCTAAAAGGTTACTACTGTATGATTTCTTGTATATAATTTTCTTGGAATGACAAAATTATAGAAATGGAGAACGGATTAGTGGCTGGCAGGAGTCAGGGACAGGGTATAGGGGGTTAGGAGGTGGCTACAGAAGAGCCACTTGAAGGGCCCTTGTGATAATGGACTTGTCCTGTATCTTTACTGTGGTGGGGAATATAACAACCTATTTATGTGATAACATTCCATAGAGTTAAAATACATACACATGCATGAATACAAGAACTGGGAAAATCTTAATAAGATCAGTGAATTAGATCAATATTAATATCAAGGTTATGACTATAGTTTTGCAAGATGCAAGTTTGTGTGAAACTGGGTAAATGGTACATGTGGTCTCTGTACATATTCTTACAACTGCATGTGCATAATAAAACATTTTTGAGCACTACTCTAATATATGTATACGTATTTATAAAGTGTATCCATGTACTACTGATTTACACATTTTCAATATATATAATCACAGAAATTAAAAATATATAATCACAAATAAATATAAAAGGAAGTTCTAGTATTTTTTTTCCTCATCCCAGTGAATCATCTTGGGCATTCTCTGGGGGTATATGCACCCTCAGAGATGACTGACTTTGAAGAATTGAAAGAAGAAAGTAGGGCTGGCATACGGGGAAGAAGGAAAAATATAAGCCAAAAAAGAGGCTGGAGAGTTGGCCACACCAAGGTCTTGTGAGTCATTTCACATTAAGGGCAGTAAGAAGCATGCTATTATTATTTTTGCCTATAAAAAGGTATTTCACATATATAAATTAAAAACCCACAAACTTAAAACTGCCACTTGAAAAAAAAAAAGAAGCTGCTGGAAGCTTGTAAGTAGGTAGTTACATGATCAGGCTTGTAATTTCTAAAACATCACCTCTGGCTGCTATGGGGGAAATGATATAAACATGAAGACAAATTACAGTAGCTTAATCCAATGAGGAAAGGAGGAGATATTTAGGAAGTGAAATCAATACCACTTGGTGTTTGGGTGTTAGGGGTTGAGGAAAAGGTCAAGGTTTCTCAGTTGAGCAACTGGGAGGCTGGTGACATTCACTGGAGGAGGATCTCTATTAATGTTATCATGCCTTCGGGCACTCCCTAAGTTCCCCTGTCTCTCTCCCAGGTTGTTGAGTTCACTTTGCTAAACCATGACTCTGGTTAAATCCAGCTTCCCACTACTCTCTGCCTGCACCCATGCTGTTGGACATAATGGCTTGTCTCACTTTGAATTTCTGGTCACTAACTTCAGTTGGCCCTTTAAAGCGCCTGGCAGACATACTTTCCCTAGTCCAATAAACCTCATACACTTTTGTATAACTCTTTCATGGCTTCTTTTCTCTCATCAAGTCTCTAATGCCTTCTTCCACTCCTCATTCACAGCTGGTAACCTTGCTTCCTACTTTATTGAGTAAAATAAGCAATAGAGGAGAATTTCCTCAAGTCCTTCCCACCATGTCTTCCAACCTACTGGAATCTCTCTTCCTTCATTTTACTTTGGATAAACAATTCCTACTCCTATCTAAGGCCTAGCTAAGACTCCTTTACATGTTGAATAGATTCCATCTACTCTCATATACTAAAGAGCAGCCCTCCAAAAAAGCTTTCTTTCTTCTCTCCTGCATCAATTTTCTCTTCCCACTGGATTGTTTCCATCATCACACATTTATGTCATTGATAAAAATCTTCCCCTCAGCAGAAACCTTACAAGCCAGAAGGGATTGGGGTCCAATCTTTAGCCTCCTTAAACAGAATAAGTGTCAGTCAAGAATTTTGTGTCCAGCAAAACTAAGTTTCATAAATGAAAGAGAAATAAAGTCTTTTCCAGACAAGCAAATGATGAAGGAATTTGTAACTACCAGACCAGCCATACACAAAATTCTAAAAGGACTTCTAAATCTTGAAACCAAAAGTTGACATGCATCAGAATAAAACCTCTTGAAAGCATAAAACTCACAGGGCCTATAAAACAATAACACACACACATGGCCGGGCACGGTGGCTCACACCTGTAATCCCAGCACTTTGGGAGGCCAAGGGGGGTGGATCACGAGGTCAGGAGATCGAGACCATCCTGGCTAACATGGTGAAACCCCGTCTCTACTAAAAATACAAAAAATTAGCCAGGCGTAGTGGCGGGTGTCTGTAGTCCCAGCTACTCGGGAGGCTGAGGCAGGAGAATGGCATGAACCCAGGAGGCGGAGCTTGCAGTGAGCAGAGATCTCGCCACTGCACTCCAGCCTGGGTGACAGAGCAAGACTCTGTCTCAAAAAAATTAAAATAAAAAAATAAAAACAATAACACACACACACACACAAAAGGATCCAGGTAATAATCAACATGATGAGGAGAATCGTACCTTACATCTCAATGTTAATATTAAACATAAATGGCATAAATGCTCCACTGAAAACATACAGATTGGCAGAATGGATAAAATATCACAAACCAAATATCTGCTGTCTTCAAGAGACTCATCTAATGCATAAGGATTCACACAAGCACAAGGTAAAGGGGTGGGAAAAGATGTTCTGTGTATATGGAAACCAAAGGCTAGCAGGAGTAGCTATTCTTTTTTTTTTTTCTTTTTTTTTTTGAGATGAAGTCTCACTTTGTTGCCCAGGCTGGAGAGCAAGGCGCAATCTTGGCTCACTGCAACCTCTGCCTCCCGGGTACAAGCAATTCTCCTGCCTCAGCCTCCTGAGTAGCTGGGATTACAGGTGCCCCCACCATGCCTGGCTAATGTTTTTGTAAATTTAGTAGAGATGGAGTTTCACCATCTCTGTCTGGCTGGTCTTGAACTCCTGACCTCAGGTGATATACCTGCCTCAGCCTCCCAAAGTGCTGGGATTTACAGGTGTGAGCCACCGTGCCCGGGTAGGAGTGGCTATTCTTATATTAAATAAAACAGACTTTAAAGCAACAACAGTTAAAAAAAAGAAAAAGACAAAGAAGGTCATTATAAAACCACCTTTGCAAAAATTATATCACTGAGACAATTATGGCAGTGGGGGACATCTGATCTAGCCAACCTCCCTCTTGCCTTTAGCCTTCAAGCTGCCTTAATTATTCCTGGGCTTAGTCTTGGCTAGCTTTGGGAGACATTTAGTTTGTAGTTTAAATGATAATAATCTTTCCCAAAACTCAGTCACCTTTGTAAAGCTAATGAGAAACCACCAGACTTAGGAGGAGGAGAAGAGCCTGAATTCTGCTAAGGTGTGGATATAAATGATTGACAGCCATTATTCCAGAGGTCACAGATATGCAACTCCCCCAATTACTCATGCAGATAACATCACTATTGTAGAACCTAAGATTAGCCTTTTGAGATATCTTTTCAGGTTTTTTGCATGTCTGACACCGATGGCTTCACTTGGACCCATATGGACCCACCAACCACTCCTGTGGCCCCACAGAAGTGACTCAGCACAAGAGGACAGCTTCAACTCCATATGATTTCATCTCCAACCCAAACAATCAGCAGCAAGCACCTGGTCTGGTCAGCCCAATCCCTTCCCCAAAACTGCCTTTGAAAAACCCCTAACCAACAAGCCTTTGATGAGATTGATTTGAGTAATATCTCCATCCTAGTTTGACCACATGGCATGACTGGCCTTGCATCAATTAAACACTTTCTTCACCACAATGCCATGAATTGATTTTGCTTGTGCAGTGGGCAGAAATAACCTGTTAGGTGGTTACAATTATATAATGATAAAAGGATTAATCTGACAAGAGAATATTATAATCCAAAATATATGTGTACCTAACTATGGAGCTCCAAAATTCATAAAACAATTACTGCTAGACCTAAGGAAAGAGATAATGAGCAACCCAATAATAGTGGGATACTTCAACACCCCACTGACAGCACTAGACAGATCATCGAGGCAGAAAGTCAACAAAGAAACAATGACTTAAACAATACTCTAAAACAAGTAGACCTAACAGATATTTACAGAACATCCTACCCAAAAACTATAGAATATACTTTCTTCTCATCAGCACATGGAATATATTCCAACATAGGCCATAAGATTGGCTACAAAACAAGTATCAATAATTTTTAAAAATCAAAATCATATCAAGCATCTTCTCAGACCACAGTAGGAAAAAACTAGAAACCAACTCCAAAAGGAATTCTCAAAACTATACAAATACATGGAAATTAAAAAATCTGCTCCTGTATAAATTTTGGGTTAACAATGAAATAAAGATGAACATTTAAAAATTACTTGAAATGAATGATAATATGACACAGTTGTCAAAACTTCTGAGATACAGCAAAAGTGGTGCTAAGAGGAAAGTTTATAGCACTAAATGCCTACATCAAAAAGTCTGAAAGATCACAACTTGACACCCTAACATCGCACCTCAAGGAGCTAAAGAAACAGGAACAAAGGAACCCAAAGCTAGAGAAGAAAAGAAACAACAAAGACCAGAGCAGAAATAAATGAAATTGAAACAAAAATATTACACAAGGTTAGTAAAACAAAAAGTTGGTTCTTTGAAAAGATAAACAAAATTGATAGACCATTAACTAGATTAACTAAGAGGAGAGAAGTTTTGAATAAGTTCAATTAGAAATGAAAATAGAGACACTACAACCAATGAAACAGAAATACAAAAGATCAGTTGAGATTACTATGAACATCTCTATTCACACAAACTAAAAAACATAGAAGAAATGGATAAATTCCTGGAAATTTACAACCATCCCAGATTAAATCAGGAAGAAATAGAAATCCTGAGCAGACCAGATAACAAGCAGTGAGACTGACTAAGTAAAATTTACTGATTGAAATTGCCAGCAACAAAAAAGCCTAGGGCCAGATGGATTCATAGCTGAATTCTACCAGACAGTCAAAGAAGAATTGGAAGCAATACTATTGAGATTATTCAAAAAGATTGAGAAAGAGAAAATCCTCCCAAACTCATTCTATGAAGCCAGTATCACCCTGTGTCAAACCCAGGAAATGACATAACAAAAAAGAAAACTACAGATCAATATTCCTGATGAACATAGATGCAAAAGTCCTCAACAAAATACCAGCAAACAGAATCCAATAGCAAATCAAAAACATAATACATCATGATCAAATGGGCTTTGTCCCAGAGATAGAGGGAAGATTTAACATACGCAAGTCAGGGGGGAGGTTCAAAGATGGCCAAATAGGAACAGCTCCAGTCTACAGCTCCCAGCATGAGCAACGCAGAAGACAGGTGATTTCTGCATTTCCAACTGAGGTACCGCGTTCATCGCACTGGGGCTTGTTGGACAGTGGGTGCAGCCCACGAAGTGTGAGCTGAACTAGGGCAGGGCATCGCCTCACCCAGGAAGTGCAAGGGGTCAGGGAATCCCCTTTCTTAGCCAAGGGAAGTGATGACAGAAGGTACCTGGAAAATCGGGACACTCCCACCCTAATACTGTGCTCTTCCAACAGTCCTAGCAAATGGCACACCAGGAGATCATATCCCGCACCTGGCTCAGAGGGTCCCACGCCCATGGAGCCTCACTCACTGCTAGCACAGCAGTCTGAGATTGAACTGCAAGGTGGCAATGAGGCTGGTGGAGGGACATCCGCCATTGCTGAGGCTTGAGTAGGTAAACAAAGCAGCTGGGAAGCTCAAACTGGGTGGAGCCCCCCACAGCTCAAGGAGGCCAGCCTGCCTCTGTAGACTCCACCTCTAGGGGCAGGGCATAGCTGAACAAAAGGCAGCAGAAAATTCTGCAGACTTAAACATCCCTGTCTGACAGCTTTGAAGAGAGTAGTGGTTCTCCCAGCACAGAGTGTGAGATCTGAGAACGGACAGACTTCCTCCTCAAGTGGGTCCCTGACCCCTGAGTAGCCTGAGCGGCACCTCCCAGTAGGGGCCGACTGATGCCTCACACAGCTGGGTGACCCTCTGAGATGAAGCTTCCAGAGGAAGGATCAGGCAGCAACATTTGCTATTCTGCAATATTTGCTGTTTTGCAGCCTCTGCTGGTGATACCCAGGCAAACAGGTCTGAAGTGGACCTCCAGCAAACTCCAACAGACCTGCAGCTGAGGGTCCTGTCTGTTAGAAGGAAAACTAACAAACAGAAAGGACATCCACACCAAAATCCCATCTGTAGGTCACCATCATCAAAGACCAAAGGTAGATAAAACCACAAAGATGGGGAGAAACCAGAGCAGAAAAGCTGAAAATTCTAAGAATCAGAGTGCCTCTTCTCCTCCAAAGGAATGCAGCTCCTTGCCAGCCATAGAACAAAGCTGGACGGAGAATGAATTTGATGAGTTGAGAGAAGAAGGCTCCAGACAATTGGTAATAACAAACTTCTCCAAGCTAAAGGAGGATGTTCGAACCCATCTCAAAGAAGCTAAAAACCTTGAAAAAGGATTAGACAAATGGCTAACTAGAATAAAAAGCATAGAGAAGACCTTAAATGACCTGATGGAGCTGAAAACCATGGCACAAGAACTATGTGATGCATGCACAAGCTTCAGTAGCCAATTCGATCAAATGGAAGAAAAGGTATCAGTGATTGAAGATCAAATGAATGAAATGAAGTGAGAAGAGAATTTTAGAGAAAAAAGAGTAAAAAGAAATAAACAAAGCCTCCAAGAAATATGGGACTATATGAAAAGACCAAATCTACGTCTGATTGGTGTACCTGAAAGTGACGGAGAGAATGGAACCAAGTTGGAAAACACTCTGCAGGATATTATCCAGGAGAACTTCCCCAACCTAGCAAGGCAGGCCAACATTCAAATTCAGGAAGTGCAGAGAACATCACAAAGATACTCCTCGAAAAGAGCAATTCCAAGACACAATTGTCAGATTCACCAAAGTTGAAATGAAGGCAAAAATGTTAAGGGCAGCCAGAGAGACAGGTTGGGTTACCTGCAAAGGGAAGCCCATCAGACTAACAGCAGATCTCTCGGCAGAAACTCTACAAGCCAGAAGAGAGTGGGGGCCAATATTCAACATTCTTAAAGAAAAGAATTTTCCATCCAGAATTCCATAGCCAGTCAAACTAAGCTTCATAAGTGAAGAAGAAATAAAATCCTTTACAGACAAAAAATGCTGAGAGATTTTGTCACCACCAGGCCTGCCTTCAAGAGCTCCTGAAGGAAGCACTAAACATGGAAAGGAACAACCAGTACCAGCCACTGCAAAAACATGCCAAATTGTAAAGACCATCGATGCTAGGGAGAAAACTGCATCAACTAACAAGCAAAATAACCAGCTAACATCATACTGACAGGATCAAATTCACACAAAACAATATTAACCTTAAATGTAAATAGGCTAAATCCTCCAATTAAAAGACATAGACTGGCAAATTGGATAGAGTCAAGACGCATCAGTGTGCTGTATTCAGGAGACCCATCTCACATGCAGAGACACACATAGGCTCAAAATAAAGGCATGGAGGAAGATCTACCAAGCAAATGGAAAACAGAAAAAGGCAGGGGTTACAATCCTAGTCTCTGATAAAACAGACTTTAAACTAACAAAGATCAAAAGAGACAAAGAAGGCCATTACATAATGGTAAAGGGATCAATGCAACAAGAAGAGCTAACTATCCTAAACATATACGCATCCAATAAAAGAGCACCCAGATTCATAAAACAAGTCCATAGAGACCTACAAAGAGACTTAGACTCCCAAACAATAATAATGGGAGGCTTTGACACCCCACTGTCAACATTAGACAGATCAATGAGACAGAAAGTTAACAAGGATATCCAGGACTTGAACTCAGCTCTGCACCACGCAGACCTAACAGACGTCTACAGAACTCTCGACCCCAAATCAACAGAATATACATTCTTCTCAGCACTACATCACACTTATTCCAAAATTGACTACATAGTTGGAAGTAAAGCACTCCTCAGCAAATGTAAAAGAACAGAAATTATAACAAACTGTCTCTCAGACCACAGTGCAATCAAACTAGAACTCAGGATTAAGAAACTCACTCAAAACCACTCAACTACATGGAAACTGAACAACCTGCTCCTGAATGACTACTGGATACATAACAAAATGAAGGCAGAAATAAAGATGTCCTTTGAAACCAATAAGAACACAGACACAACGTACCAGAATCTCTGGGATACATGTAAAGCAGTGTGTAGAGGGAAATTTATAGCATTAAATGCTCACAAGAGAAAGCAGGAAAGATCTAAAATTGACACCCTAACATCACAATTAAAAGAACTAGAGAAGCAAGAGCAAGCACATTCAAAAGCTAGCAGAAAGCAAGAAATGACTAAGATCAGAGCAGAACTGAAGGAGATGGAGACACCAAAAACCCTTAAAAAAATAAAAAAATCAATGAATCCAAGAGCTGTTTTTTTTTTGAAAAGATCAACAAAATTGATAGACTGCTAGCAAGACTAATAAAGAAGAAAAGAGAGAAGAATCAAATAGAGGCAATAAAAAATGATAAAGGGGATATCACCACCGATCCCACAGAAATACAAACTACCATCAGAGAAAACTATAAATACCACTCTGCAAATAAACTAGAAAATCTAGAAGAAATGGATAAATTCCTGGACACATACACCCTCCCAAGACTAAACCAGGAAGAAGTTGAATCCCTGAATAGACCAGTAACAGGTTCTGAAATTGAGGCAATAATTAATAGCCTACCAACCAAAAAAAGTTCAGAAGCAGACAGATTCACAGCTGAATTCTACCAGAGGTACAAAAGGAGCTGGTACCATTCCTTCTGAAACTATTCCAATCAATAGAAAAAGAGGGAATCCTCCCTAACTCATTTTATGAGGCCAGCAACATCCTAATACCAAAACCTGGAAGAGACACAACAAAAAAAGAGAATTTTCACCAATATCCCTGATGAACATTGATGCAAAAATCCTCAATAAAATACTGGCAAACTGAATCCAGCAGCACATCAAAAAGCTTATCCACCACGATCAAGTTGGCTTCATCCCTAGGGTGCAAGGCTCATTCAACATACGCAAATCAATAAACGTAATCCATCATTATACAAACAGAACCAAAGACAAAAACCACATGATTATCTCAATAGATGCAGAAAAGGTCTTTGACAAA
Source organism: Homo sapiens (assembly GCF_000001405.40). Lineage (NCBI taxonomy): Eukaryota > Metazoa > Chordata > Mammalia > Primates > Hominidae > Homo > Homo sapiens. The sequence continues at coordinate 43,262,829 of NC_000005.10, read as the reverse complement.
ATTCAACAACCCTTCATGCTAAAAATTCTCAATAAAATAGGTACTGATGGAATGCATCACAAAATAGTAAGAGCTATTTATGATAAACCCACAGCCAATATCATATGGAATGGGCAAAAACTGGAAGCATTCCCTTTGAAAACTGACACAAGACAGGGATGCCCTCTCTCACCACTCCTATTCAACATAGTGTTGGAAGTTCTGGCCAGGGCAATCAAGCAGGAGAAAGAAATAAAGGCTATTCAATTAGGAAAAGAGGAAGTCAAATTGTCCCTGTTTGCAAATGACATGATTGTATATCTAGAAAACCCCATCGTCTCAGCCGCAAATCTCCTTAAGCTGATAAAGAACTTCAGCAAAGTCTCAGGATACAAAATCAGTGTGCAAAAATCACAAGCATTCCTCTACCAATAACAGACAAAGAGAGAGCCAAATCATGAGTGAAATCCCATTCACAATTGCTTCAAAGAGAATAAAATACCTAGGAATCCAACTTACAAGGGATGTGAAGGACCTCTTCAAGGAGAACTACAAAGCACTGCTCAATGAAATAAAAGAGGACACAAACAAATGGAAGAACATTCCATGCTCATGGATAGGAAGAATCAATATCGTGAAAATGGTCATTCTGCCCAAGGTAATTTATAGATTCAATGCCATCCCCATCAAGTTACCAATGACTTTCTTCACAGAAGTGGAAAAAACTACTTTAAAGTTCATATGGAACCAAAAAAGAGCCCACATTGCCAAGAAAATTGTAAGCCAAAAGAACAAAGCAGGAGGCATCACACTACCTGACTTCAAACTATACTACAAGGCTACAGTAACCAAAACAGCATGGTACTGGTACAAAAACAGAGAGATAGACCAATGGAACAGAACGGAGCCCTCTGAAATAATACCACACGTCTACAACCATCTGATCTTTGACAAAGCTGACAAAAACAAGAAATGGGGAAAGGATTCCTATTTAATAAGTGGTGCTGGGAAAACTGGCTGGCCATATGTAGAAAGTGGAAACTGGATCCCTTCCTTACACCTTATACAAAAATTAATTCAAGATGAATTAAAGACTTAAATGTTAGACCTAAAACTATAAAAACCCTAGAAGAAAACCTAGGCAATACCATTCAGGACATAGGCATGGGCAAGGACTTCATGTCTAAAACACCAAAAGCAATGGCAACAAAAGCCAAAATTGACAAATGGGATCTAATTAAATTCAAGAGCTTCTGCACAGCAAAAGAAACTACCATCAGAATGAACAGGCAACCTACAGAATGGGAGAAAATTTTTGCAATCTACCCACCTGACAAAGGGCTAATATCCAGAATCTACAAAGAACTCAAACAAATTTACAAGAAAAAAAACAAGCAACCGCATCAAAAAGTGGGCAAAGGATATAAACAGACACTTCTCAAAAGAAGACATTTATGCAGCCAACAGACACATGAAAAAATGCTCATCATCACTGGCCATCAGAGAAATGCAAATCAAAACCACAATGAAATACCATCTCATACTAGTTATGGCAATCATTAAAAAGTCAGGAAACAACAGGTGCTAGAGAGGATGTGGATAAATAGGAACACTTTTACACTGTTGGTGGGACTGTAAACTAGTTCAACCATTGAGGAAGTCAATGTGGCACTTCCTCAAGGATCTAGAACTAGAAATACCATTTGACCCAGCCATCCCATTACTGGGTATATACCCAAAGGATTATAAATCATGCTGCTATAAAGACACATGCACACGTATGTTTATTGTGGCACTATTCACAATAGCAAAGACTTGGAACCAACCCAAATGTCCACCAATGATAGACTGGATTAAGAAAATGTGGCATATATACACCATGGAATACTATGCAGTCATAAAAAAGGATGAGTTCATGTCCTTTGCAGGGACATGGATGAAGCTGGAAACCATCATTCTGAGCAAACTATCGCAAGGACAGAAAACCAAACACCGAATGTTCTCACTCATAGGTGGGAATTGAACAATGAGAACACCTGGACACAGGGTGGGGAACATCACACATCCGGGCCTGTCGTCGGGTGGGGGAAGGGGGGAGGGATAGCATTAGGAGATATACCTAATGTAAATGATCAGTTAATGGGTACAGCACACCAATATGGCACATGTATACATATGTAACAAACCTGCACATTGTGCACATGTACTGCAGAACTTAAAGTATAATAATAAAAAAATCTGTGCTCTCTCTCTCTCTCTATATATATATGCAAGTCAATAAATATGATAAATCACATAAACAGAATTAAAAACAAAACCATATGATCATCTTAATAGATGCAGAAAGAGCATTAAGTAAAATCCAGCATTGCTCTATGACAAAAACAATGTCATGACAAAACCCAGCATTGCTTTATGACAAAAACAATGACAACAAACTAGGCATAGAAGGAACATAACTCAAAATAACAAAAGCCATATATCACAAACCGAAAGCCAACATCATACCAAATGGGGAAAAGTTGAAAGCATTCCCCCTGAGAGCTGGAACAAGACAAGAATGCCCACTTTCATCACTTCTGTTCAACATAGTACTGGAAGTCCTAGCCAGAGCAATCAGGCAAGAGAAAGAAATAAAGGACATCTAAAGTGGAAAAGGGAAAGTCAAACCATCTCTGTTTGCTGATGATATGATCATATACCTAGAAAACCCTAAAGATTCCTTCAAAAGACTCGTAGATTTTTCTCTTTTTTTAAAACTAACAACCAACTGATCTTCAACAAAGCATACAAAAACATAAATTAGGGAAAGGACACCCTATTTAGTAAATGTTGCTGGGAAAACTGGATAGCCCCATGTAGGAGAATAAAACTGGATCCCACTCACCTTATACAAAAATCAACTCAATATGATTAAAGACTTAAATCTAAGACCTGAAACCACAAAAATTATAGAAGAAAACAGGAAAAACTCTACTGGACATTGACTTAGATAAAGAATTTGTGACTAAGACCCCAAAAGTAAATGCAACAAAAACAAAAATAAATAAATGGGACCTCATTAAACTGAAAAGCTTCTGCACAACAGAAAAAATAATCATCAAAGCAAACAGGCAATCCACAGAATGGGAGAAAATATTTGCAAACTATGTATCTGACAAAGAACTAATATCCAGAATTTACAGGGAACTCAAACAAATTAGCAAACAAAAAACAAAAAAAGATCTCATTAAAAAGTGGGCAAATGATATGAATAAATATTTCTCAAAAGAAGACATACAAATGGCCAACAAACATATGGAAAAACACTCTACATCACTAATCATCACAAAAATCCAAATTAAAACCACAGTGAGATACCGCTTTACCCCAGCCAGAATGGTCATTATTAAAAAGTCAAAAAACAGTAGATGTTGGCATGAATGTGGTGAAAAGGTAACATTTATACACTGCTGGTGGGAATGTAAATTAGTACAGCCTCTATGGAAAACAGAATGGAGATTTCTAAATCTAAAATCTAAAAGTAAATTAAAATCTAAATCTGAGAGTAGATCTACCATTTGATCCAACAATCCCCTACTGGGTATCTCCCCAAAGGAAAAGAAGTCCTTATATCAAAAAACACCTGCATGCATGTTTATGGCAGCACAATTCACAATTGCAAAGATCTGGAACCAACCTAAGTGTCAACCAACCAATGAGTGGGTAAAGAAAACGTGGTGTATATACCATAGAATACTACTCAGCTATGAAAAAGAATAAAATAATGTATTTTGCAGCAACTTGGATGGAGCTGGAGGCCATTGTTCCAAGTGAAGTAACTCAGGAATGGAAAATCAAATACTGTATGTTCTTACTTAGAAATGAGAGTTTAGCTATGGGTATGAAAAGGCATGGGCTTTGGAGACTTAGAAGGGGTAGGGTGGGAGGGGGTGAGGGATTAAAAACTACGTATTGGGTACAATGTACACTACTCAGGTGATAGGTGCACTAAAATCTAAGATTTCACCAGTATACAGTTCATCATTGTAACCAAAAACCACTTGTACCCCAAAAGTCATTGAAAAAAAATTTATAAGTAAAAATGTCCCCAATAAAAATGCATACGAGCCAGACTCAGTGGCTCACATCTGTAATACCAACACTCTGGGAGGCCAAGGCAAGAGGATTACTCGAGCCCTGGAGTTTGAGACCAGTCTGGGCAACATAGCAGGACCCCATATCTACAAAACATTTAAAAAATTAGCCAGGCATGATGGCATGCCCCTGTGGTTCCAGCTACTCCAGAGGCTGAGGTTGGAGGATCACTCAAATACAGAAAGTCAAGGTTGCAGTGAGCTGTGATTGTGCCACCACATTCCAGCCTGGGTGACAAAGCAAAACCCTGCCTCAAAAAAAAAAAAAAAGTTTACCAAAAACGCTTGTACTAGAATGTTCACATCAATGTTATTCATAATAGCCCCAAACTGGAAACTAGAAACTAGTCACATCATCAACAGTTGAATGGATAAATAAATTGTGGTACTACATTCATACAATGAATTACTGTATATATGGCAATGAGCATGAAACATCTGAACTACATAAAACAGTATGGATGGTAGTCACAAACTCAAAATTGGACAATTGAAGTAAGACAAAAGAATACACATTGGATGATGCCATTTATGTAAAGTTTAAAACAGTCAAAAGCAATCTATGGTATTAGAAGTCAGAATAGTGGTTACACTTCAGGATGTAGAGAATAGAATGGAGGATGACGAGCAGGTGGAGGGCAGCGCTCTGAGTACCAGAAGTGTTCTGTGTCTTGATGTTGGTGGTGCTTCCATGGGTCTTTTCAGTTTGGAAAATTCATCAAAATGAATACTCATGATTTTTAAACTTTTTTGGTATTGATATGCGTTAAACATAAAAAGGTTATATGTGTGTGGTTTTTTTGGTTTTGGTTTTGGTTTTAAAGACAGGGTCTTGCTATGTTGCCCAAGCTAGATTTGAACTCCTAGGCTCAAGCAGTCCTCCCAGCTCAGTCTCCCAAGTAGCTGTGGACTATAGGCATGTGCCACCATGAGAGGCTTAAAAAAAAAAAAAAAGTTATAAAAAACATCACAAAAAAGCCTCTCTTGACTCCACTTCCCTCTCTAGCATTAGACCTCTTTCTCTCATTCTCTTTATAGTAAAACCCCTTTAAAGAGTTGGTCAAAACTGGGCGCAGTGGCTCACGCCTGTAATACCAACACTTTGGGAGGCCAGGGCGGGTGGATGATGAGGTCAGGAGATCGAGACTACCCTGGCTAACATGGTGAAACCCCCGTCTCTTTAGCCAGGCATGGTGGCACACACCTGTAGTCCTAGCTACTCAGGAGGCTGAGGCAGGAGAATTGCTTGAACCCAGAAGGCAGAGGTTGCAGTGAGCCGAGATCATGCCACTGCACCCCAGCCTGGGTGACAGAGCGAGACTCCATCTCAAAAAAAAAAAAAAAAAAAAAAAGAGTCACTTTACTGTCTTTAATTCTCCCCTCATTATCCTCTCTTGAACCCAAGAGATAATGCAACTAAAAATGCCCTCCTCAGGGTCACCAATGACCTCCAAATTGCTAAAATCAGTGGGCAGTTCTCAGGCTTCAATCTTCCTCTTAAAAATACCTTTTTCACTTGGTTTCTAGGACAACCCACACTCCTGGCTTTCCTCCTACTTCTCGTCACTTCATTTAAGACTCCTTAGCTGTGTTCATCTCCCTAGCCTCCTTTTCACCTCCCTAGCCTCCTTTTCAATGCTGGATACCTGAAGGCTTAGTTCTTAGACCTCTTCTCTACAATCACCTCCTTGGTGATTCCATATGCATAAATACCCTGCTCACTTGGGTGTCGTCTTAGTTTGGGTTCGGACAGAGCCAGACTCTGAGGCAGAGGTTCAAGTGCAAGCAGTTTATGAGGGAGGTGATCCTAGAAAACCCTAGTAGAAGAATGGGGAAGTGAGACAAGAAAGGCAGCCCATAGACAGTGTTATTAAACAAGTGTCCAGTGAATCCTGCTAAGAGTTATGCCTGAATTTCATTATTAGGAGAGTGAGAGAACTGGAGTATTTATACATTAACTTCTACCAGTCAGTGGTTGCTGGCCACTCCACCAGGAAGTGCATTCTGTACTTCTGGGCTACCATGCATGCAGAGGAGGCTCCAATGGCTAGAGAAAGCCCAGAGGCAGAGAGACAGAGAGACTAGCCATTGAAGGTCAGTCCTGCAAGCACTGAAATGGTAAGGCCCAAGGGGGAATGGGGGAGGCACTCACAACGTCTGCTCTGTAGTGTCATAAATGTGTAATAGGCATGTCAAACATAACATGTTCAAGACTGAGCTCTTGATTTCTCCTGACCCAAACCTGCTTCTCCTACAATCTTCCCCATTTCAGTCAGTGTAAACTGTTCTTGTGTTTACCTAACCTTTTGAGTATTTGACTCTTCTCTTTAATATTCCACTTTCAATCTGTTAGCAAATCTTACTATCTTTAGCCTTTTAAATACCGCCAAGCTCCAGCCACTTCTCAGCATTCCACTACTACCTTCCTAGTCCAAACCACCTTCATCTCTTGCCTGGATTAATACAACAGGCTCCTAACTGATCTCTCTTTTTTTGCCTTCTGCGTCTATTTTCAACAAAGCTGCCAGAGTGATACTGTTAAAGCATAAGCCAGATCATGTCACTCCCCAGTTCCCTCTGATGGCTCCTGTGAAATCCCAGGAAATCCCTGGTTCCCTTTGTGAAATCCCCAGTTCCTTCTGATGGCTCCTGTAAAATCCCAGGAAAAGCCAAACTTCTTACTTTGACAAACTTGGTCCTCCACAATCTGTTCCCTGTTACTCTCTGCCCTTTCCCCTCAGCTGTTTCAAGAGTACTGCAGGCATCTCCCATCTGGACACTCTTACGCCTGCTACGCCTTCTGCTTGATGGAGTTCCCCCATGTATAGCCATTTCCCTCATTTCTTTCAGTTTAATTATTACCTCCTCAGTAAGGCTGTCCTGGCCAACTTATCTAAAAACTGTCATCCTCAATGCTTTCTATCTCCCCTCCTGCTCTTTCTTTCTTTCTTTCTTTCTTTTTTTTTTGAGACAGAGTCTGGCTCTGTCACCAGGCTGGAGTACAGTGGCACGATCTTGGCTCACTGCCACCTCCCCCTCCTGGGTTCAAGCGATTTTCCTGCCTCAGTCTCCTGAGTAGCTGAGACTAAAGGTGCACACCACCATGCCCAGCTAATTTTTGTATTTTTAGTAGAATTGTGGTTTCACCATGTCGGCCAGGATGGCCTCCATCTCTTGATCTCATAATCCACCCACCTTGGCCTCCCAAAGTGCTGGGATTACAGGCGTGACCGACCGCGCCCGGCCCTCTTTTCTTTCTTATCACTTATCGCTACATAATACAATGAATATTTTACACATTTATTTTTGTCTGGCTTCCCTCTCACTAGAGTGTAAGTTCCATAAGGACAGAGATTGCTGTCTATTTTGTTCACTGCTGTATCACCAGTCTCTAGAATAGTGGCTATTGCATAGTAGGTGCTCAACAAGTATTTGCTGAGTGAATAATCTCACTGAAGAACCTGGAGTAAGTATTATCATAATAGTGTGCGCTCCATTTGCACCTGGCTTTTCACTTACACTCATGTCCTGCCCATCTTCCATGTTACCACAGAGTCTTCATAATCATGATTTCTCATGGCTATGGAATCTTCTGCCCAGTGTATATGCTTTACCTGACCATTCCTATATCATTGGATCCCATAAGTTATTACTAGTTCTCGACACTATAAATAACACGACAATGAACATTTTTTTGGTTGTAGTATTTCCAATATATGATTTATTTTTAGGGTGAATTCCCTAAATCACTAACTAACCATTTTTAAAGTAAGAAAATACAATTTTGAATTGCTATTTTAATGAATGTATTCAAGAGGGGGGAATCAATTTTTAAAACCAGTGGGCAGTCAGGTGCAGTGGTGCATAGCTGTCCCCCATGCTACTTAGGAAACTGAGGCAGGAGGATTGCTTGAGCCCAGAAGTTCTTGAACGGCCTGGATAACCATAGTTGAGACTTCATCTCTAGAAAAAGCAAAACGACAAAACCATTGGGCTATCTTTATGAAGCTCTGCTACAGACTGAGTTCGTGCTCTAGCCCTGTCCTCCAGGGAGATCACAGCATACAGCACCTACCAGAAGGTGCTGCTATGCATTGCTCCCTCGAATATTTCTTCCTCCACCACTCCTGGATTTTCATGAGAAGTTATACTAACTTAACTCACCAAATATTTGTCGAGTGTTTATTATTTATAACACACATGGAGGAACTTTAAGGATCAATGTGATATAGTATCTGACACCAAGGAGCTTGTAACTAGGACTCCCAAGATGTCACTACATCCCAGAGTTTGTTAAGCCTCAAATCTTTATGTATCATACTTTCTCTTGGGCTCCAAGAAAGCTGCTAGACCCATTCATTTCATGAATTCCATATACCTCCAAGTCAGTGCTTCCATATATTTACTCTCAAATCCACTTCTCCTGTAATTATTTACTGGTAAGGCATTAAAACTGGAAACTGGGAGTCATCGTCAATTCTTCCTCTCCCATGTCCCGTCCTGCTCTCACCCATACCATTGATCACAAGGTTTTTCAATATCCTAAGACATTTTTCAAATACATGCTCTTCTCTCCATTCTCACTGCCACTTCTCCTTAGTTGAGATGAACAACATCATCCATCTGGACCATTTGACTAACATTTTTTTCTGACTTCCTTGACTCTCCTTACTTTCCAACTTCAATTCACATTCCGCACTGAAATAAGATCATATTAATCACTTGCATTAATGGCTTGCTTAAAGCTCCTAAACGACTGAGCGCAGTGGCTCATGCCTGTAATCCCAGCACTTTGGGAGGCTGAGGCGGGCGGATCACGAGGTCAGGAATTCGAGACCAGCCTGGCCAAGATGGTGAAACCCCATCTCTACTAAAGATACAAAAAAAAATTGCCGAGCATGGTGGCGTGTGCCTGTAATCCCAGCTACTCAGGAGACTGAGGCAGGAGAATCACTTGAACCCAGGAGGCAGAGGTTTCAATGAACAGAGATCACACCATTGTACTCCAGGCTGGGTGACAGGGCAAGACTCCGTCTCAAAAAAAAAAAAAACTCTTCAGTAGCTTTCCAATACCTAAATGACAAAATCCAGATATGCAAGAAGATTTTCCATGATCAAGCCCCATCCACCTTATCTCTTTCCCATGACTCTGTGGGTGCACCTCATGCTCTAGCTTTGCTGAATTACTTTTAAATCTCCAAATACTCCCCACACTGGTTCATGCTTCCATGTACTTTATATCCTATCTCTCTTTCTGGAGTTCTCTTTCCTCCTTCTCCTGTGAAATTGCTCCTCAGACCTCAAGACCCATTGCAAGCTTTTCCTGCTCAATAGACCCTTCCTGGATCCACGGGGCACAGGTAAGCACATTCTTGCTGCCTTACTCTGGACAGCACTCATCAATTTTTTCCTGTCTGCCTCTGTTAAACTGCTGTAAGTTCCTTATCAGGCATGTGCTTACACACACACACACACACACACACACACACACACACACACACATATATTATATTATATATTATATTATATATTACATTATATATTATATTATATATATATATAAAGGAATGAAGGCCAGTCATGGTGTCTCACACCTGTAATCCCAGTGCTTTGGGAGGCTGAGGTGGGTGAATCACTTGAGCCCAGGAGTCCAAGGCAGCAGTGAGCTTTGATCGCATCACTGCACTCCAGCCTGGGCAATGAAGCAAAACTCTTCCTCAAAAGATAAAAAAAAAAAAAAGGAAGGAAGGAAAGAATGAATTAATAGATAAATAGATAAATAAAGTGGGAGGAAGAAAGGATCCTAGAAACATGAGACTAGAGTAGCAGAAGGAAGAAGTCAGAAGGGCAGCAACAGAAAAAAACACCCACATTCGCTGCCACTTCTTTTGTTTGTGACAACAGATGGGACATAAAATATTCAGAAGCTAAGTGTATCATCTCTTATGAGAAATTTCTAATCAGCCTAAAAGGGGGCTCATGATGACTGTCAACCTTCACTATCAGCTTGGAGAGCCCAAGGGAATTCCAAACTGTGAGCTATAAAAATAAACCCCAGCCAGCAGGGACCCATATTGGAGCCTCCTTTGTAGAGATCCAGAGCACTTGGTGCTTTGTATTTCTTTATTTTTTTTTTTTTTCAATTTTTTAGACTACTGTCCTGGGAGCTGCTCCTGGCACTGAAACTCTCTGCTTTCCTGGGAATCTCCTCTATTATCTTATTCAAACTGTCCTTATATTCCTAGAAAACCGGATGACAATTCTGGGCAAGTTGGTTTGGTGTGGGGGCCATATTTGTACAAACTGCTATTTATTTTCCTGTCCCTTTTTGCACATACTGTCCCAGAACCAGCGGGTGAGACTGTTTCTTTGACAATAGAGCTACTTTGTAGCAGGTTAGGTATAAGGAGGGCATGTCAGTGAGGCCACACAAGGCACCCACCCACACCCACACAGTGGGAAAATGCCATGCTCTCTGAAACTCATGGGGACAAGTTTGAAGTTAATTTTGTAATACAACAGACAAGAAGTCTTTGGAACCCGAGAAGTAAGTCAGTATATAAACACTAATTATTATTCCACCTTTTTTTTTTGTCCTTTCACATAATATCCTGTCTACAGAATTGGGCACTGTCTTGCTCCCGGCTTGTAGAAACTTCTCGGCTTAGCTAGCTAATGTCTCTATGGTGGATATGTCTGTCAATTTTCTCCCTTCCCAGAGACTTCTTTGGACCTTTGGCTCTGCTGAGACAGTAGTGGCCCACGTGACTCAAAGGGTTACAGCTCACTGACACGGGCATGCCCTTGACTCAAAGGTAGTTCATTTTCAGCTGGCTAGTAATTAAGTATATTCTTTCTTTTTAAAATTTGAACTGAAACAGAATGAAACACATGGGATGGAGGCGGTCAATAACATTGAGAGTTTATGTAGATGTGGGACTGGCAACAACCATTTTTGGCCATGATATACCTTCTGATAATTAAGTGTGGAAAACCTTTTTGCAGAAAGAGGTATAAAGATGGAACAAATTCATCAAGAAAAGTAGAAATGAGAAAGCACACAGCCCCAGAGAAAGTGAAGATCAAAAGAATATCATCTTAAGACCCGGCCCTACTTCCCTGCTGTGGGTCCATAGAATTCCCCTGTACTCAATACATGTGAGTACTCAATTCCATGTGAATTCCTGTAAACAGGTTCTAAACCTTGGGACAGCCTCTTCTGAGCCTCCATCTCCTCGTTTGTAAAACATGGAAGGACTAGATGATGTCAGTGCTTCCCAAAGTGGAACCTTTAAGACTCATGAGGTTGAAATGATTTTAGGGCGTGGAAACAGCCTTAAATAGCACTGAATCACAGCGTAAAAACATGATTCCCATTTCAGCTCTCCTTTAATTCTCCTAATTAAGGCAAAGAGAAAGTCTGAGATTGATTGTTAGCATGTTTTAAAAATTACTTTGTTACTTGTAATTTTCCTTTAATGCTTTTTAATTTGTTTGCATTGTACTTATTTTTACCATCACCTTCTATTCATAGTAAGTGATACTGGTTTTTATTGTTGTAATAACATTAAATACCTTTTTGAAATAAGATTAATTAAAAAGTAAAGTTATAGCAATGGCAGCTACCATTTTGAGTGGTTACTATATGTCATGTACTTCACATATATTATTTCCAATTTCCCCAACAATTCTAAAAATCATTATCTCTATTTTACAGCTGAGGCAACTGAGGACCAAAGAGATTAATATGCCTAAAGTCAGAAGCCTAGTAAGTTACTGAATGAGTATTTCAGATAAATTTGTCTGGTCCCCAAGTCCACGCTTTTCCTACTGTCCCATCCTGCTTCCTTTCTATTGGAATCTAACATCTGAACCCACACTTGTATGAAACTTCTCAAAGTTGGCCTTATGCAGTAGCCTTTGCTCAGACTGTAGCTCTGTGACCCTTCTGCAGCATTGGACACTTTTTTCTAAATTCCTTTCCTTGTTTGGCTTTATCCAACTTCTCTTGTAACCTTCCAAATCACATCTTCTGTCTCGATTTTTGGCCTTTCATCGCTCTATGTGTTTCATCTTTTGTCTTTCATGCTGGCTCTAGACTATTGAAAAGCAACATTAGTCCCTGTGAGATTTGAGTTACAGATAGATGTACTCTATGAGTAAGGATTCAAAAGCTGCTCTTTTGGTGCTGTGTGTTAAAATTTTTCAATGCATGCCCTCTGACCAAGACAGCTAACTTCTAGGAATGTATGCTGAGAGAAATCATACGTATATGCAAAGAAGTATGGAAAAGAATAATCTCTGTAGCATTATAATTAAGAGCAAAACTTTAGAAATGATCCAAATGTTAACCAATAGTGGCTAAGTTAAAGAATTTATGCCACAGCTATATGTGAAACAATATGTCCTCTTTAAAAGATGAGAGTATAGATAATAAATACACATATATAGATAATATATACACATAAATATATTTTAAAAATCTATATTTAATGACATTGAAAAATCATAGTGTTCATGGAGCAACAGTGAATGATTCCATTAGCATATTTAAAACTAATCCGGCCAGGCGCGGTGGCTCATGCCTGTAATCCCAGCACTTTGGGAGGCCGAGGCGGGCAGATCACGAGGTCAGGAGATCGAGACCATCCTGGCTAACATGGTGAAACCCCGTCTCTACTAAAAATACAAAAAATTAGCCAGGCGTGGTGGTGGGTGTCTGTAGTCCCAGCTCCTCGGGAGGTTGAGGCAGGAGAACGGCATGAACCCAGGAGGCAGAGCTTGCAGTGAGCCAAGATCACACCACTACACTCCAGCGTGGGCAACAGAGCGAGACTCCATCTCAAAAAAAAAAAAAAAAAAAACTAATCCATACATAAAATGTCAACTAGGATGTAGAACTAGTTACTAAGTGTAAAAAGGTTGCTCATCACCCTTCTCCACAGTCTCCTTCAGTGACTGCATCCATTTCTACAATCTTCTCAATGCAAATCCTGGTCTGACCTCATGCCCTTGTCCATGACTGGAGCATGCCCAGTAGACAGCTCCTTCTGGATGTCAGTGTTTTCACTCAACTTTTTCCCTCCCAAATTTGCTCTTTCTCCTATTCCTATTAAAGGCATCACCTGTTTTGGTTCACATAGTCAACTAAAGCAAGGTCATTGCCTTCGTCCATCCTTCCATCTTCAGTTCTACATCCAATCAGTTACCAACTCTGATGGTTTATTTTATGTGTCAAATTGACTGAACCACGTAGTGCCCAGACATTTCATTAAACATTATTATGGGTGTGTCGTGCAGGTGTTTTCTCAGTTGAAGACCTGAATAGAACAAAAAGACTGAGTAAGGGCCGGGCACGGTGGCTCAGGCCTGTAATCCCAGCACTTTGGGAGGCCGAGGTAGCGGATCACGAGGTCAGGAAATCGAGACCATCCCAGCTAACATGGTGAAACCCCGTCTCTACTAAAAATACAAAAAATTAGCCGGGCGTGGTGGCGGGCACCTGTAGTCCCAGCTACTCGGGAAGCTGAGGCAGGAGAATGGCATGAACCTGGGAGGCGGAGCTTGCAGTGAGCCTAGATCTTGCCACTGCACTCCAGCCTGGGCAACAGAGCGAGACTCTGTCTCAAATAAATAAATAAATAAATAAATAAATAAATAAATAAATAAAAATAAACTAGCCGGGCAAGGTGGCACATGTCTGTAATCCCAGCTACTCGGGATGAGGCAGGAGAATCACTTGAACCTGGGAGGCGGAGGTTGAGGTGAGCTGAGATCACGCCATTGCACTCCAGCCTCGGTGACAAGGTGAGACTCCATCTCAAAAATAATTAATTAATTAAAATTAATTTAAAAAAAAAAAAGACTGAGCAAGTGGGAACTGCTTCTGCCTGACTGCCTTTACCTGGGACATTGGTCTTTTTGGCCTTCAGACTCAAGCTGAACGTGGCTCTTCCTGGGTCTTGAGTCTGTTGGCTTTCAGACTGGAACTTATACCTCTGGCTCTCCTGGGCCTCCAGCTTGCTGACTGTGGATCTTGGGGGCAGTCTCCATAATTGTGTGAGCCAATTCCTTGTAAGTGTCTCTCTCTCTCCCTCTCTCTCTTTTCTATTGGTGCCGTTTCTCTGGAAAACACTAACACACCAATCCTCCAGATTCTTCTCTTTGGCATCACCAGCTCCCTCCTCTTTTCTATTTTGACTGACATCCACCTAGCTCAGGATATTCTTCCCTATGGCTGAACCATCACCATAGATTCCTGATAGCTCCCTGTCTCCTGCATCTCTTGCTTTTCAACCTTCATTCTCATCACTATATGGTTAACCTTCCAAAAGCCCAATTCTAATCACAAAAATTTTAAAGTCTTCATTGTAAGAAAAACAATCCAAAATCCTTGGATAACGTTCAAAGTCCCCTATGATTCAGCCACAGCTAAGTTTTCCAACCCTTTACCCTACTTCCCCTACTGTTAGGGTAACTGTACTATATGTCATTTCCCCACATTAATGCGTTTGTTCACATTCTCCTCTAACTAACCCCCTAACCCTCCTCTGTCCTATAATCACTGCCTATCCAAAATCTTATCCTTCCTTGAGGTGTAGCTCAAATTTGACCTTCACTTAAAGCCTTTCACCGTAGTCCTAAGGTGGAAGAGTCTCTTTCCTTCCTTTAAGCTCATAGCTTTTCTCTTCTATGTTTTTCAAATTCTGGTTTGTATTATATTTATTTGTACACAACTTCTCTTCCCTTATCCTTGAGGATGAAGGTTGTATCTATTTCATCTTTATATCCCCCAAGGCCTAATATAGTGCTTCTGTTGTTCACCTAAATGAATAATAAATGAATATTCTCTCAAGTGAAATGAAATTTGAAAGTTAAACGTAGCATGGAAACCTGACACAATACCTCATAATTGATTTTAAAATACAAATAATACTTAGATTACCCATTTGTGGCAACTACCAAAAAAGTACTATTTTAAAAGCTGTCTGCAGTATGTGCAAGTTGCTGTAGGCAAGTATTTCTTAGTGTTACATGTTGTTAGTTAGAATCACCTGGAGAGTTTTCAAATACTACCCATGCCCAGTCCCACTCTAGACCAATCACATCAGAAGCTCTGAAGGTGGGTTCTAGGCACTAATTCTCTTTTAAACCTTCCCAGGTAATTCTAATGTGCAGTCAGTTGAAAACTATGGCTGTAGGGCATGGCAGCTGCATTGATCTCAGTTTGTGTATTGGGATGGGCAGGAATGAACTTCTGATAAAGATACTTTAGTTGATCTTTGGTTGCACAGAGGCAAGGCAAGGCAAGGCTTATTAAGCAACTAACTAACATTTGTTGAGCACTTATTAATCCTTATGATACCGTATGAAGTAAGCACTGTTATTGGCTGCATTTTATAAATGAAGTATCTAAGGCTCAGACAAGTATTGTAATTTACCCAGATGAGTAAGCAGAGTAGCCAAGATGTGAAGACATGAACCCAGATACACAGGCTTCAGAGCAAGAGTATAGAAGACGTGAAACTCCGGTGACTTGGGAGTGTGTGGGTCAGTTGCGGTGGGGAGGTACATGTATGCAAACATGTATGTGGAGCTTTTTCTATAAAGGCCAACAACAGGGATTGGAGGGGCATGGGATTGGGGGTTGGAGAAGAAAAGGAAGCAAAAGACAACTCTAATATAAGAAAAGAGGGGCCTTGGAGACATGGTGGCTGGCTGAGTCCAAGCAGAGAAAATGTCAATCAGGGACTCTAGGGAGACGGTAGAGTCCATGGGTTTTAGGACTGAGTAAATTATGCCGAGCTGTAAAGTGTTCTTTTTCTGTCTTGTAAGTCCCTTATGATAATCCCCAGACTTCTGCTAAGTTACAGGTACCTTGGGGAAGTGCCCACAGTGGGGTCAGAGCAGCAGAAGGGTGCTGGGCTCTCCATATGGTTTCTCCCTGAGGCCAAAGTGCTGGGCGCTGCTAGTCCAGAATCTCAAAGTTTCCAGTAGCCAAGCAAATGGGGAGTGAGGAGCCAAACAATGAGAGCTAGGGCAGGGTGGACTGAACAGAAAAGGTTCTGAGATCAAATCCCTTTTTCTCAAATATGACAGAAGTCGCAGCCTCTGGATGGAAGGGAAACTGGACACTGCTATCCAGAGACAGCGCCCATCGGGGGGATCTCCTGTGCCGCACTGTGCCATTGTTACTGAGACACAAATGTAAATGGAAACTATAAATATGGGCTTGGGAGATGAGGTGGCTTGGGAGATGAGGTGGCTTGGTTCCAAGCCACGCTCCACTCCACTTCTCAAGGGCCTCACCGGAGAGGACAGATTCTTCTCATGTTTGAGTGGGTTTATCTGCATGGTATGGTGGAAGGGTTTTTGGAGTCAAAAACCTCTAAGATGGAACTGAAGACACATTTGCCTTCTTTGGATCTCAGTTTCTTTATCTGCAAAATGGAAAAAAATATTGACCTCACATGGTTACTGTGAAAATTAACTGAGAAGACCACAGAAGGCGGCTGGCACAGGATGTGGGCCTTGCAGGGGCTCTGCTGAGGTCACTTTACTTGCTTCCTTGGCCCTGGCCACCTAACCCCTTTCCTACACTAGGTCCCAATACTGCCAGGGATGACCCTTGGGAAGTCGGATCCTACCTTTGGTTAGGGAGTGAATCCCAAGCTTCACTTGGGAGAAGTTTCCACTTCCGATTTCCCCTCGAATTCGGTAGAAGCCTATCCGTTTCCCCAGCGTGATCTCCCTCACCACCTTCTCATCCTGGGACATGTCCTGTGTCAGTTTCTCGAAGGGCGTCAGCTGGCGGGGCTGTCCCTCCTCACCCTCCTTGCTACTCTCGGTCTGACAGCCACTTTCTACACTGTCGCGCCGATCCCACCGGGCATAGTGGGGGTTCACCAGGCCACCTCCATTCATATACACTGCAGTCATCGTCCACGGGGGCTCACGTCTCCATCTCAGCGAAGAGGCAGGTTGTGCAGGAGCAGAAGAGGCTCAGAGGGTGGGAGATGCCAACTGAGGACAGCAGGTGCCCAGGGTTCAAAAGAGTTTTCCTGAGAGCTGAGCAGCCTCCCTCTCGGCTTTAGTGAGAGGAAGGCAGTGAACGTGGTAGCTGAGTCTGCCCAGCCCAGCCAGGAGCTGCTCGCCTCACTCAAGACATTTCCCACCTTCCCTCACGTTGAACTTGCAGGCTCTAGCTGTACAATTAGGCACATGTTACATACCCACTGGCCTGATGGGACTCCAGGAACTTTCTGGCCAGACGTGGAGTCTGATGCTTTGTGGTAGGTGGCTGTGCCCCAGGACAAAGGCTTCTGTTTGCTATTTCCCTTGATGGCCAGAGAATCTTGCACTCTGGTGCGTAAATGCCCCTGGGAGGCCCCCACGTCCCTGCTGCGGGATCTCATCTCTGACCTTCATTTCATGCTTCTCTTTCTGTCAAGCTGCAGGGCGCTGGAGACCTAATAATCTGGACCCCAGGAAAGAAGAAACTTGCAAATAAGCCTTCTGGTCACACAGGCAGCCAAAGAAGGATTTAATCCCTGCAATGTCACTTTAGCCGGCCTTTATTTAGATGAACCTTCCTCTAAGCCGTGAGCTGTCTCGAAAATTTGGCTGGTTCAACCTAAGAATAGAGAGTAAGAAATTTATTAGCCTATGCTAATGTACTGTACAGGATTTGTAATGAATGTGCAACTGCTTTGTAAGCATTGATCTAAAAGTACCCCACAAATTTATGACTCATATCAGTAGTAGATGCTTGATTACATGTGATCTAGTAAGAAGAAAAGAGCATATACACACACCTCTCAACCTACATTTTAGAAAAGCCCCTAAGGTCCGTACATATTTCTAGCAAAACAATTTTTCTATTTCTTAAAGTTTAAGAAAATATGCACATTGCCTTGTGTTGCTTTAAAACCAAATTTTAAAAATAATATGATAGCAAAGATGAAAGATTCTGGATTACTAATGGTTTTCAAAATTTCTCATATTTATTCAAATAATAATATTTTATCTCCTTTACTACTTCATGTTCTTGCACAACTTGTCCTATACTAGTTGCTTCCACTCTTTCTTCCTATGTCATTTTATGACAAAGGCTGATTTTTCCTCCTACATTCACTTTTTGAATTTTTCTGAGCAGGTGTCAGTTTCTAGGCCCAGCACCTTATTTTGAAGATGTGGAAAAGGAGGGTTTACAGCATTGCCAGTGACAAGAAATGCTGCCCACCTACGATGTCATCGGGATGTTTTTTTTCTGCACTCTCCAGCAGGAAATACTCTCTTCCTCTCTGAATTCCCACAGCACTTCGTGCATTTTCCAAAATGTCCCATCTCAGTGAAGGTGGGAACTGGTTTTGACTTGTAGGTATGTCCTGCTCACCTCCTCTCTCCTTCAAAATGGAGTATAAGTTCTTACATATAGAAAGTGTTTACTAAGTAAATATGTGTTAAACTTGATTTTTGGACTTGAGCATTCCAAACCAAAAATTTGACTGAAAACATGAGAGACTGCCTTGGAAGTATGGATTTCCAACTCTGCTCAATAATATCACATTATTACAATTAAGTATAAATAAGGCTTCCTAAGCTTATACTTAAGGTTAAGTATGGGGTTGCCAAATAAACATAAATAAGGGAAGTAAAGAGGAGGTTGATGCCCAGTACTGCTCCTATTTCTGGATAGAGAGAAAGGAATCTGGAAGAAGGATGATGAACACAGGCTTAAAAGGGACCAGGTATCAGTAACTAAGCACATCTCTAGGTTAGAGACCAATTAGGATGTTTTTTAAAAACATTTTTAAGATAAAGTTCCCCTTAGCAGGGTGTGGTGTTGTACCTCCTAGCAGGGTGTGGTGGTGTACCCCTTAGCAGGGTGTGCACCTGTAGTCTCAGCTACACCTACAGACTGAGGTGGGAGGATGGCTTGAGCCCAGGAAGTGGAGGTTGCAGTGAGCTGAGATCAAGCCACTGTACTCCAGCCTGGGTGACAATGCCGGACCCTGTCTCAAAAAAACAAAGCAAAGCAAACAAACAAAAAAGGTAAAGGTCCTTAATTAGAGTGAAGAAAATCTAAGTCACTGATTCTTCTTCCTTTTCTTTACCCACCTCTACCTCCCAAAGTGCTGGAATTACAGGTGTGAACCACTGTACTCAGCCAAAATCACTGATTCTTAATCATCCTGGGCTCACAGACTCCTTTGAGATGCTAACAAAACCTATGACTTTATCCCCAGGAGGAAAAAAAAAAAAACCCTCACCCATACAATTTGCATCCAATTTTAAGATGACATTCTGAAACCCATCAGGTTAAGAATCTCTGTGAAGGTCAAGTGGCACTAGATCTCCCCAGATTCCTGGCAGAAAAACACCATGCAGCTTATGACAGACTAGAATGAAGTAGTAATTCTGCAAGAAACTTTAGCTTAACCTAAGGAAAAAGAAAAATATAGATTTTCCATAGAATGCAGTACTTTTGATCACTTTGATCACTTTGTGTTCTAACAGACTCTCTGAAGAACTTACTGGCTCTGTGTCCTCATTACTGTGCTGTCCTTGTCACTAATGTACTTGGGCCACAACTACATCAGCACTAGGAGGGCGCCGGGCACAGTGGCTCAAGCCTGTAATCCCAACACTTTGGGAGGCTGAGGTGGGTGGATCACCTGAGGTTAGGAGTTTGAGACCAGCCTGGCCAACATGGTGAAACTCCATCTCTACTAAAAATACAAAAATTAGCCAAGCATGGTGGCGCACACCTGTAATCCCAGCTACTTGGGAGGCTGAGGCAGGAGAATTGTTTGAACCCAGGAGGCAGAGGGTGCAGTGAGCTGAGATCATGCCATTGCACTCCAGCGTGGGCGACAAGAGTGAAACGCCATCTGAAAAAAAAAAAAAGCACCAGGTGGGCAGGAACTTGTGCTTTACTCTTCCCTCTGTCTCTGGGAGTTCTGCACAGTAGTTGATAAAAGTTTGTTGAAGAAGGAATGAACTAATTTACCAATTAATCCACCATTACAATTAGGTAAGATTTAGTAGAGGTAAATATTTTTGTTTTTTAACTACTAACACTATCCTAGAATTTAACTATCTCAGTTTATTTCAGTCCACATTTTTAAGATTTGGGCTCCCTTTACTAGCTATTAGAATTCCTGGCCCCATCTTCTTGTGGAGGTAAAAGCTTAGTCCAAAGTCCATCATCCCCCTGAGAACTGTGACAGAACTGCTTCGAAATGCAAGTCTCCCCCATCCCTGCCCCTTTGAAAGAATCAGCTCCCCACAGGCACCAGGCCTCCTGCCTCTCTCTGCACCTGCTCCCCTCCATCTCCTGCCCAGCTGCTGCTTCAGGGCTTGTTCTCTGCTTTCCTGTTCCCCAACTCTCCTGATTTGGGGTCTATATCCTGAGCTCTATTCAGGCCCTGGGATTTACAGTAGAGTTTGAGACTTCAGGTGCCTCCCAGGAATTCCTCTCCCTCCCTTCCCAATTCAACAGAGAGGGAGGGCACAGGTACAATTGCCAAATATGATCAGTCTCTGTCTTGAATTACGTACCCTAACACCTACAAATGAAACTTCTTGCAAAACGGTCTTGAACCAATTGTCTTGCCTTAGTGGTCGAGGAGACAGTTAATCTTCCATTTAGATCAGATAAAGTGTTTTTGTTACACTTTTACAAATGTTGCTGTGGTTTGCATTGAGGATGAATTGCAACTTGGGACAGCCAGCAAGTCAACTGGGGAAAAAGCCAAACCCCTATCTCACTCCTACTTCAAAATAAGTGCCAAATAAATCATCTAAGTAAATGTAAAATAAACAAAATCATGAAATACTAGAAAAGAATCAGAAATTTTTTTATGATCTCAGCGAAAGCCATTAAAGAAAACATTGAATTTGACTACATAAAATTGTAATTTTCTGTTTGCCCAAAAGTATCATAAACAGACAGGCAAAAATCAAATGATAACCTGATAGGGAAAACTTTCCAACAAATATAATAAACAAATAAAAAATAAACAATTTTCTAAGTAAAGAATTTTACAAATTGATTTTAAAAATACCAATATCCAGCCAGGCACGGTGGCTCACTCCTGTAATCCCAGCACTTTGGGAGGCTGAGGTGGGGGATCACGAGGTCAAGAGATCGATATCCTCCTGGCCAACATGGTGAAACCTCGTCTCTACTGAAAATACAAAATATTAGCTGGGCGTGGTGGTGCACACCTGTAGTCCCAGCTACTCAGGAGGCTGAGGCAAGAGAATCACTTGAACCCAGGAGGCGGAGGCGAGAACCCAGTGCCGAGTGCCGAGATAGCACAACTGCACTCCAGCCTAAAGGCAGAGCGAGACTCCGTCTCAAAAAAAAAAAAAAAGAAAAAGAAAAGAAAAATACCAATATCCTCCCAAAAAAGAAAAATGATGAAGAACATGAGCAGACATTTCACAGAAAATACAAATGACTCCATAATATACAAAAATGTACTCAACCTTACTTATAATTAAAGAAATACCCATAAACTACACTAAAATTAGATTTTTCACATATTAAATTTGAAAGCTGCAAAAAAAAAATTTTGATAGTGCAATGGTGAGAGATAGTATGGGGAAACAGGAATTCTCATTCATTGTTACTGAAGTATAAATCGGTACAATTGCTTGGAAGGTAATTTGGCTGTAACTATTAATTACAAGTGTATGTGTTCTTTGCTTCAACAATTCTACTTCTAGAATTTCTCTTTGCACACATGTGCAAAGATGTGTATTTCTGACATAAAGATGGATGTGAAAAAGAATGAGTTACAGTATCCAAGATATACTGTTAAGAGGTGGGAAGAGTGTTTATAAAGTGATAATCAGGAGTGTAAGAAAGGGCCGATTGTGGTGGCTCACGGCTGTAATACCAGCACTTTGGGAGGCTGAGGTGGGTGGATCATTTGAGGTCAGGAGTTCGAGACCAGCCTGACCAACATGGTGAAACCCCGTTTCTACTAAAAATACAAAGAAATTAGCCAGGCATGGCGGCACACACCTGTAATCCCAGCTACTGAGGCAGGAGAATCGCTTGAGCCCAGGAGGCGGAGGTTGCCGTGAGCCAAGATCATGCCACTGCACTCCAGCCTGGGCAACAGAAAGAGAATGCATCTCAAAAAAAAAAAAAAAAGTGTAAGAAAGAGGAGGGAATCCCTAAAAATAGGTAGAGTTATTGCATCTGGTGAAGGGACTTGTTGGACAGGGGAATGGAGTGGAAAAAAAGGTTTACTTTTTACTGCTTACTTTTTCATATGATTTACATTTTTTTAATGTGCGTATACTTACCTTTAAAAAGAAAATAGGCTGGTTGTGGTGGCTCACACCTATAATCCCAGCACTTTGGGAGACCGAGACGGGTGGATGGTTTGAGTCCAGGAGCTCAAGACCAGCCTAGGCAACACAGTGAGACCCCATCTCTACAAAATAAAAAATAAAAAAAATTAGCTGGGTGGCGCACACCTGTAGTCCCAGCTACTCAGGAAGCCAAAGTGGGAGAATCACTTGAACCTGGGAAGTCAAGGCTGCAATGAGCCAAGATCACCCCACTGCACTTCAGCCTAGGCAACAGAGCGAGACTCTGTCTCAAAGAAGAAAGAAAAAAAGAAAAGAAAAAGGAAACAATTAAAAATATTTAATGTGTTGCCACCTTACATAGTTGGTGTACGATAAGTTTGCTTTACTTTTGGTTACACAGGGAAATTATCATACCTGATTCTCTAATATCTAATGGATTGCTTTTAAAATAAAAAGATAATTCAGGACTTCTGGTGAAACATGGAGAATTTAATGATCTCATTTATTTCTACTTTATTCCAAAAAACAAAAAACCTCAAAATGGCAAAATAAGAGGAGGAAAGTTACAAACCCATGAGGATAAAAAGAATAAGAGTGGAGGCCAGGCATGCTGCATCACCTGAGGTCAGGAGTTTGAGACCAGCCTGGCCAACATGGTGAAACCCCGTCTCTACTAAAAATACAAAAAATTAGCCAAGCATGTGGTGCATGCCTGTAATCCCAGCTACTTGGGAGGCTAAGGCAGGAGAATCACTTGAACCTGGGAGGCGGAGGTTGTAGTGAGCCAAGATTGCGCCATTGTACTCCAGCCTGGGAAACAAGAGTGAAATTCCATCTCAAAAAAAAGCAGGCGCGGTGGCTCACGCCTATAATCCCAACACTTTGGGAGGCCAAGGCAGGCGGATCATGAGGTCAGGAGTTCGAGACCAGCCTGGCCAACATAGTGAAACCCAGACTCTACTAAAAATACAAAAAAATTAACCCGGCATGGTGGCGGGCACCTGTAATTCTAGCTACTCAGAAGGCTGAGGCAGGAGAATCGCTTGAACCCGGGAAGCTGAGGTTGCAAGTGAGCCAAGATTGTGCCATTGCACTCCAGCCTGGGCAACAAGAGTGAAACTCCAACTTAAAAAAATAAATAAATAAAAATAAGAGAGGAGATAGCAGCAGAGAAATGTCAATACATTTTTGGGGAGATGGAGAGATGGCAAGAAAATTAGTGATAAGCAACTTTGCAGACAAGGAAGAAAACTGCAACCTAAATTCCTACATAAGGGCATGCCAATGAGATTCACCTTTCTGAGTGCTCAAAAAGGCTTCAAACTATAAGATACCAAGTACCTCAAAGGTTAGAGGAATAAAGCAGGATCAAAATCATGGAAACTGTTTGAAGTTAGAGCAGTGAGACCCCACCCCCCGCCCCCGCCAGCCTTTCCCTCCTCAAAGATAGGTTGTTACTTTCTCTACCCCATCCCAGCTCAGGAACACAAGGCACAGGACGGAGGATTAGGTAAAAGTCTGTGTTGTAGAATCCCTCATTCTCTTCTCCTTGCACTCTTGGTTCCCAGAATGGAGGAAAATAAACATAAAAACCTCGAGGTTGGCTACTCCTCTTTTGGATAGACTAACTCAAGAGAAAAGACTTTCTGAAACCTACGTTTGAAAGTTCTCCATCAAGAAAGCCACATAGCCATCTACCGCACAATCCTCCAAGTGCCAGTTTCATGCACACGCAGGGAGCTTCCAACCAAGTTTCAGTGCATTCTGCTTAGAATGAATGACTGAATAAATGTTCAGTCAAGAGGCATGAGACATCTGAGGAAAGGCTCCAAAATGAAAGAAAGAAACCATGCTCAACCTAAAAAACAATCTCTACAACAAAAAGGAACTTGAAGGAAATGTAGAGCCATGAAGAAGCAGAAGATAAAAGATAAGGTATTGGATCCATAAAACCAGAACAAATGCTAAAAACAAAAAAAAAATTCAAAGACAATTCAGACAACAAGAAAGAGCTGTCTTGGAAATTAAAGAATT
Organism: Homo sapiens; assembly: GCF_000001405.40. Taxonomy (NCBI): domain Eukaryota; kingdom Metazoa; phylum Chordata; class Mammalia; order Primates; family Hominidae; genus Homo; species Homo sapiens. Next base: position 43,238,347 of record NC_000005.10, on the reverse strand, counting down.
AAATTGGCCGGGCGCAGTGGCTCACGCCTGTAATCCCAGCACTTTGGGAGGCTGAAGGCGGGCAGATCACAAGGTCAGGAGATCAAGACCATCCTGGCTAACACAGTGAAACCCCATCTCTACTAAAAATACAAAAAATTAGCCGGGCGTGGTGGCGGGCGCCTGTAGTTCCAGCTACTAGGGAGGCTGAGGCAGGAGAATGGCGTGAACCCGTGAGGCAGAGTTTGCAGTGAGCCAAGATCGTGCCACTGCACTCCAGCCTGGGCGACAGAGCGAGACTCCATCTCAAAAAAAAAAAAAAAAAAAAATTAAATTGAAGAATTGTGAAAGAAAAATCGAGAAGAGATAAGCAATATAGAAGACACGAAAACTGGGTAATCAATTCAGAAAGTCCAACATCTAATTATTAGAATTTCCCGTTACACTATTATGCTCCCAATAAAGTAAAACATATGGTTTCTGTTTTACCTGAATTGCCAGCAAATCTCAGAAATTTAAAAAACAGTACAGTGAGAAAAAACTCTGAATTCTTACACATTCTAGTGGAATAAAAAAGTAGAAGGAAAAAATCTAAAAGAAAAGGTAAATCCTGTTTGGGTGTGTGTATCTATGGGTATTTAAATATTCATTTTTATTTTGCATAATTTTTTCCCAGAAATTTTCCTTAGAAATCTAGAAATAGGAGTTCTGAAGCACAGGTTGTGGGGTTGCTCTAAATAGTATATATTTTTGACTACTTTCTAGTAGAGTCCAAAACATCAAGCTTCATAATGTTGAAAGCTAAGCAAATAACGGAAGTGATCACATACCTAATTAAAAACAAAATTTCAGATGTAAGTGAGTTTTTTGTTGTTGTTCTTTTGCCTTTGCCCTTTAGATTTTGATCAATTTTTATGGACATTAATGAGAGCTTAGAAACTCAACCAGACAAAATTATGGAGTCACATCACTGCAGATCAAAGCCTCTGGAGCAGGTAGAATGGTCCTTAATTATTAGCTTGCTGTTGCTATATAGCAATGCATTAAATAAGATGAAAGAAAACAGAGCTTACTTGGTAATTCATTTTCTTGACTTATAACCCACTGTGAAAATAATATCAATGAAAACCATCTCACCTTTGTTCTCTCTGAGTTTAACTTACAAAACTTCTGGGCGAGGCTCTTAGGCAACCTTTTCATTGGTTGGCAAGGCCAGGCATTGGTTTCCTTAAAAGAAAAGCTGAGTATTCTCTGTGTGTGGCAACAAGGTTCAAGACAGCTAGTCCTCAGTTATAATCCTTCTCAGGCAGGTGCACCCTCAGGGAGAATAATTAGCAAATTCATCTCATTTGAAAGTATATTTTACCATTTTGAAATCATTTGCGTCATCTTTGCTTTTAGCTCAGCTCTTTATTTCTCAGCACACATGTCAAGATCCCCATGCAGTGCAATGGGGGAAATTCCAAAGCAAATAGAAAAGCAGTCAGTATGCGCTGGTTTCTAGGACAGCAGTTCTGCTCTGTGACACCACCTCTCCCCTACTTGGTCTCAGAGCGGGGCTACTCAGCCCAGGTCTACCCTCATCCAGTTCACACCCAGCATCCAGGGACAGTCCATCCAGTCTGATGGGTTTACATCAGCTCTTCCCATATATTACTTCTACAACACTTGAGGTTCCCTTTGCCATCAATGCCACAGACTCAAACGCCTAGAACAGTGCAGGAGTTCTACGTCAGTGACCAAGTGCAGTGCCTATGCCTGGCGTGGTGAGGCAGCCCTTGCTCAGCTCCAGCCAGGGCAGCCATGCCAGAATGCAGGTTTACTTTCGCCAGATCTTATAATTCTTGAAAAGAAACTGGCAATTAAGAATTTTTTGGTAAACTCTGTCAATTTTTTATTTTTTAGTTTTTTTTTATTTAGAGGCAGGGTCTCACTACGTTGTCCAGGCTGGTCTTGAACTCTTGGCCTCAAGAAATCCTTCTGCCTCAGCCTCCTTGTAGCTAGGATTACAGGTGCAATCCACCCACCAAGTCTGGCGACTCCATTTTTTTTTTAATGTTTATGTTTTTTTGGTGGTTTTTAAATTTTGTTTTGTTTTTTGTTTGACACAGGATCTCACTCTCACCCAAGCTGGAGTGCAGTGGTGCAATCACAGCTCACTGCAGCCTTGATATCCCATTGCTCAGGTGTTTCTCCCACCTCAGCCTCCTGAGTAGCTGGGACTACTGGTACACACCACCATGCCTGGTTATTTTTTGTAAAGACAGGGTTTTGCCATGTTGTCCAGGCTGATCTGCAACTCCCGGTCTCGAGTAATCCACCCTCCTTGGCCTCCCAAAGTGGCTGTGATTACAGGCGTGAACAACCATGCCTGTCAACTCTCAATTTTTAAAGTATAGATTAACTCCTTTTAAAACACTGGCGAAGTGAAACTGAAGTGTCAGGCTGGATTTGGCCTCCAGGTTGGCCATTTCCAGGCTCTGTTCTAGGTTTCATGGGAGAATCATCCAAAAAAAAAAAAAAGATGGGGAGGGAATAGTTCATAGGTCCGTAGTCAAATACATCTGGAACTGCTGCACATTATACCCCTCTTAGATATTTGCGTTAGTACCTTACAGTCTTGTAGTTTTAAAACCACACGCACAAACAAATGTCTGTTTAATTCAGTGGTCCCCAAGTTTATTTAACCATCTAATTCATCCTTACTGAATACATTTTTGTCATTGACATTTTCCTTATGACTCTAACCTCAGAGGTGGACAAAGCTGTCAAATATCTGTAAGAATTTAGGTCCCAACAGGAAGATTATGAAAACAATTCAGTATAGAATGAAACAGAAAATAGATAGTTGAGTTTAATCCACCAATGCAGCAGATGAGGTGGGAGCTACCCATCTGTGGGGTCTGGAATGACACAGTAGTAGCTTGACAATTGAGTATCTCTTAACCTTGAGAAGATTTAGTGTTAAAAACAAAAATGCTTAAGAGACTCAAACCCTCCAGTATTAATATTTTTGTCTTATGAACTTGTATGAAATTGGTATTTCAATGTACTTGTTATGTGAAGATAATTTGGCATAATAAATAACAAAATAGTTTTGTGACTCTAATTTAAAATGAAGAATTGGATAATTAATTTAGATTTGTGATTTTAAGTTGAACTTTTATTGTTTTAAAATAGCACTGAATGAAATGTATTTAAAAGAGCTTAAGGTTCACCCTTGTCTATATGTTTAAATCATTATATTTGTAAGAATTACTAGTATTCTGGAAGCATTTTTGTTATCAAATAAAGTTTTTTAAAAGGAAATGAAACAAATTATAAATGCAGTTTAAAATGGTTAAAAAGGTTTCATTAAGCTTTGAATGGGATCAAACATTAATCCTTAAAAATTGTTGTCAGACAAAATAATGTCTGGAATTTGCTTTAAAATAGGCCGGGCATGGTGGCTCATGCCCATAATCCCAGCACTTTGGGAGGCCAAGGTGGGCAGATCATGTGAGGTCAGGAGTTTGAGACCAGCCTGGCCAATATGGTGAAACCCTGCCTCTACCAAAAATACAAAAATTACCTGGGTGTGATGGCAGACACCTGTAATCCCCGCTACTCAGGAGGCTGAGGCAGGAGAATCGTTTGAACCCAGGAGGTGGAGGTTGCAGTGAGCCAAGATCGCGCCACTGCATTCCAACCTGGGCAACAGAGCAAGACTGTGTCAAAATAATACAAAATAAATAAAATACTATAAAATAAGTCCCCATCCGCATGTTGGCCAGGCTGGTCTTCAACTCCTGACCTCAGTTGATCTGCCCACCTCAGCTTCCCAAAGGGCTGGGAATACAGGCATGAAGTACCATGCCCAGCCAATGGGAGTTTAAATTAAACAAGATTAGCCATGAGCTGGGAATTTTTTATGCTAGGTGATGAGTACATGGAGAGTTGTAATGTTCTATACACCATTTTTGTGTATATCTAAAATTGCTTATAATACAATTTTTAAAATAATTGTTAAAATTAGCCACATCAAAAAATATAATATTTGTAATAAGATGCTAGGCGTTTTACAACAGGCAACAGTGCTCATTAAATGCATGCATTGAATGAATGAATGAATGAATGAATGAATGAAAGAATGACACGACATGACAACTCTGTAAAGTGAGGTATTGTCATTCCCTTTTCACAGATACAAAAACCAAAACCAAAACTAAGGCCATCTGAAGTTAAGGCAGTTGCCCTTGATTTCCTGACTGTTAGCTCTGTGAAGGTGAAAACTGTGTATTTAAGTAAACATTACAACATGTGAAACCATGAATTTCAAAGATCTGAGGTAGAGAATGAAGTCATGTCCCAATAGAAACCCGAGTTTCTGCAATGAAAATTTTCATCTCATTTATCATTCATTTCCAAAACACAAATCTTCCCATCTTCTCTGAGGACCTATGCCTGCCTCCAAACAAAAGGAATAGCATTAAGATACTGAATGGAATCATGCATTGAATCACAAGAAGGTGGCCCTGAGCAGCAAAACAAAATGTATTCTTCATCTGCTCAGAAATAACTAATTTAGGAAACGGTGCGGGAACACTCATACCCGTTTGCAGCTAATGGTTTATTTTTAGGGAATTAAAAATATTTGTAAGTCAAAGCAGAAACTGCTCTTTTGCTGCCTTGTAACTTTCTCCAGCTCTAATGTAGCGTGCTCACTAAGAAGCAGAGAACACTTGAGGGATGCCCTTAGTGGGTGTTAGAAAAACCTCGTTTTCTATTTGAGCAAAACTCAAGAAAGTCTATCAGGGTAACAGGCCGCAAGGCTATGGCTATGGATAAGGAAAAGAGTGTTGTGGAACAAAAGCTCCTAGTTTTATCACCATAAAACCATAAAATGTTCAAGTGGATTTGAAACCTTTATTAAGAGCCTCTCATACCTGGTAAGTGATCCCTTCACACAGAATAAGCAACCCATCTGATAATTTTTAAATATTTACCCAGCACTGGAGGTAAGTGAGAGGTGGCAGTTGTTAGGGACAAGAGGAAGGTTAAGTTTTTTTTTTTTTTTAAGTGTCACTCTTGCCTTAGAAGAAGGAAAGAAAATAATAGGCAGGTTCTCTTATATCAATCACCTAAGAGTCGCACTGTAAGAAGCAACAATCTCTCCTTGTCTCCACCATCGCCTCGGCAGCCGTGAAGCAGTAATCATGCGTGACCGCATCTCCATCTCATTGGCCAGGCTGGTGTCCAGGTTGGCAATGCCTGCTGGGAGCCCTACTGCCTGGAACATGGCATCCAGCCCAATGGCCAGATGCCAAGTGACAAGACCACTCGGGGAGGAGATGACTCCTTCAACAGCTTCTTCAGTGAGACGGGCTCCGGCAAGCATGTGCCCAGGGCAGTGTTTCTAGACCTGAAACCCATGGTAATTGATGATGAAGTTTGCACTGGCACCTACAACCAGCTCTTCCACCCTGAGCAGCTCATCACAGGCAAGGAAGATGCTTCCAGTAACTATGCCTGAAGGCACTACACCATTGGCCAGGAGATCACTGACCTCGTTTTGGACCAAATTTGTAAACTGGCTGAACAGTGCATGGATCGCCAAGGCTTCTTGTTTTTCCACAGCTTTGGTGAAGGAATTGGTTCTGGGTTCACCTCCCCGCTCATGGAACAACTCCCGGTTGATTACGGCAAGAAGTCCAAGCTGCAGTTCTCCATTTACTCACCACCCCAGGTTTCCACAGCTGTAGTTGAGCCCTACAACTCCATCCTCACCTCCCACACCACCCTGGAGCACTCTGATTGTGTCTTCATGGTAGACAATGAGGCCACTTATGATATCTGGCATAGAACCTTGATACTGAACGCCCAACCTATACTAAACTGAATAGGTTGATAGGTCAAATTGTGTCCTCCATCACTGCTTCCCTGAGATTTGATGGAGTCCTGAATGTTGATCTGACAGAATTCCAGACCAAGCTGGTGGCCTATCCCCCCATCCACTTCCGTCTGGACACATATGCCCTGTCATCTCTGCTGAGAAAGCCTACCATGAAACAGCTTTCTGTAGCAGAGACTGCCAGTGCTTGCTTTCAGCCTGCCAACCAGATGATGAAATGTGAGCCTTGCCATGGTAAATACATGGCTTGCTGCCTGTTTTACCGTGGTGACATGGTTCTCAAAGACGTCAATGCTGCCATTGCCACCATCAATCAAGACCAAGTGTATCATCTAATTTGTGGTTTGGTGCCCCCTGGCTTCAAGGTTGGCATTAACTGCCAGCCCTCCCACTGTGGTGACTGGTGGAGACCTGGTCAAGACACAGAGAGCTGTGTGCATGCTGAGCAATACCACAGCCATTGCTGAGGCCTGGGCTCACCTGGACCACAAGTTTGACTTGAATGTATGTCAAGAGTGCTTTTGTTCACTGGTACGTGGGTGAGAGAAGGGAGGAAGGAGAGTTTTCTGAGGCCAGTGAGGACATGACTGCCCTTGAGAAGGATTATAAGGAGGTTGGTGTGGATTCTGTTGAAGGAGAAGGTGAGGAAGAAAGAGAGGAATACTAAAGTGAAAACGTCACAAAGGTGCTGCTTTTACAGGGAAGCTTATTCTGTTTTAAACATTGAAAAGTTGTGGTCTGATCAGTTAATTTTTATGTAGCAGTGTATGCTCTAATATACAACTACTGACCTATGCTTTAAAACATGAATGCTTTTGCAGACCCAGACTGTCCATTTCTGTGATGGGTTTTAAAAACAATAATAATAATAAATGTTTTTTAAAAGTGAACAAATATGTAGTAACAATCTGAACTAACAGAATAAATAATACTTTTAAAAAATCTTCATATATATGGAGATTTAATATGTAATAGAGGTGGCATTTGAGACCACTGGGAAAAGGTAAACGATTCAATATTATGATGCTTGCAGGGGCTAAACCAAGAGATGGCTTCAGCTTTCACACCACCACAAATTCTTCATTAGCCCTCATTCTTTGACACACATAAGAAAATTATACATTTATAAATATAGATATATAGATATAGATAGAGGAAGAGATAACTAGAGTTTCACTCTGTCACTCAGGCTGGACTGCAGTAATGAGAGGATGGCTCACTGCAGCCTCGATCTCCTGGACCCAAGCAATCCACCCAACTCAGTCTCCTGAGTAGCTGCGACAACAAGCTTGTGCCAACATGCCCAGCTAATTTTTTATTTTTTGTAGAGATGGTGTCTCACTATGTCGCCCAGGCTGGTGTTGAACTCCTGAGCTCAAGTGATCCCCCAGCCTCAGCCTCTCAAAATCCTGGGATTATAGGTGTGAGCCACAGCATCCAGCCAAGAAAATAATATATTTTTTGATTAGTGTAAAGTGCCATGCAAATACAGAGGCTCATGCCTCTTCTAGTAATATTACTATTCCAAGACACACCCATATAGAAATGCTGGAGTCACTACTGGGTGTCAGGACAGACCATGTGCATATGCACGTAGTGCGTACTTGTACATGCACAAAAAAAAGCTCTGGTAAAATGCAGATTGAACTAGTGGGTGACAAATGGGGAAGGAGTGTGAGGTACAGAATTGGGGAGGAGTGAAAATGACGGTGATGGGGGTTGTTATCCCCCCTTCATCTGTTCTTTCTTCTATAGCAGTGGTTCTCAACCTTAACCTGCATGAAAATCACCAGAGAGCATTCAAAAAATGCAGAAGTCTAGGCCCTGCCCCCCAAATATTGTGATTGAATTGGCCTGTGGAGTGGGAGGTGTCTATTTGTTTAAGTTTTCCAGGTGATTCTGTTGTGCAGCCAAACTTGAAAACCACTATTTTATAACAGAGAAGTTTTAGCTGGGCACATTGCTATCCAACTGAGGACTGTATTTCCCAGTTTTGGCTATAGTTTAGTTTGGCCATGTATCTGAGTTCCAGTCATGGGCTGTGAGCACAAGTGACATACGTGACTGCCATGTTGTGACCTTTAAAAAAAGAAGCATGACCTCTCGCCTCTTCCTTCTTCCCATCTTCCTGCTAGCTAGAATGTGGACACAGTGGGGTAAATGGAAACAGCCACCTTGGACCAAGATGGAAGCCATGTGCTGAGAATTGCAGAGCCACCGAGAAGGAGCCTAAACCCATCACTACACAGTCACCAGATCAACCCAGGATTGCTACCTTGTATATTATGATGTGAGAGATATAAGATTCTATCTTCTTTAAGCCTTTATTGTTTCAACTTTTGTTATGGCAACCCAATGTTTGTGCAAGAGGGCTTTCATTTCTTACTCCATTTGTTTCTGGGTTGTTTGAAGGTTTTATAACATGTATAACTAGTTTTATAACTTGAAATTTATATGTAATTGGTATCTGTTTATCTATAGGTAAAGGTAGAGATATTTCAAAGGAAGTCTTCGCTCTTAAAGAAAAAAAAAAAGAGGCTAAAATTAGGCTGGGCTTGGTGGCTCACACCTGTAATCCCAGCACTTTGGGAGGCCAAGGTGGGTAAATCACGAGGTCAGGAGTTCGAGACCCTGGCCAACATAGTGAAACCCCATCTCTACTAAAAATACAAAAATTAGTTGGGCATGGTGGCATGAGCCTGTAGTCCCAGCTACTCAGGAGGCTGAGGCAGAAGAATCACTTGAACTCAGGAGGCAGAAGTTGCAGTGAGCTGAGATGGTGCCACTGCACTCCAGCCTGGGCAACAGAGCCAGACTCCATCTCAAAAAAAAAAAAAAGGCTAAAATTTAAAAAAGAAAAAAAAGATACAGATATAGGTTGATATTCATGAATATGTATAAATAGAGACAGATTTTATCTGTCTTGTCTACATCTATCTGTATAGCCTATAAAGGTTTAGATAGGTAGATATAAAGTACAGTGGACCAATGACAGAGATTCCTGATTTTAGTTTTCTGATACATCAAGGTATTTCCAATTATTTATACCTTCAGGCAAATTAAATTAAAGAATCTTTTTTTTTTTTTTTTTTTTGAGATGGAGTTTTGCTCTTGTAGCCCAGGCTGGAGTGCAATGGCGCGATCTCAGCTCACTGCAACCTCCACCTCCCAGTTCAAGCGATTCTCCTGCCTCAGCCTCCTGCGTACCTGCGATTACAGGCTCCTGCCACCACGCCCGGCTAATTTTTGTATTTTTAGTAGAGACGGGGTTTTGCCATGTTGCCCAGGCTAGCCCTGAACTCAGGTCAGCCTCATGTGATCCACCTGCCTTGGCCTCCCAAAGTGCTGGAATTACAGGCATGAGCCACCACACCTGGCCCAAAAGTCTTTATTGAGGACTGGTCATGTTAAAGAAACTAAGGTGAAGCAAGTAAGCGTGTTATTGTTTTAAAAAGTACTATATTCACTTGTGAGTAGCAAATTAATTTCGACAAAACAGTATCATCTATATTTTTCATGTAATACTGTTAATCTAAATTTCATTGGTTTGAAGGTTTTTTTGTGTGCTTAACTCAGTAAAATTCGTTTTGCTTTATATGTATACGAGCTTTAAGGAAAAGAAAGTTAATTAATTAATTAATTGTTTTTGAGACACGGTCTCATTCTGTCACCCAGGCTGGAGTACAGTGGAACGATCTCAGTTCACTGCAACCTCCACCTCCTGGTCTCAAGAGAGCCTCCCACCTCAGCCTCCCAAGTAGCTGGGATCACAGATGTGCCCTGCCACACCTAGCTGATTTTTAGGGTTTTTTTTTTTGTAGAGACAGGGTTTTGCCATGTTGGCCAGGCTGGTCTTGAATTCCTGGGTTCAAGCGATCTGCCTGCCTCAGCCTCCCAAAACGCTGGGATTACAGGAGTGAGCCACAGCACCTGGTTGGGAAAATAAATTTAAACTGGAGTTTTATATTTGTACATTTTCAGTATCTTTAATGTAAAATTTTTGTTTATGTTTATTTACAATAAAACAGGTCTCGGCCGGGTGCGGTGGCTCAGGCCTGTAATCCCAAGACTTTGGGAGGCTGAGGTGGGCGGATCACGAGGTCAGGAGATCGAGACCATCCTGGCTAACACGGTGAAACCCTGTCTCTACTAAAAATACAAAAAATTAGCCAGGTGTGGTGGCGGGCACCTGTAGTCCCAGCTACTCGGGAGGCTGAGGCAGAAGAATGGCGTGAACCCAGGAGGCAGAGGTTGCAGTGAGCCAAGATTGTGCCACTGCACTCCAGCCTGGGCGACAGAGCGAGACTCCAAGTCAAAAAAAAAAAAGGTCTCAACCAAGGAGTTATGAGAATTTAATTCCTTTAAAAGTTATCAGTAAATGACACAGTTTTGAGAAACTGTGCTTCTGAGGGAGATTCCCCCAAATTAAACAACCAAGTGAGGTCATGGAATAATATACACTCAGGGTCAGAACATGGTTACAGTCTCAGCTTTCCCACGAAATGTCTTTGTGACCTTGAGCCAGTCTTTTCCACTCTCTAGGTTCAGTATCTTTACTGGCAAGTGAGAATGTTGGAACCTATGATGTTTACAGATCATTCCAGCCCTGCCCTTCTGAGATCCTGGATTAGACAATATGGGGTGAATTCCAAAACATTTGTGAAAAAAACCCTTAAGTCCAAGTGTCACATTGCCCCCTTCTGGACCTTTGTAGTATCCACATGGATGAGATTAATAAAACCCATAAAAATAATAAAAGCCCATAATAAATAATAAATTTTTTAAAAACTCATAATAAACCCTAGATGGACTTGTGAAATAGCATAGCCCAATTCCCTTTCTCCCCTCAGACAACCTAGAAAGTCATATTTGAAGGTTCTCTACTAGAAATGTTAGAGGACAACCCAGGAGAGGAAAAAGGGCAAAGGGTAGCAAAGGAGTGGGAAACACAGGGATATGGAAGACGGGTTGGATTCAAGAGAGTTTTACACAGTTCTATCTCCAGCTATTCCTCTAGTATAAGAAATATTGTTAGCTATCTATTATCAAGTGCTTACTATGTGCCAAGAACCGATTCTTTTATTTTATTTTTTATTTTTATTTTATTATTTTTTTCTTTTGAAACGGAGTCTCGCTCTGTCTCCAGGCTGGAGTGCAATGGCGCAATCTCGGCTCACCGCAACCTCTGCCTCCCAGGTTCAAGCGATTCTCCTGCCTCTGCCTCCCGAGTAGCTGGGATTACCAGCATGCGCCACCATGCCGGGCTAATTTTGTATTTTTAGTAGAGACAGGGTTTCTCCATGTTGGTCAGGCTGGTCTTGAACTCCTGACCTCAGGTGATCCGCCTTCCTCGGCCTCTCAAAGTGCTGGGATTACAGGCATGAGCCACTGCGCCCGGTGAACCAATTCTTTTAAAATCCTCCCAGCAACTCTTCCAGCTAGGCACGGATTATCTGTGCCCCAAATGGAACCTGCTTGTTCTCACAATCTTGACCCTTTTCCACTCTGTCCAAGTCATCCCCATACTGTGAGGACGGCTCCTGCCCCCACTGCCTTCTAGAGGCCTTCTTTGACTACTTCAGACTACTTTGACTACCACACTCACATTTCCCTCTGCTACTATCCTGTGCCACTTGAGATCTGTATCCCATAATCTGGTCCTTGACTTCATATCTTTCTAGCTCATTTGTGTGAGTTAAGCCTCCTCACAAGCTGTCCTTGAGAGCAGGGTCCATGCACTGAGGGGTTCATCCACCCACTCTACCTGCCATCACAGGCATCATGCTGAGTGCATTATACTTGACACTCAGAAGATGACTTTATCTTCACCATGTCCTCCATCTAGTTCCTCTTTAGGAAAAACTACTGTCCTTTGGGGAGTAATCTCTCATATTTACTTTAAAGTATGAGAACTAAACTTCTGATTTTCTTCTCCAGACTTGTTCCTCTCACGGTTTTCCCCATATTGGTAAATGGCAAGACATCCTTCTAGCTGAAGCCAAACATCCTCACTCCTCTTTCTCTCTCATACACCAATCTGTCAGCAAATCCCATTGGCTCTACCTTCAAAATATTTCCAGAACACAGTCATTTACCATCAAGTGTAAGCCACTACTGGCTTTTGATCCTGTTACAGTTACAGCCTCTGTCCTTCCCTGCCTCCTGCCCACCTTTAACAGGGTTTGTTTCTAACAAAGCATCCAGAAAGATCCTTCTAAAAATATCACATCATGTCACTTCTCTACTCAAAACCCTTTGATGGCTTCCCATCTCACTTAGAGTAAAAGCTAAAACCCTTAAAAGGGCATTCAAGGCCCTGCCCAATATGGTCCCCATCCTTCCTAAAGTCATTCTCAATCACACCCTTGAAACTACACTCCAGCCATGCTGGTCTCCTCCACTCTTACTTGAAGGCACCAGTCATGCTCCTACGTTCTGCAAATTCCTACTGCTCCTTTAAGACTCATTTCAGTGATACTTCTTTCAGGAAGCTTCCCTCACTGACCCACTCACCATAAACCATGTAGAGTTCTCTTTTGTACTTCCAACACCTGCAGTTAACATTGTGGTTTTCTCCACAACTTTGTACAGTTATGACTTTTATATCAGGCTGTCTCTCTTGTCAGGCTGTCAGCTTCTTAAGGGTGGTGACCCTTTTTGACTTTGAAGACAAATAAGGAAGCAAATACTATGAAGATAACAAGCAGTTTTCTGGCCATCACAGAGAGGTTATATACGCTACTGAAATGAATGGCAGAAGCACATCCTGGGATGTGGATGGAAGCCTGGTGCCTCTTGAGTGGCTTCATTGGCTTCACTGTATGACTGAAGATCCTCCTATAAAATCACCTATTGCTAGTAAATTTATTTGGACAAGCCATAAATTCACTGTGAGTAGCACCCCAGAATATGTACTTTATTCAACCACTAGAAAGATTCAGAAGAAGGTCCCACCTTCAAAACCTTCAAGTAAAGACAATGAACCATAATTTAAGCATGTGAAACATGGGACTTTTCATGAAACTGCATAAAATTTTACTGCTTACGAGTAACTTAATTAAAATTGTTCAACTTAAAAAAAAAGAAAATAACTTTTATCTGAGGAATGCAAGTCCTTTTAATTGTTAGGTCCAGAGAGAGGTATCAAAATAAGACAGTAATCACACCTTTTTGAGCTATGTAGTTATCTTTTTTTTTTTTTTTTTTTTTTTTTTTTTTGGAAAGAGGGTCTCTTTCTGTTGCCCAGGCTGGAGTGTAGTGGTGCAATATGCAATCATCTGTTGACACTGCTTGCTATTGCCACAATTAGCTAAAAACTAAACTAATAATTCCACACTGGCCACTATAACCCTGACACTGTAGCTTAAGAATATATAGTCAATCGCTAATCAATGTTATTTCTGTAAATGAATGAGAATTCCTGGAAAACAACTTTGTATCAGCCCACTCTTTTTGTATCTGTCCCCCTTTTAAAAATCCACTTGTGGCCAGGCGCAATGGCTTAGGCCTGTAATCCCGGCACTTTGGGAGGCCAAGGCAGGTGGATCACAAGGTCAGGGGTTCAAGATCAGCCTGGCCAAGATGGTGAAATCCCATCTCTATTAAAAATACAAAAATTAGCTGGGTGTGATGGTGGACGCCTGTAATCGCAGCTACTTGGGAGGCTGAGGCAGAGAATTGCTTGAAGGCAGGAGGCAGAGGTTGCAGTGAGCCGAGATCGCGCCACTGCCCCCAAGCCTGGGTGACAGAGCGAGAAGCTGTCTCAAAAAAAAAAAAAAAAATTCACTTGTTATTGCTGTTAATCAGAATGTATTTTCAGGGCAACTTGAATATGTGCTCTCGAGTTGTAATCCTTAAACTTGACCCAAATGAACCCTCTACTTATATTAATTTTGTCTCAGCTTCTTCCTTTTAGGTAAAAAAACCAATCCCTCAGTTACTGAGGGACAACTGTACAATCTGTGTTTCTACTAAGGAAATTGACTGGAACAGACCTTATAGTTCCACAGTAAAACAAATCTTTTTTTTTTTTTTCTGAGACGAGTTTTTTGCTCTTGTTGCCCAGGCTGGAGTGCAATGGCACAATCTCAGCTCACTGCCACCTCTGCCTCCCGGGTTCAAGCGATTCTCCTGCCTCAGCCTAACAAATCTTAATTGTACAAATGAACTGTACTTCAGGGGTCCAAGCAATGCAGGTAGATTATGGGACACTTCGACTGGGGGTGTTAGGGGTGAGGGGACAGCGCATAGGTTCTTGTATTCAGTGATGAAAATAGGCCGGGTGCGGTGGCTCACGCCTGTAATCCCAGCTCTCAGGGAGGCAAGAGGGGGGAGGATAGCTTGAGCCCAGGAGTTCGAGACCTGCCTGGGCAATATAGCAAGACCCCGTTCTCCAGAAAAAGGAAAAAAAAAACAAAAAGACAAAAAAAAAGTGAAAATAATGTATTCAACCTTTCTACTGTATCTTTCTAATCAATGGATTTTTTTTTAACCCTCAAAAAAGAATCTTTCATGATGCTGCTATTTTTGCACAATAAAACAAACGAGGGACAGTCTTTAATTAGTGTTTTAAAAGGCTCATACATTCACATTAGAAACATCACCTTTGATGCCTTTGATTCCTGAGCCCATTGATCTGCCAAAGCACTGAAATCTCAGGCAGGAATTCATTTATATCAACCTAATTTGAAACAAAAGCAGCTGCTTTCCTGCCCTCTGAATTATCCATCTAGGGGCTCAAAGGTTTCCCACCTATCAGATTTTCTTCTCTGTTCTGGTAACCTCTGGAGTGAAGCTGATTTTTCAAAGGCAGAAAACAGCTCTTTGCCATGGTAATCATTTAACAAAAGGAAAGTAACATTAATAAGAAGAGAGCTGTTGGTTCTTAATAGCTCAAGCTGTATGATAGATATGTACGTACATGGCTGTTACTATGAAAATGTCTAGGTAGTAAGGCAATGTGGAAAATGAGATATCCAAAATTTTATTGAAATTTAGAGGATAATCTCAATGAACTATTCTGGCCCTTAATAATTATGTCAATAACAGTTAGCTCTTATATAACACATTTTATGTGGTAGGCATTATTCTAGATACTGTATGTGTATTAACTATTTAATCCTTACAAGAATTTTAGAAGGTAGGTGCTAATATATCAGGTTTACAGAACAGGGAGCTTTAGTCAGCACAAGGAGATGCTATCAGGTGACTCTCCCCAGCTGGGATTCAAGCCCAGGCAGGGAGGCCCCAGCCTCAGGGTTCTTAAGCACCACTGTGTGCTATATAGTTATTTCCTGAATGTTTTTATAACAACCTAACTTTTTTTTTTTTTTTTTTTTTTGAGATGGAGTCTCGCTCTGTTGCCACGGCTGGAGTGCAGTGGCACGATCTCGGTTCACTGCAACCTCTGCCTCCCAAGTTCAAGCGATTCTCCTGCCTCAGCCTCCGGAGTAGCTGGGATTACAGGCATGCACCACCACGCCAGGCTAATTTTTGTATTTTTAGTAGAGATGGGGTTTCGCCGTGTTGGTCAGGCTGGTCTCAAACTCCTGACCTCGTGATCTGCCCACCTCGGCCTCCGAAAGTTCTGGGATTACAGGCGTGAGCCACTGTGCCCAGCACAATCTAACATTTTTTTAATGTCCAGGATTTAATACTTGGTATAAGGTAAGCTGAACACTTTGATATATGCTGTCTCTAGCCTGCTACAAAGCAGGCTTTCTTTTTTCTTTTTTCTTTTTTTTTTAAGGGACAGGCTCACTCTGTCGCCCAGGTTGGAGTACAGTAGCAAGATCATAGTTCACTGCAGCCTCGAACTCCTGGGCTAAAGTGATCCTTCAGTCTCAGCCTCCCAAGTAGCTGGGACTAAAGGCATTCACCACCATGCTCGGCTAGTTTTTTTTCTTCATTTTTTGTATAGATGGGGTCCCTCTGTGTTGCCCAGTATTGACTTTGACTCTTGGGCTTAAGCAATCCTCCCACTGCGGCCTCCCAAAGTGCTAAGATTACAGGTGTGAGCCACCACACCTGGCCCAAAGTAGGCTTTTGATAAATGTTTCAGGGGTGAATGAATGAGTAAATAAATGTGGAATACCACAGGTTTTCTCTCAGTTGCCTTAGTCTATCACTAATAGTTTTCTTCTCTCTCTTCTCACTGCCCACCCAGCAACCCACCAATTTGATTATTATAAATTCATCCTGTCTTTCCTCTGCTCTGTCCTAAACCATAAGATCGTATTTCTCACCCTTCAGTGATTGGACATCCTGCTCAGAATTCACAAAGGGAGCTGACAATCCCCTGGGGAATGTGGGACATAAGGCAAGGCCAGAACTTTTTCACAAACAAAATAGATGGCCTCAGGACCTCAGAAGCAGCACCAGTATAGAGCCATAATAGACACTGAGTGAGCCAGAGGTAGTGTCTGTCCACTTGGAAAGCAAAGGGACTGAAACTCTCATGCCTCCTCCTCCAAGATCTGCACTAACCACAGAATGCTTCATCCGTTTATTCAACATTTACTGAGCATCTACTACATGCTAAGCACTGTGCTGGGCATAAAATGCATAAGACATAGTTCCTGTCCTCAAGGAGCTACTTGTATCGGTTAAGATTAGCCTAAAGCTGCCTGCTTAAATATTCTAAGTTCAGCCTAATGGTTTCTCTGTAATAGTGAACTGTAACCTAACTAAATGCATAAATAGATCAACCTACCCTTGTGCCAGTCATCAAGTTTCAACCAATCAAAGGCAGCCAACTGTTCAAACTGTGTTCAAACAGGGCAAACGCTGTATAACCAATCCGGCTGTTTCTGTACCTCACTTCCGTTTTCTGTGCATCACTTTCCTTTTTCTATTCATAAATCTTCTTTGATCACACAGCTGCCCTGGAGCCTCTCTGAACCTGTTCTTATTCGGGGGCTGCCCAATTGGAGAATTGGTCTTTGCTCAATTAAACTCTTTAAATTTAATTCATCTAAGGTTTTTCTTTTCTTTTCTATCTTTTTCCTTTTCTTTTTTTTTTTTTTTTTTTTTGAGACAGTCTCACTCATCACCCAGGCTGGAGTGCAGTGGCGCAGTCTTGGCTTACTGCAACCTCTGCCTCCCAGGTTCAAGCAATTCTCATGCCTCAGCCTCCTGAGTAGTTGGAATTACAGGTATGCACTACCACACCCAGCTCAGGTTTCATTATGTTGGCCAAGCTGGTCTCGAACTCCTGACGTCAAGTGATCGGCCCACCACAGCCTCCGAAAGTGCTGGGATTACAGGCATGAGCCACAGCACCCAGCCTAAGGTTTTTCTTTTGACAAATCAGAAAGGCACTCTTCTCTCTGCCCCATCAACACCACAACTCACTTAACAGTATTCTCTTAATCTCTTATTTATCTCCACACCTTATTGGGACTCGCTGTGAGTTCATTTATTAATGTCTATATGGAGATCATCATTCATTCATTTGTGTATCAAGAGAGCACCAATATGTGGCAGACACTGTTCCAGGAGAGGGGATGTCATGAGGGCAGAGCAGAGGGCATCTCTGCACTCTCGGGACTTATCATGACCGCCCTATGCTTACTGCCTTCTTCTCTCATGTCCCCCCTATGCTTACTACCTTCTTCTCTCGGCTTCTTCAAAGCACTTAACATTATATAAAGTAATCATTATAACTATGTGTCATATTTTTAACATATACAGATGTAATACACATAACAATAATGGCATAACAAAGGAAAAGAGGAAATGGAGCTGCAAAGGAATAAAGTTTCTGGATCCCACTGAAATGAAGTTAGTATAAATCTAAACTAGGTTTTGATTAAGTTAAAATTTATATTGTATGCCTTAGAGCAAATGTTAAGAAAATAAAAATATATAACTACAAAATAATTAAAGAGAGCCACCGTGGGCCAGGCGCAGTAGCTCACGCCTGTAATCCCAGCACTTTGGAAGGCCAAGGCGGGCGGATCACCTGAGGTCAGGAGTTTGCGATCAGCCTGGCCAATGAAACTCTGTCTCTATTAAATATACAAAAATTAGCCAGTCGTGGTGGTGCCCACCTGTAATCTCAGCTACTCGGGATGCTAAGGCAGGAGAATCGCTTGAACCTGGGAGGTGAAGGTTGCAGTGTGCTGAGATGGTGCCACCGCACTATAGCCTGGGTGAGACTCCATCTCCAAAAAAAAAAAAAAAAAGAGATACCCACATGCAGAAGAATAAAGTTAGACCTTTACCTTAGACCATAAACAAAATTTAATTCAAGATGCATTAAAGACCTAAATGTAAGAGCTAAAGATATAAAACTCTTGGATGAAAACATAGGCATAAATCTGCACAACCTTGGATTAGGCAATTGTTTCTTAGATATGAAACCAAAAATACAAAAATATAAGCAATAAAAGAAAAAATACATAAACTGGGCATTATCAAAATTTAAAAATCGTATGCATCAAAGGACACAATTGGCTGGGCACGGTGGCTCACGCCTGTAATCCCAACACTTTGGGAGGCCGAGGTGGGCGGATCACGAGGTCAGGAGTTCAAGACCAGCCTGGCCAACATAGTGAAACCCTGTCTCTATTAAAAATAGAAAAATTAGCCGGGTTTGGTAGCACACGCCTGTAGTCCCAGCTACTCACTCGGGCGGCTGAGGCAGGAGAATCGCTTGAACCCAGGGGGCGGAGGTTGCAGTGAGCTAAGACTGCACCATTGCACTCCAGCCTGTGGGCGACAGAGCCAGACTCCATCTCAAAAAAAAAAGACACAATCAAGAAAGTGTAAAGATAATTCACAGAACAGGAAACGTTTTTGCAAATTGTGTGTCTAATAAGGTACTTGTATTTGTATATGGAATCTGTAAGTAACACAACTCAATAATTGTTTTAATATCACCTGATATCATTTGGATATTTGTCCCCTCCAAATCTCATGTTGAAATTTGATCCCCAGGACAGGTATGGTGGCTCACATCAGCAATCCCAGCACTTTGGGAGGCTGAGGTGGGAGGATCACTTGAGCCCAGGAGTTTGAGACCAGCCTGTGCACCATAGTGAGACACTGTCTCTACAAATAAAATTTTTAGAATTAGACAGGTGTGGTGGTTCATGCCTTGTATTAGTCCTTTCTCATGCTGCTAATAAAGACATACCTGAGACTCCTAATAAAGACTACTGAGTAGTTGGAATTACAGGTATGCACTACCACACCCAGCTCAGGTTTCATTATGTTCATATGTTTCATTATGTTGGCCAAGCTGGTCTCGAACTGAAAATTTATAAAGGAAAGAGGTTTAATAATTTATAAAGGAAAGAGGTTTAATAATTCATGGTTCCACAGGGCTGGGGAGGCCTCAGGAAACTTACAATCATGGCAGAAGGGGAAGCGAACATGTCCTCCTTCACATGATAGCAGCAAGGAGAAGTGCTGAGCAAAAGCGGGAAAAGCCCCTTATAAAAGCGTCAGATCGCATGAGAACTCACTCACTATCACAAGAACCGATGGGGAAACCTTCCCCATGATTCAATTATCTCTGCCTGGCCTCTCCCATGACACATGGGGATTATGGAAACTACAATTCAAGATGAGATTTGGGTGGGTACACAGCCAAACCATATCATTCCTGCAATCTCAGCTCATGGTGGGTGGAGTGGGGGCACTGAGGTGGCAGGATCTCTTGAGTTGAGAAGTTGAGGCTGCAGTGAATGTGACTGTGCCACTGCACTGGGGCCTGGGAGACAGAATGAGACTCACAAAAAAAAAAAAAAGAAAAGAAGAAAAATTTGATCCTCAATTATGAAGGAGGTGGGACCTAATGAGAGATGTTTGGATCATGGGGAAGGATCCCTCATGAATTGCTTCATGTTGTCCCCTGTGTTAGTGAGTGAGTTCTCTCTGTTAGTTCACGGATTGCTGGTTGTTTTAAAGAGCATGGCACCTCCTCCTCTCTCTTTCACTCCCTCTCTCACCATGTGCCACCTTGGCTCCTCTTGCCTTCCACCATGAATGCAAACTTCCTGAGGTCTCACCAAAAGCTGAGCAGATGATGTTACCATGCTTCTTGTAGAGCTGGCAGAATTGTGAGCCAAATAGGTCTGTTTATAAATTATCCAGTCTCAGGTATTCCTTTATAGCAATGCAAAATATACTAATATATCACCCAATTAAAAATAGACAGAGGAGGCCGGGCACGGTGGCTCACGCCTGTAATCCCAGCACTTTGGGAGGCCGAGGCAGGCAGATCACTTGAGGTCAGGAGTTCAGGACCAGTCTGACCAACATGGTGAAACCCTATCTCTACTAAAAATACAAAAATTAGCCGGGCATGGTGGTGGGTGCCTACAATCCCAGCTACTCAGGAGGCTGAGACAGGAGAATCACTTGAACCCAGGAGATGAGGTTGCAGTGAGCTCAGATGGAGCCACTGCACTCCAGCCTGGGCGACAGACTGAGACTCAGTCTCAAAAAAAGAAAAATAGAGGTCTGGGCACGGAGGCTCACGCCTGTAATCCCAGCACTTTGGGAGGCCAAGGTGGGTGGATCACCTGAGGTGAGGAGTTCAAGACCAGCCTGGCCAAAATGGTGAAATGCTGTCTCCACTAAAAATACAAAAATTAGCCAGTCATGGTGGCACACACCTGTAATCCCAGGTACTCGGGAGGCTGAGGCAGGAGAATTTCTTGAACTCAGGCGGAGGTTGCAGTGAGCCAAGATAGTGCCACTGAACTCCAGCCTGGGTGACAGAGCAAAACTCCATCTCAAAAAAAAAAAAAAAAAAAAAAAATAGACAGAGGATCTGAATAGACATTTCTCCAAAGAAGATATACAAATGGCCAATAAGCACATTAAAGGATGTTCAGCATCATTATCCGTCAGGTAATGCAAAACCACAATCAGATACCACTTCATACCTGCTAGAATAAAAAAGATAATTAGTAACAAGTGTTGGCAAGGGTGTGGAGAAACTGGAACCATAATATGCTGCTGGTTGGAACGTAATATGGTGCAGGACTTTTTTTTTTTTTTTTTTTTTGCATGTCCACACAAAAACTTGTATATGAGTGCTCACAGCAGCTTTATTTATAGTAGCCAAAAAGTGGAAACAATCCAATATTCATCAACTGATGAATGGATAAATACATGTAGTATATCCATACAATGGAATACTATTCAGTAATAAATAGAAATGAAGCACCGATACATGCTACAACATGAATGACTCTTGAAAACATTACATTAAGTGAAAGAAACCAGTCACAAAGGACCACATTTTATGATTCCATTTACATGAAACGTTCTGAAGAGGCAAATTTATAAAGACAGAAAGTAGATTCATGGTTGACTGGAGTATGAGGGGAGAGATTGGTAAAGCTGGCTAAGCAAAGCAGGGTTTCTTTTTAGGGTAATGAAAATGTTCTAAAATTGATAGTAGTGGTGTATGCACAACTCTCTGAATATGTAAAACCATTGAGTTGTATACTTTAAATGAGTGAATTGTATGGTATCTGAATTATATCTCAATAAAGCTGTTAAAATAACTAAAGGAATTAAAATGTCACACTAGAAAATATTCACTTCATGCAAACCATCCATCCAGCGGCTCCCAAAATCCTTTTCCTACCTTGACCACATTTTTGGATTAAATATAACTTTCTGATTCCAGACCATTTATGTTCTCTTTCTGTCATTCCCATCTCTGCCCACATTTTCCAGCCAGCTTACATTCTCAACAACTATCTCCATTTTCACACTTTTATTTAGATCCTGCCTACTGGTCTTTGCTCAAACTGTCCAAAATATAAAGACTTATACAATCGGGGAAGGCAAGAAATTGAAGACACCTCAGTGCTTCTCTCCTCCTACCTCCTCACTTTGTGGATTAGGAGACAAAGGACAAAAAGTTTACATGACTTGTCCGCAGTTACCAAAATACTTCTTGCTCACCTCTTCCAAAAAGCCTTCATGCACTAAGTGCCAATATTTCTGTATCTTTTTACTCAAGCTCTGATACCTTTCTTTATTGCACTACCAAAAGATATGAAACGCACTCATCTCAAGAGATTAATATTTAAATGCACATCCTGCATCTCAGAGAAAAAAGGCAGCTTTTTGTGTTCATGGTCATCGCATCTGATTTCTCTCCTGATACAGCTTTTCTTTCCTCAATTATCATGAATGACAGTTCAAAATTCATAGGGGGCTCACTTAGTACCAGCCCTGAGCAAACACAGAGTCAGACTCACCAGTTTCCATTTCCTCAACTCACTTCACAGAAAACCATGCCTGGGGTCTTCAGAAAAAGCCTTATTTAGTCCATACAAAACAATACTACATTTTAAAATGCTACTCAGGAAATAAAATGGCAATAAAGGGTATTTACATTTCTTTATAGGTATATACCTATATGTACACCAAGATCAAAAGAATGAGTTGGTTTTTTCAAATCAAATAAATATTCATCATGATAGGAAACAGAAAAGCCTCCGGGGAGTGCCTGCATCCCCAGTGATGTATTTCCTGGGGAGCCAGGAAAACCATAAATTATGTAGGTATCTGCAGTCATTCTGGACTGCATTCTGGAAGAGAAAATATGTCAAATCCAAACTGGCGTAGTAAGTAATAACGTAGGGATTACTGAAGGGAGCGTAGTAAGTAATAACGTAAATCCACTAAAGAACAAGAATCATGAAGTCAAAGCTCATGCAGGTCTACTTGGCTTGGGAAAGCAAAGTAAACTGCTTGTTAAAAGGAAAAGATGGGACCAGGCATGGTGGCTCATGCCTGTAATCCCAGCACTTTGGGAGGCCCAGGTGGGCAGATCACTTGCGGTCAGGGACTGGGGACTAGCCAGGCCAACATGGCAAAACATCGTCTCTACTAAACATACAAAAATTAGCTGGGCGTGGTGGCGCACGCCTATGATTCCAGCTACTCAGGATGATGAGGCAGGAGAATCACCTGAGCCCAGGAGGCGGGGACTGCGTGAGCCGAGATTGCGCCACTACACTCCAGCCTGGGCAACAGAGCCAGATTCCATCTCGAAAAAAGAAAAAAAGATGGGCCTTTTGCTGGCTAAGCCTTTACTACTCCAAGAACTGCTGGGCCCAGGAGGCACAGAAGACCTTCATCCTTCATGAGTGATGAAGAGAAAGGCAAATGTAATTAGGCACACTTCCCTCCCCAGAGCAGGAACTGATGTGCGGCTGATTGAAGAAGTGATTACACAATGTTGGAGAGGCATTTAAGTGTTGCTCACCAGGGAGCCAGAGGGCTTTGGGAGCCACTTCTGAGAATTACACACTGTTCCATAGTACTTGCTAATTGACCCGGTATTTTTGGCTGAAAACATTTCCCCAAGGAGGTAAGTGAAAGCAGATAATGAGGACCTGTCATCTCACAGGGCAGCTCATGAGCAAAGCTTGAGCTCTAGAGACTGGACATTATTTAAATGCAGAAAACTACAAAAAGATCACAGCCTGAACATAAAAATATTCAGAAGTATGCATGGAGAAGGTTTCTGATTCTCAGTTCACATCTACCCCCACCTCTGTACAACTTTAGCTTGAAATTTAATAATTAATTATAAGTGTGAAGATAAGGAGGGTGTAAGTTAAATAACCATGAAGTCCACAAAATGGGCACATTTCTTTTTTCTTTTTTGTTTTTTTTTTTTTTTTTTGAGACGGAGTCTTGCTCTAGCCCAGGCTGGAGTGCAGTGGCGCGATCTCGGCTCACTGCAAGCTCCGCCTCCTGGGTTCACGCCATTCTCCTGCCTCAGCCTCCCGAGTAGCTGGGACTACAGGCACCCGCTACCATGCCCAGCTAATTTTTTTGTATTTTTAGTAGAGATGGGGTTTCACTGTGTTAGCCAGGATGGTCTCGATTTCCTGACCTCGTGATCCGCCCGCTTCGGCCTCCCAAAGTGCTAGGATTACAGGCGTAAGCCACCGCGCCCGGCAAAATGGGCACATTTCTGAGAGCTTCATGATAGTCACTATTCATGTAATTGGACATCTATTCATAAATAAGGAAAGATATTTGCAAAGTTCAAGGAAAGTTCTGCACAAATGAAGGCCCAGTTGTTGCCAGGAAGGAGGGAAATGAAATTGGGGTAGAAGTGGGGAATTCAAGTTCTTTCAAGTTTACCATGTATACTTCTGGGTGTGTTTTTATTGTTGATGATGATATTGTTTTGCCTACTTATAATTACAACAGAGATTTTCTTGGTTTAAGGGCTAAAAATATGCATATATCTCTACTGTGATCTGGGAATGTGGCCTGTCTCTGATAACCATGTGTGTAAAAGTGAGTGAATCCTCCCTGATACAGTCAACTGGCTCAGATGCCTGGGATGGTCGAGTCCAGCATTCCAAAACTGAGATATTTTTGGCTGGGTGTGGTGGCTCATGCCTGTAATGCCAGCACTTTGGGAGGCCGAGGTGGGAGGATTGCTTAAGGCCAGGTGTTCAAGACCAGCCTGGGTAAAAAGGTAAGACAAAAAAAAAAAAAGAAAGAAAGAGAAGAAGGAAGGAGAAAGAAAAAAGAAAGAAAGAAAGAGAGAAAGAGCTAGGCATGGTGGCTCCAGCCTGTAATCTCAGCACTTTAGGAGGCTGAGTTAGGCAGATCACTTGAGATCAGGAGTTTGAGACCAGCCTGGCCAACATGGTGAAACCCATCTCTTCTAGAAATACAAAAATTGGCCGGGGCAGTGGCTCACACCTGTAATCCCAGCACTTTGGGAGGCCAAGCTGGGTGGATCACCTGAGGCCAGGAGTTCAAGACCAGCCTGGCCAATATGGCAAAACCCAAGCTCTACTAAAAAAATACAAAAATAAGCCGGGCGTGGTGGCAGGCACCTGTAATCCCAGCTACTCTGGAGGCTGAGGCAGGAGAATCACTTGAACCTGGGAAGTGGAGGTTACAGTGAGCAGAGAATGTGCCACGGCACTCCAGCCTGGGTGACAGAGCGAGACTCCGTCTCAAAAAGAAAAAAAAAATAGCCAGATGTGGTGGTGCATGCCGGTAATCCCAGCTACTTGGGAGGCTGAGGCACGAGAATCACTTGAACCTGGGAGGTGGAGGTTGCAGCGAGCCAAGATCGTGCCGCTGCGCTCCAGCCTGGGTGACAATGAATGAGACTCCAACTAGAAAAGAAAAGAAAAGAAAAGAAAAGAAAAGAAAAGAAAAGAAAAGAAAAGAAAAGGAAAGGAAACAAGAAAGAAAAAGAAACAAGAAAGAACAAGAAAGAAAGAAAGGAAGAAAAGAAGGAAAGAAAGAAAGAAAGAAAGAAAGAAAGAAAGAAAGAAAGAAAGAAAGAAAGAAAGAAAAAAAGAAAGAAAGAAAATGGAGATTTTTTTCAAAGTTTTGAATCCAGAAATAGGAGGACTTAGAAAAAATGATATCAGGCACCAAATAAGTGGTTGAAATGGTGGCATAGTTACCAGTTGCCTGAATACACCCTCTGGCAAAGGTGGATGCTTAAATATTGATGAAAAACAGTAAATGGCACATATGGGAGCCCATATTCTACTCTGCACCTGGGCGAACACAGAGGGGAAGCTGAAGCTATAATTGAGAATATATCTGGTACACATTCTAAATTTGCTTTTGTTTGCTCTTGAAGTTAGGGCTTTGAGGCTCTTGAAAGGAAACAGTGCAATGAACACTAGACCCAAGTGCATGGTGAGAATATGCTTCCTAACAGAGTCTTTGGTGCTCTAGAACATTCAGGAGCAATCGCAGTGATATATTTAGCTGCTGCCTGGGGCCTTGTTCCCAGACGTTTAGAGTTGGTGTCTCTATCAGGCTGCATCTTCTGCTTTTGTCACTGAGCCACAGTCCCAGAGTGACTGAGGGGACTGAGTTATCTTTGTACACAGGAGCCACTAAAAGGAGGAGGACTAGAGATGGGAGGAAGGAATGAGGGAGTCCTGCTGAGCCCTCCTCTCCTGAGCCCCAGGGTTGCTTCTGGAGCCTCATGACGACGGTGCTGAAACCATGGTATGTTACAGGCTGACTCTGGTCCTGAGCATTTTAAAGACTGTGGAGGGATTTATTTTTGGTCCTCACGTGAGAGTATTTAAAAATCCCTATTGGAGCCTGGACTAAGCTCAAAGGATAGAGGGCCTCTGCAACAGGAACAGGTTGGGACCATTCCTGTCTGGGAGGAGACCTCTGCCATGTGTTGGGAAGGATAAGGAACAGAAACCCAGAAATGATGTGCGATCCGTTGGCCAAGCAGGAAACCTAGGTGCCATTCCTGTCCTCTACCTTCCCCTCACCCAATCCTGTTGATCCTCCCACTTCCACACCACCCCAATCCTTTTACATTTCCATCCTGGGATCCCACAGTAGGTAGAGATGCACATGCTTTAAGGCACCAGCAGACCAGGCGCATCCAAGAGAGGCGGAAATAAAAGTCTTAAAATACTTTTATATTCAATATATATATTTCTCAATGCATCTAGGTAATCATCCTAAGAAAAATCCGAATTTTGTTTTTGTTAGTCTTATATGGTTAGCTTTGCTTGAATTTTGAGTTGCATGTGTGGTTTGATGAAGGGTCTTAATCCCATTCTGTGCCTAGGTGGCTTTAAGAACCTTCTAGCAGGCTTCCCTACTTCCCATCTTAATTTTATTCCCAGCTCAATTTTATTCTCCAGCAAACCACTTGTGTGATTATTCCAAAATGTAGATTTTACCACAGTACTGTCCTGCTTAAAATCCTTCATTAAAATGTCTGTAGGATAAAATTAGATTTCCATTGCATGGTCTAGAAAGCTCCTCAAGATCTAGTTCTTGGCTTTATTTCTAGCTTCATTTCTCATCTCCCCTGTTCCCACTTACCCCCCTCCATATGCCCTATATTTGAGATGTCTCCAAGTACTTGAGGTCTCACAAACATCCTGTTGGGGCTTAGCAGCCAATATTCCAGAATATGATATATTGACATGCTGAACTGAAGAAACCGCAAGGTCTCACTGACATTCCCCCCAGTCCCCATGGTCGTTCCCAAAGACCTTGGTGGGTGTGGATCTTAGACAGACAACTTCTTTGGGAAAGCTGAAGTTCCTATCTGCCTAAGATGCAGACCCAAGGAAAACAACTGTTTTTTCTTCCCCACTACAAGAGTAAGAATGTAACCACAACTGAGCAGACCAGAACCTTTCACTGTCAAAGAGACCTATTTACAAGTTAATCTCTGTTCCCTATTGGTTCATTGCCCCTTAACAGAATTCCTTTCCACCCCCCTCCCATAATCTCTTTTGCCAGGATCCAAGTCTTCTTTCTTTCTTTCCTCTTTCTTTTCTTTTTCTTTTTTGAGAAAGGTTCTCGCTCTATCACCCAGTCCAGAGTACAGTGGCGCAATCTCGGCTCACTGCAACCTTTGCCTCCTGGGTTCAAGTGATTCTCCTGCCTCAGCCTCCTGAGTAGCTGGGATTACAGGCACCTGCCATCATGCCTGGCTAATTTTTGTATTTTGTGTAGAGATGGGGGTTTCACCATGTTAGCCAGGCTGGTCTCCAACTCCCGACCTCAAGTGATCCGCCTGCCTTGGCCTCCCAAAGTGCTGGGATTACAGGCGTGAGCTACCACACCCAGCTCCAAGTCCCCATTCTTTCTGTAACATCAAGATGTGATGGTAGATAAGCTTCTGTACCTCACTGGGGGGTTGGGTCTTAATTCTGAAGCCTCCGTGCATACATGTTAAACAAATTTGCATGCCTTTTCTCCTATTAATCTGCTTCATGTCAGTGACTTTTCAGTGAACCTGCAGAGGGTGAAGGGAAATTTCCCCTTGGCTCGCCTACAATCCCATGCAGTTTCATGCTTCTATGTCTTTGTACATGACAATGCATGACATTCCCCCTGCATATAATGTTTTCCTCAACCCATACCCCGCTGAACCTCCAAGTCTCTGTCCCTCTGTGAAGTCTCTGACTCCCTCCAGTCCGTGGTGCCCCAGAGTATTTTATGCACCCCTCTGTTGATAATTGACTCTCTGTAGTATAAGTTTTTATGTGCACATCTCTCTTCACCTGAGGGCAGGGAAGATATTTTATGCATCTCTATCTCTAAACAGTGCCTGGCACCTCATAGATACTCAATATATGTTTATGGAATGGATAAATAAATAATAAAAACTGGTTTTACTTTGTTACTGAGCACAAAATTTGTTTTAAATTCTTGTTTTACAAGAGATTAATTTTATTCCTTTTCTTACCACAACGATCTAATGGTTGAAATTCTACCTATTATTCAAATTCAGCTTAAATTTTCCCCTCTCCTCCCCTCCCCTCTCCTCCCTTCCTCTCTCCTCCCTTCCCCTCCCCTCTGGTTCTCTTCTCTTTCTAATACCCTAAGCGGAATTCAGCTTTTCCTCTGGTATTTCCAACATCTTCAAATCCTGTCTGGTGTTTCAGTTACTGTGTACATACTTGTCCTCCCCACTGTAATGTGCGTTTCTGTGGGGCAAGTCCTCAATCTTACTCATTTCAGATTCTGGGCACCAGGGAAGAGTCTGTAACCACTGGCTGAATTGATTTGAATTGTTCAGATGTTTTTAAAGGTAGCACGGGGCCGGGTGTGGTGACTTATGCCTGTAATCCCAGCACTTTGGGAGGCCCAGGTGGATGGATCACTTGATGTCAAGAGTTCGAGCCCAGCCTGGCTAACGTGGTGAAACCCCATCTCTATTAAAAATACAAAAATTAGCTGGGCGTGGTGGCGCCTATAATCCCAGCTACTCTGGAGGCTTTGGTGGGAGGATCACTTGGACCTGGGAGGTGGAGTTTGCAGTGAGCTGACATCACGCCACTGCACTCCAGCCTGGGCAACAGAGCGAGACTCTGTGTCTCAAAAAACAAAAGAAATAAAATAAAATTAAAATAAATAAATAAAGGTAGCATGGATACCAGAAGATACAGAAATAGATACTTCTCTCATAAACATCCTTTTTTGGTTGAAAAAAAAAATCACCACAAACAACTGTTCTATGAAGAAAAATAAAAGGCAAAAATTTAAAAGCAACCAAACAAAAAAAGCAAAACCCTTTCCAGTGTTTTCTCCTGAAACAAAGGCAAGTTTGTTCAATGTGCCCCTAAACCAGAGCACCTCTCTAGCTGGAAAATTTCTGAAACACTGCGGGTTTGATGAGCTGCCCCATTGCTTTTGCACAACACTCTTACGGCTCCCAGTGAAGCATACCTCAAATGCGGGTAGACATTCTTAAGGCTATTGAGTTGGAGGCATTACAATGTTTACAAACCAGCATTTGCTCCAGCCTGCAGACAATAAAAACAACCTGATTATGGTTTTCCCTTGGAAGGCTGCTGAGGTTAAAATGATCACACCAACAGTAAAAGAGGCTCCATTTTCCCTCTGTTTTTATTTTTAGGGTGTGATGTGTTAGTCGCTTCCAGCAGAATTTACTTTATTTTAAAGCATGAGACATAATTCCTGTTCTATTTTCAAGACCTTCTTTGCACTTCTCAATTTCTCCAAGTAGTTCTGGAAATGTACACACCCATGGACTTGCCTTTGCCCGAGTTCCTGCTCCTTGCCTTCTTTATGTTTACACTTCCCTAGGGGAGCCAAAACCAACACTAATTAGCAGTGAATTAAATCTCACCTCTAGAATACTAAAAGGTCAGTGTTTACCCAGGATTCCAACCATCTCTAGTCCCTTTCCCCCAAAGATCAAAGACTTGCAGTTAAATATCCAGCCTCAAGGAAAGTTCTGAGATCTGCTTCAATTATACCATTTATTCCTTAAGTTTTATTTCCCCTATCATAACATGTCCTTTCATGCCCATGTGGCTCTACATACCCAGTTTCCCCTAACTGGAACACATTTGCTCTTTTCTTTTTTCTTTTTTTTTTCTTTTTTTTGAGACAGAGTCCTGCCCTGTCGCCCAGGCTGGAATGCAGTGGCGTGATCTCGGCTCACTGCAACCTCCACTTCCTGGTTCAAGCGATTCTCCTGCCTCAGCCTCCCGAGTAGCTGGGACTACAGGTGTCTGCCACCACGCCCGGCTAATTTTTGTATTTTTAATAGAGACAGGGTTTCACCATATTGGTCAGGCTGTTCTCGAACTCCTGACCTTGTGATCTGCCCGCGTCGGCCTCCCAAAGTGTTGGGATTACAGGCATGAGCCACTGCACACAACCACACTTGCTTTTTTCTTTTTTTTTCTCTCTTTTGTAATTTAATTGAAGCAATTCCTATTCATTTTTTTAACTCTCTCTTGAAAGCACCAAATTTTAATATCTAAGTCAATTATTGGGGAAAGAAACACCATCAAGATCTTTCCTTCAGCACAAAACAACGATGTTCATTCCTCCAAACATTCAAACTGAAGATCTACCAAAACAAAAACAAAAACAAAAGCCCACATTGAAATAAAAAGGAACAAAAATCACATTCCAGGGGGGGTCAGTGCATTCAGCAGTCTTCGCTGTGCTGTCTAACCATCCTTCAGCTGACTTTCAAAAAAATAACACCATAAGCTCATCAAAATACAGATTTTCCATTTGCTTTTTAAAATTAAAAATAATAGTTTAAAAAAAGGAAAACTTTGAGGAATTCACAATCAATTGCCTGACTCATTCTGATGTCATGTACAGCATATGGAGGTCAGGAAGGCTATTTGCAACACATGTGGTTAGGGGCTATTCATCTTTAAGGTTTAGCTTTCTTCCAAAGAGTGTACAATACCCACAATTCCAAGTATGAAGGGACACAGACGATCTCCTTTGAGAATTCCGCAGAACAATTCTTCATAGAGCAACTGTTCTATGAAGAATTCTCCAGCTGTTCTTCATAGAGCAACAGCGCTTCCGTCAGATTGACACAGTTCCCCTGTGTAAAGTATTTCCCATCCTGTTTCAATACTTTCATTGAGAGGTCAAGATTCAGTCTGAGAAACTCCCATGTGGAATCTTCTTCTGGAGACATGGAGATTGGAACAGCTGTTAAATCATTAATCACATAATAAAATTATCTCCCTTCTTTGGTGTACCTCTTCAGTACCGGAATACAGTCTTCTATTAGAACCTGATAGCAGTCTCCTTTAAGATTGTCTAAGACATCGCCACACGTTTTTCGCATATATTTCTTTCATCTATTGATCACCATTTGGTCAAGCTCTACCATAGTGACCATCTTTGGTTTTAGTTTGACTATTTCACACAATATGCCCCCATCTCTCTCTCCCAGAATGAGTACATCTTTGCCAGTGTAATCTTTGCCACTTCCCATGATGTCCCAGGTATATGCCAAATCACTCTCTGCCAAATTAACATCCCCACTCAGGATGAGAATATTTCCAAACTGCTTCGAGTGTAGAATTTTTATATTTTGATAAGATGAATCTTCATCATACACCACCTCAATCTATGTCATATTCAACCAGGCGCCCATAGGTAATGGGCCAATATCTGTTGATGGCTCCTCCTCGAACTTAGGTGGTAATTGTTTTACCCGCCCAGTACTGTCCTGACTCAATTCCGCTTTGTTCAAAATACCGTCGATCTCTTCTTTGCCTTGTGCATCACCATTGTAACTCTGAAGATCCAGCAACACAATCCATGTGGGTAAATTCTCAAATTGGCAAAGCTGCCGTTCTTGTTTGTGCATGTTGCTAAATAGCCATGGTCCTTCCAGGTGTGCACCAACTCCACCATCCCCTGATCCTGGAAAATGGACTGGAGGCCTTTTAGAATGGTCTCACCATCAGCTTTGGTGCCAAGCATGAAGTCAAGTGTGCTGTGCTGCTGCCTTAGTGAGGCGAGGCCCTGTGCCATACCTGGGGGAGTGGCCTTGGGAGACTGGGGGGCCGAGTCAGGCTGCAGCAGGCAGGGAGTGCGCTGCACCAGGGAGGCCAGGACTAGCACTTGCTCGTTTCTTATTCAGCCTTCAAGACCCTCCTAATTTACTTTCTTGGATTTTCTTTTTTTCTCCCCCAACCTATTTTTTTTTTTTTTTTTTTTTTGAGGCAGGGTCTCACTCTGTCACCCATGCTGGAGTGCAGCGGCACAATCATGGCTCACTACAGCCTTGATCCCTGGGCTCAAGCAATCCTTCTCCCTTAAGCTTCCCAAGTAACTGGGACTACAGGAACGCACCACCCCTCCTGGCTAATTTTTAAAAAATTTTAGTAAAGACAAGGTCTCAATATGTTGCACAGGCTGGTCTTGAACTCCTGGGCCTCCCAAAGTGATGGGACTACAGGCATAGAGCCACCCCGCCCGGCGGTATTTTCTTTTCTTTACTTACCCAGAGTTAATTGCTCCATCTCAGTATTTCCACTGAACTCTGCTCACACTTTGAACCGACAGAGTATAAATTTATATTCTCATTATGTTTAGCCTCTCTGAGACTGACCTGCTGATTTATCTTCATATTTTCAATATTCCCTAGTATGTAGTGCAACCTAGGATATGGTAGGCACCAAATAAATAGTAGTAGTAAAAACAAGCAGGCCGGGCGCGGAAGCTCATGCCTGTAATCCCAGCACTTTGGGAGGTCGAGGCGGGCGGATCACAAGGTCAGAAGATCGAGACCATCCTGGCTAACACAGTAAAACCCCGTCTCTACTAAAAATACAAAAAATCAGCCATGCGTGGTGGCTGGCACCTGTAGTCCCAGCTACTCGGGAGGCTGAGGCAGGAGAATGGCGTGAACCCGGGAGGTGGAGCTTGCAGTGAGCCAAGATCGCAAGACTACACTCCAGCCTGGGCAACAGAGCAAGACTCCGTCTCAAAACAAAACAAAACAAAACAAAAACAAGCAAACAAGAAGTAAAACACAATTTGTGAAAGGTGATATAATGTAAACCACAAAGCAGTAACACTTTTTGAAGGACATTTGAGAGTAGCCATTTTTTTTAATTTGTATTTTTTGTAGAAATAGAGTCTTGCTATGTTGCCCAGGCTGGTCTTGACTCCTGGGCTCCAGTGGTCCCCACTACCTTGGCTTCACAAAGTGCTGAGATTGTAAGCATGAGCCATCACACCCAGATGGAAGTAGCCATTGTTTTAGTTGGTGTTAGAGTAGTGTTGCTAGCATTTTATTCAGTGTAACAGGGAAAGTATACTAAAAGCTACTTTTATTAAGCACTTACTGTACATCAGACATTGTGCTGCATATGCTTATGTGACTAATTTAACCATTACAACAAACTCTATAAGATAGATATTAAAATTCTCACTGCCTTGATGAGATTACTAAAGAGGATGAGACATTTGTCCAAACTCAGAGAGCTAGTGAGTGACAAGGCCAGTCTGGGGTCCAGTTTCACCCAATTCCACTTGCTGCCTCCCTCTGGTGTGCAGTGGAACCTAACACTACGAAACAGGCCACTGCCATGAAGTCCAGCATCAGCCTGGGATGGCATAAGTCAGTGACAGTAGCAAGAGCAGGCAGGAGAATTAGAAAGGAAGATTCTTTGACATGCCTTGTTTTTGTTTTTTTGTTGTTGTTGTTCGTGTTTTTTTGAGACAGGGTCTCCCTCTGTCACCTAGGCTGGAGTTCAGTGGTGCAATCACAGCTCACTGCAGCCTCGACCTCCCGGGCTCCAGAGATCCTCCCACCTCAGTCTCCCAAGTAGCTGGGACTACAGGCGAGCGCCACCTCACCCAGCTAAATTTTGTATATTTGATTTTGCCATGTTGCTTACATTGGTTTTAAACTCCTGGGCTCAAGTAATCCACCCGCCTCAGCCTCCCAAAGTGCTCGGATTACAGGCGTGAGCCACCACACCCAGCTGTGACTTTTTTTTTTTTTTTGAGACAGAGCCTCTTTCTGTTGCCCAGGCTGGACTGCAGTGGCACCATCTTGGCTCACTGCAACCTCCGCCTCCTGGGTTCAACTGATTCTTGTTCCTCCGCCTCCCAAGTCACTGGGGTTACAGGCACCCACCACCATGCCCGCCTAATTTTTTGTATTTTTTTAGTAGAGACGGGATTTTGCCAAGTTGGCCAGGCTGGTCTTGAACTCCTGACCTCAGGTGATCCACCCGCCTCGGCCTCCCAAAGCACTAGGATTATAGGCGTGAGCCACCACTCCTGGACTGTGCCTTGTTTTTGAATTAACCATTGGAACTATCAGGCTGGGTGTGGTGGCTCACGCCTGTAATCCCAGCACTTTGGGAGGCTGAGGTGGGCGAATCACTTGAGGTCAGGAGTTCGAGACCAGCCTGGCCAATATGGTGAAACTCCATCTCTACTAAAAATACAAAAATTAGCCAGGAGTGGTGGTACGTGCCTGTAATCCTACTCAGGAGGCTGAGGCAGGAGAATCTCTTGAACCCCCCAGGAAGCGGAGGTTGCAGTGAGCTGAGATCGAGCCACTGCACTCCAGCCTGGGCCACAGAGTGAGACTCCGTCTCAAAAAAAAAAAAAAAAAAAAACCATTGGAACTATCAGTGATAGTAAATACACAAATTACACCACTTTTTTTTTTTGGAGATGGAGTTTAACTCTTCTTGCCCAGGCTGGAGTGCAGTGTCGAGATCTCAGCTCATTGCAACTTCTGCCTCCTGGGTTCAAGTGATTCTCCTGCCTCAGCCTCCCGAGTAGCTGGGATTATAGGTGCCTGCCACCATGCCCAGCTAATTTTTGTATTTCTAGTAGAGACGGGGTTTCACCATGTTGGCCAGGCTGGTCTTGAACTCCTGACCTCAGGTGATCTGCCTGCCTCGGCCTCCCAAAGTGCTGGGATTACAGACGTGAGCCACTGTGCCCAGCCAAAGGAGGGATTTTTTATGGAAAGTTGAGACTAGCTCTGGTAATGTCACCATAGTTCAATAAAGAAACACCACAGATTAGTGTACTATATGACTATTGTTAAAAGAAAAACCTTAGCCAAATTAAGTTTAACAGAGTTTAGCTGAGCAAACAATTATTCATGAATTGGGCAGCCTCCCAAGCCAGAGTAGGCTCAGAGACTCCAGCACAGCCAAGTGGTGGAAGATTTATGGACAGAAAAAGAAAAGTGATGCACAGAAAATGGAAGTGAGGTACAAAAACAGCCGGATTCGTCACAGTTCAACGTTTGCCTTATTTGAACATGGTTTGAACAGTTGGCCACCTTTCATTGGCCAAAACTCGGTGACTGGCACAAAAGTAGGCTTCAGTCCGTTAACAACTGCATTTAGGTTGTAGTTCACAATGTACAGAGAAACTTTTAGGCCAAACTCAAAATATGTAGGGAGGCAGCTTTAGGCTGAACTTGATTTAACACTATAGATATCCTAAAATGTTAATAGCAGTAGCATAAATTTAATCCTAGAGCAGTAAGAATTGCTCTTCTTGGGAACTGAGTGGAGCCTAGGAGGGAGGTCTTCTTGTGCAGCTGCTAAGTAGTGAAGGAGCTATGGCGGGGCGGTGGGGCTGGGGGGATGGTGGAAGGCGGTTAGGAGCAAAACTAAAGGCTACCAACAAACATTCCAGCAGAAGCAAAACAGTCATCGAAAGGCTGGAGCTGAAGAGCAACCAGCAATAGATTGTGTCTAGATGATGAGAATTGTGAGGCGCCATTGAAAATCTCAGGACATGGAGCCAGCAGCAGGTAAGCTGAGCGTGGCAGTGAGGCTTTCTAGGGTCTACTACTCTGCAATTTGAACCAGGTATGTTGTGAGGTCACTGAACATTGTAAAATAACTCAAAACTCAGAATAAAACAAGTATTTTTATCCCTTGTCAGTCTTTCCTCCTTCTGACCGTTCCAGCACACCCGTTTTCACACTGACCTTTTTCTTCAGCGCTGCTTAGTAAATGGCAAAAACAAATGGCAATTTACTTAGCTGGATGTGAGGCACTTCAGGGTCTTATCTCAGTTTTCCTCTGCAATCTTACTTCTTAATACTTGGCTAAACCAAATTAACCTGAGGCTCCAAGCCGACTGGCTGATTCAGTTTCCCTTGATTACCCAAGCACACTAGGGGACTTTTAGGAGTCCACTGGGGAGGGGCTTGTAGGATTTTTTAATCTCGCATTTTGTATTGGAATAAACAGACCCAGAGGGGTAAAGAGACAGTGGCAGGGATGAGACTAGGACCAAATGTCTTTACTTTGTCTCTTTCAGCTATATCAGCTCACCAACCAGCCTAACAGAATGAATAAATATCTAAAACAAATTTGGGGGCTAGGCACAGTGGCTTACACCTATAATCCTAGCACTTTGGGAGGCTGAGGAGAAAGGATCTCTTGAGCCCAGGGGTTTGAGGCTACAGTGAATTATGCCCATGCCATTGCACTCCAGTCTGCATGACAGAGGGAGATCCTGTTTCTGAAAAATAAAAATAAAAAAAAATTGGGGGGATTTAAAAGTCAAGCTAAGAAAAAAAATTAATGACCATAAATGTTTTCCTTTAATATTAACTCAAAAGAAAATTTGGAAGCTGCAAATATTTTCTCTTGATAGAGGAGGATTTATTATCAAATAGCTCAAGGTCACAATCTACTATAGGCTCAAGAGAATAATTTAGAAAAATATCTTTCTTTTTTTTTTTTTTTTTGAGAGGGAGTCTCGCTCAGAGGGAGTCTCGCTCTGTCACCAGGCTGGAGTGCAGTGGCACGATCTCAGCTCACTGCAACCTCTGCCTCTAGGGTTCAAGTGATTCTCCTGCCTCAGCCTCCTGAGTAGCTGGGACTACAGGTGCGTGCCACCACGCCCAGCTAATTTTTGTATTTTTAGTACAGACGGGGTTTCACCATGTTGGCCAGGATGGTTTCAATCTCTTGACCTCATCATCCACCCACCTCAGCCTCCCACAGTGCTGGGATTACAGGCATGAACCACCACGCCCGGTCAGAAAAATATCTTTCTTCTCACATGTTAAACTTTTGTGGTAGGCTTTCTAACAGCAAAAAAAAATATATTTGGCTTCACAAATATGAATGGCTGTTTTATTTTGTGTCATCAGTTCTAAGAATGCTCTTAGATCCAATCATATCTTAGCATTGTACCTCATATTACAAAGTGTTCATCATTCAAACAAAGGCAGCATGAAAACTTTGTTGTTAGTCTTCAAAGAAAAGTCCCTGGCATATCAACTGTGTACTTTTCCTTTTTTTTTTTTTGAGACGGAGTCTTGTTCTGTCACCCAGGCTGGAGTGCAGTGGTTCCATCTCCGCTCACTGCAAGCTCCGCCTCCCAGGTTCACGCCATTCTCCTGCCTCAGCCTCCCCAGTAGCTGGGAATGCAGGCGCCCGCCACCATGCCCAGCTAATTTTTTGTAGTTTTAGTAGAGACAGGGTTTCACCGTGTTAGCCAGAATGGTCTCGATCTCATGACCTTATGATCCGCCCGCCTTGGCCTCCCAAAGTGCTGGGATTACAGGCATGAATTTTTTTTTTTTTTTTTTGAGATGTTGTCTGGCTCTGTTGCCCAGGCTGGAGTGCAGCGGCGCCATCTTGGCTAACTGCAACCTCTGCCGCCCAGGCTCAAGCAATTCTCCTCCCTTGGCTTCTGAAGTAGCTGGGATTACAGGAGCCTGTCACCGTGCCTGGCTAATTTTTGTAGTTTTTAGTAGAGACAGGGTTTCACCATCTTGGCCAGGCTGGTCTTGAACTCCTGACCCCATGATCCACCCGACTCGGCCTCCTAAAGTGCTGGGATTACAGGCTTGAGCCAACGCGCCCAGCCACTTTTGCATATTTTAAACTGGGTCCAACCCAGTTACTTCTCTCGCCTTGGTGTTACAATTTCCCCATATTATTTCCTCTCCATCCGGACCAGCTGACCTCAACTCTTTGTCAATTCACACTCATTCCTCTCCCTTGTAAACTCAGTGTACCTCCTGCCTGTACTACACAAGCAATCACTGCATGTAAACTTGACTTGTTGTGTATCTTACGGTTGTGTTCTAGCTGTCTTAGTAACTACTACTGGCCGGGCGCAGTGGCTCACGCCTGTAATCTCATCACTTTGGGAGGCTGAGGCGGGCAGATCACGAGGTCGGGAGGTCAAGACCATCCTGGCTAACACGGGGAAACCCCGTCTCTACTAAAAATACAAAAAAGTAGCCGGGCATGGAGGCGGGCACCTGTAGTCCTAGCTACTCGGGAGGCTGAGGCAGGAGAATGGCGTGAACCTGGGAGGCGGAGTTTGCAGTGAGCCGAGATCGCGTCACTGCACTCCAGCCTGGGAGGCAGAGTGAGACTCCATCTCAAAAAATAAAATAAAATAAAATAACTACTACTTAATGAGAGCCTACAATAAATAGCAAGTGCTCAATAAGAAGGGTGAACATAGAATCTGTCATTCAAACCAAGACACCTCTGAGAATGGGGTGCTATTAATAATTGCACTAGGACGGCCGGGTGCAGTGGCTCAGGCCTGTAATCCCAGCACTTTGGGAGGCCGAGGTGGGCAGATTACCTGAGGTCAGGAGTTCGAGACCAGCCTGGCCAAGAAACCCCGTCTCTGCTAAGAATACAAAATTAGCTGAGCATGCGTGATGGCACATGCCTGTAATCCCAGCTACTCAGGAGGCCGAAGCAGGAGAATCACTTGAACCCGGGAGGCAGAGGTTGCAGTGAGCCGAGATCACACCATTGCACTCCAGCCTGGGCAAGAACAAAACTCTGTCTCAAAAAATAATAATAACAATCACACTAGGACAACAGGTGTAAACCGGGGTTGCACTGACGAACTGGGACATATGGCCACCCTATCAATAAGTGATAGTGTGGCAGACATCACTGCAGCCTGGCTCACTCAACGTCACTACTAACTCTCTTCTCCTTTCTTTGCCTTCTGTTATAGTAGCTGGCGATCCCAGTTTCCCTTTCTCCCTCAAAGATAGGGATAGCTCTGAGACACAGTTTTGGCCAGTAAGACCTTAGTGTGGTGTTTCTGATAATTAGTGCTTTCCTGTTGAAAGAGGATAGTTGCAGCTGGAGCAGCTCCTTTCATTTCCTTCCCCTGTGGAACTTACAGAGGAGTAGTAGCCACCTAGAGACCATGAAGTGATAAATATGAGGGCAAAAGGATGGATAGCAGAACAGAAAGATAGGAATAAACTAGGTCTCTGATGGCAGCTAAAACAAAGCTCTTAATTGCTTATCTAGACCTCTTCTTCTGCAAGAAAAATAAACTTCTAGCTAAGCAGGAAGATTCTTTAGTTAACTGCAGGCCAAAGCGTACCTAACTTAGAAGACTAGTCATTATTTCATTTCAACTACTTTATACATATATATATATATTTTAGTAGAGATGGCATTTCATTTATAGATATATACATTTTTCATATATATATATATATATATATATATATATATATTTTTTTTTTTTTTTTGGAGACAGAGCTTCACTCTTGTTGCCCAGGCTGGAGTACAATGGCACAATCTCAGCTCACTGCAACCTCTGCCTCCCGGGTTCAAGCTATTCTCCTGCCTTAGCTTCCCAAGTAGCTGGAATTACAGGCACGTGCCACCATGCCCAGCTAATTTTGTATTTTTAGTAGAGATGGGGTTTTTCCATATTGGTCAGGCTGGTCTCGAACTCCTGACCTCAGGTGATCCACCCACCTTGGCCTCCTAAAGTGCTGGGATTACAGGTGTGAGCCACCGTGCTTGGCCCTTTATACATATTTTTAAAAATCTTTACAACAGCCCTAAAAGGTGCCTGCTATTATCCTCATTTTTCAGATGAAGAAACTAAACTTCAGAAGGACTTGGTAACTTGTCCAAAGCCATACAGGCAATTAACATCCAAGTTTAATTTCAAGCCCAAGACTGTCTGACCTCAGGGTCTGTGCTTCACACAAAACAGATGAGGCTTCTTCACCTTGTCTCATGAGCAGGAGCTGTGTGTGCCACAGGCAATCCCCTCTAAACAGATGCTGCTAGAAAGTAGGAGGATAAGAAATAGATCGTGTTCTGAAATGGTTAAAAGACAATATGAAGTGGGCTGGAAAGGTTTGGCTTTTCAGTAATCATTACTTAATAAAGTCCGCTCTTTTTTTTTTAAGTTCAAGTAATCATTGTTGAAAATAAAAGGCAATAAAAATAAAGACAGTTTTCACTATAGAAAGAAGGAAAGAAAGAAGGAAGGAAGGAAAGTAGGAAAGAAAGAAAGAGAGCGAGCTCGAGAGGGAGGGAGGGAGGAAGGGGGAGAGAGAGAGAGCAAGACAGAAAGAAAGAAAGACAGAAAGACAGAAAGGAAGGAAGGGAGGAAGGAAGTAAGGAAGGAAGGAAGAAAGGAGAGAAAGAGAGAAAGAAAGAAAGGAAAGAAAGAAAAGAAAGAAAGAAAGAAAGAAAGAAAGAAAGAAAGAAAGAGAAAGAAAGAAAGAAAGAAAGAAAGAAAGAAAGAAAGAAAGAAAGAAAGAAAGAAAGAAAGAAAGAAAGAAAGAAATCATATTGGCCAGGTGCGGGTGCAGAGCAAGACTCCTCCATCGGAAAAAAGAAAAGAAAAGAAATAGATTATGTTTTCCCCCTACTTCCTTGCCCTCACCCCTACTCTAAGCAATGTGAGGTTGCTACCCCTCTTACTCTACTATGGAATACTCCTTCAATATCAAGATGACGTGTTCAGTTCAACAAACATTATTTTTAAGCTCCGTCCTCCATGTTTAAGTGTACAAGTTACCCCCAGGAACAATGTAGATATAACTAAATCTACAGCTAGTGGGGCAAGGTAGATGCATAAACAGATCGTCTAAATATAATGGCCAAAGGCTAAACTAGAGATAGGTACAGACAGGGTGGGGCCCAAAAGAGAACATCTGGAAGGAGATAAGGCCTGAAGGAATTTCCAGGTGTGATTCAGCAAGTACTGAAAGATAGAGAAATGTAGGTCAGGGAAATGGTAAAATGGGAGAGGGGGTATGGAGTATGGATCATGGAAATTGAGGCAGTATAAAGGGTGGAAAAATCAGTACCTCTGTGTTCTGTAGGAGCTCAAGGGCTGGCGCTGTTGATTACATCTGAGGGAGTATTTGGCTACATTTCAAATTTCCAAAAAGTTTAAAAGGCTCTTTAAAAATCTTCATGATTAAAAATGACTAAGGTGTATTTTATTAGCCAAGAATAGAACTAATTTGGCCAGGCGTGGTGGCTCACGCCTGTAATCCCAGCACTTTGGGAGGCCAAGGCAGAAGGATGGCTTGAGGCCAGGAGTTCAAGACCAGCCTGGGCAACATAGAGAGGCCCGCCCCCCCTACCACCGACAACTCTACAAAAATAAAAAACTTAGCTGGACATGATGGTGCATGCCTGTAGTCCCAGCTACTCTGGAGTCTGAAATGAGAGGATCACTTGTGCCCAGAAGTTCTAGGCTGCAGTGAGCTATGATTGTACCACTGCACTGTAGTCTAGGTGAGTGAGATCCTGCCTCTAAATAAAACATAAAAATAAATAAGTCAATAGATTCTGTCCAAAATTGATAAATCAAGAACCAGTGGCCAGGCATGGTGGCTCATGCTTGTAATCCCAGCACTTTGGGAGGCCAAAGTGAGAGGATTGCTTGAGCCCAGGAGTTTGAGACCAGGCTGGGCAACATAGTGAAACCTTGTCTTTACCAAAAAAAAAAAAAAAAAAAAAAAGCTGGGCATGGGCATGGTAGCGTGCACCTATAGCCCCAGCTACTCAAGAGGTTGAGGGGGAAGGATTGCTTGAACTCAGGAATTTAAGGCTGCAGTGAGCCATGATCACACCACTGTACTCTACCCTGGGCAACAGTGTGAGAACCTGTCTCAAGAAAAAAAGAAAAAACAGCAACATAAGCTAATTATTTGGACATAGGGAGGTAAGTGATCAAACAGCCAAGAGTTCAAAATGATTGCCTCTGGAGACTGGGACTGTTGTTTTAGTTATAAGCTTTTATTTTTTATTTATTTATTTATTTATTTTTGAGACAGAGTCTCGCTCTGTCGCCCAGGCTGGAGTGCAGTGGCGCGATCTCGGCTCACTACAAGCTCCATCTCTCAGGCTCAAGCCATTCTCCTGCCTCAGCCTCCCGAGTAGCTGGGACTACAGGCGCCCACCACCACACCTGGCTAATTTTTTTTTTTTTGTATATTTAGTAGAGACAGGGTTTCACTGTGTTAGCCAGGATGGTCTCGATCTCCTGACCTCATGATCCACCCACCTCGGCCTCCCAAAGTGCTGGGATTACAGGCGTAAGCCACCGCGCCCAGCCAGTTATAAGCTTTTAATATACTCTCATAAAATTAGGTGAATGCATTGTGATGATAACAATTTGAACAATTTTTTAAAGTAAAAAGAAAAATTTCAGTGCAATTATGTAATCAAGTGTATCCATATATTATCCCAACTAGATAATTCCAACAAATAGAGACACAGAAAGCTTCTTGATGGCTTTAGGATTAGGGAGAAAAGATCTAATGAGCAGCTAGTTCAGGAGACCCGAAAAGACAGCTGCCTCAGCCCACACCACTTGGATGGGTGGCAGGGAGTCAGAATGAACTAAGATCTGCCGCTAAGGCCTCCCAAGTCACACGATTTTGCTAAATAGGGTACTGACTGCTTTCTGGAAAACCATCAGTGTTCTCTGTGGAAGATGAAGAGTGGAGTTCTTCTTAGTTTCCTATTCTGCAACTTCGTTTTCCTTCTGTGCAACCCTCTTTTCACTTGATGTTTTCGCTTTTACTTTCTTTCTATTAATCTGCTTTCTCCTTACAGTTTTTTCCCCTTAACAGTTTTATTTTGCTCTCTAATCTTAAATTCTTCCCGCTATCCATGCCCTGAATTTCTCTTAAGTCTTGGCTAATGCTCATATTCATAATGCTCATGTCAGACAATTTAGATTTTTGTCTCGATTTTCCAAGTGGTTAGCTGAAATCACTTTTTTTTTTTTTTTTTTTGGATTCAGAGTCTTTCTGTGTCTCCCAGGATGGAATGCAGTGGC
This sequence comes from Homo sapiens, assembly GCF_000001405.40. Lineage (NCBI taxonomy): Eukaryota > Metazoa > Chordata > Mammalia > Primates > Hominidae > Homo > Homo sapiens. Next base: position 43,195,617 of record NC_000005.10, on the reverse strand, counting down.
ATAATCACAGCTCACTGCAGCCTTGAACCTCCCAGGCTCAAGCAATCCTCCTCCCTCAGTCTCCCCAGTAGCTGGGACTACAGGCATGCACCACCACACCCAGCTAATTTTTAAAAAATTTTTATAGAGACAAGGTCTCACCATGTTGCCCAGGCTGGTCTCGAACTCCTGGGCTCAAGCAGTCCTTCTGCTTCAGCCTCCCAAAGTATTGGGATTACAGGCCTGAGCCACGGCACCGACCTATCACTTGGCTTTTGAACACAACTTGTCCATCTGTAAAACTGATTAATATTCCTCAGGATGCTGTATAATAATGGCTAAGCTAACCTTGAAGTTCTTGAGAGAAAGTAATTTAAGAACTATGATGTGGTTAATTCAAGTTGTAGACTATTATCTTCATAAGCAATTTGAATATTTTCTTCTTCTCCTGAAAATTAAAACTTCAATTCTAGAGACCTTTTTCTAGAATGACAATAGGAAATGACAAAATACAAAATGAAACAAATTTTATGAACAGTTTGTCCTTTCAACAAGTGAAAGAAAATCAACCAATGAATTAAAACTCTTTAATCCCTAGAGAAATACAGTGATCAGATTCAAAGAATGAAGTTGGATTTAATGTTATATTTTAATTTTTAAGTTTCTCAAAATGAAACTATATATGTGACAAAAACATTAACCTACTAAGACAAAAATCTTTGCTTTTGTTTTTTTAAAAATGTATGATAAGTCTGTCATGCACCTGTAGTCCCAGCTCCTCAGGAGGCTGAGGCAGGAAGATCCCTTGAGCCCAGGAGTTTGAGACATGCCTGGGCAACATGGCGAGACCCAGTCTCTAAAAACGAAAAGAAAATAAAACAAAACTGTAAGTCTGAGGGCTTCAAGCTGTCTAATCACATGCTATCAATGTTAGAATTTGAAGCTCAGAAATCGTGGATGTGTAATGAATTACGGTTCTTTAAAGAAACCAACATTTGCTGATAAAAGTATTTGAAATGGTACCACTGCTTGCCCCAAATTAAACCTTTTCAACTAAAAACCTAGGGTTAAACCAAGAATATAAAGGGCTCTATAACCTATCTGTAGTTATTACTGGGGAATTCAGATTTCATATAAACCTGTCTTTATTTTAAATGTAGTTAGAAAAAAAGCACACACCTCAAACCAAATATCCAATCCACATTTTTTCCTAACACAGAAGGAGGCTTCTCTGAAGGTTTTTCCAGGCTTACCATTTAACAGTGGTCCAGCTAAAAATAAACCCATGAGGGTTTACTAGGCAAATTCAATGGCACACCAAACACCAGTCCATGGGGAGTTGGATTCAGCTTTTTCCCCACTAGCCTCTCGCAGGAATCCCCCCCTACATTCTCCCATCTCCTAATTAGAAAGCTAATTAGGCTTCCAAATGTAAATGCTAAATGGCGAGGGCGATCTGGGCTCAGGCCAGGATTCGTGGAACATCTAACACCCTCCTCTGTCCTCTGTTCGTGCAGTGAGCTGTGGGAAGAGAGCTGGGCAGCATGACTATTTGGGGCCATTTAACTTGCTGGAGGGCAGTGTTTACTCTCATTTGTCTGAGCGGAAAGCTGTGTTGCATGGACTGCAAACTCTGAAAAAATAAAATAAAAAAAACAACAACATGCCTTGGGATTTTAGTACTTTAAGGGAAAAAGTAAGTACATTTTCATAAACTCAATTATTACCATGGTGACAACGAGGGTACAAGAGAAGGTCCTCTGGAGAACAGTTCCTGCTTCTAACTAGACAGCCTCTCAATAGAGCAGGGCGACTTCTTCAGTAACCATGACAACCAGAATTAGAAGTGCTGTTGCAACACTAACAGAAACCATCTTTTGAAGCGGTTCTGTGAATCACATTGAATACTGATGATGCAAGCTAGTGTGATACATACTTTTCAAACATTAAAAAAAATCTTATTACCATAAACAAATATTCACCTTAGATTTCCATTTGAAATCTTGACTTGGAATCACTTTTTTTCATCTGGTTTCGTTTGTTTCCCTTTTGGATTCCCGCGGCCTCAATTGCAAACGCGATTTGTGTAATTTCCAAACTTGTCAGAACTGCACGGGTAAGAGCTTAGAATGTGATTCATTCGCTCTTATTTTGAAACGGGATGAGGAATGGGGTGGGGGAGGGGGGGTAGACAGAGAGCCCTCTTGTCTACTGTACTCAGGAGGACGAAAACAGGGGAGGGAAGGGGAAAAGAGAGGAGAAAGGGAGAAAGGGAGGGAGGGAGGAGGAGAAGAGAAGGGGAGAGGAGGAGGAGGAAAGGAGGGAGGGAGAAGAGGGAAAAGGAGGGAAGGAGGGAAGGAAAAAACAGAAAGGAAAGAAGTGCTATAGCAGAATCTTTGCTGCCCATGTTATCTATTGCCTTGACTTCTCCATCTGCCAAGATGTGTCAAGCACGCAGAAGCTGGCTGGAATCGATATTTTAAAGACCCGGTTGCGATCTTTTCCTGGTCGTATCAAGGAGTCCTGGAGCTTCTAATATTCCTGGAGGGATATCCAGGAAGAGGAAAAGAGGCTCTTCCTTACTTCGTGCGGTCTTCCAAAAGAAGCACCTTTCGCTGGGGAGAGTCGCGGCGTGGGGTGCAATGGAAGGTTTTGTTCTCCTGGGCCACATGCGTTAGATGTCAGTTCTCTCCACCAGCAGCACCGGCCGGCGCGCGTGGGGAGATCACGCCGGTCTTCTGCCCTTGTAACAAACGCTCCAGATTTGGTCTGGTGCCTTAGGGCTCTGGTCCAGCGCACCCGCTGTGCGCAACGCTAGGCGCTAAGCTGCGCTCCTCGGCTCACGTGTGGACGCGCACGCAGACACGAGTGTCCACACCATACAGAGACATGGGTGCACACACGCGCGCACATAGACATGGGCGCCGCACATGACACGGGCACCACACATGACACGGGCACACACGCGCGAGCACGCTCTCGCCCTGGCTCTAATGCCCCCTCCTCTCGCTTGCGGATCGGCCTGGGCAGGTGTGGGGGTACGCCCCAGAAAGCGCCTAACCTTCTTCTGACCCCACTTCGCAGACACCCCGTGGCAGGGCTTCCTTTCTTCCTTGGGTCGCGGGGAGGAGAGGCGCCTCCTCCTCAGCCACCCAGGTCTGCAGCCTAGCAGAGGAAGGGTGGCGGGGTGGGGGTGCTGGCGGCGAGTCCCCCAGCCCCTCGCTTACCTTCGTGGCGAGGCCAGCTCTTGGGCTTCGCTGCACGGCGCCAGGCTAGGCGCGCTGGGTTGTTGCCTCTGGAGCAGGAGCGGTCGGTGTGTGGATGTCCCGAGGTGAGGGCGCCGCTGTCGCGCTTGAGGCTCCCGGAGCTGTCAGGGGCGGCCGACCTGACCGGCAGCGGCCCAGGGCAAACCCCGCCCTCCGGCCTAGGCCGGCTCCGCAGCGGGGACCGAGACGCCCCACAGCGTTTCCTGAAGGACCAATCCGGAGCGAGGGGCTGGCGTGGGGAAGGAGGGACGGGGGGCCTGTAGTGCACCCGGACGCCGGCCTGGACCTTGTAAGCTGGTTTCTATGGCAGCCAGGAGGGAGGGGCGAGAGGGAGGGGACGCGCGGCGCAGGGACACCCAGTGCAGTCGCTCGGGGAGGGGGGTGATTGGGCCTGACGCAAAGAGGACCCCTTCTAGAGTCTGGATGGGAGCAGCTACACGGCCGAAAGCGGGCTGACACAGCTCCCACCGACGTACGCCTCGTGCCGAGCGGTTCCAGCGCTTCAGCAAGGGTTTCCATGTCCTTGGGAAACCGTGACCCAGTAATCCTCCCAACAGAAAGGGGGTTTCCAGCAAACCACCGTGACAGCTCCTCCGGGTGAGTCGGGCAGGGTTTAGGTTCTGCAGAAAGAAGTGCTAATGTCACCCTCTGTCTGGATTCCTGGCATACATCGGTTCCCCTGGTGCCACTTTGTCACTGGCTCCCTAATCTCCTGCTAGGGAGATACTCTCGGCTGTGACCCTCAGATGCCAAAGATTATTTTTCTAGTTTATAAACTAGAAATACCGTCACTGGATTGAACGTAGAGTTGGAAATGGGATTCGCAAAATACTAAATAAAACATACCGGTTATTTACTGAAGTTTAAGCCCTTCCTTTTACAGAGAGAGAAAAAAAAAACTGAGTTCAGAGGGGTCAGTTAACTTAGCAAGGGTCACACAACTGATTAATGGCAGAGCCAGGACTAGACACCCTAAGTCATAGTTCTGCGAGCATTCTTTCTACTTCCTCCTGCTCTCCATCCTGTATTGATTGCCAGAGCAATATTTACAAGAGCAAAACTGTTAAGTAGCAACATAACCCATGTCTACAATTCTTTTATGGTAGAAACTAGGGAACCCCAAAATTCCTTTTTTGCTATTTGCCAGGCATTGTAATAAACTCTTTTACAAAGAGTAACTGATTAAATCCTCATGATAATCTATGGGTTAGGTACTGTTACTGTCATCCTTGTTTTGATAGATGAAGAAACTGAAGCCCAGAGAGGTTACAGGATTTGATCGAGATCACACAACTGTTGAATGCTGGCTCTGGGACTCTAACCCAGTTTGTTTGACTCCAGAGTTGGTGTTCTTCATTACTTTGTCTCTGCTGCCTGTTTGTGTGATGATTAAAGGGGTCAGGAACGGGAAGGGCAAGAAATAAAAACCTTGGACAGCTCCGTGCACTGACGGTTGAGATTGGAAAGAAAATTGAAAGAACCTGAAACAACTGCTTCCTTGGCTTCTGAGAGTGGTCATCTATTTATGTAGAACAAGGGTTCTCTCGAGAAAATTTGTTTTTAAAGAGACATCCCCTCCTCAAAAGACAAGAGGTTTGTTGTTTTTTTTTTTTAAGAGTAATCTTTAAAATAGTACATGCCATCAGTCTATTTTCTTTCTAATGCAATAAAATGCAGGGAGAAACTCTACATATTTTTAAAGATATAAAAGACCCTTGAATTCAAATAAACAGAATAAAATTTCATAGAGAAATTGCCTAGAAACCAAGAGCCTCAAACACCCAATCTGACAGAGGCTCTCTGTGACATAGATCCTCACCATCACACCCCAAAGAGCATGCACAAGGCAGAGGTGATGATAGGTTCTAGTAGCTTAAAAGGTTACTGAACACTTTAGGCTAATACCATCACATTGGGAGTTAAGATTTCAATATATGAATTGGGAGATACAAAAATTTAGTCCATAACAGAACCCTTCCCAACTTTTATCTTTCTTTCAGGAATCTCTATTTTATACTATGTGTGTCAGACCTTCTCATTCTATTTCATGTCTTTTCTCAGATTCTCTAGATTTTTAACATTTTGTGCTACATTCTAGGTAATTTCTTCAGATCTACCTTCTGTTCATGAATTTTCTCTTGCACTAACCTGCACACTGACTTTATGATAATGCAAATATAATTAAATCAAGAGGTTTGAGAGTGCCGATTTCAGTATCTTTCACAGCAGGGGTGAATTGATAGCTTAAAATTGAATCACTTATTTACAACAACTAGTATTATTAAAATCCCTTTTTTCTTAACTTTATAGGAAACTTGTAAGAACTAATATTTCTTGTAAAAAACCTTTTTCTGAGGTTTAGCAATTTTTTCTGCTTTCCTTCTTATTTCCGTTAAATCCAATAAAAATTAAACTGAAAGGCCGGGCACGGTGGCTCACGCCTGTAATCCCAGCACTTTGGGAGGCCGAGGCGGGTGGATCACGAGGTCAGGAGATGGAGACCATCCGGGCTAACACGGTGAAACCCCGTCTCTACTAAAAATACAAAAAAAATTAGCCGGGCGTGGTGGCAGGTGCCTGTAGTCCAGCAACTCGGGAGGCTGAGGCAGGAGAATGGCGTGAACCCGGGAGGCGGAGCTTGCAGTGAGCCGAGATCGCGCCACTGCACTCCAGCCTGGGAGGCAGAGCGAGACTCTGTCTCCAAAAAAAAAAAAAAAAAAAAAAAAAAAAAAAAATTAAACTGAAAGAATTAAAACTAGCAATGGTGACCCTGTTTTTATTTTTCTTTATTTTATTTATTTATATATATATATTTTTTGACGTAGAGTCTCACTCTGTCGCCCTGGCTGGAGTGCAGTGGCGTGATCTCGGCTTACTGTAACCTCTGCCTCCCAGGTTCAAGATATTCTCCTATCTCAGCCTCCCGAATAGCTAGGACTACAGGTGCATGCCACCACGCCCAGCTACTTTGTTCGTTTGTTTTTGTTTTTGTTTTGTTTTGTTTTTGAGACGGAGTCTTGCTCAGTTGCCCAGGCTGGAGTGCAGTGGCGCGATCTCGGCTCCCTGCAAGCTCCGCCTCCCGGGTTCACGCCATTCTCCTGCCTCAGCCTCCTGAGTAGCTGGAACTACAGGTGCCCGCCACCACGCCTGGCTAATTTTTTGTATTTTTAGTAGAGACGGGGTTTCACCGTGGTCTTGATCTCCTGACCTCGAGATCCGCCCACCTCGGCCTCCCAAAGTGCTGGGATTACAGGTGTAAACCACCAAACCCGGCCTAATTTTTGTATTTTCAGTGGAGACGGGGTTTCACCGTGTTAGCCAGGATGGTCTCCATCTCCTGACCTCGTGATCCACCTGCCTCAGCCTCCCAAAGTGCTGGGATTACAGGCGTGAGCCGCCGCGCCCAGCCCTTTTTTTTTTTTAAATACTTTAAGTGCTAGGGTACATGTGCATAACATGCAGGTTTGTTACATATGTATACATGTGCCATGTTGGTGTGCTGCACCCATTAACTCGTCATTTACATTAGGTATATCTCCTGATGCTATCCCTCCCCCCTCCCCCCACCCCACTACAGGCCCGGGTGTGTGATGTTCCCCACCCTGTGTCCAGGTGTTCTCATTCTTCAATTCCCACCTATGAGTGAGAACATTCAGTGTTTGGTTTTCTGTCCTTGCCATAGTTTGCTCAGAATGATGGTTTCCAGCTTCATCCATGTCCCTACAAAGGACATGAACTAATTCTTTTTTATAGCTGCATAGTATTCCATGGTGTATATAAGCTAGCTTTAAAATTATTGGTGGAATAAAAATAAAAATGCCTTCGGAACTGTCAGCATACATTTTGTCTGAATTTTATGTTTGTCTTTGCTAGATATTTTGAGATGTCAGTGTTTGGCATAGAAGGTTATAAAACTGTAATCCCAGCCAAAACAAAATAATCTTGGTTTGTGTGCTTTCTTTTGACGAATGAGAGTAATTTATAAAAGGAAAATATCTTGAGCCCCCCAAAAATTACTAGGCTGAAGAGAAGATTTGGGCTGGGAGCTGCTTGGGGAAGGCCTGCCTCATATTCTGTTCAGTCTCACCGAGATAAATGCATATCTAATTGCCTTCTTTGGAAAGGCTAATCAGAAACTCAAAAGAATGCAACCATTCCTTTCACACCTACCTGTGACCTGGAAGCCCCAAGCTGCATCCCTGGCCTTTCTGACCTAACCAATGTTCATTTTACATGTTAATTGATGTCTCCTGGCTCCCTTGTTAAAAGTGAAAGAATTGGCCAGGCACGGTGGTGGTTTACACCTGTAATCCCAGCACTTTGGGAGACCGAAGCGGGCAGATCACGAGGTCAAGAGATTGGGACCATCCTGGCCAACATGGTGAAATCCCGTCTCCACTAAAAATACAAAAATTAGCTGGGCATGGTGGCATGTGCCTGTAGTCCCAGCTACTCGCGGGCAGATCACGAGGTCAAGAGATTGGGACCATCCTGGCCAACATGGTGAAATCCCGTCTCCACTAAAAATACAAAAATTAGCTGGGCATGGTGGCGTGTGCCTGTAGTCCCAGCTACTCGGGAGGCTGAGACAGGAAAATAGCTTGAACCTGGGAGGCGGAGGTTGCAGTGAGCCGAGATCGCACCACTGCACTCCAGCCTGGTGACAGAGTGAGACTCCGTCTCAAAAAAACAAACAAACACACAAACAAAAAGTGAAAGAATTGAGTATAGTGAATGGAATAAATATTTTAGGTAAACTTTTTGTGTAAATTAAAATTTTAGAGTTATTTCTGACGCTCATTTAATATCTGGGTCATTTCCAATTATGAAAGGGTTGTGGCCGGGCGCGGTGGCTCATGCCTGTAATCCCAGCACTATGGGAGGCCAAGGCGGGCGGATCACGAGGTCAGGAGATCAAGATCATCCTCACTAACATAGTGAAACCCCGTCTCTACTAAAAATACAAAAAAAAAAAAAAAAATAGCCGGACGTGGTGGCGGGCGCCTGTAGTCCCAGCTACTCCGGAGGCTGAGGCAGGAGAATGGCATGAACCTTGCAGGTGGAGCTTGCAGTGAGCCGAGATTGCCCACTGCACTCCAGCCTGGGCGACAGAGCGAGACTCTATCTCAGAAAAAAAAAAAAAAAAAAAAAGAAAGGGTTGTGATATGGGGAAATGTGTTTCTAAAATTGTGGAATTGTTCTTATGTATAAATGCCCGTATCTGATAGTTGAGGATTTCTTGCTTTTTAGGGTCTCACAAAAGTTTTAAGTTACCAAGGATAAGAATTCTCCTTAACATATAATTCTGTTTACAAAATGTGCCAGAAAGGGTTATGTTATTAGTGAGAAAAAGAATAATTTTGTCTAATTCAGAAGTTATCCAAAAATTAGTTCAGGCCGGGCGGGGTGGCTCATGCCTGTAATCCCAGCACTTTGGGAGGCCGAGGCGGGCGGATCGCGAGATCAGGAGATGGAGACCATCCTGGCTAACACGGTGAAACCCCGTCTCTACAAAAAAAATTTAAAAAAAGTAGCCAGGCCTGGTGGTGGGCGCCTGTAGTCCCTGCTAGTCGGGAGGCTGAGGCAGGAGAATGGCGTGAACCCGGCAGGCGGAGCTTGCAGTGAGCCGAAATCGCGCCACCGCTCTCCAGCCTGGGCAACAGATCCAGACTCCGTCTCAAAAACAAAAAACAAAAAACAAAAAGTTAGTTCAAATTACAGATGTGGAAAGGTTATTTATGGAACGATGTAGTAAGGAATCATTAAGTAGGGGAGAAAACTATGGGAAAAGTTTGTATAATAAAATATTCTTTAAAACCTAATAGAGAATTGGAGACATTTGGCTAATTAACATTTTCACAGTTAAAGCTCTTAGTCTTAATAAAAGTAAAGTAAGAAGTATTGTAGAGAAATGCATCAGCAGTTTGGCAACTTTTTAAAAAAATATAGATAAGGATCTAATTTGGTTCTATGGATAGTTATTTTGTTTCCTATGCATTTCTAGCAAGCCACCATTTGTTCCATTTATCTGGAATTCCTAAGCTACCTTTGTCGGGCCCACAGCAATTAATGGAGCACGCTAGCCTTTTAACTTTTTTTTTTTTTTTTTTGGTGGGGGGTGGGGATGGAGTTTCGCTCTTGCCCAGGCTGGAGTGTCATGGCGCCATCTCGGCTCACTGCAACCTCCGCCTCGCAGGTTCAAGCGATTCTCCTGCCTCAGCCTCCCGACTAGCTGAGATTACAGACATACGTCACCATGACCAGCTAATTTTGTATTTTTAGTAGAGACGGGGTTTCTCCATGTTGATCGGGCTGGTCTGGAACTCCCGACCTCAGGTGATCCGCCCTCCTTGGCCTCCCAAAGTGCTGGGATTACAAGTGTGAGCCACCACACCCGGCCTTAGCCTTTTAACCTTAAACTAACTTTTTGGATTTTAGGCTTCTTGATACTTTAAGTGTGTTGAGTATACTCAATATGTATGGGATTTCTAAAATTCTAATGTCTAAGTATATGCTATCAATTATAATTATGGTTATTATGTTGTTATTGTAAACCACAGAAATAACCAAATTTCCTTGCATAAAGCTACTAACCCAAGTAGAACAAAAAAATTAATTAAATACCAAGGAAATACTTTGTCAGATTTTCATGTTAAACTGCTGATACTAAAATTGTTTAAATGTACAATTTAGGCTGGGTGCAGTGGCTCACACCTGTAATCCCAGCACTTTGGGAGGCTGAAGTGGGTGGATCACAAGGTCAGGAGTTCGAGACCAGCCTGGCCAATGTGGCGAAACCCCATCTCTACTAAAAATACAAAAATTAGCTGGGCATGGTGGTGTGGGCCTGTAATCTCAACTATTCAGGAGCCTGAGGCAGGAGAATTGCTTGAACTTAGGAGGCGGAAGTTGCAGTGAGCTGAGATCACACCACTGCACTCCAGCCTGGGCAACAGAGCAAGACTCCATCTCGAAAATAAACAAACAAACAAACAGTTTAAATAAACTCCATGGTCTAAGTCAAATCGCCCATGATAACCCATCAGTTATCAGTGCTATGCACCTAATTTGGAAAAACTACTGGTATTCAAGAGGATATAAGTCTAATGTTAATTAAGCATGGACTCATGGAGAACCAGGATGGACACCTTGTCATTCCTGAGTTCTTAAAGATTTTATTATTAATAGTTCTGCATCCCATGACTCATCATGGAAAAGATAAAATGATCCAAATTGAATACATTGGTGTCGTGACTTGTAAGTTACTAAAATAGTTTATAACTAATGTTTGATCCCATATTCCTGGAAAAAACAATTAAAGCTTCAGGTATATTTGGTCACCTGATGGGCCTTTTAAACATTTTTTTTTTTTTTGAGACGGAGTCTCAGCTCTGTCGCCCAGGCTGGAGTGCAGTGGTGCAATCTCCGCTCACTGCAAGCTCCACCTCCCAGGTTCACACCATTCTCCTGCCTCAGCCTCCCAAGTAGCTGGGTCTACAGGTGCCCACCACCAGGCCCGGCTAATTTTTTGTATTTTTAGTAGAGACGGGGTTTCACCGTGGTCTTCATCTCCTGACCTCGTGATCCGCCCACCTCGGCCTCCCAAAGTGCTGGGATTACTGGCGTGAGCCACTGCGCCTGGCCTTAAACATTTTATAAAGGGATTTCATTCAGTTATTATTTTCAATGTATGTTTTCTGGTGGTATACAAGCTCTCCCATGCAAGAGGGCTGATGTTACAATGGTAAATTATTATGCTACAGTGTACTTTCACCAGGGAAGAAAGCTTTTTATGGTTTGAATCTTCTGAGAACATTAAAGAAAAACTATTCTTGCCATCCGCACTACAACAAAACCTTGGAACTTTGAACTGCTAAGAAGGGTCCCTCCACGCTCTTGGAGCTGTGCATCCATTGGAACCCTTGGGGTAAGACTAACCAGGGAAGTTTCTCCTCAGAAGAAGATGGCATCCTTGATGTGAACAACTTTTCCCACGTTCACAGATTAAGATTTCTATCATGAAACTCTGAATATTTTTTTCTTGCTTATGCCTCTACGAACAATAAAAGTGGAAAGGGGTCTGTTATACGCACTTATGGGGTATACTTTTATTTTTGAAGAAGTCTACAGCCATCCTTATACATGGATAACCTTATACTTTGATAGATAAAAAATAGGCCCAAGGCTAAGCATGGTGGCTCATGCCTGTAATCCCAGAGCTTTGGGAGGCTGAGGCAGGTGGATCACTTGAGGTCTGGAGTTAGAGACCAGCCTAGCCTGGCCAACATAGTGAAACCCTGTCTGTACTAAAAATACAAAAATTAGCCAGGCATGGTGGCGGGCGCCTGTAATCCCAGCTCTTTGGGAGGCTGAGGCAGGAGAATGGCTTGAACCCAGGAGGTGGAGGTTGCAGTGAGCCGAGATCTCGTCACTGCACTCCAGCCTGGGTGACAGAGCAAGACTCTGTCTCAAAAAAAAAAAAAAAAAATGACGGCCCAATGTAGGTAACAAACTTTAATGGTACATATGCTGCCTCATGATCAGTCAGAAACAGAACATTGGCTAACTCCTATTAACCCGCATTATGGTCTAGAGAGAACATTCCTGGAAGGCCTTCACTCTTCTAGGACATCATTCATTAGGTCATTTTTCCATAGTTTAGAGTAAAAAAGGCAATAATTAGAAATGTATCCCCCATAATAGACTCTATAGCAGATTTTTTTTTTTTTTTTTTTTTTGAGTGGAGTTTCACTCTTTTTGCCCAAGCTGGAGTACAATGGGCAACCGCATGATCTCGGCTCACTGCAACCTCTGCCTCCCAGGTTCAAGTGATTCTCCTGCCTCAGCCTCCCGACCAGCTGGGATTACAGGCACGCACCATCATGCCCGGCTAATTTTGTATTTTTTTTTAGTAGAGACGGGGTTTCATCATGTTGACCAGGCAGGTATTGAACTCCTGACCTCAGGTAATCTGCCGGTCACTGTCTCCCAAAGTACTGGGATTACAGGCGTGAGCCACCACTCCCAGCCTACGCAGATGCTACTGTAAAGGCTACAGTTACACAACAGCCTTTGTATTCTCTTGTGAAAGTTATGATAGGATTAGCTGAACAGAGAAGTATCTGTGCAGCTGCTGGCACTCATGGCCTTTGGAGAAAACATCAGGTATTATAGAAATTCAGTTGTAGGCTGGGCGTGGTGGCTCACGCCTGTAATCCCAGGACTTCGGGAGGCCAAGGCGGGCAGATCACGAGGTCAGGAGATTGAGACCATCCTGGCTAACACGGTGAAACCCTGTCTCTACTAAAAAAAAAATACAAAAAAAATTAGCCTGGCAGCCGGGCTTGGTGGCAGGCACCTGTAGTCCCAGCTACTCGGGAGGCTAAGGCAGGAGAATGGTGTGAACCCAGGAGGCGGAGCTTGCAGTGAGTGGAGGTCGCGCCACTGCACTCCAGCCTGGGCAACAGAGCAAGACTCCGTCTCAAAAAAAAAAAAAAAAGAAAGAAATTCAGTTGTAGCAGATTAACAAAGAAACTGCTTAGTTAAGCCATTCTTTGATCAATTTGATTTTAGGAGGTTTGGTTTATGGGAACCTCAGGTAAGGAGCATACTTCGAACTCTTGGTATTATCCTCCCGATGGTCATAATAATAGTCTCCCTGGTGTGCTGTATTCTTTCAAAGGTTTTAAACGCTTGCATGCAGCCATCTCTAGAATGTCATATGATCTCTCTTCAACTGGAATGACAGGAGCTGAAAGAAATATGCAACCGGACAGGTGTGGTGGCTCATGCCTGTAATCCCAGCACTTTGAGAGGCCGAGGCAGGAGGATCACCGGAGGTCAGGAGTTTGTGACCAGCCTGGCCAACATGGCGAAGCCCCATCCTCTACTAAAAATACAAAAATTACCCGGGCGTGGTGGTGAGCGCCTGTAATCCCAGCTACTTGGGAGGCTGACGCAGGAGAATCGCTGGAACCTGAGAGACAGAGGTTGCAGTGAGCCAAGATCACACCACTGCACTCCAACCTGGGCGACAGAGCAAGATTCCGTCTCAAAAAATTAAAAAAAAAAAAAAAGAAAAAAATGTGCAACTAGGAAGACATCATAACCTATAAATGACGTGCTAAGACTGGAAACCCAAGATGATGATAACTGAGAGTGGCACTAAGGCCCTAAGTTTTGGTCACACTCTCACCAAAGTGAGAACCTGCCCCAAAAGGGGTTTTTTAAACAAAATTCTGGGAGGCTATTGTTTTGGACTAAGCTCATGCACTAGGCCCCAGTAGACCAAACCAAACCAAAATGGAGTTGCTTGTGCTAAGACTTTAAAGAAACACATAGATTCTAGAACAAGTCAGGTTTTTTTTCTCTTGCAAATCTCTCCTATTTTATTTTATTCTATTTTATTATTTTTTTTTTTTTTTGAGACAGAGTCTCGCTCTGTCACTCAGGCTAGAGTGCAGTGGCACGATCTTGGCTTACTGCAACCTCTGCCTCCCAGGTTCAAGCGATTCTCCTGCCTCAGCCTCCCGAGTAGCTGGGATTACAGGCTTGTGCGCCACCATGCCCAGCTAATTTTTGTATTTTTAGTACAGATGGGGTTTCACCATGTTGGTCAGCCTGGTCTCGAACTCCTGACCTCGTGATCTGCCTGCCTCGGCCTCCCAAAGTGCTGGGATTACAGGCGTGAGCCACTGCGCCCGGCCCTCTCCTGCAAATGTCTATAACAAACATTCCTGACAGCATTGGTATCCACCCCATGAAGTTCCCATTAAATCTTTTTCTTTTTTTTTTTTTTTTTTTTGAGACGGAGTTTCACTCTTGTTGCCCAGGCTGGAGTGCAATGGCACGATCTCAGCTCACTGCAACCTCTGCCTCCTGGGTTCAAGCGATTCTCCTGCCTCAGCCTCCCTAGTAGCTGGGATTACAGGCGCCTGCCACCACGTTCAGCTAATTTTTTTGTATTTTTAATAGAGACAGGGTTTCACCATGTTGGCCAGGCTGGTCTTGAACTCCTGACCTCAGGCGATCCATCTGTCTCGGCCTCCCAAAGTGCTGGGATTACAGGTGTGAGCTACTGTTCCCCGCCTAAATCTTTTAGTTAAATTCATTTCCTCTTGCCTAGAAACTATGAAGTTTCCGTTGATTATGCAACAAAGGTTCCAGCCACTTCCAGGTGAAGAAACCACCCATGGCCATCAAGCTACCCTGCCTCCACTAGACAGAGCAAAGAGAGAGTTCTGTTATCCCCAGTAGGTACGGACTACACCCCAAGCCGGCATGTAGCAGTTACAGAAGAAAGACCATAGGTCCCTCCTCCTCCCATAAAGATTTATGGGGATCACATCTCTCAGTGGGGAGATGAGGCAGGAAAATAGGGTCTAGAGGCAGGGAACCTAAGGCCAATTCACGCGTCAGCTATGACAGGAAATATCCTCTCCATAGGGCATATGGTGAGTAAATGACTTTGTAACTTTACTGCATCCTCTTCATTTACACAGGGCATATATCAAGTAAACAATGGAATCCTCTAGAGGGTATTTAAATTCTCCAAAATTCTGTAACAGGGCCCTTGAGCCCTTATGCTTGGGCCTGCTCGCACCCTGTGGGGTGTATTTTTATTTTCAATAAATCTCTGCTTTTGTTGCTTCATTCTTTCTTTGCTTTATTTTGTCCAATTCTTTGTTCAAGATGCCAAGAACCTGGACACCCTCTACCAGAAACAGGTGTGGGGTCCAACAATGTGTGTTTCAACAAGATTCTGATGTTTGCTGAAGTTAGAGAACCATTCCCTAAATGATGTAGTCTCAGGGAAAGAAGATACTAAAAGGCAATTGGCTGCATGTATCTTGCTGGCTTTTCTGATTTCTTGTCCTTTCCACTTCCAACTCCATCAAGAGCTGGTATGGGTTCCAAAAAAGAAGGTAGCTGATTGTCCTGTGCTTTGTGCAATCCAGTGTGGCCAACCACAAAGAAATCTCATAGAGAGTTATTTTAGTGACCAAGAGTGCAGTCTGTGAAGTCAGGCTTGCTCAGTTCAAATACTGGCTCCACTTCCAACAAGCTTTCTCAGCTTCTCCTTCTCTTCCTTTCCTCTGTTTATAAAATGATAGCTAATAATACAGTAACTTCAGTGAGGTCATTGAGATAACTAAATGTATTCAAAATCATAAAGGATAGCTATTATGTTACAATAAAATTTTTCTTTCCCAGACTGCATTTTGGTACAGATATAAAGGTGAGGATACTGCTTCAGTTGAATAGTTAAGAGTCATACTCGGCTGGCCACAGGGCCCCTGCCTGTCATCTCAGCACTTTGGGAGGGCGAGGCGCTTGAGCCCAAGAGATTTCAATCAGCATGGGAACACAGACAGACTATTTCTACAAAAAATGCAAAAAGGAGCTGAGTGTGGTACACGCACCTGTAGTCGTAGCTACTCAGGAGGCTGAAGTGGGAGGGTTGCTTGAGCCCAGAAGTTAAAGGTTGCAGTAAGCCGAGATTGTGCCACTGCACTCTAGCCTGGGTGACACAGCGAGACCCTGTCTAAAAAAAAAAAAAAATATTTATAGGGACATGTTGGGTTGCAGGAAGGGCAAAGAGAAGATTGAATTGCAGGAAGGGCGAAGAGAAAAAGATTGAATTCACATGCTGCCTTCTTTACCATGTCAATAGAATTAATGAAGTTACATTTGCAGGGCAGGGAGTAGAGTTTTAAGAAGTTCAGACTATTATGACAGCCTCTGGTTTTTTTTTGTTTGTTTTTTATGGGTTTTAAAGTAATAAATATCTAGGCTTCTAACTATGAAGGATTTTATTAACTGATGGGGTGATGAGGGTTTAATTCCTTCTTCTCATTTGAATTCTTCATGACAAATCCTGTAAGAGGTATAGCACAGCTCAGCAGATTACACAAGAAAAACAATCTAGATCTCCCTCTCCTGATGTAATTAACACAAAGGTCAGTGTTAACCTAATGAATTCAAAGCTATTAGTTTTCTCCAACAAAATCAGACTAAACTTTCTAGGTCAGGCATTTGTTTGTAATTTTGCATCTAAGAGTTATAAAATACTTTTTGTGTGACTAGTTTAATGATCATAGAATCACTTGTTTAAAACAACCAACCCATGTTAAATTGAAAATGCGAATTAAAATCCACTTGATTGGTAAAGGTATCTACATTTAGGCCTCACTCTATGGCTTAATAAGCCTGTTGGCTTATTCAAACTATGAAATGGGTAGTTAGTCCAGAGAACTTTCATGGACCCTTCCAATAATGACATCTTTAATTCCAAGTTCAAACTAGTGGGAGCAGAAGCATTCAAATTCTCATGAAAATGTCCCTACATTCAGTATTATCTGAGTATGGTAGCCTTTTTATTTTTATTTATTTATTTATTTATTTATTTATTTTGAGACAGAGTCTTGCTCTGTGGCCTAGGCTGGAGTGCAGTGGCACGATCTCAGCTCACTGCAACCTCCATCTCTCGGGTTCAAGCGATTCTCCTGCCTCAGCCTCCTGAGTAGCTGGGATTACAGGCATCCGCCACCATGCCTGGTTCATCTTGTATTTTTAGTAGAGATGGGGGTTTCACCATGTTGGCCCAGGCTGGTCTCGAACTCCTGAACTGGTGATCTGTCCACCTTGGCCTCCCAAAGTGTTGGGATTACAGGCGTGAGCCACCGTGTCCAGCCAGGTAGCCTTTTTAAACTGGTAAGACTACAAGAGCCTTCTGATTTTGTACATATCCAAAAGATGTCTAGCTTTTAAATGTATTGCTAATGTATTCAGTTTAGTTTTTCTTTCAATCTCAAATGATAGGTGTGGTGTAATTAAAAAAAAAAAAAAAATAGGCCAAGCACGGTGGCTCATACCTGTAATCCCAGCACTTTGGGAGGCTGAGGTGGGTGGATCACCTGAAGTCGAGAGATCGAGACCAGCCTGACCAACATGGTGAAAACCCGTCTCTACTGAAAAAAAAAAAATTAGCCGGGCATGGTGGCGCATGCCTGTAATCCCAGCTACTCGAGAGGCTGAGGTATGAGAATCGCCTTAACCTGGGAGGTGGAGGTTGCAGTGAGCAGAGATCGTGCCATTGCACTCCAGCCTGGGCAACAAGAGTGAAACTGTCTAAAAACAAAACAAATAAAATGGATTTGGGTTTTTCTCCCTGGTTCCTTGCACACAGCTCCAAAAATCCTTGTAATTTCCAGAATGTCTTTTGTTATTCATTACAAGCCCCTTTTGATCTTACCAGTTTATGCTAATGAGATGACTACTGGCAGAGGGCCCCTAGATAGCTTCAAGATGGGCACGGGTCACTAGAGGAACCAGTTGTATTAAAGGGCTACAACTATTACCCCCACCCGAGACCTCCAGGGAGAAGAGGGGCTGGAGATTGAGCCCGGAGGCCAATAATTTAATGAGTCTAGGTTATAAAATGTCAGTAAGGGAGCTTCTGAGTTGAACACATCAACATGCTGGGAAAGTGGCATGCCAAGTGAGGGCAGAGAAACCTCTACTATTCTCCTCCACAACCCCCTCCATCCACCTTACTCTATGCATCTCTTCCATTTGGCTGTTCCTGAATTGTATACTTACTGTAGTCGTTAAGTATAGTGCTTTCCTGAGTTGTTTCAATGCATTATTGAACTTGGGGGGATGGGAAGGCCATAAGAACCCTAAATTTACGGTTGGCTGGGCAGAAGCGCGGGTAGCCTGTTGATCGCATTTGTGGCTGGTGTCTGAAGTGGGGGCAATTTTGTGGTACTGAGCACTTAACTTGCTCTAAATCTGGGTGGTGTCAGATTCAATTGTTGGACACCCAATTGATGTCTGAGAATTGCTGTTGAAACGGAGTAGAGATAGAAAAGCCTCTCATCGTTCTCAGTGCACTTGGGACTTATTTCTATGTGATCATCATTGCACACTCTACTGTCCAACTTGGTACCTCATACTGTAGACTTATCTTAAAACTCCAGTACAAATACAGTAGAACACTGGAGGACTAAATATCCAGTTTGCTTCAGTACTTGAAGCAAATATACATCAGTTGTTAACAGCTGTTTTATGTTCTACATAAAGTGCTTTCCAACTACAAAATGTTATTCAACATACAGTTTATCACCAGTAGATAGTTTTCCTCTACTTTTGCAATCAAATTTACTGGCATTCTGGGTACACTGATAGCTTCTATACCTTTTGGGAAAAGAAAAATGAACTATATCTGCATCTCAAATCTACCTCGAAAGGTCTTGACAAATGTGAAAACTCAAATAATTTTAACACTTTGATGTACCTTTGCCCTTGATCTTTACCTTGTGGTCAGAACTCTTGTTTTAAAATCCTTGTTTCATACCTTAGCTTAAGGGCATAGTATGCGCTATTTTCAGCATTCAAAATTCACCAGATACTAACTAGTAATTTACATATTTGAGACCACTATCTGTTAGGGTTTTTTTTCTTAAACAACTCAGGAACATTGGCATCCTAAGGCAAACTGAAAATTCACTGGGATATAATTTAATTATATTATTGGTATTTTCCAATTTCAAATAAAAACTATACTGTTAAATAAGCTTTGCAGTAGATACCCAACTACCAAACAGTACACACTTGGAAGTGTTCATACCCTTATTTTGATCTTAAAAACGTGGCCCCCTTAATACAATGGTTGGCTCTATCTCCAGATTTATATCTAAATCTGACTTCTCCAATGCTGGGAAGCCACTCTCTTCAGCGTATTTTTGTAAATGTGATACCATTTAACGTCACGATTACCAAAGGGGGCTAATCGCATTGGTCTTTTACATTTGACACAGTTAAGTGGAGAATTCCTGCTATTGTGCCTACCATGTAAGAACTATTAGCATAAAGAATATGAACTACTTCCATGCTTTTGAGCTGATTTTGGGGGGTTGGAGGTGTGATGGAAAATTTATCACAATTCATGCATCAGTCATGTTAACACGGGTAAAGACACATGAGGAACTATCTCTGCCCAGATATAAACTTTCACGCTGGTAATTTTTTAAAAAAGAGTCATGAACACATAATTTTAAAGTTTACTTAAAAAATGTAAAGAACTCCCAATATTTAACAGGTAAAAAAAATAGCATATTGGTCTATGGGTTTGTTATATTTTATTTTCCAAGTAATACTGATTAAAAATATTTACACACCTACTTTTAAGTCCACAGTTTAGCACTCTTATTTGTATGGCTTTAAAAGTTATAGCACAAGATCTTTACATTAAGAATTGGGGGAAAAGATTCCATTCAAAACAAAGCCTGATAATTATATACATGTCTTTCTCTGTACTTTATTTTAAATACATTAATTTTTAAATGCTGCTCATCTTTTTCTCATCTGGTGGTAAAATACTAGTGCAACTTTTCATCAAAATAAAGTTTACCACAGATGTAAATAAATTTTCCCAATTGAAAATGGCCCTTCAGTGGCCATTAAATAAAATTTCTCAACCTAACTTAAGTGAAAAAGAACTGGTGGTTGTCATTATAACCAAAAATATAAAGTATTATAGCATCATCTACATTGCTCCTTACAACACAAACTTTGAAAGAACCAGAGATGCTTTATAGAAGTTCAGTTGGTTTTGAGAAGGCACATGGGTGTGGATTTTTTTTTTTTTTTAACATTCTAGAAATTTTGCCACCACCACTCTTTCTGTTGCAAAGATGGCATCTGTGACTACTGGGGTAGACAAGAACGTTTGTTCAAACTAAAGAAAGCCAGAAGCCAAAATTTAACTGCACAGTAACAATGCACTTTTCATCATGCAGCCTTGTGTTTCCTATATTATTCAATTTTCTAACATGCATTAGAATACATAAACTTGTATTCTAATGATTTAAGTTTGATTTTACAATATGGAAAAAATTTGAGGAAGAACATGACCTGGGAAAGAGAAAAGGAAGAACTTTTACCACAATGAAAATAGATACATTCGTACCCAACTATATAATAAGAATATAATCCATTTAAGTTTCCAGAAATATACTTCTCAAAACTCCCCTTCAGTTATGGAAAAGATCCCTCCTCTGTGGCAATAAGTAGGGGGAGGGGAATCAATGTGTTTCAACGGACAACAGTTCAGCACAACAGGAAACAGCTTAACTTTGGTCCACTTGTCTGTTAGGCTTAATTAAGGACAGTCAAACTGCCCATAATCAGTTCAAAAACCCAACAAGTAAATTTAAAAATATATTCATGTGTAATTTCATTCTAAAACTGGCAGAGCTGTTCTGTCCTCATTCTCTGCCTTTTCTGCTTCAGAATCCACTGTTGGCTTGGTCTCTAAATCCTCAGCATCTTCGTGATCTTCCCTGGCAGCCTCAGCAGCATCTGCTTGGCTAGACTCTCTCTCCTCTTGGTTCATGATTTCTGGGGTCACGTGGTCCAAATCTGCTTCTAGAAGTTCAGTTTGTACTTCCACTGGCATTTGATTGACCCGTTCAACATGCAGCTCCTCTACATGTACTTCAGTACCTTCTTCAGTCTGAATTCGGCCCACTTCTAGATAACTCACTTGGACCTGCTCTGGAAGCTCACTCATGTGTGAATCGTGCACCTGGCTGTCCTGGAGCAGATCTGGATGGACTTGTTCCACAGTCACTTGTGCTGAATCCACCTGAACCTGAAGCAATGGTAGCACATGCACCTTCCCAACTTGTTCTATAATAGTCATTGATGTTACAGGTTCAGTTTGCACACGTGTTTCTACTGAAAGAACTTCTTCCGTTACTAGACGCTCTGAAATATTGTGAGCATCACTGAGATGCCTCCTTAATTCATTTCCTTGCATAAACCACAAATCACATAAAGTACAATGGTTGGGTTTATCTCCAGTGTGTATTACCAAGTGATCTTTGAACTGGTCCCAGCTGTTAAACACACTGTTGCAGACCTGAAATAACCAAAAATATGATGTAGACAATACTTATATCCAAACTGAAGGAAATATGAATGCATTTATTCTCTGTAAAGAAAAGATTGAAGGCTTATTCTGTAAATGTTATAAATATGGTACCTGCAATAGAATCTCGTCCAAGCTATTTCATAATTCTTTGGTTCATTTGGACTTCTAGCTGACACAGCTAGTAACCTAAATACATTCTTTTGTTTGAAACAAAGTCTCGCTCTTGTTGCCCAGGCTGGAGTGCAATGGTGCGATCTCGGCTCACTGCAACCTCCGTCTCCTGGGTTCTAGGGATTCTCCTGCCTCAGCCTCCCAAGTAGCTGGGATTACAGGCATCTGCCACCACGCCTGGCTAACTTTTGTATTTTTAGTAGAGACAGGGTTTCAGCACGTTAGCCAGCCTGGTCTTGAACTCCTGACCTCAGGCAATCCACCCGCCTCGGCCTCCCAAAGTGCTGGGATTACAGGTGTGAGCCACCGTGCCTGGCCACCTAAATACATTTTGAGAAACATTTCAATACTGCCTTCATTGTTTAAGCATCATATAAATTCTAGAAACATAACAATATTTTAGTTTCTCCCATAACATAGAACATTTACCAAATAATGTAATTTTTGTATTTTTATATCAAATAATGTAATAATTGTTTGATATTTGATATAAAAATACACTAATCATGGGGGGGGAATCTAATTACAGCTGAAATGCTTCCACCAATCCCCACCCCAAATTTTAATAATTACTCCATGGTTAACTATAGTTCCAGACTGTTATTTAGGACATAGTTGTTATTGACATTGGTGTCATCTAGGGTTGGGTTAAAAAAAACTAATTTAGTCCCCAAGACAATAATGTTCTTTATTCTCATTTCTTTCCAAACCGTCAGCCCCTATACCTTTGCTTGAGACTCTGTTTCCCTTTGCTTTTGATGACTGCAAACACAAGACTCCTTTGTTAAGAACTGAATGTATGTATCTGCACATACCTGGCATTCGTAGAGCTTCTTCCTTCCTTTTTTTGCCCCTACTCCAGTTTGGCATGCAGTGAGGTGACATTTCAGAGTGCTATTTCTAGCAAATCGTTCATGACAATTTGGACATTCAAAAGGTTTTTCACCTATTAGAGGGGAAAAAAGATACGTTGGCAAATTAAGAAAAATCCTAAGAGCAAATAATTTTAAACGTTTACTTTTTCTTTTTGGGTAATTTTAATACTAAATTCCTAAAAGGAGAAATCACAATTCAGAATTCAAATATTTTCACCATATTCCAAAGACTTTTCTAGAGGTAGCAAAAATAATAAAATTTAATATTTAACTGTATATATGCTTTGACAAAGATAAATATAATTTGCATCTAAATTCTGTTCCATGTCTTTACACTTCTTAAAAAAATTATTTTCCCTTAGATAAAAATCATGATCAATCTCTATTTTGCGGAATTGCATCATTTTCCTTTCTGCATTTTTTGCACACTTACCATGTGCTAGACCATGTGCTAGGTGATGAAGGTAAGAAGATAAACTGTCCTTCTTTGCAAAAAACTTCCTATCAAAGGCCAAGGTATAAAGATGAAATACATGAAAATAAACAAATGCAATGCACTATAAAAGATCTGTCACAGAAAAGAGCGATGGAATATGTATTGCAGTAGCACAGAGGAGGGGGTCAATTCGGCCTGGAATGAAATAGGAGAAAAAAAAGAAAGAGGCACGGAGGTATAAAACAGGTGGAGATGTCCAGTAGATAGCTGTAAAGATAATTCTGGAGCCAAATAGAGGGTGATTTATATATAAATTAGGGTTTTTTTTTTTTTTTGAGAGTCTTACTCTGTCACCTAGGCTGGAGTGCAGTGGCACAATCTCGGCTCACTGCAACCTCCGCCTCCCGGGTTCAAGTGATTCTTGTGTCTCAGCCTCCCGAGTAGCTGGGATCAAATGTGTGCGCCAGCACGCCCGGCTATTTTTTTGTATCTTTAGTATAGACGGGGTTTCACCATGTTGGCCAGGCTGGTCTCAAACTCCTGACCTCAGGTGATCTGCCTGCCTTGGCCTCCCAAAGTGCTGGGATTATAAGCGTGAGCCACTGCACCTGGCCAAATTAGGGGTTAAGTGATAGTAAAAACCTCCAGGCAGGAAAACATTTCTGAGTATGTTGTATGATAACAAAAATCAAGGGCAGAACCCAGTGAAACACCAAGTTAAAACAGCAGGTAGATGGGCTAGTGAAGGAAATGAAACAGCCAGAAGTAGAAGTAAAGAAAACAAGGAAATGACTTTAACCAGTGATGTAATTGGATCAGAAGGCCCACTGCCATGGGGCAAGAGTGAGTGAGAAGGATGACAATGAAAACAGTCATTACCAAAATTCCTTTAAGAAGGCCTACAAGGCCAAACATGGTGGCTTATGCCTGTAATCCCAGCAGCACTTTGGGAGGCCAAGGCAGAAGGATTGCTTGACGGGAACAGCCTGGGCAACATAGTGAGACCCCATCTCTATTTAAAAATAAAACGGCTGGCCCGGGGCGGTGGCTCACACCCGTAATCCCAGCACTTTGGGAGGCCGAGGTGGGTGGATCACTTGAGGTCAGGAGTTCAAGACCAGCCTGGCCAACACTGCGAATCTCCGACTCTACCAAAAATACAAAAATTAGCTGGGCATGCTGGCACGAGCCTGTAGTCCCAGCTACCTGGGAGGCTGAGACAGAACTGCTTGAACCGGTGAGGCAGAAGTTGCAGTAGGCTGAGATCACACCACTGTACTCTAGCTTGGGCGACAGAGCGAGACTCCATCTCAAAAAAAATAAATAAATAAAATGGCCTACAAGAGAGATGACTACCTAGAGGGGAGCATGTCAATAATAGCATTCTTTTTTTTCAGACGGAGTTTCGCTCTTGTTGCCTAGGCTGGAGTGCAATGGCATGATCTCAGCTCAGAGTTTCACCATGTTAGTGAGACTGGTCCTGAACTCCTGACCTCAAGTGATCCACCGTGCCCAGCCAATAACAGGATTCTTTAAGCCAGGAGGGACATCCATTATTTATTTGTTGATGGGCAAAGAGGCAATGGAGAAAGGAGATGGAATGATAGATGGGACATGGTTTTAGAGGGACATCAAGGCATGGGATCCAGAATTGGCTTTGAAGAAAAGGGAAACCTCTTTCTCTAGAATAAAAGAAGAGGGGACAGACCAGGTGCGGTGGCTCACACCTGTGATCCTAGCACTTTGGGAGACCGAGGCGGGTGGATCACGTGAGGTCAGGAGTTGGAGACCAGCCTGACCAACATAGTGAAACCCTGTCTCTACTAGAAATAAAAAAATAATTAGCTGGGGGTGGTGGCAGGCACCTGTAATCCCAGCTACTTGGGAGGCTGAGGTACGAGAATCACTTGAACCCAGGAGGCAGGGGTTGCAGTGAGCCGAGAACAGGCCATTGCACTCCAGCCTGGGCGACAGAGCGAGACTCTGTCTCAAAAAAATTTAAAAAAAAATTTAAAAAATCGCCGGGTGCAGTCATCACACCTGTAATCCCAGCACTTTGGGAGACTGAGTCGGGTGGATCATAAGGTCAGGAGTTCGAGATCAGCCTGGTCAATATGGTAAAACCCCATCTCTACTAAAAAAAAAAAAAAAAATTAGCTGGGCATGGTGGCAGGCGCCTGTAGTCCCAGCTACTTGGGAGGCTGAGGCAGGAGAATCACTTGAACCTGGGAGGCGGAGGTTGCAGTGAGCCGAGATTGCACCACTGCACTCCAGCCTGGGTGACCGAGTGAGACTCCGTCTCAAAAAAAAAAAAAAAGGGGACAAAGATGAATGCTGTTACAGGTAAGTTGGGGGTTGGAAGATAAGTAATCTGCTGGAGATGGGGTGTGGACAGAGGTCTTGAATATATGGAGAAGCTCTGAAATAGCAATTAGGAAAAAGGGATAAATCAGACACTGAAGTGCTTAAGGTTTGAGATATGAATTTCCTCCAGCAGTCCTCAGCAACCAGCAGGTAGGAGTAAATAACTGAATGATTCCAGGATGGAAGGTGGAGCCCCAGTAATGAGGAGGTCCTAGATGTGAGCCTCACGCTTAAATAGAATGACACAGTCAAGTAACTGAGCTATATGTATTATCTGACAAAACATTTATAGCTTATTTTGTACAATTTTTATGTGATGAAAAGTTAATTTGAGAGAAAAGACCTAATTAGCTGGAATTAGTGTAATACAGAAACTCTTTTCAACTCCCAAAATGATGGGCAATATCACTAAATGGTTTAGTGGTTTTATCAATGAATAATTTTTCATTATCAGTGAGACCTGGAAACAAATTGGCAAAGCCTCTCCTTAAATGACAATTTGATAATCTTTGTCAAGATATAAAATGTGCATATTATTAGGGAGGATGAGGCAGGCAGATCACAAGGTCAGGAGTTTGAGACCAGCCTGGCCAACATAGTGAAACCCCGTCTCTACTAAAAATACAAAAAATTAGCCAGGCGTGGCGGCGGGTGCCTGTAAGCCCAGCTACTCGGGAGGCTGAGGCAGGAGAATTGCTTGAAACCAGAAGACGGAGGTTGCAGTGAGCCTAGATCACGCCATTGCACTCCAGTCTGGGTGATAGTGCCAGACTCTGTCTCAAAAAAAAAAAAAGAAAAAAGTGCATATTCTTTGACCTGGCAATTCTGCTCTTAAAAATGAAATTACTTGAACATATGAAAAGGCATATGTACAAGTATGCTTACTACAGCATAGTCTGTAATACCAAAAGCCTAGCAACAACCTAAATGTTCATCAATAGTAGTTGATGATATACCCATAGATTAAAATACTGTGCAGCCACAGGAAGAAAATTTAAATACTCATAAATGTTCCATATATTTTTTAAAATGACAAGATAAATTAAATGGCATAATGCCGTACTACCGCATGCTCGCTTGTTTTCCCAAAAGCATGCGTACCTGAGCGTCTATGGCTACCTGAAAATGCAAGGAATGTATCTGATAAATCAGAAAAGGATAGCAGTAGTTACTTCAAGAGATCTACCTGAGTAGAAACGAGACTCAATTTTCATTGTGTGCCATCTGAGCTTTTTCCTATTTAAAAAATTAAGTAAACTCAGTAAAATGTAGAAATAGAAACATATTAATTATTTTAGATGTGTGGACAGTACAGTTTTCAATGCGCTTTCATCATTTTCTTATTTGTCACAACCCTATAAAGTAGGTATCTTTATCCTTATTTACACAGACAAGAAAAGCCCAAAGATAAAGTGACTGGTCAAGTTCATCATGCTGGCAAATGCTGAACTGGAGATGGAACTGAAATTCTGATTTCTGGACACACATTCCCTCTATGATTCCACACTACTTTTCTTGGAAACTAGGGAGTAATTGTTTGAAAACATGGCTAAAGGTTACCTCTAGGTTCTCTTTGACACTGTGTCCCACAGGTGTATCTGTCAACATGTCTGGTATTTCCCTCCTTCCCCATCTGTTTACTCATCTACGTATTTTTTTCTAAGTTAATTAGCCTCCAATCAAACAGCCATCTACATCAGAAAGCTGGGAGTCACCAGCTCTTTTACTCCTGCACCTCACCGACCACCAAATCCTATTGATCCAGGCTACCTAATGTTACTCAAATCTCTCTTTTCCGCTAACACTGCCTTTACCCAACCTCCCATTCTGGTTTGGACGACTCCAAGATTCCTCACTGAGCTAGCAGGTTTCAACCCACTCCAATCTATCTTGCCAGTCATCTCTCTAGAATATCAATCTGATGAGATCTCTGCCTGGCTGAAACTCCTTTAAAATGACCCAGTCTTCCAAGATATTATTCAAACTCATTTATGGAATTTATGAAAATAACTACATGATCTCAAACTCATCTCTCATTACTCTCCCTCTTTCTTACCCTTACTCCACTCTAGATCTCCCATATGATGGCCAAGTGCATGCCACATGGTTAGCCCTTCCAACCCCTTTGGCCACATCTCCTGGCATTCCTCTAATTGGACCTAACCCTCTGGCCATAATGCCCTATTAACAGTGATCCAAACAATTTGTTTCCTCTCATTCCTCTGTGACTGTGTATGTTTCATTTCCTTTGCCTGGAATACCTGTTTCGAGGCTAACTCCTTTTCCTTTCTGAGTCATCAAAGGGTAATGACCCCCAGAAGCCACCTGCTATAGTTTGAATGTTTGTCCCCTTCAAAACTCAGGTTAATACCGAAACCCCAATATGGTAGTATTGAGAGGTAGGACCTTTAAGAGGTGATAGGATCATGAGGGCTCTGCCCTCATGAAGAGATTAATCCATTCATGGATCAATGAATTAATGGGTTATCATGGGAATGGGATGGGTGGCTTTAAAAGAAGAGTAAGAGAAACCTGAGCTAGCATGCTCAACTCCCTCACCATGTGATGCCCTGCATGGCCTCAGGACTCTGCAGAGTCGCCACTGGCAGGGCTCTCACCAGATGTGGCCTCATAACAGTGAACTTCTTAGCATCCAGAACTGTAAGAAATAAATTCCTTTTCTTTATAAATTCTCCAGTTTCAGGTATTGTTATAAGCAACAGAACAGACTAAGATATCACCTTTGTCTCTTCCATCACAAACAAGCAACCCAGGCAGGCATTCCCACAGGATTCTGCTTACTTTGGTCAGCACTTAACATGTTACACAGATTGCACATGCTTGTCCCCTGCCAGCATATCCTGAGCTCCTTGAAGGCAGGGACACTGACACTGTTTTATATTCATGGCCTAGTGGTATATGGCATTATCATTACTATTTTCCAAATAAAAATAAATTCAGAGGACAAAAAATAGCTAAAATTTTACAAATCAAGCCACAGATTACAGTGCATGCTTTATGAACATACAAGAAACCAAACCATTAAACTAATAAAAATATGCAAAATATGAAACTAATGGGGTATATACGTTTTGAGAATAAGAAACAGGAAGAGGACTGTCTCCTGTCTTCACAGTTTGTTACAAGGAAAAATGATCCATTTTTTATTAACTTAAACATAGTTTAAAACTGCTTACAGACCTAATTTTATTGTGCTTTACTTTATTGGACTTTTTGAAAAACTGAAGATTTGTGACAACCCCGTGTAAAGCAAGTTTATCGCTGCCATTTTCCCCAACAGCATGTACTCACCTCACGTCTGTCACTGTAATTACTGCAATATTTCAAATTTAAATTTAAATTTTTAAATTATGTCTTATAATGATCTGTGATCAGTGATCTTTGATGTTACTACTTCAATTGTTTTGGGGTGCCCTGAACCCACACCCATAACAAAGAGCTTAACTGATAAATGTTGTATGCATCCTGACTATTCCACCAACCAGCTTTTCTCTCTTCCCTCCCTCTCTCCTCTAGTCTCTCTATTCCTTGAGAGGCAACAATATTGAAATCAGATCAATTAATAACCTTACAACAGCCTCTAAGTGTTTAAGTGAAAGTCACGTGTCTCACCCGGATGCGGTGGCTCATGCCTGTAATCCCAGCACTCTGGGAGGCTGAGGCGGGTGGATCACGAGCTCAGGAGTTCAAGACCAGCCTGGCCAAGATGGTGAAACCCCGTCTCTACTAAAAAATACAAAAAAAAATCAGCCAGGCCTGGTGTTGGGTGCCTGTAATCCCAGCTACTCGGGAGGCTGAGGCAGAGAACTGCTTGAACCCGGGAGGCAGAGGTTGCAGTGAGCCGAGATCACGCCACTGCACTCCAGTCTGGGCGACAGAGCGAGACCCCGTGTCAAAAAAAAGGGTCACGGCTGGGCATGGTGGCTCGTGCCTGTAATCCAGCACTTTGGGAGGCCGAGGGGGGTGGATCACGAGGTCAAGAGATCGAGACCATCCTGGCCAACACGGTGAAACCCTGTCTCTACTAAAAATACAAAAAATTAGCCAGGCATGGTAGCGGGCACCTGTAGTCCCAGCTATTTGGGAGGCTGAGGTAGGAGAATGGCGTGAACCCAGGAGGCAGAGCTTGCAGTGAGCCGAGATCGCATGACTGCACTCCAGCCTGGGCGACAGAGCAAGACTCTGTCTCCAAAAAAAAAAAAAGAGTCACTTGTCTCTCACTTCAAATCAAAAGGCAGAAGTGATGAAGCCTGTGAGAGCAAGGCATATCAAAAGTCGAGACAGGCCGAAAGCCAGGTCTCCTATGCCAGGTAGTTAAGTTGTGACTGAAAAGGTAAAGTTCTCTAAGGAAATTAAAAGTGCTACACTAATGAACATATGAATGGTAAGAAAGCAAAATTGCCTTACTGCTTATGAAGAAAGAGTGAGTAACCTGGATAAAAGATTAAACGAAACAAACATTCCCTTTAGCCAAAGCCTAACCAAGAACAAGGCCCTTTCTTCAATTCTATGAAGGTTGAGAGAGGTAAGAAGTTGCAGAAGAAAGGGCAGAAGCTAGAAGAGGTTAATGAAATTTAAGGAATTTCTATAACATAAAAGTGCAATGTGAAGCAGCACATGCTGGTGCAGAAGCTGTAGCAAGTTATCCAGAATACCTAGTTAAGATCACTGATGAAGGTGGCTACACTCAACAACAGATATTCAATGTAGACAAAACAGCCTTGTACTGGAAGATGCCATCTAGGACTTTCATAGTTAGGGAGAAGTCAATGACTGGCTTCAAAGCTTTAAAGGACAGATAACTTTCTTGTTGGGAGCTAATGCAGCTGGTGACTTTAAGTTAAAGCCAATCAGTCATTTATCACTCCAAAAATCCTAGGGTCCCTAAGAATCTTATTACATGTACTCTGCCTGGGCTACAGAAACGGAAGAACAAAGTTTGGTTGACAGAACATCTGTTTACAGCATGGTTTATTGACTATTTTAAGCCCAATGTTGAAACCTACTGCTCAGAAGACTCCTTTCAAAATACTACTGCTCACTGACAATGCAGCTGGTCACCCAAGAGTTCAGAGGGAGAGGTACAAGGAGAT
The DNA here is from genome assembly GCF_000001405.40 of Homo sapiens. Lineage (NCBI taxonomy): Eukaryota > Metazoa > Chordata > Mammalia > Primates > Hominidae > Homo > Homo sapiens. The sequence goes on along the minus strand of NC_000005.10, from coordinate 43,165,474 downwards.
TAATATTGTTTTCAGTCTGCAAACACAACAGCCATTCTGCAGCCCACAGATCAAGAAGTAATTTTGACTTTCCAGTCTTATTAAGAAATACAAGGCCACACCAGAGATGCATGCACAAAGAGGATAAAACCATGTAAGGACACAGGTTAGCCATCTGCAAGCCAAAGAGAGAGGTCTCAAAAGAAACCAGCAGATTGATCTTGGACTTCTAACCTCTAGAACTGCGAGAAAATGAATTCCTGTTGTTAAAGCTAAAAAAAAAAAAAAAAGAAATACAGGGCCAAGCATGGTGGCTCATGCCTATGTTCCAAGCCTAGGCAACGTGGTGAAACCACATCTCTACAAAAAACAGAAAAATTAGCTGGGCATGGTGGCACACATCTGTAGTCCCAGCTACTCAGGAAGCTGAGGTAGAAGGATCACTTGAGCCCAGGAGGTCGAGACTGCAGTGAGCCATGATCGCGCCACTGTACTCCAGCCTGGGCAACACAGCAAGACCCTGTTTCAAAGGAGAGAGAGAGGAGAGGAGAGAAGAGAACAACAACTATCTTGGAACTAATTACCAGTATAGAAATTGGTTGAAGTTAAAAAACAATGAAGTGGGGGTTCGGTTTGCTTTATGTGCTCAACTGTTCCTCCAATGGGTATATGGTTCAGTAATTTATAACAACTACTTAAATTACTTATCTCACATCATTTCTAAGGGAAAGACAAAGACATACAACATAATGTACTTTAACCCTATATTCTGCTGTCCAAACCAAAATAAAAAATCTAAGACCTGAGAGGCACATTTAAAGATGTCCAAAGTGGTCCGTGTTGTCCTATTTTCTAAGAGGTAAAAGTCAGTAGGCAATGTTTTGGGTAAAAGAGGTAACTGCGGCTACTTTCACATTCATAGGCTATAAAAGCTACTGATTATCCTGATTATCTGCTGGGGTATTGGAAACTGCTATCAAAGTTTGCAAGTTACTTACCAATGTTTGTTTATTGTGCTGCTGGTATAACAACAATCATTTTGCATAATTAACCCAATTACCACAAAAATGTTCACCAACAGACTATTATTCGTTTTCTAAGGACCAAAAATTGTAACTGTAGGCAGTTTCCAAATATTATATAAAACAGGTAGGCGTCCCTTGGTATATGCGGGGGATTGGTTCGTATAGCAAAATCCACGCACACTCAAGTCCTGCAGCCGGCCCTGTGGAACCACACATACTAAAAGTTGGTCTTCTACATACATGGGTTTTGCATCCTGGGAATACTATAATTTTGATCCATATTTAGTTGAATGAAATCTGCATGTAAGTGGATGCAAGCAGTTCAAACCCACGTTGTTCAAAAGTAGACTGTATATATACATGTTTGCAATCAGAAAGCATTTTCCCAAAAGATTTCATAAACGCCTATTAGTTATCCAAACTAAGTACCTTAAAGACTTTTAAATCCATACTGAGCCTTAAGTACAAGATCCCTTTGCTATTCCTGTATTTACTCAGTCCTCGAATACTGACAGTAAGTTTGGACAGTGAGGGGGATAACATCATCTGAATCTATGTGGTTCCTTAATTTCAAGTGATGTATACCAACTGACAGTGACAAACCTATTTTAAAAAACTTTTACCAGAAGCTCTCCAAACTCCAGCATCAAAGAGAAAGATTCTGAATACTGTAGGCTATCTATGTTGTATTTACTGTATTAACAGTCTAAACAGCCTTAACCACCACATATAACAAAGACTTGGGAACAAATGTCCAGAAGTCTAATACTTAGCATGCTGTATTAACTGCTCTCTCCATACCCTTGTAATAGTAGGTTTAGGAACTATCCAAGATTCAATTCGTTGGTGGTAGCTACTGTGTCTGGTGTAGGAGACCCAGCAAAGGTTGTTCGGGGAGTGGGAGCAAGCAAGAAACCTGAGCAAGGTCAGGGACTCTTGACAGGGAGACGACTGGAATAGGGGATGAAGAACTATGTGGGGCGAGGCCCTGAGGTAGATTTCTCAGGACATTTCCATCATGCCTGCATGGCTCCCAGGAGAAGTATAAAGACCTTATTCTCCTCAGCTCCCTGGATGTCCGCCAGGCCTGACATATTTGCTGTTGAAAAGGTGGAGAGAGATGAACATATACTGCCTACTAACCTACTGTGCCAAAGCAGGTAACTCAATGTACATTAAAAAGTATAAACATGGGCCGGATGTGGTGGCTCATGCCTGTAATCCCAGCACTTTGGGAGGCCGAGGCTAGCGGATCACGAGGTCAGGAGTTTGAGACCACCCTGGCCTGACCAATATGGTGAAACCCCGTCTCTACTAAAAATACAAAAATTAGCCAGGGGCGTGGTGGTGCTCGCCTGTAGTCCCAGCTTACTCAGGAGGCTGAGGCAGAAGAATCGCTTGAACCCGGGAGGCGGAGGTTACAGTGAGCCAAGATCGTGCCACTGCACTCCAGCCTGGGCAACAGAGCGAGACTCCATCTGCCAAAAAAAAAAAAAAAAAAGGCAAATAAAAGAAAAGAAGTATAAACATGTCAGGGATTGCTTTTTTTTTTTTTTTTTTCCCTTGAGACAGAGTTTTGCCCTTGTTGCCCAGGCTGGAGTACAATGGCGTGATCTTGGCTCATGGCAACCTCTGCCTCCCGGGTTCAAGCAATTCTCCGGCCTCAGCCTCCCAAGTAGCTGGGATTACAGGTGCCTGCCACCATGCCCAACTAATTTTTTGTATTTTTAGTAGAGACGGGGTTTCACAATGTTGGTCAGGCTGGTCTCTGAACTCCTGACCTCAGATATCCACCCGCCTCGGCCTCCCAAAGTGTTGGGATTACAGGCGTGAGCCACCGCGCCTGGCCGCTTTTTTTTCTTTTCTTTTTTTTTTTTTTAAGATGGAGTCTCACTCTATTGACCAGGCTGGAGTGCAGTGGCATGATCTCGGCTCACTGCAACCTCTGCCTCCCGGGTTCAAGCAATTCCCCTGCCTCAGCCTCCAGAGTAGCTGGGACTATGAGTGCCCACCACCACGCCTGGCTAATTTTTGTATTTTTAGTAGAGATGAGGTTTCACCATGTTGGCCAGGCTGGTCTCGAACACCTGACCTCAGGTGATCCGCCTGCCTCGGCCTCCCAAAGTGCTGGGATTACAGGCATGAGCCACCGCGCCTGGCTGTCAGGGATTGCTTGTAAATGTACTGTAAGTAACACGACACAAGAAATGTAAAAATAGAAATGGTAAAGTCTCACTATAAGATTTAATTATTTACGATCTTTAGGAAATAAGTCACAAACTATTTTCTCTATTTCTTTGAAAAATATAAAAATTGGGCAAGGCATAAAAGTAACAATTACTTCCAAAGTTGATACTGATTTGCATTTAAAGCACCAATATTTGAACAGGTAATACTATAAAAACGTGTACTTAGCCTACACATTAGAGATAATACATGAGATGGCTTCTGAGGCACTATTTTTTTAAAAAGGATTTAGATACTTAAATTTGAAGTGCATGTGGGAAAAAAAAATTTTAACAAAGTATTTGCTCATTACCTGTATGTTTTCGAAGATGTTCTTTAAAATGTCCAAAATGGTCAAACTGTTTCTCACAGTACTGACATACATGAATTTTTTTCCCAGTTCTTTGCTTCTTACTGACTCCACCTTCTTCAAGGTGGTAACAATTTAGGTGCTGTTTCCATGCGCTCTCTCGAAGATATCGTTTATTGCATATTTCACACTTGAAACTCTCAGTGGAGTGTGATTTCATGTGCTCCTTAAAATGGTAAAACAATTTAAATGAACGGTTACATTTCTCACAATGGAACAAGTCCTTCACATGTGACAGCTGAAGTTCCACAATTTCAATACCTTCTACCTGTTTGCTCGTGGGGTCAGATGGACAGCCATCTTCTTTAATCTGCCCTTTTCTGTCACCTTGACGGTACTTGCTGGTAATATCTGCCAACAGTGCTAGAGCAGAATCATCAGAGGAACCTGTGCTCTGTATGTACTTTACGGACTGCTTGGCAGAAGCCACTTCCTCTAATGTTTCGATGCCTTCATCTTCCACTTCAATGGTGCCTTCGGCAATCTCTACCTCAATTTCAACAGGTTCTGATTCTGCAGATGGCAATGACTCAGTGATAACATTTGAAGTTTCTGCAATCTTCCTTTTTTTGGCCTCATTTTTTCCTGTGGTATTTTCCTCTAAGGGAGCTGAGTTTTCTTTGTTCCTGAAATACATAATGTAGGGGTTTAAAAAATCTATAAGAAGATCCTACCAGGCTTTTTTGAAGAAACTGATAAAGTGGCAATAAAATTTATATAAACAGTTATAAAACAAGACTGCAGGGCTTATCCTACCTGATTTCAAGACTTAAAGCTACAGTAATTAAGACAATAGTACTGGTGAAAGCATAGACACGAAGATTAATGGAATAAAGTCCATGGAAATAGACCCACGCTTAGTCAACTGATTTTTATGGGGGAAAAAAAGGTGCCAGTCAGGTGCAGTGGCTCATGCCTGTAATCGCAACACTTTGGGAGGCCAAGGCAGGTGGATCACCTGAGGTTGGGAGTTTGAGACCAGCCTGACTAACATGGGGAAATCTCGTCTCTACTAAAAATACAAAATTAGCTGGGCATGGTGGCATGCCTGTAATCCCAGCTACTCGGCAGGCTGAGGCAGGAGAATCACTTGAACCCAGGAGGCGGAGGTTGGGGTGAGCCAAGATCGCACCATTGCACTCCAGCCTGGGCGACAAGAGCGAAACTCTGTCTCAAAAAAAAAAAAAAAAAAAAAAGTTCCAAGCTAATCATTTAACAGTGATGCTAGAACAATTATGTGTATGGGAAAAATAAGCCTCAACCTTTACCTCATATCATACATGAAAAATTAATTCAAAATGGGTCACAGACCTAAATTTAAGAATTAGTAAATTTCTAGAAGAAAACAGGAGAAGACCTTAGTGACATTGGTTAGTGAAAGATTTCTCATTCTCTCACCCAGGCTGGAGTGCAGTGGTGTGATGTTGGCTCACTGTGGCTTCAACCTCTTGGGCTCAAGTGATCCTCCCACCTCAGCCTCTCAAGCAGCTGGGACTATAGATGCGTGCCATCACACTCAGCTAATTTTATTTTTGATAGAATCGAGGTCTCACTATGTCACCCAGGGTGGTCTTGAACTCCTGGGCTCAAGTGATCCTCCTGCCTCGGCCTCCCAGAGTACTAGGATTACAGACATGAGCTACTGTGCCCAGCTGACAGATTTCTTCTTTTTTTGTTTTTTTTTTTGTTTTGTTTTTTTGAGATGGAGTCTCGCTCTGTCACCCAGGCTGGAGTGCAGTGGCGTGATCTTGGCTCACTGTAAGCTCCGCCTCCCAGGTTCACGCCATTCTCCTGCCTCAGCCTCCCAAGCAGCTGGGACTACAGGCGCCCGCCACCACGACCAGCTAATATTTTGTATTTTTAGTAGAGATGGGGTTTCACCGTGTTAGCCAGGATGGTCTCGATTTCCTGACCTTGTGATCTGCCCGCCTTGGCCTCCCCCAAAGTGCTGGGATTACAGGCGTGGGCCACCGCGCCCAGCCTGCCCAGCTGAAAGATTTCTTAAACAGCATAAGAAAGGCAGAAATCATAACAGCAAAAATTGATAAAATAGATTTCATCAAAATTAAAAACTGCCCTCTGAAATACAGTTAATAAAAAAGCAAGCCACAGGCCAGAAGAAAATAGTTGCAAACATTTATCTGTCAAATTTTTTGTTTGGTTTTTTTTTTTTTTTTTTGAGACAGAGTATCTCTCTTGTGGCCCAGGCTGGAGTGCAGTGGCACGATCTTGGCTCACTGCAACCTCTGCCTCCCGGGTTCAAGTGATTCTCCTGCCTCAGCCTCCTGAGTAGCTGGGATTACAGGCTCCTGCCACCATGCCCGCCTAATTTTTGTATTTTTTAGTAGAGACGGGGTCTCACCATGTTGGCCAGGGTGGTCTTGAACTACTGACCTCAGGTGATCTGCCCACCTCGGCCTCCCAAAGTGCTGGAATTACCGGTAAGAGCCACTGTGCCCAGCCTAAAGATCTTATATCTAGAGTGAAGAAAGGATTCTCACAACTCAGTAAACTCAGTAAAAGACGACACCTGTTGGGAGACAATTCTCCTTGAGTCTCTTCAGTTTCCTCACATCTTGTGAACTGAAAACTTTCGGTTTGGATGTTTGCAGTATAGTATAGTAGATGAAAGGGCAGGTTTATTGTCCAATATAATAAAGAGAATGCCCCCACTCTGGAAAAAACGTTAGGCAGGTTTGTTTGTAGCCCACTATAAAAATTTTGAGATTCCTAAGCTGGAGATTCTTCAGCTATAATATAAATCAATCTTATGCATTCACCTGGGCCACTCTATGTCACTCTTGTGGGACTTGAGGGGAAGGGAAAACTGGTATAAAAATGAAATTTATACTGCTTGCTATGTAGAGAGTAATAAGGTCCTTTCTTTCTGACTCAGAAGTCTTCTATCTTCTTCCAGCATCCATGACACTGTGGCAGGAAAACTTGTAGGCTTGCAAGTAGAGTAAAATCTCATAGCTCTTGCCAGTTTTTTGGCATTGAGAATAAGATGCTGGGAAAAAAAAAAAAGGCTTTCTGGAAAAGGAAGGATGAGGCATCACAGAGCAACTGATCGGATTTGAGGGAAGTCCACAGGAACCAGCAGCAAACATGTTGACTACACTGTATAGTCAACAAAGCAATAAATGGCCCTCTACTTTACTGCCTATTATTATGGGTTGAATTGTGTTCCCACAAAAGGTATGTTGAAGTCTTGGCCCCTAATATCTGTGAATAGGCCTTATTTGGAAGTAAGTGTGCAGATATAACTGAGTTAAGATGACGTCTGGCCGGGCGCGGTGGCTCACGCCTGTAATCCCAACACTTTGGGAGGCTGAGGCGGGAGGATCAACTGAGGTCAGGAGTTCGAGACCAGCCTGACCAACATAGAGAAACCCCATCTCTACTAAAAATACAAAAATTAGCCGGGCATGGTGGCACATGCCTGTAATCCCAGCTATTTGGGAGGCTGAGGCAGGAGAATCACTTGAACCCAGGAGGTGGAGGTTGTGGTGAACCGAGATCGTGCCATTGCACTCCAGCCTGGGCAACAAGAGTGAAACTGTCTCAAAAAAACAAAAACAAAAACAAAACAAAACAGAAAAAACAACATCGGGTGCAGTGGCTCACGCCTGTAATCCCAGCACTCTGGGAGGCCAAGGCAGGCGGATCAACTGAGGTCGGGAGTTTGAGACCAGCCTGACCAACACAGAGAAACCCTGTCTCTACTAAAAATACAAAATCAGCCAGGCATGGCGGTGCATGCCTGCAATCCCAGCTCCTCGGGAGGCTGAGGCAAGAGAATCGCTTGAACCCAGAAGGTGGAGGTGGCTGTGAGCCAAGATGGCACCACTGCACTCCAGCCTGGGCAATAAGAGTCAAACTCAGTCTCAAAAAAAATAATGAGGTTATTAAGACAAGCCTTGAATAATTCAATACAATTAGTGTCTCTACAAGGAAGAAGAAACCTGGACACAGGAGAAAGCCATTATGAAGACAGAGAAGATGGCAATGTGAAGATGAAGGCAGAGACTGGAGTTCTGCTACCATAAGCCAAGAAACACCTTTTCGCCAGAAGCCAGAAGAGGCAAAAACGATGCTCCCCTTAGTGTCTTGGGAGGGATCATGGCACTATGAACACCTTGATTTCAGACATTTAGCCTTCAGAACTGAGAAACAACACATTTCTCTTGTTTAAAGCCATCCAGTTTATGGTACTTTGTTACAGTAGTAGCTTTAGGAAACAAAAGTACCTATTAATGAAGCAAAACTTGGAAGGTGGTTGCAGGAAGAGTATTGGGCAGCAAGTTCAAGAACAGCTGCTAAAATGGTGCCCTGGTTATTGCAAACTCTTCTGTGGGAGAGAGACTCTTTTATCAATCTGGTACCATGTCTGCCCCATGGTTAACAACCATACTAAGATTCATTGGGAATGGGTGGGTGGGACAGAAGGTTCTGCCTCTTTTCAGACAAGTTACAATAATATGCACCTACAATGAATGTAAAAGAAGGGAAATTTGCGATTGCTATAGGCAGAAGCCAGGTGAGTCACAGCTTTGGACGGTTCACATGGGAGATGAGGGGAGAACATAATGCTTATCAAGGAAGAATGATAAAACCTGGGCCAGCTTTGGGCTCCGTCCTTCCTGTAGTTTATCATGTCCACCTCTGATTCATTTGGAGGACAGTAAAAGGTTTCCAAGTTTTTTTTGCAGTCAGTCTTGGCTTCTATAAGGGCCCTCTTTGAGAGATGTCTTTGAGACAAACTCCTATGGGAAACCATAGATAAGATACTGAATATATAGAGCCTTCCAGTCCAATTGGGTTTACAATGCTGATGAAGATTCTCACCAGGGAATGAGAAAAGGATCCAAAGTAATACGAATTCTTGTGGTCAATGCTGCTGAAAAGCTCCCTAACCTTTATGTTAAAACCAGGCAAACGAATAACAACAGGGCAGCAATGTCCAGAATTAAGGTGTAATTTTTTTTTTTTGGTGGGGGTAGAGAGACAAGGTCTCACTATGTTGCTCAGGCTGGTCTCAAACTCCTGAGCTCAAGTGATCCTCCCACCTTGGCCTCTCAAAGTTCTAGGATTATGGGCGTGAGCCACTGCGCCTGGCCAAGGTGTACTCTTTAGTCACTACTGTCCAAGTCAAACCTGAGTCAAGTCAAAAAGGACATAAACCTCACAACCCCAAATGCAAAGTAATATGCAGGGAGCCAATGAATCAAGGAATCCCCGAAGCTGAAATAGATCGGTGTCAGCAGGGATGACGTTACACTGACTGAGGTCATTGGGTGGGCTGAAAACACTGGAGGTTTGTTTAGTCAAGCCACGTGCAGCTTCTGTGCTGCTTGAAACCAAAAGTAAATGTGCCTTACTTATTGGCACAGTCACTTTTCTCCCTCCACATCTCTTCCTCCTCTACCCTCTCCTTTCACTTCAGTGCTTTTAGGAGAAAGATAATTAGGAGTGGAGCCAAATTCTCCCTATTCCCAAAGGGGACTGAAAGCAATATACTCATCCAAGTATACTGGAGAAAACTCAGGAATGGGAGGACTCAAGCTTCCATGGCTATGTCAGATTAAGGTGCCAAACTCACCATACCACTTTTCCATGGGGAGAGGATGGACTTGCATTTTTTAACTGATGGGGTTTGGGCATGGTTCACAGCAGGAAAGGGACGCTATCCTGACCTTGTGGTACGGCTGATTCTATGTATACTGTTGTTGCTTCAACATGTGAATGTATAGCAGGAAGTGCATTTATACTTCTTCATCCCATAAGTACCAGAGGGAATCACCCCAACTGGGAAGAAAAGCTAACAGAACAGTGCAGCAAACCTGCAAACCTCCCTGACATTTGCCGCTAGTGGTGAGGTCAGGATTTAGTGCAGTGTCTCTATCTTCTGATGTCTAGTTTATGTTATATATTGATGATATCCTGTTGACTGGTAAATCAGAAGTCTCAGTCTCAAAGGCTGACTGCAATGTTATCACACCTCCATCAGCAGGGGTTGCTGATAAACCCCAGCAAATTTCAGAGGCCTACTCATCAGGTAAAGTTTATAAAGATAGATTCACAACACTCCATCCATCCAGCAGTAAAAGAAAAACTGTTTCTTCTCCTATCCTCCTCCCAACAAAAATAAAGCCCAGTATCCTACTGGACTCTTTGGGTGCTGGACAGTATGTGCCTTACTTAGGCATTCTACTTTCTCCTTTCTATCAGCTAACCTGCAAGCAAAACAGCAACCTCTAAGTGGGGCTCCAACCAACAGGCTGCTTTGGAAGTTAACAATCGAACTGCAGTGCATTCTCTCTACCTTTAGGGCCCCACAACGCTAATGAACCCTTTGAGCTACTAGTCTGAGCCTGATGCTTTTGTAGATTAGAGCTTCTGGCAAAAGGAGGCAGCCTCTACCCAACGGTTATTACTTGGGTTTTGGACTTGCTGAACCCTGACACAGCTCCCAAGGTACACCAAATCTGAGAAAATTAGTTTGCTGTTGCGCTCTTGTTGAAACTGATCCCTAACTACCCATACAGGCCCTGAGGTTCTCCAGTCTGATATTCCCATTTGGGGGTGAGTAAACTCAAGACTTCATGACTAACAAGGTGAGAAATGCCCACCAAGTGTCACTTGTCAAATAGAAATGGTATACTTAAGAAAGTAGTGGGCCCCCTCAGCCATCATGAAAAAGTAGCAGCTCCCTAACTGTTGCCCAAAGCAAAATCACTAGATTAATGGAGCCCTTAATTAACTGATGGCTTGGCTAAGCTGAAATTTGACGGTGTTCACTGGGCTGCTGCAAGTGCTCAGCCTCTGCACCAACAATGAAAACCCAAAGCAGACATGGTCATTCTGCTCAGTGGGCAGAACTCAAGGCTGTCCTCATGACTCTGGTCAACATTCCCCCAAATTAACCTTGCTATATTTTTACTGGCACTTCCATTGTTGCCAATGGTCTAGCTGTTTAGTCTGCTACTTGGAAGACTTGGCAGATTAAAGACATCCACGCCTCTGGGGCCACAACTGTGGAAAAAATAGCAGCTGTTGCCGGAATTATCTGGGTCACTCATTCAGATGTGCAAGATAAGGGACTATTCTCTAATGAGACCAACTGGAATCAAGATGCTAACCAAGCCTGCACTGCCCAGATTGCCACTAATGAAGCCTACAGCCAACATTATTCTGGATATGGTAACACATGCACCACCATCAGAGACTGGGCACAAATTAGAGGACCCTGTTTCTTAGGCAGAAGTCTGCCACTGTTACGTCAGACTTGACACCTGTTACAACTTGGTCTGCTTGTCTCATAGTGAAGGATCACATAACACACAGAGCATTGTCTCCGACTGTTCCTTGCAGACAGTACTGGAGCTGTGACCCCACTGCAGGGCTATCAGTGGTGCTTCACCATTGCCGACATTTCTGACACTTCTTTTTTTTTTTTTGGAGACGGAGTCTCGCTCTGGAGCCCAGGCTGGAGTGCAGTGGCGCAATCTCAGCTCACAGCAACCTCCACCTCCCTGGTTCAAGTAATTCCCCTGCCTCAGCCTCCCAAGTAGCTGAGATTACAGGTGCACGCCACCACGCCTGGCTAACGTTTTTGTATTTTTAGTAGAGACAGGATTTCACCACGTTGGTCAGACTGGTCTCAAACTCCTGACCTCAGACAATCTGCCCACCTCAGCCTCCCAAAATGCTGGGATTACAGGTGTGAGCCACCCCGCCCCACCATGCTGACACTTCTTTAGGTTACACTGTTGCTGTTCCAGTTTCATCAGCTGGTTCTGGACACACTACTGTGGCTCTTGAAACTAATCTATGTCTTATGTTCACCTTTCTATACCATCTGCAGTCTGATAATGGTTCAGCTTTATCACATACACAAAAATGACCACAAAAGCTAATCAATAACAGTCAAGGTACTGATGGATGTTTCATGCTACCATCCATAGATACTGAGTAGCTTGTTGAGTATGGCGACAGCTTTCTCAAACAATGACTCAAAATGATTTCTGACTCTACTTCCCTCACCTCCTCTTTGTCCAAAAATCTGAGTAAAGCAGTTTGATCACTGAATTTAGCTGTCCCTAGAAAGGGATCATGTCTTCTTGGCTACTTCGTGGATAATGATGAAGACAGAAGGGGAGGGAAGTAATATAAACCCAATCTGAAAAAGCAGGATTCTGTGCCCTGAATTTTTGTTTGTTTGTTTGTTTTTGAGATGGAGTTTCGCTCTTGTTGCCCAGGTTAGAATGCAATGGCACGATCTCGCTTACTGCAAACTCCACCTCCCAGGTTCAAGTGATTCTCCTGCCTCAGCCTAAGTAGCTGAGATCACAGGCATGTGCCACCAGGCCCAGCTAATTTTGCTTTTTTTTTTTTTTTTTTTTTTTTTTAGTAGAGATGGGAGTTCACCATGTTGGTCAGGGCTGGTCTCCAACTCCTGACCTTAGGTGATCTGCCCACCTCAGCCTCCCAAAGTGCTGGGATTACAGGCGTTAACCACCGCGCCTGGCCCGCCCTGAACATTCTTAAACATTTTCTTTTCCCCCAACAATAATCCTGGAATAGCCTGGTACCTCTTAAAGGTGACAGCCTGGCCAAAGCCAGGGTTAGGAAATTCGAACTTCATTCTAGTTCAGCCATCTGGATTCTCTTAATGGAGTGACATCATCTTATAGGAATACTGACCACTTGATTGAATTCACTGCTTGCCAAGTACACTCACTTATAATAGCCCATGTGAGCCAAAGTGGGAAACATAATGGGTCTCTAAGTTTTAAATGTCCTTGCCCTTCTTGTACCTGACCTTACCAGATGAAAGGTCTGCATAAGAGGAGGGGATGACTGGAAAAGAGGTGAAGGAGGAATGACAATCTTGCCATCTAGGGAGAGAAACATCTTACGACTCCAGAAGATATAGGGCAGGGAGGGACAATAATCTTTGTCAAGCTGGGTGTGGTGGCTCACACCTATAATACCAGCACTTTGGGAGGCTGAGGCGGGAGGATCGCTTGAGTCCGGGAGTTTAAGAACAGCCTGGAGAACATAGTAAGACCCCATCTCCACAAAAAATTATAAAAGATTAGCTGGGCATGGTGGCACATGTCTACAGTCTCAGCTCCTTTGGGAGGCTGAGGTGGGAGGATCATCTGAGCCTGGAAAGTTACAGCTGCAGTGAGCTGTGATTGCACCACTGCACTCCAGCCTGGGTGACACAGTGAGACCCTGTCTCCAAAAACAAAACAAAACAAACCACCTTTGTCTTTCAGAACTGCCCCTAGAACCTTTCAAATTAAGAAAAATGCTCAGTTGCAGGTCTCTCCAATGGCTATAAGCATTTTTAAACTGACTGCTGTGTTTGCCATTCCCTGCCAAGTGGTTTCCCTTAACTTTACCAACATATCTTCTAAAAACAGCTGGGGATGACTCCTGTGTGTCGCAGGCAAAACACCATGCTCCACTACCATTCTCATAGCTGAGATCAGTCCATGAGGTGGACAGTTACTACTCAAGTCAGCTGGCATTCAGGAGCTTGTGATAAATAGGACAGACTCGGCTGGGAGTGGTGGCTCACACCTGTAATCCCAGCACTTTGGGATGCTGAAGCAGGCGGATCACTTGAGGTCGGGAGTTCGAGACCAGCCTGGCCAACGTGGTGAAACTCCGTCTCCACTAAAAACACAAAAGTTAGCTCAACCTAGTGGCACGTGCCTGTAGTCCCAGCTACCGGGGAATCTGAGGCAGGAGAATCACTTGAACCTGGGAGGTAGAGGCAGTGAGCCAAGATCATGTCACTGCACTCCAGCCTGGGCGACAGAGCGGGACTCCATCTCAATAAATAAATAAATAAATAAATAGGAAAGAAGTCAACTGACTGTCCTGTCCTCAGTCTCTCCAAAAACTAGAACTAGACTGAATCATTCTAATTGAACTGGGAAAGGAGACTACATTGGAGGCTATATCAATCTGTGCCTCTACACTGATGCAGGTTCGTGCCTACTTTGGAGGCACGAACAATTGCAAATAGTACTTTCCTTTCAGGGTTCCTATGTGCCCCTGGGACTGTGCTTCTTGTGTGGAAGCCAGGTACTAATTTCCTTGCCTCACAAAAATACGATGACTGGCAAGGCGCGGTGGCTCGTCCCTGTAATCCCAGCACTTTGGGACTCCGAGGCAGGTGTGTTACTTGAGGTCGGGAGTTGGAGACCCGTCTGGCCAACATGGAGAAACCTCATTTCTGCCAAAAATACAAAAATTAGCAGGGTGAGGTGGCAGGTGCCTGTAATCCCAGCTACTAGGGAGGCTGAGGCAGGAGTATTGCTTGAGCCCAGAAGGCAGAGGTTGCAGCGAACTGAGATTGCGTCACTGCACTCCAGCCTGGGCACAGAGTGAGACTCCGTCTCAAAAAAACAAAACAAAACGAAACAAAATGACGACTTACACCTAAGAGGTGGTTATAAGAGACCATCAAGTGTTTAAGGAAGATCAAGCAGCCCTCGGGTGACTGTGGAGGTCTCATTTAAGGATACTCTTGGTTAGAAATTCTCAAAGGGATGCTTCCTAGAATAATAACTGACTTATTTATGCACATCCCGTGGGCAGTTTTCCCTAATAGGAGTAATCCAATTAAAAAAGTGGTACAACATTGTGCATGACTTAAGCTGATATGTTCACTGATATCACTTGGGCTCTGGAAGGCATTTATGTCAGCTTCAAGCCACTGGGGCCAGGTTTATTATGAATGAAAAACTTGCCCTAGTAGACATCCTCCCTATGGGACAATGTGGAGCCTGTATAATTGTAAAGCATCTTGCTATACTTAGACTAATGCCCAGGGCTAAGTGGAAAAGTCAATACAGAAACCGAAAAAGAAAGTCACCTGTTTTTCTAGGGATTTGTTCAGTTGGCTGAGTCCAGAATGAACCTTAGTGTGGTGGGTGCATGATTAAGGTCAACACGGCAGGGTGCCCAAATCCTGCTGCTTGAAGTTCTGTTGACTTCAATAAATCCTTAAATAAATCCAGTAGGAGAAAAACTGAATGGATTAGGTCCTGGTCCCTGTGTTTTTTGTTTGTTTTTGGGACAGAGTTTCACTCTTGTTGCCCAAGCCAGAGTGCAATGGCGCGATCTCAGTTCACTGCAGCCTCAGCAATTCTCCTGCCTCAGCCTCCTGAGTAGCTGGGATTACAGGCATGTGTCACCGTGCCCAGCTAATTTTTTTGTATTTTTAGTAGAAATGGGGTTCCACCACGTTAGCCAGGCTGGTCTCGAACTCCTGACCTCAGATGATCCGCCCGCCTCGGCCTCCCAAAGTGCTGGGATTACAGGCATGAGCCACCGCACCCAGCCAGGTCCTGGTCCCTACGGTCAGATTAATCAGAGCGGCTAAAGAAGTGCTGTACTTATGGGGAAAATTCAGTACCAGCCAGGATAATACAGAAACAAGGATATGGAACAAGACAACTCTCCATGGATACTCATAATGTTTCTGCATGTCTTATAAACAAAGACATTGAGAGCCTTTTATTTTGGACTATCTTTTCAAAGTTGTCTGTACAGCAAAGGACTTTGGAAAACAGAGCCTGTCCTCTTCCAGAGTGGAGAGTAGGTTTATTTATTGTCCAGTATAATAATGTTTCCTCTACAGCAAAGGTTAGGCAGGTTTGCTTGCAGCTCATTATAGAAGATTTGGGTTTCCTAAAGCTCAGAATTCCTCAACTGTGATGCAAACAACTGTGAGCACGGTACACACCTAGGCCACTGTGTCACCCCTGTGGGACTAGGGGGACAGGGAACAAGAAACACTGATACAAACATGGAACTCATGCTGCTTTCTTTGCTCTAAGTAATCAAGCCCTTTTCTGGACTCAAGAGTCTCATGTCTCTTGCCGGCATCCATGAAACTGTTAGCTAAAAAGTTACTACCTTGCAAACAGGATAAAATCTCAGACCCCCACAATGCTGCCCCCTTCTTGACAATAATCCCATTTTAAAAAACAGGCAAAAGATTTGATCAGGCACCTTGCCAAAGAATACAAACAGATGGCAAAAAAGCCGATTAAAAAATATCCAACACCATTAGTCATTAGAGAAATGCAAATTTAAATCACCATATACCCACCAGCCCAGCTAAAATAAAAAAAAGCCTGACCATATCAAGTATTCACAAGGCTGTGAAAAACTGGAGCATTCATAGGCTGCAGAATGGAATGTAAAATGGCACAACCATTTTTGAAAAAGAGACTGACAGTATCTTAGAATATTAAACATATACTTACCATACAAGCCAGCTATTCTACTAAGAGGTATCTACCAAGAAAAATGAAAGCGTATGTCCAAAAACTTGTTACACAAACGTTCATAACCACTTTATTTCTAATAGCCAAAAACTTGAAACAACCTAAATGTCCATCAACAGGTGAATCAACAAATGGTGATACATCCATACAATGGAATACTCAGCAGGAAAAAGGAATGAACTACTTATACACACACTAATATACGTGAATTTCTTTCTTTTTTGATCCACCCGCCTTGGCCGCCCAAAGTGCCAAGATTATAGGCGTGAGCCACCGTGCCCAGCCTTTTTTTTTTTTCTCCCTCTGTCTCCCAGGCTGGAGTGCAATGGCACGATCTCGGCTCACTGCAGCCTCTGCCTCCCAGGTTCAAGCGATTCTCCCCCCTCAGCCTCCCGAGTAGCTGGGATTACAGGCATCCGCCATTATGCCCAGCTAATTTTTGTACAGACGGGGTTTCGCCATGTTGGCCAGGCTGGTCTTGAACTCCTGACCTCAGGTGATTTGCTCGCCTCGGCCTGCCAAAGTGCTGGGATTACAGGTGTGAGCCACTGTGCCCGGCATGAATTTCAAAATAATTATGGCAAGTGAAAGAAATTACACAAGCACTACCATACTATTACATGCACATAAAATTGTAGGGATGAAGATAGGAATAGGGAGAGAGGAATGGATTACAAAATTGCACAAGGAAACTAGAGAGTGATAGATGTGTTTATCACTGTGATAATGACTTCACAAGAATATACATGCATGTTAAAAGTCATCAAACTGTGTACTTTAATATGTGCAGCTTATATTATACCTTATTAAAGTTTTAAAAATATTAATACTACAATAACATACCACTACATATCCAATTAGAATGACTAAAGCAAGAGTCAGCAAACTCTGGCCTAACAGTAGTAGCATGTTTTATGTCAACGTTTTATTAAAACATAGCTACACCCATTCATTTACATACTGTCTATAGCTGCCTTGCTACAACAGCAGATCTGAGTAATTGCAACAGAGACTATATGGCATTTAAGTCTAAATATTTATGTCCTTTTAATAAAATGTTTGTCATCTCCTGACCTAAAGTTTAAAAAACCCTTGACAATATCAAGTGCTGGTGAAGACAGGGCATAAGTAGTTGTGTTGCACACAAATATGTAAATGGATAAAACCACTTTTTATTTTGAGACAGGGTCTCGTTCTGTTGCACAGGCTGGAGTGCAGCAGCACGATCACTACTCACTGCAGCCTCAACCTCCTGGGCTCAAGCAATCCTCAAACCTCAGCTCCCCAAGCAGCTGGGACTACAGGCATGTGCCACCACACATAGCTAGTTAAAATTTTTTTTTTTTTTTGTAGAGATAGGGTCTCACCATGTTGCCCAGGCTGGTCTTGAACTCCTGGGATCAAGGTATGCTCCCGCCTTAGCCTCCCAAAGTGCTAGGATTATAGGCATGTGCCACCATACCCAGCATATAAAACTACTTTTTTCTTTTTTCCAGAAAAAAAAAAAAAAAAAAGCACTCTTGTCGCTCAGGCTGGAGTACAATGGCATGATCTTGGCTCACTGCAACCTCTGCCTCCCAAGTTCAAGTGATTCTCCTGCCTCAGCCTCCCAAGTAGCTGGAATTACAGGTGCCCACCAGCACACCCAGATATTTTTTTGTATTTTTAGTAGAGGTGGGTTTCACCATGTTGCCAGGCTGGTCTCAAACTCGTGACCTCAGGTGATCCACCTGCCTCGGCATCCCAAAGTGCTGTGATTACAGGCATAAACCACCACACCCGGCCATAAAACCAAAAAACTTCCAAACTGTTTTTTTTTTTTTTAAACTTCCAAACTGGCCGGGCGCGGTGGCTCACGCCTGTAATCCCAGCACTTTGGGAGGCCGAGGCAGGTGGATCACGAGGTCAGGAGTTCAAGAAACAGCCTGGCCAAGATGTTGAAACCCCATCTCTACTAAAAATACAGAAAAAAATTAGCCGGGTGTGGTGGCAGGCGCCTGTAGTCCCAGCTACTCCGGAGGCTGAGGCAGGAGAATGGCGTGAACCCGGGAGGCGGAGCTCGCAGTGAGCCGAGATCACGCCACTGCACTCTAGCCTGGGCGACAGAGCGAGACTCCGTCTCAAAAAATAAATAAATAAATAAATAAAATAAAATAAAAAAAAGATTTAAAAAACTTCCAAACTGTTTTCCAAAGTTAAACATACACATACCAAACAACTAAGCTCTATTCCACTTGTAGATGTTTACTAAGAGAAATGAAAGCATATATCCACTCAAAGATTTGTATACAGTAGCATTATTTTAATAGATAAAATCTTAAAAAAAAACATGCAAAAGTCATCAGATAAACAAACTGTAGCATACCCACACTGTGGAATACTACTCAGCAATGAAAAGGAACAAAATAACACCCACAACCACCTGGACAAATCTCTAAAACACAATGCTAAGGTAAATAAAGTCAAACATGAACTTTGTACGGTACACTATAGAAAAACTAGTGATAAAAATCAGATCAATGATTGCCTGGGGCTAGAGATCAGGATCAACTGCAAACAATCATGAGACAAGCTTCTAGAATGATAAAAGTGTTCCCCTGATCTTGATTGTGGTGGTGTCTGTATCACTGTATATATACATATATATATATATTTTGAGATGGAGTTTCTGTCATCCATGTTGGAATGCAATGGCGTGATCTCGGCTCACTGCAACCTCTACCACCAGGGTTCAAGCAATTCTCCTGTCTCAGCCTCCCAAGTAGCTGGGACTATAGGCGCACGCCACCATGTCCGGCTAATTTTTGTATTTTCAGTAGAGACAGGGTTTCACCATATTGGTCAGGCTGGTCTCGAACTCCTGACCTCAGGTGATTGCCTGCCTCGGCCTTCCAAAGTGCTAGGATTATAGGCATGAACCACTGCGCCCGACTCATACACAGTTTTTTGTTGTTATTGTTGTTGAGACAGAGTCTCGCTCTGTCGCCCAGGCTGGAGTGCAGTGGCGCAATCTCGGCTCACTGCAAGCTCTGCCTCCCAGGTTCACGCCATTCTCCTGCCTCAGCCTCAGCCTCCAGAGTAGCTGGGACTACAGGTGCCCGCCACCACACCCAGCTAATTTTGTTTTGTATTTTTAGTAGAGACAGGGTTTCACCATGTTAGCCAGGATGGTCTCGATCTCCTGACCTCATATCCGCCCACCTTGGCCTCCCAAAGTGCTGGGATTACAGGCGTGAGCCACCGCGCCCGGCCATACGCAGTTTTAAGTTAACAATAATGTAATGTCAGCAAAGCAAAATGAGGTCCTAATTTCTTTTCGGTGTCGTTCAGAAAGTTTACACTACATTCCAAAAATAATTCCATACTGCATATGTGAGAAGAGCACCTCATGCACCTTCTGTATTTGCAAAATAGTTATACAGTTGCCTTAAGTAGTCCAGCTAAATTAATTTTTATTCCTAAATTGTTTAGCCTGTTAAATTATATGTCTTCCTAAGGCCCCATAAAGCCCTTGGTTATTGCTTTTGTGGTCACTCCTTTGATGACAAATATTTACGCCATTAATATGAAATTAATACCCCACTTTGGAATGCTCCAATACCAATTCTACCATAACTTTCCGCTTAAGGATCAACTCATGGTATAATCGGTTGGAAGACATTTTAAATGACAAACTCAACTTGTCTGGTATCGGTAACACAAATAACTACTAGAATTTATTAACAGTTGAAACTGTTAACTCTTGCCTGGCCACTCACTATTAAAAGGAATTCCTATTTGAAATATATTAAAATGAGGAAAAAAATTGTGCATCTTATGTTGAAAAAGTACGGTTTCCTTTGGTTCTTTTCAAGTACAAGTGTTGAGGTAAATTGTAAACCACTTCTTTTTTTTTTGTTTTGAGATGGAGTCTCACTCTGTCACCCAGGCTGGATGGAGTGCAGTGGTGCGATCTTGGCTTACTGCAACCTCCGCCTCCCGGATTCAAGCGATTCTCCTGCCTCAGCCTTGTGAAAACTGGGATTACAGGGGCGTGCCACCATGTCCGGCTAATTTTTTGTATTTTTAGTAAAGACGATGTTTCACCATTTTGGCCAGGCTGGTCTCAAACTCCTGACCTCAAGTGATCCACCTGGCTTGGCCTCCCAAAGTGCTGGAATTACAAGCATAAGCCACTGCACCCAGGCCGTAAACTACTTCTTAGCCAGTTTTCTTATGCTTGTCTTAACTATAGGTATGACCTCTGAACTCAGATCCCTATCCCAAACAGGAGTAATTAAAGAACAAGAAAAAGTGCTCCTACCAGGCTTTTGTTTTGCAGAGTGGGATAAGCCAGCCTGTATTCACAACTGAACAGCAAGGAAAGAGATTTTAGAGGCTTATGACGGAATGGACATAAACCTGGCAACTGAGTCTCAGAGGCATAATTTCGAGGTAGTTTTTCAAACCCATCCACAAATGCCTCCTGAAGATGAAAAAAACACATAATCCCTGCCTCAGAGAGGTTGGAGACTATTAGAAAAATGTGGGAACACTAATATGATTATTGTTGTAATGGAAAATGTAAAACATAAAAATACAGAATAATAGAAGTGCCTAAGTCAATCTGCTTGGCTCAGTAAGGAAAAGCTTCAGAGAACAGGTTGTTGGCTCTCACCTGAGACCAGAAAGATGAGTAAAATTTTGCCATGAACAAGCAGACAGATGGCATTCCAAGAAATGAAAAGAACATATGCATAATCATGTTATTATGTGGCAGATATTGTTTTAAGAGCTTTACGTGTACCACTTCCTTAAAACATAAATCTAAGACAGGATAAAATATTTGGAGATTTGATCTGACCCACAGCTCACTTTTCAAATAGCCTTAAACACAAGACATTTGTCAAAAAACAATCAATGGCAACTGTTTATCATTGCAACTACTGTGGTGGCATTACAAGTTTGGGCTATCAAGAAGCTGAACAAAAACTGAAAGGAAAAACTGGAGAATGAGATGTTCATAGGGGGCTTTAAAAAGCTCTGACAGACTGGACGTGATGGCTCATGCCTGTCATCCCAGTACTTTGGGAGGTCAAGGCAGGTGGATCACCTGAGGTCAGGAGTTCAAGACCAGCTTGGCCAACATGGTGAAACTCCGACTCTACCAAAAGTAAAAAAAATTAGTTGGGCGTGGTGGTGAGCGCCTATAATCCCAGCTACTCAGGAGGCTGAGGCAGGAGAATCACTTGAACCTGGCAGGCGGAGGTTGCGGTGAGCCAGGATCGTGCCAACACAAAGCTCTGTCTCCAAAAAAAAAAAAAAAAAAAAAAAAAAAAAAGAAAGAAAGAAAAAAAGGCCAGGCGCCGTGGCTCACGCCTGTAATCCCAGCACTTTGGGAGGCCGAGACAAGTGGATCACGAGGTCAGGAGATCGAGACCATCCTGGCTAACACAGTGAAATCTCGTCCCTACTAAAAATACAAAATATTAGCTGGGCGTGGTGGCGAGTGCCTGTAGTCCCAGCTACTCGGGAGGCTGAGGCAGGAGAATAGCGTGAACCTGGGAGGTGGAGCTTGCAGTGAGCCAAGATCGCACCACTGCATTCCAGTCTTGGGGACAGAGCGAGACTCCGTCTCAAGGAAAAAAAAAAAAAAAAAAAAAAAAAAAAAAAAAAAAAAGCTCTGACAATATTCCAGAGAACCTAGAGGGCCATACACATGCACAGAGCTGTATACATGTCCAGGAAAGACCTTAGCAACTCTCATCTCTATCTGACCTTGAGGTTCTGTTAACACAGGAAGTAAAGGCTAAAGCAGTTGTAAACTGCTTGATGGGACACTGATGGTGTACCCTATAAAGAGCTCCCCAACAAAAATGTGGAGACTTACTGGTTTAAGACTTTTAAGAAAATTTCTGTCCAATGATCAGTTTGTTCAGTAAACTACCTATGCAGACTTCAGTGGCCATACACACAAAATGTAGACTGTACAGAATTACAGGAAAGGGATTACAGAAGTCCAGGAAAGTCACTAAACCAGTAACAACAATAAGAAACGATGTCTGGCTCATCTAAACTAGTTCCAGTGGGATAGGAAATTAAGAAACTTCAAATACAGCGTGTAGTTGAAGATGATAAACTTGCAACAGTGGAGAAGCAGATCACTGCTTTTGAGGACTATGTGCAGTCCATGGATGTGGCTGCTTTCAACAAGATCTAAAATCCATCCTGGATCACTGCACTTAAATAAAAGCTTGAGGCCGGGCGCAGTGACTCGTGCTTGTAATCCCAGCACTTTGGGAGGCAGAGGCGGGCAGATCACAAGGTAAAGAGATGAGACCATCCTGGCCAACATGGTGAAAACCCCATCTCTACTAAAAATACAAAAATTAGCTGGGCGTGGTGGCGTGTGCCTGTAGTCCCAGCTACTCGGGAGATTGAGGCAAAGGAATCGCTTGAACCCGGGAAGCAGAGGTTGCAGTGAGCCGAGATCACGCCACTGCACTCCATCCTGGTAACAGTGAGACTCTGTCTTCAAAAAAAAAAAAAAAAGCTTGAAAGATTAAAAAAAGAAACCATGTCTGGCCAAGTATGGTGGCTTATGCCTGCAATCCCGGCACTTTGAGAGGCTGAGGTGGCCACGTCTCTTGAGCCCAGGAGTTCGAGACTAGTAGCCTGGGCAACATGGTGAAATCCTGTCTCTACAAAGAAATACAAAAATTAGCCAGGCATGGTGGCAAGCATCTGTGGTCCCAGCTACTTGGGAGGCTAAGGTGGGAGGATCTCTTGAGGCCGGGAAGTTGAAGCTGCAGTGAGCTGAGATTGTGCCACTGCACTCCAGCCTGGGTGACAAAGCAAGACCCTGTCTCAAAAAACCAAACCAAACCCAAACAAATCATGTCTGAGAGACAGAATGGGGGTGGGGAGGTAGGGGGTGGGATCTAAATAAAACTTATTTAAAAATATCCAATTTTTGGCCGGGTGCCATGGCTCACGCCTATAATCCCAGCACTTTGGGAGGTCGAGGCAGGTGGATCACGAGGTCAGGAGGTCAAGACCAGCCTGGCCAAGACGGTGAAACACCCTCTCTATTAAAAATACAAAAAAATTAGCCGGGTGTGGTGGCGGAAGCCTGTAATCACAGCTACTCGGGAGGCTGAGGCAGAGAATTGCTTGAACCCGGGGGAGGCGGTGGTTGCAGTGAGCCGAGATCTCACCAGTGTACTCTCCAGTCTGGGCGATGGAGTCTTGCTCTGTTGCCCAGGCTGGAGTGCAGTGGCATGATCTCAGCTCACTGCAACCACCGCCTCCCGGGTTCAAGCAATTCTCTGCCTCAGCCTCCCGAGTAGCTGGGATTACAGGCGCCCGCCACAACGCCTGGCTAATTTTTTTTGTATTTTTAGTAGAGATGGGGTTTCACCGTCTTGGCCAGGCTGGTCTTGAACTCCTGACCTAGTGATCCACCCGCCTCGGCCTTCCAAAGTGCTGGGATTACAGGTGTGAGCCACCGTGCCCAGGCCAAAAATCTAATTTTTAACCAAAAAAAATGATGAGACATACAAAGAAACAGTAAAATAAGGCTCATGCATGGGGGAAAAAGTCAACAGAAACCATCTCTGTAGAAGCTTAAACACTGCATTATTATAAACAGCCAACATATAATACTACTGTCTTCCTCTTTTCAAAGGGAACTCTTCAGAACATATTACATGCCTATCTGGTTCAAGAAACAATTCAACATGTTACTGTGTTTATACTGAAAAGCAATGATTGTTTTAGGTACTATTGGAATTCCAGTTTTTTTTTTTTTTGAGACAGGGTCTCATTCTCACCCAGGCTGGAGTGCAGTGGTGCAATCTCGGCTCACTGCAACCTCTGAGTCTCCCATGCTCAAGCGATCGTACCACCTCAGTCTCCTGAGTACCTGGGACTACAGTTGCACGCCACAGTGCCAGCTAATTTTTGTATTTTTCATAGAGTTGGCGTTTCACCATGGTGCCCAGGCTGGTCTCAAACTCCTGAGGTCCAAGTAATCCACCCACCTTGGCCTCCCAAAGTGCTGGGATTACAAGTATCAGCCACTGCGCCAGGCTTGGGATCCCAGTCTTGAATCTTCTCCAAAGTGACATACCACTCACTATCATGAGCAGCAAAAGGGCCACAGAGAACATTCTTTTGGAAGGCTCTCATTCAATATTTAACCACAATCTGACATCGCCCCATCCATATATATTTCCTTTAATCTTTTTGAGAAGAGATGGCCTGATCAGGTTTATATCCTCAGAATGCATCTCTATTTTGACATCCATGCTCAGGTCTCTCTGCAAGAGTACTGATCTGGTTTTAATTAGCATGTATCCATCTATCTATTCACAAATGTTTCCTGTACACCTGCTATATGCCAGGTGCTAAGCATCAAAGAATATATATACGTATCAAGCTCTTGTCAGAAAGGTTTAATCTTGAACTGTCAAACTAAGAGATGATATTTATGGACGAGTACAGTTCAGTATTCTTAGAGTTATCTAAATTTTTATCTCTTAAAAAAAAACTTTTATTCGGCCAGTCACAGTGGCTCACACCTGTAATCCCAGCACTTTGGGAGGCTGAGACAGGCGGATCACTTAAGGTTGGGAGTTTGAGACCAGCCTGGGCAACATGGCGAAATCCCCACCTCTACTAAAAATACGAAAATTTGCTGGGCATGGTGGCAGGCACCTGTAATCCCAGCTACTCAGGAGGCTGAGACAGGGAGAATTGCTTGAACCCAGGAGATGGAGGTTGCAGTGAGCCGAGATTGTGCCACTGCACTCCAGTCTGGGAGACAGAGCAAGACTCCATCTCAAAAAAATAAAATAAAATAAAATTCCAGTAGAGTCCTCAGAGAAATAAATTTTATCTTTTAACTAAACCACAACAGTGAGTTAAGATTAAATCATTGTGCCGCTATGTGAAACTGATTTTACCAAACTGTTTTGGCATCAGGCCAATGATCTGTATTGAGAAACATAAAAAACAGTACCAGGAGATAATAGTTCATACTTAGAGTACTCAGAGTCATTTAGCCAGACACCATGCTAAACACTTTGCATGCATTAATTCATTCAACCCTCACAATCAAATCCCATGTAGAAAGTACCGTTATTACTCTCATTTGACAGAGGAGGACACAGCTGACAGGAGGGTTAAGTAACTTAATTAAGGCCACACAGTGGTAGAAGCAGGATGTTAACCCAGGGAAACTGACTCCTGAGCTCTTATTCTTAGTAACTATGTTACACTGCCATTATTCATCAAGTAAGGATGTTGAGGTCTTTGTTCATTATATCCTTTCACGTTTTCTCTTTTTTAAAAAAACAGGGTCTCACTTTGTTCCCCCTAGCTGGTATGCAGTCAGTGGCGTGATCACAGCTCGCTGCAGCCACAACCTTGCCAGGCTCAGGTGATCCTCCCCTCCCACCTCAGCTCCTGAGTAGCTGGGACCACAGGCATGCACTACCATGCCCAGCTAATTTTTGTATTTTTTGTAGAGACAGGGTTTCACCATGTTGCCCAGGCTGTTTGTGAACTCCTGGGCATAAGCTATCCATCCACCTCAGCCTTCCAAAGTGCTGGGATTACAGGCGTAATCCACTGGGCCTGGCCTAATGTTTTCTTAATACTTCTCAGGAGAAATTTTAATACTAGGAATAGGAATGGCTCCTCAGCAATTGATTTGTTCTCATCTTCTAACAAGGAATAATGTAACTGAATAGTCTTTTTCTTTGAACTAGGTGCACTTAGAGCTAGATTTAGCACATCTACTATAGACTTATGGTATGCATTTTTGGCTATCATACTTCTAACTTGAAATGATTATCTCCTTATTAAACCAATTTATTTATTTCCATCTATTTCCTTATTTTTAAACAGTATTATGTTAATCTTTGTAAGCCAAACCCTTTGTAGGATAAGGCTTGGTATAAACAATAACTTGAATCCAACAAAACAGTTTATAAGGATCCAGATCCTTAAAAAGCTGTCTAGATTTATTTTATTACATACCAAAGATGCTACTTTAATATTAGCAGTTTTAACACATGATCAGAAAATCAAAGTCAAGTGAAAGAACAATCAGTATCCAGAAAATTTTTTAATAGATCCTTAAATATTCTTAATTCTTCTGAAGAACTCTGTTCTTCATGGCATGACACATACTGTAAGTTCTTCACTAACAGAATGAACATGACTGAATATGACTATCTGAACCCCATTAAAGAAATTAAGTACCTGACTTCAAGGGCTTTGATAGCTTCTAGCATTTGTAGAAACTCTGCTGCTTTCCATACATCATTGGCTTCTTCTTCTCCTTGTATCATTAATTTTGCTGTATATGTGAACTCAATTAAATGGCGAAAGGCCATTTTACTAACACCTGTAAAGAAGATGTACATTAGAGCATGTAATCATATTGACTCAAATCTTACAATGTTTAGTAAAGAAAGAAAAGCCCAGGGCTTGGAGCTTGTTGAGTATTTATTTTTGAAAACTATTTTCTGGAAAAATTCTCATTAGCAATACAATAATATTACAGCCAAATTTCAGCACTACCTAGCTGGAAAATCTTAAACTACTTTAAATTTCCTGAGGCTCTTGGAGAACAGTAAGATTCTATCACTCAAATATATGAATTGGCTATTACATGTCAGACATGCTACATTTCTTGCCAGGGAGATTACAGCTGTGCCAACTCAGCTCCAAAATCTTCAATAGCTTTTCACAACTTAGCAAACAAAATTTAGTACCTCTCTGACTTTATTTCAAGGCCCTTCACATTATTTTCCTATTTACCTTTCCAAATTTTAAACGACATCACACACACACTATATACTATTTCTCAAACAAACCCTGCACTTTCTAATAGCTGACTTGCCTTTATTTATTTATTTTGAGATGGAGTTTCACTCTTGTTGCCCAGGCTGGAGTGCAATACAGTGATCTTGGCTCACAACCTCTGCCTCCCAGATTCAAGAGATTCTCCTGTCTCAACCTCCCGAGCTGCTGGGATTACAGGCATGTACCACCACGCCTGGCTAATTTTGAATTTTTAGTAGAGATGGGGTTTCCCCATGTTGGTCAGGCTGGTCTCAAACTCCCGACCTCAAGTGATCTGCCCGATCAGCCTCCCAAAGTGCTGGGATTACAGGCGTGAGCCACCGCACCCAGCCTGACTTGCCTTTATTAACACCCTCCTAGTTGGATGCTTAATCATTTCATCTCTGGTTATACTCATCCTACCACCCACCCCTTAAAGGTCCAACTCTAATGTCACATGTTCAATGAAACCTTTTAACATTTATTGTAATAAGAACATGAGATCTACCCACTTAACACATTTTTAAGTGTACACTATTGTTGACTCTAGGTACAATGTTGTACAGACCTCCAGTTTATTCATCTTGCGCAATTGAAACTTTATGCCCACTGATTAGTAACTGCCCATTTCCTCCTCCCTCCCAGCCCCTAGCAACCCGTATTCCACTCTTTCAATCTATTTGAGATAGCTCATATGAGTGGAAGTGACTATTTTAGATTCCTCATATAAATAGAAATATGCAGTTTATGTCTGTGACTGGCTTACTTCACTTAGCATAATGTCCTCAAGGTTCATCCATGTGGTTGCATATGCAGAATATCCTTGTTCTTAAGAGCTGAATAGTATTCCATTGGATACATATACTACATTTTCTTTATCCATTAATCTGTTGACGAATATTTATTTCCTCTCGTGGCTACTGTAAATAGTGCTGCAATGAACATAGGAGTGCTAAAACTTCAAGATCCTGATTTCAGTTCTTTTGGATAAATGTTCAGCAAGTGGGATTGCTGAATTGTATGGTATTTTAATTTTTTAAGGAACATTCATACTGTTTTCCATAATGGCTGCACCTATTCCTGCCAACATTGTGCAAGGATTCCAATTTATTTATATCCTCACCAATACTAGTTGTCTTTTTTTTTTTGATAGCCATCCTGAAAGGTGTGAAGTGACTGATACCTCATAGTGGTTTTGATTTGCATTTCCTTGATGCCTAGTGACACTGAACTTTTTTTTCATGTATCTGTTGGCCATCTGTTTGGAGAAATGTCTATTCAAGTTCTTAGCACATTTAAAAAAACATTTTTAATTTAATTTTTTTCTGCATCATTTAGACTGTTTTTAATTGGGCAGATATTTTTTACTATCAGTTGTGGGAGTTTCTCATATATTTTTGGGATTCATTCCTTATCATTTATTTGGTTCTGCAAATACTTTCTCCCATTCCTTAGATTTCCTTTTCACTCAGTTGTTTCCTTTGCTGTACAGAAGCTTTTTAGTTTGATGTAGTCCCACCTGTCTTATTTTCTGTTGTTGGCTGTGCTTTTGACGTCACATCCACGAAATTACTAAGAATGATGTGGTGAAGCTTCCCCTCATGTTTTCTTCCAGGAGATTTACATTTTTTGGTCTTATGTCTAAGTCTCCAATTCATTTTGAGTTTTTTTCTTTTTTATGGTAGAAGATAGGGGTCCAATTTCATCTTTTTTCATGTGAATACCTAGTTCTTCCAACATCATTTGTTGCAGAAAACATTCCTTCCTTATTGTGCATTCTTGGCATCCCTGAAGATCAGTTGACCATATTATTTGCATGTTTTTATTTGTGGGCTCTCTATTCTGCTCCTTTGGTCTGTATGTCTCTTTAAGCTAGTCCCATACTGTTTTGGTTATTGTAGCTCTGTAAAATATTTTGATATCAAGAAGTATCATGTCAGCTGGGTGCAGTGGCTCATGCCTGTAATCCCAGCACCTTGGGAGGCCAAGGCTGGTGGATCACCTGAGGTCAGGAGTTCGAGATCAGCCTGGTCGATATGGTGAAACTCCGTCTCTACTAAAAAAAAAAAAAAAAGAAAAAGAAAAAAGAAAAAAAGAAAAAAATTAGATGGGGGTGGTGGCACGCACCTGTAATCCCAGCTACTTGGGAGGCTAAGGCTGCAGTGGGCCAAGATTACACCACTGCACTTCAGCCTGGGCAACACAGTAAGACTACCTCAAAAAAAAAAAAAAAAAAAAAAAAAAAAAAGTATGATGCCTCTAGCTTTGTTCTTTTTCAAGATTGATTTGGCTAGTCCATGATTTTCTGTGGTTCCATATGAATTTTAGAACTGCTTTTCCTGTTTCCATAAAACAAAAAAAATTCCATCAGGATTTTGAGAGGGACTGTATTGAATCTGTAGCCCACTTTCTGTAATACAGGCTGAATATCCCTCATATGAAAAGCTTGGGATCACAACTGTTTTGGATTTTGAAATATTTGCATTATACTTGACACAGGTTGAGCATCCCAAATCTGAAAATCCGAAATCCAAAATGCTCCAACAAGCATTTCCGTTGAGTCATGTTGATGCTCAGAAAGTTTCAAATTTTATAGCAGTTCATTTTTTCTTCTTCGAGACCAAGTCTCACTCTGTTGCCCGAGCTGGAGTACAGAGGCTCGGCTCACCGCAACCACCACCTCCCGGGTTCAAGCGATTCTCCTTCCTCAGCCTCCCAAGTAGCTGGGACTACAGGCACGCACCACCATACCCACCTAATTTTTATATTTTTAGTAGAGACAGGGTTTCACTACGTTGGCCAGCTGGTCTTGAACTCCTGAAATTGTGATATGCCCGCCTCGGCCTCCCAAAGTGCTGGGACTATAGGCGTGAGCCACTGCACCTGGCAAGCAGTTCAGATTTTCAAATTTGAGATGCTCAATCTGTATGGACAATTTAACAATACTGAGTGTTCCAAATCCATGAAGATCTATTGAGTGTCTTTAGTTTCTTTTTTCTTTTTTGAGACGGAGTCTCGCTCTGTCGCCCAGGCTCGAGTGCAGTGGTGCAATCCATGCTCACTGCAACCTCAGCCTCCCGAATAGCTGGGACTACAGGAATGGGCCACCATAACCAGCTAATTTTTGTATTTTTTTCCGGAAGAGACAGGGTTTCACCATGTTGTTCAGGCTGGTCTTGAACTCCTGACCTCAAGCAATCCACCCGCCTCCGCCTCCCAAAGTGCTGGGATTACAGGCGTGAGCCACTGTGCCCAGCCCAATTTCTTTAATGTTTTATGGTTCTCAGTATTGCATGTCTCTCACCTAAGGAGGTGAAAGGTTAAGCCTATTCCCAGTTACTTTATTCTTTATGGTGTCAATATAAATGGGATTGTTCTCCTAATTTCCTTTCCAGATAGTTCATTGTTAGTGTATAAAAATGCAATTGATGGCCGGGCGCAGTGGCTCACACCTGTAATCCCAGCACTTTGGGAGGCCGAGGTTGGTGGATCACCTGAGGTCAGGAGTTCGAGACCAGCCTCAACATGGAGAAACCCCGTCTCTACTAAAAATACAAAATTAGCCAGGCGTGGTGGTGCATGCCTGTAATCCCAGCTACTCGGGAGGCTGAGGCAGGAGAGTTGCTTGAACCTGGGAGGCGGAGGTTGGGGGGAGCCGAGATTGCGCCATTGCACTCCAGCCGGGGCAACAAGAGCAAAACTCAGTCTCAAAAAAAAATGTAACTGATGGCCGGGCGCGGTGGCTCATGCCTGCAATCCAACATTTTCGGAGGCTGAGGTGGATGGATCACCTGAGGTCAGAAGTTCGAGACCAGCCTGGCCAAAATGGTGAAACCTCATCTCTACTAAAAATACAAAGAATTAGCTGGGTGTGATAGGGGGAGCCTGTACAGCTACTCGGGAGGGTGAGGCAGGAGAATCATTTGAACCCAGGAGGCGGAGGTTGCAGTGAGCCGAGGTCACGCCACTGCACTCCAGCCCGGGCAACAAGAGTGAAACTCTGTCTCCCAAAAAAAAAAAAAAAAAAAAAAGAAAAAAAGAAAAGCAACTGACTTTTGTATGCTGATTTTGTATCCTGCAACTTTACTAAATTTATTAGTTCTAGTAGTTTTTTGTGTTGTCTTTAAAGTTTTCTATATATAAGATGTCATCTGCAAAAAGAGATTGATTCCTTCCTTTCTTACTTGGATGGCATTTACTTCTTTTTCTTGCCTAATTGCTCTAACGAGGATTTCCAGTACTATATTGAAGTGATAAGAGTAGGCATCCTTGTCTTGTTCCTTGATCTTAGAGAAAAAAGTGTCAGTTTTTCACCGTTGAGTATGCTAGCTGTGGGCCTTTATTATGTTGAGATAATTTCCTTCTATTCCTCGTTTGTTTAAGAGTTTTTACTGAGAAAGGGTATTAAATTTTGTCCAAGGCTTTTTCTTCATCTATTGAGATACTCACGTCATTTTGCTTCTTTATTGTTAGTATGGTATATCACATTAACTAATTTTCCTATGTTGAACTATCCTTGCATCCTAAGGGTAAATCTCACTTAGTCATGGAATATGACACCTGTACCTTGCTGTTAGAATCAGTCTGCTAGTATTTCACTGCAAAGTTTTGCATCTATATTCATCAAGGATATTGGGCTATAGTTTTCTTTTTTGTGGCCTGTCTTGCTTTGGTACTGGGGTAATGCTGGCCTACTAATGAATTTGGAAATATTCCTTCCTCTTCAGTTTTTTTGGAAGGCTATGAGAAGGACTGGCATTAATTTCTTTTAACATTTCATTGAATTAATCAATGAACCCATCTGGTCCTACGCTTTTCTTTGTTGGAAGGTTTCTGACAACTGATACAAGCTCTACAGCAGTTGTACATCTGTTCACACTTTCCATTCCTGCATTATTTAATCCATTTATGCCTAGTGTTCCATTATTTGAACACTAAGCATGTGGGAGTTATTAATATCCTACTGCTCAAGGTCATCACCAAGGTCTGATTTTTCAAATTCAAAAAATTACAATTTCAGGCATAAATGGGTTAACCATTAAACATTCTTTAATTCTCCAAGGTTCAACTCTGTAAACTCTGTACCCATTCTGATAATGACAATTCATGGACATCTCTTGACTGTAAACTACTTCAGGAAAGTGATTTTTGATCTGTACACTCATATCACAGTACCTAACAGTGCTTCCTAAAATGCAAGAACACAAAGCAGGAATAAATGAATAAATACTAAAGTCACCTTCTTTTCTTTCTTTTTTTGAGATGGAGTTTCCCACTGTTGCCTGGGCTAAAGTGAAATGGCGTGATCTCGACTCACTGCAACGTCCGCCTCCCCAGATCGAAACGATTCTCCTGCCTCAGGCTCCCGAGTAGCTGAGATTACAGGTGCCCACCACCACGCCTGGCTAATTTTTTGTATTTTTAGTAGAGATGGGGTTTCACTATGTTGGCTAGGCTGGTCTCAACCTCCTGACCTCATGATCCGTCCACCTCGGCCTCCCAAAGTGCTGGGATTAGAGGTGTGAGCCACCACACCAGGCCTAAAGTCACTTTCAAAATTATGCATTTATCATTGATACTTTTGACGGTTTTGTGTTTAAAATTTAGTCCTAAAGTGATACTGTTTCTTTATATCTCAATGCTATATATTATTGGTTCAGTCTGCTAATGAAAGGCTACGAGACACTATTAAGAAAAACAAAAAGAAAACCTACATTTAACATAGATTTTAGACTAAGAAATGCCCAAGTCCAAACCGCACACAATAGGTAAAACTGCAATTCACAAAAATATGTTCTTCCCATCTGTTTTACACATCTGAATGCGGCCTTCAGGACAGCAGTAAGAATGCTGGTGGAATATCATTTAAGTGTTCAAAGCAGTATCCTCTATTTGTGTAAAGAAACGTTCCTGGCTGGGCGCAGTGGCTCATGCCTGTAATCCCAGCACTTTGGGAGGACGAGGTGGGCAGATTACTTGAGGTCAGGAGTTCGAGACCACCCTGGCCAACATGGTGAAACGCCATCTCTGCCAAAAATATAACAAAATTAGCCGGGTGTGGTTACGCGCGCCTGTAATCCCAGCTACTGGGGAGGCTGAGGCAGGAGAGTCGCTTGAACCCAGGAGGTGGAAGTTAGAGTGAGCTGAGATCATGCCACTGCAATCTAGGCTGGGCAATACAGCGAGACTCTGTCTCAAAAAAAAAAAAAAAAAAAAAAAGAATACCATTCAGGAAGTTAGAACTTTCATGTTTTACTCACAGCTCTTCCATGAACTGAGTGATCTGGGGCAATTCAGAACCTCTGAGCCTCAGCAAACTCATTTTCAAAACGTCTAAAAGCAATCTGAATATTGAGAAACACCATAAAATATAAAAAGACCAAGTTACACTCTACCAAATAAGCAAACAAAAATAACTGGACTCACTGAAGGCTAGTTTTATTTGGTTCCCTTTGTATTTTTTCTCCTTGTTGCTTTCATTTATTCTTTAGTATATGAGAGTAGCCCAAGGAAAATACAACTAGCTTTTGCTGTCTTTCAGAAGTTTTGGCCAAAAGTTTAAAAGCACAAGAAAAATCCTTTTTAAAACAATGTGTAAGTGTTTCCAAAGTAGAATGAAATTTTGATTTTTAATCAAACACACATACGTAACACTTACTATATACATATAAAGCAAGGCTCTAAATACTTTACAAGCATTAACTCACTTAATTCTCATAACAACTCTATGAAGTGATAACAACCAGATGGTCTGACTCCTAAGTCTATGACAAAGATTTTAAATAGAATACTAACAGGATAAAAACTTCAAACTTTTCCTTCCTGCTTGGAAAAGTTTGAAGATACATGTTCTCATTCACTATAGGTTCACAATCTCTTACTCATAATACTAAAGTCCCCCCATTTTTTTTTTTTTGTACATACGCACATATGCCTACCCTTGTTATTCTCTGGTGGTAGGATGGGTGAATTACTGCTTATTGTTCCAATTTACATCTTGACCTTTATTAATATTTTTACTAGAAAGGCTTTGCTGAACTCTTGAGGGAACCATATGCTAGGGATGTAAACTATATTAGCTAGAAAATCTTAATACCACTAGGATTCTCAAATGTATTAGAATTTCATGATCGTTCCTCTGCTTTCCTGCTCAAGTCCAAACACTTGTTGACAATCTTGTGAGGGGGATCTTCCACTTGGAGAAAACTTCGTATGCCATGTCAACACAGAGGTGGTCAAAAAATGTGATAAGGGCCAGGCGCGGTGGCTCACGTCTATAATCCCAGCACTTTGGGAGGCCAAGGCAGGAGGATCACCTGAGGTCAGGAGTTCGAGACCAGCCTGGCTAAAATGGTGAAACCCATTTCTCCTAAAAATACAAAAAATTAGCCGGGTGTGGTGGTGCACGCCTGTAATCCCAGTTACTCGGGAGGCTGAGGCAGGACAATCGCTTGAACCTGCGAGGTAGAGGTTGCAGTGAGCCGAGATTGCACCTTTGCACTCCAGCTTGGGCAACGAGCAAAACTCCATCTCAAAATAAAAAACAGTGGTAAGCTTGGAGGCCGGGCGCTGTGGCTCACACCTGTAATCCCAGCACTCTGGGAGGCCAAGATGGACAGATCACCTGAGGTCAGGAGTTCAAGACCAGCCTGGCCAACAAGGCGAAACCCCATCTCTATTAAAAATACAAAAATTGGCCAGGTGTGGTTAGTGAGTGCCTGTAATCCCAGCTACTCAGGAGGCTGAGGCAGGAGAATCACCTGAACCCGGGAGATGGAGGTTGCAGTGAGCTGAGATCATGCCACTGCACTCCAGCCTGGGTGGCAGAGTGAGACTCCATCTCAAAAAACAAACAAAAGAGCCGGGCGTGGTGGCTCATGCCTGTAATCCCAGCACTCTGGGAGGCCGAGGCAGGTGGATCATCTGAGATCGGGAGTTCGAGATCAGCCTGACCAACATGGAGAAACCCCATCTCTACTAAAAATACAAAAAATGAGTTGGGCATGGTGGTGCATGCCTGTAATCCCAGCTACTCGAGAGGCTGAGGCAAGAGAATCGCTTGAACCCGGGAGGCGGAGGTTGCGGTGAGCCGAGATCACACCATTGCACTCCAGCCTGGGCAACAAGAGCAAAACGCTGTCTCAAAAAAAAATTAAAATTAAAATTAAAAAATGTGGTAAAAGAATCGAAACATCAACCACTTCAAAACTTTTCTCATTTAACAACCAGCACTATTAACACTCAGGAAAATTAATTTTGAAGTTAGGAGAAGAAAGTTATCAAAGAAAAAATATCATTTTGAATCTGCTCTTACTTTTATATTACTCATTTCACAAAATGTATACATTATTTCTTTCTCTCCCTCACCACCATACTGAATCAATGCCAGAACTTTTTGATTCTGTCTTATTATCTCTCAGCTACATTGCCTCTACTTTCCTCTTTTTTTTTTTTTTTTTTGGAGACAGAGTCTTACTCTATCGCTCAGGCTGGAGTGCAGTGGCCTGATCTCAGCTCACTGCAATCTCCACCTCTCAGGTTCAAGCAATCCTCCTGCCTCAGCCTCCCCAGTAGCTGGGACTACAGGCACGCGCTGCCATGTCCGGCTAATTTTTGTATTTTCAGTAGAGACGGTTTCACCGTGTTGCCCAGGCTGGTCTCGAACTCCTGAGCTCAGGCAATCTGCCCACCTCGGCCTCCCAAAGTGCTGGGATTACAGGCATGAGCCACCGCGCCTGGCCTCCCATTTCTCTTAAAACCAGAAGTTTCGGCTGGGTGTGGTGGCTCATGCCTCTAATCCCAGCACTTTGGGAGGCCGAGGCAGGCAGATCACGAGGTCAGGAGTTTGAGGCCAGCTTGACCAACATGGTGAAACCCCGCCGTCTCTACTAAAAATACAAAAAGTAGCCGGGCGTGGTGGCACGCACCTGTAATCCCAGCCACTGGGGAGGCTGAGGCAGGAGAACTGCTTGAACCCAGGAGGCAGAGGCTGTAGTGAGCCGAGATTGTGCCACTGCATTCCAGCCTGGGTGACAGAGCAAGACTCCATCTCAAACAAACAAACAAAAAACACAGAAGTTTCTCCATAAATCTGGCAGCAAAATTTGATCTCAGCTAACATGGGGCTATGTCATCTTTATCCCACTTAAGAGTGAATACTAACATGCTATGCTGCTAAACTATTAGTATTTGTGAGTATTATGTTTTTCATTACCCTTAGAAAAATTCTAAAATCTGGAATGTTGAGAAGTATGTCTGGCCTCCGAGAAGATTTGAATAAGGAATTGTGGACCTAGCTCCCTGTCCTGACTGATGAGAATCACCTATAGACTAAATAAAGTACTGGTACCAAGGGCTGGGTGTGGTGGCTCATGCCTGTAATCCTAGCACTATGGGAGGCCAAGGCAGGAGCATTGCTTAAGGCTGGTAGTTCAAGACCAGCATGGGCAAAGTAGTGAGATCTCTTCTCTACAAAAAATACAAAAACTAGGCTGGGCATGGTGGCTCATGCCTGCAATACCAGCACTTTGGGAGGCTGAAGCACGCAGATCACTTTAGGTCAGGAGTTTGAGACCAGCCTGGCCAACATGGTGAAACCCTATCTCTACTAAAAATACAAAAAATATTAGCTGGGCATGGTGGTGGGAGCCTTAATTCCAGCTACTTGTGAGGCTGAGGCATGAAAATTGCTTGAACCCGGGAGGCGGAGACTGCAGTAAGCCAAGATCACACCACACTGCACCCCAACCTGGGCAACAGAGTGAGACTCCGTCTCAAAAATAGTAATAATAATAAATAATAAATAAAAATACAAAGACTAGCTGGCCTTGGTGGTATGTGCTTGTAGTTAGAAGGCTGAGGTGAGAGGACTGCTTGAACTCAGGAGGTCAAGGTTGCAATGAGCCATGATGGTACACTGCACTCCAGCCTGGGTGACAGAGCAAGACCCTGTCTCCAAAAAGAAAGTACTGGTACCTGATCTTTGGAATCAAAACTGGGATAAATATCTGGGTTTTTGTTTTTTTTATTATGAGCACCCCAGGTGTGTTTTTTTTTTTTTTTTTTTTTGAGATGGAGTCTCGCTCTGTCGCCCAGGCTGGAGTGCAGTGGCGCCATCTCAGCTCACTGCAAGCTCCGCCTCCCAGGTTCACACCATTCTCCTGCCTCAGCCTCCCAAGTAGCTGGGACTACAGGTGCCCACCACCATGCCCAGCTAATTTTTTTTGTATTTTTAGTAGAGACGGGGTTTCACTCTGTCAGCCAGGATGATCTCGATCTCCTGACCTCATGATCCGCCCGCTCGGCCTCCCAAAGTGCTGGGATTACAGGCGTGAGCCACCATGCCCAGCTCCCAGGTGCTTCTAACTTATATGACCAGCCCAACACTGTCCTAGGAACAAACCAGTGACCTAATTAGCTAACATGAACCAAACTGATAATACTTGCCCAGCTAAATGAAGTGATGGTGGATATGTAATAATTATACATCTATCAAGACTAGTTTGGTAACTTAACAAATCTCAGCAATCCCTTACTCCCTTCATAACAGAAGTGCGCAGAATACAACTTTTCTAAGAGAGTATCTAAGGAAAATGTTAAAGTGAACAACTGAATCTAAGTCTTCTCCCTGACAGAAATGCTTAGAAAGGAGTAAAAGGGAGCAGCATTGTGGCATTACTCTAGACTCAGGGAATCCCTGCAACTGGTGGAAAACTCCTACTCAAAAAGATGTATAAACATGTACAAGGATGTTTTGTTCTTGATAGTAGGGGCTAAAATTTCTGGACACCATGGTAGAGCTGCTGTTACAGAGAAACTAAGTGCCATGGATCTGTGGTTTCAGGTGAAGTAGAAAAAGAATGAATTTAGAAAATTGGAGGTTCACGTTAGAAGGTTGTGTGTTCTGAACAAAGGAATGAATGTCTGTTGAAGATTTTATATGGTGTGAATCCAAGCCACAAAGCTGAGCTGGGATCCAATTAGCTTCAATAGCAACAAATCTGATTTGAAGTCAAAGATGAACCTGTGGTTTTCATCAAAGGTAACTTACTTTAACCAGGAACACAGAAAACATGGAGGGTGAGCTCAGCTTGCACCTAATGAGTTTATACTCAGAGAATATTACAATCTAAATTTATATACACGTCATTTGCTTTTACGCAATCCTCTAAGACAGTGGTCCTCAACATTGACTGCACACTAGAATCATGCTAGGGCAGTGCTGCTCAAATTTTACTGTGCGTAGGCACCATCTGGGGATCTTGTTCCAATTCAGCAGGTCTGGAATGGAACCTGAGTCTACATTTCTAACAAGTTTCCAAATGATCCCCATGTAGTGGTCCTCAGACCACAACCTACATAGTATATCAAGAACCTAGAGAACTTTTAAATATAGTTTTCTGGATCCTACTCCTGAAAGATTTTTAATTATCTGGAGATACAACCTGGGCATTTATATTTGTAATCGCTTCCCTGGTGTCTCTAATGCCCACCTAATGTGCCATGCTAAGTCATTATTTATATTTTACGAGTGGGGGACGGGGTCCCAGTTCTAGCTAAGATGGAGAAAGCACACTCCACCCTATCTTGTCCATTGATTATTACTAAAAATCCTGGAAAGAATACATAAAGCAAATATACAAGGACTCTGAAAAGTAATTTGAAGCAAGCAGACTGGCGAGAGAAATCAAAACTCAAAACAGTAGTGAGTTTCCTGGTTTTTTTCTCCCACATATGTCAGCTTAGACTTGAGGACAGCCCAAATCTCATTAACTGTGCAGTGAGTGAAGACAGAGAAAAGTTCCAAGAGAAACTCCTTCTGGCTAGAGAACTAGAAAAGATGATGAATGGGAGAGGGACAATGGGGAGGGGTGGATATCTGGTAATTTTTCTTCTCTCTCAGCTCTGCCTCAAAGCAAGCCCCAATCCTGAGTCTGCACACCTGTGGCTGGTAGCTGTCTCCTAAACTCTAAAAGAGAGTTCTTCTGACAAAAGAACTAGGAAAAAGACGATGATCGGAAGAGTATGGAAGAGGGAATTCATTTTATTTTTTTCTCTAACTTTTCTCTCTCTCCATTTTGTTCAGGAAATGAGCCCCTCTACAGAAAACGTATGAAAAGCACAAAGAAGCTAAAATTCCAGTTTTCTCACCAAAGAACCACGAAAAGAAACTCTTGGGAGCTTGTGTACAAGGGAAGTCACGGAGAGAAGAAACGTCCTCTAAATTTGTGTATACAATCTCAAGTTTACCACCAACATGCCCATGTGTGAACTGACCCAAGGCGGCAGAGGAAAGGCGCTGAGAACTGCACAATGGCATGGATGGCACACCTGGGACCTGAACAGCAATACGAAGGTTTTGAAAAGTAAGTTCAAACTGGATCCACAGCCCACAGAGGCAGTCTGAACCTAACCAGGTTAACTGCCCGCTAAAGTGAAACCAAAAAACCAAAAATATTTTCCAGAGGATTTTAACAGCATCCAGTTTTGTAACAAAATATTCAAATGTCCATGACATACTCCAAAATTATGTGACATGAAAAATAAGGAAGCCAAGATATCTAAGGTCACACAGCACACAAACAGTTAAAGCCAGGGCTAAAACTCAAGTTTTCTAACTAACTATATGCCCAGGGCTTTCTCCACAGCCAGGTGACCTTGCTAGACAGTACTGTAACCCCAAAGTTAAGGGCTTAAGATACTGAACCAAATTAATTATTTAAACCTGAATCTGACCAAATGACAGAAATAAAGTGTGTGTCTATTTTGCTTTCTTATCTATCTAGAATTCAAATACTGAAGACTTGTGTGTGCCACAGACCTAAATCTCAAGGTGACTAGTCTTCAGAAGACCAGGCTCTACTTCTACTTCTCCAGGTAATGTGTGCTCATTCTACCAGCAACAAATATTCCAGCTTGGGCCACTTTTCCTTTTTTTTTTCTTTGAGACGGAGTTTCACTCTTGTTGCCCAGGCTGGAGTGCAATGGCGTGACTCAGCTCGCTACAACCTCCGCCTCCCGGGTTCAAGCGATTCTCCTGCCTCGGCCTTCCTGAGTAGCTGGGATTACAGGTGCCCACCACCACGCCCGGCTAATTTTATATTTTTAGTAGAGACAGGGTTTCACCATGTTGGTCAGGCTGGTCTCGACCTCTCGACCTCAGGTGATCTGCCTGCCTCGGCCTCCCAAAGTGCTGGGATTACAGGCGTGAGCCACCGCATCCGGCCAGGCCACTTATTTTTTAAGACTTAAAAATTCTGCTCAGACTTGGCCAGTCGTGGTCTCACGCCTGTAATCCCAGCACTTTGGGAGGAAGAGGCGGGTGGATCACCTGAGGTGGGGAATTCGAGACCAGCCTGATCACGCCATTGCACTCCAGCCTGGGTAACAAGAGCTAAAATCTATCTCCAAAAAAAAGAAAAAAAAAATTCTGCTCAGACTCAAAACTCCTCTTTGAAATCTTTCCTAAGGAAGACCAAACCACTCATTCTCCCTCTTCAGTGATACCATTTCACAGTAATAGTCTTTGTAATACTTTTTGCACTCCTTTATTTGCCTGTTGCTCACCTGTTATGAAATTTTCCGACTTCTTTAAGGGACATCTTATTCATTAATTCTTCATCTCCTGGGTCTAACATAGTACATGATATATTATAGATATTCAATATGATAAACTGACTTTTTTTTTTTTTTTTTGAGACAGGGCCTTGCTCTGTCGCCCAGGCTACAATGCAGTGGCAAAATCATGGCTCACTGCAGCTTTGACCTCCTGGGCCCCAGCAATCCTCCCGCCTCAGCCTCCTGAATAGCTGGGACCACAGGCATGTGCCATCAGACTCAGCTAATAATTTTTTAAATTTTTTGTAGAGAAGAGGTCTCCCTAATGTTTCTTAGACTGGACCCTGTTTATCAAGCTTTGACAAGGCACCAAATATCATGCCATGCACTCTGCATGTTATCGCAATTAGTCTTTATAATCCTATGAACCCACTTTTCAGATGAGGAGAAAAGTATGCAATTGAGGTAAAGTAACCCGCCTGGGGTCACATATTTAATAAACCTCAGGTGTGAATGAATTCATGGAGGCTTGCTTTGTAGTAGAAACCACTATCATCTGGGCAGTTAGATTCTCACTTTATTAAGTTTTGTGGATTTTCATAATTATGTCTCTGTCCTGATTATAGATATTAAAAGATACTCTAGCTGTAAATATATCAGCTATAATGCTAAACTGGAATATACCAAAATTAAAGAATATTCTTAACTCTTTTTTGTTTTCTTTACTCCCCTAGGCATCAAAGGGAAAAAAGGAGTTTCTAGGCAACCCATTCAGAACAAAGAATACGTACACAATGAAATAGATATAAAACCAAAACCCAAGAACCCTAAAAGAAGCTAAAATTCTGTAATTACGTAGGCAAACATTTATTTCCTGCTGTTTTAGATTTTGATGCTGGTGGTAGGGGAGGAGTTACTGCAGTAGCAGAAGAAAAAGCATGGTAATTAATAGCACAAACTTAATTCCTTGCTAGTTGGACAACCCTGGGCAAGTAACCTTTTAGAGCCTGCTTCCTGAAGTGTAAATTATTACAAATAACACCACTTCCCTTTTTGAAAAGAAAAGAAAAGAAAAGAAAAGACAGGGTCTATGTTGCCCCAGGCTGGCCTCGAACTCCTGGGCTCAAGCAATCCTCCTGCCTCAGCCTCCCGAGTAGCTGGGACTACAAGCACAAGCCATCCTGCCCAACATCAAACGATTGCTGTGAGCCTTAGACAATACACAAAACTACATATCACAACGCCTGGCACTTGGCAGGTTATTATTAGAAAAATGTCTAGAAAGTACAAAAATCACTTTTTGCTTCAAGGTAACAGGTATTGATCCATCCCATTGTAGAGCCAGAATTTCCTCTAAATGCTACTTCAGTTCATTTTTCCTAGCTTTCTCCCTATTATGGCAGCCCACTTCACACTGCATGTCATCTGTACCTCTGCTAATACATCACTACTTCTGCTATAGAGTACAGTAAAAGCTTCTACTGTAACCTGCAGCATCTCCAGCAGTCTGAAACATAAGCCCACTGAACAAAGATAGTAATTCACGTTTAATACTTGTTTTCAAAAAACAATGACCACCAGTTTCCACAATGGAAAAGACCAACATCTACCATCTAAGTTTTTCCTGGCAGATCATTCAACCAAGCACTTCACTGAAAGTAAGACTTCTCAGGTATCAAAAGAACAATTTATCTACCTTTACCTACAGGAACTACTGATGCCTATTTCCTATGGTGTCTTGATAAACTGTCTAAAACTGCTTCACCAATTGTTTGCTAAGTATTGTATTTAAAACAAGCATTTAAATAAAATGGCTTCTTTGATTTATTAAATAAAAAAACAACAAGAATCATTTACCTTCTATCTCCACCAATGGTTCTTGGGTAAACTCCTGAAAGAATTTGTAGAAGAACTTACTACAAGCAGCCAAAACAGCCTTGTGAGCCTTAAAATGGTGTCCTAGGTAAAATAAGAAAAAAAAAGAAAATCATACACAAGCACGAAAATCAAATGTATAACTACAAAATAGACTTAAAAATCATATAAAGCAAAATAGGTCTTCCTTCATTACGTAACTACAGAAATTATTGAACTAAATGCAGAATATTCTTGGCAGCTATCTTGGCAAATGTTAATCTCAATTAGATATAAAGCTAAATCTTCACTTCAAACCCCTTTAGTTTTATAAAGCCTAATTTACAACACTAGGTAAGGAGCCTCTTGACACTCTGTTGTTTCCAATTAAGTAGTGAGAAGCATATCCAACTCAGTTGAAACTGCTAAATAAAAGGACAACCCAAAAGGTCACATATCATTTGGAAAGAGAGAAAAAAACCGTAAGCACAAAGCTGGATATGTCTGCTATGAAAAACATTTTAATATGCCTAATATTTGGAAGCTCCATCTATGGTAGACCCATAATTTTAAAAACAGGTTACCTTGAGAAACCTATTTTCGCTAAACAGAAAACATACCCACGCTGGATTTCCTTCCATTATAGAGGCAACTCCTAAGGCTGGTAAAGACCCCATTTTATTTTGGAGATTCTCAAAGGGGGTATGAGTGCTGCAATGGAATCTCTCATTCTCCCTTCAAGACCATTTGGGAAACTAGAAAAAAAATCAACACTTCCCAAATGACTCCTGTAAGGGACTTCTCAAAGCTTACCAACAAGAGGCTATCAACCAAACATTTTGAGACAATCTGTCCCCAACGACATCATCTTGCACTCAACAGGATGTAAGAAGTTAAAATGAGATGAACACCAGACTACGTGGAAGGCATGACTGACCAACCAGCCTTCTGCAGCACGCTGTGTGAGTGGACACTGACAAGTGCAATCTGGTCCCAGTGCACACACTCTGCAGACTTTGGTAGGGAGACCATAGAGGATGGGTTAAAAAAAAAAAAAAAAAAAAAAAGGCGGGTGTCCGAAGGACAGAAAAAAACTGAAGCCAAAAATTCGCTCCTCTGCCCACTGCCCTACCCACCGTCGACAATTAGGGTGATGTCAGTAAACCGGTCCTGCTCTCGCTGTTCATTCAATCGGTCGAGGATCATTTTATGATGTTCAGGGAACTCCTGAAGGCATTCCATCGTCTCTTCAGCCTCCATGGCCGTCG
Organism: Homo sapiens; assembly: GCF_000001405.40. Lineage (NCBI taxonomy): Eukaryota > Metazoa > Chordata > Mammalia > Primates > Hominidae > Homo > Homo sapiens. The sequence goes on along the minus strand of NC_000005.10, from coordinate 43,122,045 downwards.
GGCTGCTCTACAAAAGAAGAGCATGATAATGTACACCCATGAGCTCGAGCCGAGGAACAAAACCCCTAAAGCATAAAACAACAACAAAAAAAACCAGCAACGTGAAAAGAAGGGGGGAGGGTGAAGCAAGAGGAGAGAAAGGCGAGGGAAGAAAGGCGAGCCGAGCGGCCCCGGAGCGTTGAGACCGGAGCCGCGGCCGCGGGACTCCGAGCCTGACCTAATTGGAGTCGGGAGACGCGAGCTAGAGCGGGGTGGGCACAGCGCCGGAGGTTCCGAGCGCCAGGGCGCGCAAGTCCAACAAGGGAGGGGACTCGACAGCCGTGGCGGTCCTCTAACGGCCCGCCAAGCCCTTCTGCCCGGCCGGGGCTCCCACCGCCCCGGGACCCGGTCCGGCCCGCGACCCACAACGACTCTCGGGTCGCCTCTCCCTCCCCCGCCCTCCCTCTTCTCCCCCGCCCCGACCGGGCCGGCACTCACTGAGGGAAGGAGGAGCGGCCCAGGCTTGCGCGTCACTTACGTCGACGCACACCGTCACCGCGTCGAGCTCCGGCTGACGCGGACGCCTTCCGGGCGCCGACCAGCAAGGGAACGGGCCACGCCCCTACCCACACCCCTCAGTGGATGGGCGGGGCCGAGCGCGGGGATTTGGCGCTCACGAAGGGCGAGGGCTTGCTCTCTGAGAAGAAACCGGGCAGCGGTGGGCTTGGGCTACTGCAGAGCCTGGCAGGGCCAGAAGCTGGGAACCTAAGTCATTGCCCTTCAACCTCTCACCCTCCCCAGCTTGACTCCAGGGGCGGACACTTCCCGACCCGAGCCCGGAATGAACTCGCCAACCGTCCTCACAGCCCAGCTACTGCGCGGCCCCTCCCGCCCCGTCCTGCCCCGCCCCCTTCCTTCCGAGACCTGGGTTGGCCCGCCTTACCTAGCTCGTGGGTCGCCCTCCTTCCTCTCCGTCCCTCAGAGCCTCTTGTTCCGTGCTTTCCCCTCCCAGGGCATAATGCGCCCCACGCCTTTCCTGACCCCTAACCCGTGGGTCGCCCTCCATTTTCTTCGTGAGAGCCGGGGCTCCCCTTCTGCTCGGGCCCCGCTGGCGCACGTGCGTTCGGTTGGGCACCCGGGCGGCCGCGGCCCCGGCAGCGGCAGCTACGGGCGCGAGCACGTTCGGGCCGCCCGGAATCTTCCTCCGCGAAGCGCGCCCTCCCCGCGCCCTGCCGCAGCACGTGCTTGCTGGGCTCAGGACCTGGAGCTGCTCAGAATTATTTACACCGGATCCCGTTAGTGCAGGCCTTCCCCACTCCTTTAAAGAGTCCAGGCCGGCGCGGTGGCTCATGCCTGTAATCCCAACACTTTGAGAGGCCTGGGCGGGTGGAGCACATGAGGTCAGGAGTTCGAAACCAGCCTGGGCAACATGGCGAAACCCCGTCTCTACTAAAAATACAAAAATTAGCCGGGAATGGTGGTGGGCGCCTGTAATCCCAGCTATTCGGGAGGCTGAGGCAGGAGAATAGCTTGAAGCGGGGAGGTGGAGGTTGTAGTGAGCTGAGGTAGTGCCACTGCATTCCAGCCTGGGCGACAGAGCGAGACAACGTCTCAAAAAAAAAAAAAAGTCCAGTGACCCACAGTCAGCTGCATGTGACTGCTTCCTTAATTCCTCCAAAGAAATATTATATATAAATACATTTTGAGGATAATTCTATAATTGAGATTTACTTATTTTTTTCTCTCAAAGAACTTGAGAATTGGGATTACGGAGGAACTCAAATAGCTATATGGTAATAATGTCATCATAACTTCAACAGATATGTATTGAGAATCCTAGTACTAGACACTGAGAAGTCCAGCTGTGAACAAGGTATATGTGGTTTCTGCCTTTCTGAATCTTAAGTCTAGTAGACTGCATAGATATTTTGAACAGTAATTGCCTAGGTGCTTGCTGATGAGTTTTGCAACACCTGAAGAACGAAGTAACTGGGTGTCAAGGAAAGCCAGTTGACCTGTAAGAAGAGATGTGGGCGGGCGCGGTGGCTCACGCTTGTAATCCCAGCACTTTGGGAGGCCGAGTTGGGGAGGAGGAGTTCAGCCCAGGAGTTTGAGGCCAGCCTGGGCACATAGCGAGACCCCATCTGTATTAAAACAAAAAATGTTTTTAAGTGATGTGAAGTCTAAGTGTTCTTAGCCAAAAGTATAGCACATGCAAAGGCACCAAGATTATAGCATTCAGGAAACTGAAACAATGTTGCTGGATAGACGCACAAGGGTGCCTTATAAAAAGTGTTGAAGATGTCAGATTTTCTTTTTGCAAGGGGAAGCCTTGCCGCATGGTGACATCCTAAGATGTACTTTTTAAAGAGATAATTCTAGCCCCAATATGGAGAACAGATTAAATGGGACAAGCTGCTAGGAATAGAGATCAACTGGGAGACTGTTAGTAATGTAGATGAAACCATGGGGGAAAATGGAATTAGAGAGCTGGTCAGAATCTAGAGATAGGCTGGGCGCAGTGGTTCAGGCCTGTAATCCCATCACTTTGGGAGGCCCAGTCGGGGAGGATCGCTGGAACCCAGGTGTTCAAGACCAGCCTGGGTGACATGGTGAAACATCGTCTCTACAAAATACAAAAAAATTAGTGATGGTGTGCACCTATTGTTTCAGCTACTTGGAAGACTGGGGTGGGAGGATCACTTGAGCTCAGGGAGGTTGAGGCTGCAGTGAGCTAAGATGGTGCCACTTCACTCCAGCCTGGGCAACAGAGTGAGACCCTGTCTCAAAAAAAAAAAAAAAAATCTAGAGATAGAACCAACATTGGCTGTAAAGCATGCCATAGATACTAAATAAATATTGCTGGATATATTGGTGACAAGGGAGAAAGAATAGTCAAAGATGGCTCCTGGATTTCTGGCTTGAGCCAGTAGATTGTTGGCACCATCTACCAAAATAGGAAATACAACTGGCGGAGCTGGATGGGGAGAGAGGATGGAACCAGAGGTGTTATTATAAGGAGATAATGTTAGAGGCCCTTGGATATATGGGCCTACATATAGTTTAGGGAAGAAGACTAACCGTAGAGATAGAGATTTGCAAGTTTACAGCATAAAAGGAATATTGAAGTGTTAAGAATAGATGGGATTGTTTAAAGAGAGTCTGCAGGAGTGATAGGCTAGCTGCTTGTAGATTGAATTGGTGTTTTAAAATATTATCATCAGCTGGTGGCTCATGCCTGTAATCCCAGCACTTTGGGAGGCCGAGGTGGGTGGATCATGAGGTCAGGAGTTTGAGACCAGCCTGACCAACACGGTGAAACCCTGTCTTTACTAAAAATACAAAAATTAGCCGGGCATGGTGGCATGCGCCTGTAATCCCAGCTACTCGGGAGGCTGAGGCAAGAGAATCGCTTGAACTCGGGAGGCGGAGGTTGCAGTGAGCTGGGACCGTGCCACTGCACTCCAGCCTGAGCAACAGAGCGAGAGTCTGTCTCAAAAAAAAAAAAAAAAAAAAATACGCTGGGCGCAGTGGCTCACGCCTGTAATCCCAGCACTTTGGGTGGCTGAGGCGGACAGATCACGAGGTCAGGAGATCGAGACCATCCTTGCTAACACGGTGAAACCCCGTCTCCACTAAAAATACAAAAAAATTAGCCGGGCATGGTGGCGGGCACCTGTGGTTCCAGCTACTGGGAAGGCTGAGGCAGAAGAATGGCGTGAGCCGAGATCGTGCCACTGCACTCCAGCCTGGGTGACAGAGCAAGACTCTGCCTCAAAAAAAAAATAAATATAAAATAACACATAAATTAAATTAAATATTATCATAATTGTTATTATTCACACAGCCTGCCACCATGCCTGGCTAATTTTTTGTATTTGTAGTAGAGATAGAGTTTTGCCATGTTGGCCAGCCTGGTCTCGAACTTCTGACCTCAGGTGATCGCCTGCCTCCGCCTCTCAAAGGGCTGGGATTACAGGCATGAGCCACCGTGCCTGGCCACGGTATTTCTTAAGATGAAGAAATTGGACACAAAAATAGGCTTTTTGGAAATTCCAGTATATAGGACCGCTCTTCTTTTACAGCAATTGAATTTAACCAAATGGAGAACCCTTTTCTACATAGGATTTGAGCTGTCCAGTTCCCTATAATCCCCACCAATTTCTAATGTTTTAGACTCAGCTATCATTCATTTTCCTTATTTGCTTAGTCCCTGAAAGCATTTGAGTTTGGGACTCCTAGTCCCAAATGGGAGAATGGAAGAGAGTGTAGGACTTTTTATCTAAAAAGTATCAATGTTTATGGATTGAGTAGAAAAGGAAGAAGCTGAAAGGACTGAGTATTGCAGCTGAAGAAAGATGGAAAACTGGAAGAGTATGACATCAATAAGGCCGTGAAAGGAGAGTGTTTCAAAAGAGAGGGTGTGGGCCAGGTGCAGTGGCTCATGCCCATAATCCCAACACTTTGGGAGGCCGAGGATCACCTGAGGTCAGGAGTTCGAGACCAGCCTGACCAACATGGAGAAACCCCGTCTCTATTAAAAATACAAAATTAGCCAGGTGTGGTGGCAGGCGCCTGTAATCCCAGTTACTCTGGAGGCTGAAGCAGGAGAATCGCTTGAAACCAGGAGGCGGAGGTTGCAGTGAGCCGAGATGGCGCCATTGCACTCCAGCCTGGACAACAAGAGCAGAATGCCATCTCAAGGAAAAAAAAAAAAAAAAAAAATGGTGTGGTTAGCAGTGCCAAATGCTGCCAAGTGGTCAAGTGGTCAAGCTAAAAAAAGATTGGAAATGGTCTGGTATATTTAGCATCATGAATGTCTTTGGCAGAAGACCTTAGCAAGAAAAGATTTAATGGAGTTCTGAGGGGAAGAGAGGGGAGGTGAGAAGTCTATATTCAGGTAGGTTAAGGAATAGCTAGGAAAATTGGGACAGCAGTTTTAGAACTTTCATTTAAAAATGAGAGAAGAGTTGAAAGGAGTACCTATAGAGTCTAGCCAGTTTTACTATTTTTGTGTGTTTTGATGGGAGAGACTTAGGCTATTTAAATGGTGAGGGGGAAGGATCCAGCAGAGGAAGAAAATAAAAGTACAAGAGGAAAAGGAGCTAATTGTACAAGAGAGGGATTAATGGATTGAAAGTTATCAGGAGTGTAGATTTGCTTTCAAGAAGTTAAGGAAATTCCTATCAAACTGAAGACCTCTATTTTCTTCCTGAAATAGATGGTCAGGTCATCTACTAAAAATTCAAGAATAGGAGAGAAAAAGTATTTATGTGTTGGATATGAAGAAGTTTGAGACTGGAAGATGTATTAGTTATCGAAGGCGATGTAACCAATTCCCCCAAATCCTAGTGGCTTAAAACAATATTATTATTTCACACTTTCTGTGGGTCAGAAATCTAAGTGTCACATAGTTAGGCTTTCAGGGTCACTCACAAGGCTCCTATCAAGTTGTCAGGTAAGGTGGCTTTAATCTCAAGGCTCCAATGGGAAAGGATCTGCTTCCAAGGTCACTCAAGTGGTTCTTGACAGAATTCAGTTCCTCCCTGGCTCTTGGACTGAAGGCTTCAGTTCTCCGCAAGGCCTCTGTTCATGCCAGGCTCTCCACAGGACATGGCAGCTAGAGTCCATCAGAGAGGGCAAGAAAGGGTGAGCAAGACAGAAACCAAAGTTTCTCGTATTCCAATCTCAGAAGTGACATTCCATCACTCTTGCCATATTCTATATTTTAGAAGCAAGCCACCAGGGGCAGCCTACATTCAAAGGAAAGTAATGAACAAAGGCACAAATAGCAGAAGGCATGATCATTGGGAACAATCATAGGCGCTGCCTGCCACAGAACAGAATGGAAAGGATTTGAAATGGACCCTGGACACAGTAATAACACAGTAGCATCAACAGGAAGCACAGCAGTAACAGCATGCAGTAGGAGTTGGTGGCCAGGAATTTATATGATAGCAATCTGCCAGACATTATGATTTCCACTAGTAATATTCGTAGTCAGGTACATGGTAAATGACTTAGAATGAGTTAGTGTTAAAACACAGTTCCCTGTGGTGCAGATGTTGTGCCAGTTAATAAGCAGGTTTATAGATTTTCTGTGGAATCAAAATAGATTATTCAAATTTAGTAAGAATTGACAAATAGTTCTGGCTACCCTAGTGGTATCCAGGCACTTTTATATGTTTTAAGGCAACATTAGGAAGGAAATAACAGAGTGGTTAAGAAGGTTGGTTTGGGATCCTGAGTTGAAATCTTGTTTCAACCTAATAGCTGGGTGATTTCAGGCAAGTAGTTTAACTTCATTAAGCTTCCATTTCCTCACCTTTGAAACAGTGTTGTGGGAAGCAAATGAGGTAACATACAGGAAACACTTGGATTAGTAGCTGGTATACATTAGCTTTCAGCAAGCGGTCATTATCGTTGTATTCCAGCATAAGATTTACATTCTACCTGCTGGACTTAAAAAAAAAAAAAAAAAAGTGGCCAGGCGCAGTGGCTTACGCCTGTAATCACAGCACTTTGGGAGGCCAAGGCAGGCGGATCACAAGGTCAGAAGTTTGAGACCAGCCTGGCCAACATAGTTAAACCCCGTCTCTACTAAATACAAAAATTAGCCGGGCGTTGTAACGCACGCCTGTCATCCCAGCTACTCGGGAGGTGAGGCAGGAGAATCGCTTGAACCCAGGAGGTGGAGGTTGCAGTGAGCTGAGATTCTACCACTGCACTCTAGCCTGGGTGACAGTGAGACTCCGTCTCAAAAAAAAAGCATTTATGGAACAAAAAATGAGCTTGTCTTTGTGTTTGCCCAAAGGAACTGAAAATTCAGGGCATCCCCAATGATCCCTCAGATGCAGCAAGATGAAAAAAGGATCATGACAGGTCCAAACTTTTTTGGAAGAGCACATGATATTTTACATATGCCACAAATAAGAAACTGACACAATTTTTAGGGCTATTTCCTTCTTTTCTTTTTCAGGCAACCTGCTGGACTCAGGAAAGTAGCACGCACTTAAGGAAAGTTACTTAGTTGTTTCCCAGCTGGTGGATATTGGCCTTTACTTAGTAAACTCTAATTCTGGCTTGGAAACTCCCAATTTGGAGGGTACTGCATCATTCCTGTGGTGCTGGGAAAGAAGGCAGGACAGGGGCCAGGTAGCAAAAATCACAGAAGAGTGTGCTAAGTACGGATTGCACACTAGGCCAGAAGTTTTCTTTTCAGCAGTGTTGTTCACAGTGGCTGCTAAATCCTTTGTCCAAGTTTGGCTCTTGTCCCATCTTGGCATAATAATATGAAATGGAATAATAACCAGGTGTGGAAATAGTTGCTGCTCTCCTAGATTGGAGACCTCCAGGATGTTGTTATTGTCAAAGGATCCACTAATATCCAAGTGTTGCTGCCTTTATTGTTTTATTTTTATTGCAAACATGGAACTCATTGGACCCTGCTCCTTGATCTTTTTGTGGATCAACCTCTTTTCCTCTACCTCTTAGCGCTGGAGTGCCCCAGTTCATCGCTGTTTTCTTTTTTCTTTTTTTTTGAGACAGAGTCTTGCTCTGTCACCCAGGCCGGAGTGCAGAGGTGTGATCTTGGCTCACTGCAACCTCCACCTCCCAGGTTCAAGCGATTCTCCTGCCTCAGCCTCCGGAGTAGCTGGGATTACAGGTGCCCGCCACCACACCCGGCAAATTTTTTTCTGTATTTTTAGTAGAGATGGAGTTTCAACATCTTGGCCAGGCTGTTTCTTGAACTCCTGAACTCGTGATCCACCTGCCTCGGCCTCCCAAAGTGCTGGGATTACAGGCGTGAGCCACCGCGCCCGGCCAGTTCGTCAGTTTTAATGTCATTCTAATATATTTGGGATTAAATCGGTTACGTTAACATTTGTTTTCTACTTGTCTTACTGTTCTGTTACTTTTCTTTCTTACCTTATTTTGTATTATTTAATGATTCTAATTTCTCTATTAACTTGATAGTTATATATTCTTTTAGTGGTTAACCTAGAGATTACATCATGAATTCTAGATTTAAAACATCTAAATCACAGTTACCCTTTTCCCAAACAATGACACTTTAATTTCCTTCATTCTCCCTCCACCCAGGTCTTCTGCTTTTTAAATCCATATATTTTAAATGCCCCAAGACATTGTTTTGATTGTTTCACGTGGTTAACTTCCATTCAGATTTGCACATAAGGGTAAATCCTTTATGTTACTCATCATTTAATTTCTACTTCCAAACTTCAAACTATTTTCACTTTCTGGTGGTGACAAATTCTCACAGATTTTGTCTGAAGTCACCTTTATTTTCACTTGCTGTATAGGCAGCCTCTAAGATGATTTCCAAAGAAGGCCAGGGCTAGAGTGAGGAGAGTGAGACATTTGTTTGGGGTGCCAAAAACTCAGAAAGTAATGGTTTAACACAACTTTTTTTTTTTTTTTTTTTTTTTTGAGATGGAGCCTCACTCTGTTGCCCAGGCTGGAGCGCAATGGCGCGATCTTGGCTCACTGCAACCTCCACCTCCCGGGTTCAACCTCCACCCCCTTGCCTCAGCCTCCCAAGTAGCTGGGATTATAGGCACCCGTCACCACACCTGGCTAATTTTTTGTATTTTTAGTAGAGATGGGGTTTCACTATGTTGGTCAAGCTGGTCTTGACTCCTGACCTCATGATCCGCCTGCCTCGGCCTCCCAAAGTGCTGGGATTACAGGTGTGAGCCACTGCACCAGGCCAACACAACTTTTTTTTTTTTTCAGACAGATTCTCACTGTGTCACCCAGGCTGGAGTGCAGTGGCGCTATCTCGGCTCACTGCAACCTCCACCTCCTGGGTTCAAGCAATCCTCTTGCCTCAGCCTCCTGAGTAGCTGGGACTACAAGCAGAAGCCACCATGCCAGGCTAATTTTGAGAGGTGAAGCTAGCTGGACTTCTTGGGTTGAGTGGGGACATGCAGAAATTTTCTGTCTAGCTAAAGGATTGTAAACACACCAATCAGTGCTCTGTGTCTAGCTAAAGGTTTGTAAATGCACCAATCAGCGCTCTGTAAAAATGCACCAATCAGCGCTCTGTGTCTAGCAAAAGGTTTGTAAATACGCCAGTCAGCGCTCTGTAAAAATGCACCCATCAGTGCTCTGTGTCTAGCTAAAGGTTTGTAAACATACTAATCAGCACTCTGTGAAAATGGACCAATCAGCACTCTGTAAAATAGACCAATCAGCAGGACGTGGGCGGGGCGAATAAGAGAATAAATGCCGGCCACCCAAGCCAGCAGTGGCAACTGGCTTGGGTCCCCTTCCCCGCTATGGGAGCTTTGTTTTTTCCCTCTTTGCAATAAATCTTGGTGCTGCTCACTCTTTGGGTCTGCACTACCTTTATGAGCTATAACACTCACCACAAAGGTCTGCAGCTTCACTCCTGAAGTCAGCGAGACCACGAACCCACTGGGAGGAATGAACAGCTCTGGACGCGCCACCTTTAAGAGCTGTAACACTCACTACGAAGGTCTGCGGCTTGACTCCTGAAGTCAGCATAGACCACGAACCCACCAGAAGGAAGAAACTCCAGACACATCTGAACATCTGAAGGAACAAACTCCGGTCACACCATCTTTAATAACTGTTAACAGTCACCGCGAGGGTCTGCGGCTTCGTTCTTGAAGTCAGCCAGACCAAGAACCCACTGGAAGGAACCAATTCTGGACGCAGTTTTTGTATTTTTAGTAGAGACGGGGTTTCACCATGTTGGCCAGGCTGTCTCGAACTCTTGACCCGGAAATCCACCCGCCTCCGCCTCCCAAAGTGCTGGGATTACAGGCGTGAGCCACCACGCCCGGCCACAACATTTATAAAAGCAAAATGAACACAAGACTTTGATTTTTGGGCAGCTGGAGTAGTTGTATTTTTCCTTATTTCTCCCACTAAGTACATTTTAAAACTCTGGATGTGATCTAGAAAACAAAAAAAAATTGGCTGGGCAAGGTGGCTCACGCCTGTAATCCCATCACTTTGGGAGGGTGAGGTGGGCAGGTCACCTGAGGTCAGAAGTTTGAGACCAGCCTGGCCAACATGGTGAAACCCCGCTTCTACAAAAAAATAAACTGGGCCTGGTGGCGGGCGTCTGTAATCCCAGCTACTCGGGAGGCTGAGGCAGGAGAATCTCTTGAACCCTGGAGGTAGAGGTTGCAGTGAGCCAAGATCGCACCCCTGCACTCCAGCCTGAGGGACAGAGTGAAAAAAGAAAAAAAAAAAAACCGAAAGATTGAGAGAAAAAAGCAAACTGACTATAGGCATCTCAGAACCTGAAGAACGACACAGTGGCAAACTCCTTGAATTTTCTTCTTACATGTCACAGACTTTGAGTTAAAGAAGCTGGGCAAGCCAGGAGTGCCAATGAGCACAGGCAAAAACAAAACTCTTAACGAAAGCCTGCTCTTTAGCCAAAGGCTCAGGAAAGGGGCTGTCTAGCAAAACAAAACTTTTAGACAAAAGTCCTAGTATTGAGGCCAAATACCACAGTAAGAAATGTGACCCCACCTGCATCCATGTCAGAAAGGCTGTGGTGGCCAGCACAGGGGCTCCTACCTGTAATCCCAGCACTTTGGGAGGCTGAGGCCAGCGAATTGCCTGTGCTCAAGAGTTCAAGGCCAGCCTGGCCCACGTGGTAAAACCCCATCTCTTCTAAAAACAGGAAAATTAGCCAAGTGTGGTGGTGTGTCTGTAATCCCAGCTACTCAGGAGGCTGAGGTGGGAAAATCACCTGAGCCCGGGGAGTTTGAGGCTGCAGTAAGTCAGTGCACTTCAGCCTGGGTGACAGAGCGAGACCTGTTGTGGTGAGGAGCCTAAGCATCTGCCTTCTTCAGGCTATAACGAGGCACCTCAATTCCCACCTTTTTAGGGTGGTGTCAGAGGCCAAGTAGCAGCTCAGACTTTCACCCACACCCAGCAGTAACAAGGTTCTCTTTCCTCTTCTCCTAAGGTAATGTCAGAGGAGGCCTGATGGAGAGTCAGGACTTTCACCATTATTCCGCAGGAATAGGACCATCTTCACTTGCAGTGCTGATGCAGGCCATGAGGGGAGCCAGAACTCCTGCTCCGCCCCAGTAATAACCAGGTGCAACCTCCTCTTTGGGTGTCAAATGGAGGTCAGGTGGGAAACTTGGACTTCTACCTCCATCTAGCAGTAATGAGCTGGCACCCCACCTCCTTCCTCTACGGGAGCAGTGTCATAAAAAGCCAGGTAAAACAGATGGTTTAAAGAAAACTCAGAGTCTCATAACTTCTGAAAATATACAGGTTTCAATTTTTAAAATCACTGATACTTCAAAGCAAAAATCAGGAAACTCTCAAACTAAACGTAAAAGACAGTAAATACATGCCAACAGATAAAAGAGATGTTGTAAGTAGTAGACAAAACCGTGATAAAAGCCATGATAAAAAATACTTCAAGGAGCAATTATGAACACGCTTGAAACAATTTTTTTTTTTTCTTGAGATGAAGTCTCGCTCTGTCGCCTAGGCTGGAGAGCAGTGGCGCAATCTCGGCTCACTGCAAACTTCGCCTCCCTGGTTCACACCATTCTCCCGCCTCAGCCTCCCGAGTAGCTGGGACTACAGGCGTCCGCCACCACGCCCGGCTAATTTTGTTTTTGTATTTTTAGCAGAGATGGGTTTCACCATGTTAACCAGGATAGTCTCGATCTCCTGACCTCGTGATCTGCCCGCCTTGGCCTCCCAAACTGCTGGGATTACAAGCATGAGTTACTGTGCCTGGCCGAAACAATTTTTTTAAACCTCAGTAAAGTAATAGACAATATAAAGAAGAAGCAAATTGAAATTTTATAACTGAAAATTCAATAACTGAAATTAAAAGTTCAGTGGATGAGCTGACCGGCATACTAGAGAATACAGAGAATCAGTGAAGTGGAAAACAAAAGAATCAAAACAACCCAATTTAAAGAGCAGAGAAAAAATTGACGGGGGAAAAAAATAAGTAGAGCATCAGGAATCTGTGGGGCTGTAATAGAAGATTTAACATTTGTGTTCTCAGAAACCCTGAAGGAGAGGAGAAAGAGTGAGGCTGAGAAAGTACTTGAGGAAATAATGGCTGAAAACATCCCAAATGTGGTAAGATTTGGTACAGATTCAAGATGCTGACCAAACCCTAGAAAGTATAAACTGAAATAAATCGACACCAAGAAACATAATTAAGCTTATAAAAATTAAAGGCAAAAAAATTATTGAAAGCAGTCAGAAAAAGAAACAAAACCCAAAACCTCGCCTACAGAGAAAAACAATTCAAATGACAGCAAACCTCTGATCAGAAACCACAGAGGACAGAAGGATGTGGCACAATATTTTTTATGTTGCTGCTGCTCAATTCTCAACCTCCTATTGAGATTCCAAATACCCGTTTATTAGGTTTTCTTGTTGTACACTCTGTGTCTTTTCCCATCTGTTCTGTATTTCCCATCTCTTGTCTTTTCTCCTTGTTTCCTCATGGACATTTTCTTCTGATTTTTCTTCCAGTTCACTAATTCTCTTCAGCTGTGCTAATCTTCTGTTAAACTCATTGAGTTATTGATTTGGTTGCTATATGTTTCATTTATTATTATTTTGAGGCAGAGTCTCACTTTGTCACCCATGCTGGAGTGCAGTGACGCAATCACAGCTCACTGCAGCCTCTGCCTCCGAGGTTCAAGCAATTCTGCTGCCTCAGCCTCCCGAGTAGCTGGGATTACATGAGCCCACAACCACACCCGGCTAATTTTTGTATTTTTAGTAGAGACGGGGTTTCACCTGTTGGCCAGGCTGGTCTCAAACTCCTGACCTCAAGTGATTCACCTGCCTCGGCCTCCGAAAGTGCTGGGATTACAGGCGTGAGCCACCGTGCCTGGCCATGGCTGCTTTATGTTTTAGTTATTTTTGCTTCTTTATTATCATTTCTAATTTTCTATGAGTTTCTCAATCTTGTCTTTTATTTTCTTATTCATATTGAATGGTATTTTACAGTCTGTGTCTCGGTATCTAGAGACTGTTTCGTTGTTGCTTCTCTCAGTGTTTCTTCATGTTCTATTGCCTTTCATTTTCTTAAAATTGAATGCTGGATACTGTATGGGAAATTTTTTACAAACACTTTGAGGCCTGCAATAATTTTATCTTTCTCTATAGAAGAATTTTGCTTTTGGTTGGCAGCTAGGGGTATTGGCAATTGGGATAACCTTAATTCAATTTTAGAAATGGAGATAATTCGGCTGGGCACAGTGGCTCACGCCTGTAATCCCTGCACTTTGGGAGGCTGAGGCAGACGGATCACAAGGTCAGGAGTTCGAGACCAGCCTGGCCAACATGGTGAAACCCTGTCTCTACTAAAAATACAAAAATTAGCCGGGCGTGGTGACACATGTCTGTAATCCCAGCTTCTCGGGAGACTGAGGCAGGAGAATCGCTTGATCTCAGGAGGTGGAGGTTGCAGTGAGCCAAGATTGTGCCACTGCACTCCAGCCTAGGCGACAGAGCGAAACTGTCTCAAAAAAAAAAAAAAAAAAAAGAAAGGGAGATAATTCGAAGATTAACTTACTTCCTTTTGAGAACTAGTTTATTACCAGTTCTCCTTTATTCCTAGGGTGTAGCACCTTAGGCTTTTAACCCACATCTGAGTCCTCCTTTTTATTAAGATTGTTTGGAGCTGGGCGCGGTGGCTCACACCTGTAATCCCAGCACTTTGGGAGGCCAAGGCGGGCATATTACTTGAGGTCAGTAGTTCGAGACCAGCCTGATCAACATGGAGAAACCCTGTCTCTACTAAAAATACAATATTAGCCAGGCATGATGGTGCATGCTATAATCCCAGCTACTTGGGAGGCTGAGGCAGGAGAATCGCTTGAACCCGGGAGGCTGAGGTTGTGGTGAGCTGAGATCTCGCCATTGCACTCCAGCCTGGGCAACGAGCAAAACTCTTCTCAAAAAAAAAAAAAAAAGATTGTTTGGATTTATTCTCATTGTTCATTTCTGAGATGTTATCACTAAAGACTCCTTTAAATATTCCATTTTTGTGTAAGTTGGTAATCAATGTTTTGTCCTTAGTTGGGTCAGACAGAGTTAAAAGGGAATCAGTGCCCATGCTCATGGCTAGCTTGATAGTGATAGTGATCAATGAGTTTCAAAAGGCTAGGAGAAAACCAGGGAGCAATAGTGAGAAAGCATGAGTTTAGTCAGGCTCCCTCCCTCATCACCCCTTGTGTGTAAACTTTAGAGTCCAGAGCATTATTTTTAGTGATGAAGGTAACACTTTTATATGTTCATTGGGTTCTTCTGAATCTTTTAAGCTCCTGTTGTTTTCTTTGAGGGCCAAGCGAACAGAGTCCTGGCCAAAAAATAACATTATAGTGGTGAAGATAGAGACATTGAGGGTTGTACTGATAACCTGTGATAGGGAGAAGATGTGGATGGTTTTAGTGCAGACCCTTGATTTGAATATACTTGTAATCAAATAACTTGTGTTTTCCTGAAATAGAGATTACTAATAATATCACTTAATAAGATGACATTAGTTACATAAAAACAGACAAGGTAGCTGTATCAACACATTTAGAATCTTTATTGAAAAAATAAGAATAGCAGAATAGGACATGGAATTAATTGAAAAATAAAGAATACATAGAATGATAAAATTCAGCACTCTCATAGCTCTGACTAAAAAAAATATTTTTAAAAATTCAGCATGCTTTCTCTCAGCACTGAGCAGTGCAGTTTAGGACATGTTTTTGGCAAATTGTTGGTATTGGTTTGTCTTAAAGGATTCATGCATAGGGCTTAAGAAAGCTTCCTCTTACACGGTACTAAAGTGGCCTATTAATGTGTCTCTCTCCCCTAGATTAGAATTTTTTTGAGGAAACTGAGACTATATCTTCTCTGTGGTCTCCTAGAGGTCATCAGGGCCACTTTCATTTTAGAGGTTCCTGGTATATTAAAAAATCAAGAAATCGGCCAGGCGCAGTGGCTCAGGCCTATAATCCCAGCACTTTCGGAGGCCGAGGCGGTCGGATCACGAGGTAAGAAGATTGAGACCATCCTGGCTGACACAGTGAAACCCTGTCTCTACTAAAAATACAAAAAAATTAGCCGGGCGTGGTAGCGGGTGCCTGTAGTCCCAGCTACTATGGAGGCTGAGGCAGGAGAATCGCGTGAACCCGGGAGGCAGAGCTTGCAGTGAGCCGAGATCGCACCGCTGCACTCCGGCCTGGGGGACAGAGCAAGACTCCATTTCAAAAAGAAAAAAAAATCAAGAAATCCCAAGTTTCCAAAAATTGTAGCCTATTTTAAATATTTACATTTAACAAATTTCTACTTTTTCACAAATCAGAATATAATACAATATAATCCAGCTTTTCAAAAGCTAATTTTCGGAATTCTAAGAAATAACATATTGTTAATAATTCATCGTGCCCTAGGGGGACAAAAATTTAAAGTTGAAGAATTAGCATCTTTCAGTCCTGTCACTGTAGCTCTGTCTGTGAGGCCTTCCACATATAAGAAGTGTCACGTCAAATGTGCCTGCTGTCTCCCTCAGCCCAAATTCTTGTCTTGGCCCTGGTCTTGTCATCTTTGTACCACGAGCCTAGTACAGTGGTTGCTTCATGGCGGACACTCAACAAATGCTTGTTGACATTTGTTTTTAAACTAAACTGTTTTAAGAATGATTCATTTGCCTTCTGAAAGTCAAGATACCAGAAAATGAGTCTGTTATTCAGTTTCTAGAACTCCTAAAGCACTATTTTACACATAATTTTCAGGCTTTGCCAAACTGTTACTAAACTTACAGTGGATGCTTTCCCCACATGATTCAAATTTCTGGTATGGAAAAATCTAAGCATAAAGGATGTGTGTGTGGAGGGGGAGGGAAGGCAGTAAATACCTCAACTCCTGACCCCATGAACCCATTTTATTAGGGATAAAACCAACGGTTGACTCATTGAGGGACTTTCTACAGTCATCTCAGGTGTATGCTAGACATGAAAGTCCTAGAAAGTTCTAGAAACATCCCAGTCTGTGGAAAGCAGCACCACCTCATCATAGCTGAATTTAGAACGACAGCATTGATCAATTCTCTTAGCACTGTATGAGCCAGGGTCGACACGCAGCAAGTCTTATGGAGCCCGTGTGCTGCTGCCCTCTAGTGGTTCTTCGGCCTGTGCAGGACCCACCGCTTTTCTCCCACCGTGAGGGGGCAGCAGAACTTCCAGGTTGTCAAACGCTGAAATCCGCTGGGCTGCTGAAACCAGCCAAGTCCATGGTCCTCCCCTCAAGGCACCGGAGATCATCAAGTAGTGCAGGAGTCATCAGTCCCAACACTGGGAGAGATGAGATTTGGTCCTTCAACTAAAATGCAGGATCGCACCGCTAGTCCTCTTCAGTGTCATTCCCTGCTTTCAAGGATACAAAACCAAGGGGACGAGGACCGAGGACAGAATGGATCTGCCAGCAGGAACCCGAAGCCAAACTGTCTTTCTCCCCACTCTTCCGCCCCCCCGAAAATGAAGGTTACCGTCGGGAGGGAGGGCATGTGGCAGTAGTGTCTCTAGTGGACAAAAGGTGATATGTCCATTGTAGTTTGATTCACTCTTCAATTCTCCTGGTTTGTTGTTGTTTATATTTCCCAACCAAGGCTTCCTGTCCTCTCAGTTTTCTTTCTTTCACATTATTTTTCTCCCTAGATTCACTTGCTCGGATAGCTCCTAGATCCTGTGCCCTCATCATCTTTTCCAAGGCCATCATCAGGACTCATGCAGGCTTTTTTTTGGGGGGGACGGAGTCTTGCTCTGTCGTCCAGGCTGGAGTGCAGTGGCTCGATCTCGGCTCAGTGCAACCTTCACCTCCCGGATTCAAGCGATTCTCCTGCCTCAGCCTCCTGAGTAGCTGGGATTACAGGCACATGCCACCACACCTGGCTAATTTTTGTATTTTTACTAGAGACGGGGTTTCACCATGTTGGTCAGGCTGGTCTCGAGCTCCTGACCTCGTGATCCACCCGCCTCTGCCTCCCAAAGTGCTAGGATTACATTTGTGTTCCTGGTTGGTCGTTGAGGAAAGAGGAGATTGGCGGGGTGGGTGGTGGTGGGAAGGCTCATTGGGGGAACTGGCCCTTGGTCCTGGGTATCTTGGCTTTGTTGGCCAAGGGGTGTGTGGTGGGGTTGTCTGTGGTCAGGATTTGAGGGCTTCTGGGAGGGGGAAGCCGGCCAAGGGTAGAGAGCTGCCAGAAGTCAAAATCGCGGACATGGGTTGGGCTGCCGAAAGATTCAGCAGACAGACAACAGCCCCGGCAACTGTGCTTAGCCCTGAAATGCCTCTACTGAGTCCTCCTAACATTTAGTCCGAGTGTGCCAGGGTGCCTTTCTGACGCCTTCCTGTTGCTCTCCCTGCCATCTCTACCATTCTCCTGCTTCTTAGTGCTTTGGATCAAATAATTGGGCTGGAGAAGAGCAAGTGGTAGGGGACAGACGTCTGATTCTGGCCTATTCTGCAGTCATCCTAGCATGGGTTTAGAGAAT
Organism: Homo sapiens; assembly: GCF_000001405.40. Classification (NCBI taxonomy): domain Eukaryota; kingdom Metazoa; phylum Chordata; class Mammalia; order Primates; family Hominidae; genus Homo; species Homo sapiens. The sequence continues at coordinate 43,104,520 of NC_000005.10, read as the reverse complement.
GACATTTTTCTGTTTGCAAGCAGGGTAGGCCTGTAGACTAGGGATTGTGTGTGGGAGGCTCCAGCATGGTCAGTGACAATGGAGCTGTAATTATGGGTCTCAAATTCAATCATACAATCTAGGTACATCTGGGACTTGGGATTGGGGTAGGTCTGGAATCTGGTTACGTGGGAAAACTTTCCTTGGACAATTTTCATCTAAGAAGCGGCACTTTCATCTTCATGTTTCACTTTCAGTTTCATGGTTCTCTCCCACACCCCACCCAACCACAAGCACTCCCATTTCCTAAGCACATCACACTCCTGATGCCCCCATTTCTGGACTAGTTCGGTACTCAGCAGGGATTGGAGGAGCTCCTTGCTCCTGTTCTGAACACTGTGTTAATGGAATTTGGCAGGGCGTGGTGGCTCATGCCTGTCATCCCAGGGCTTTGGGAGGCTGAAGTAGGAGGATTGCTTGAGGCCAGGAGTTGAAGACTAGCCTGGGTAACACGGGGACACTGCCCCCCGCCCCCCGCCCCCGTCAAAACACACACACACAAAGTAAAATGAAAAAAATAATAATAAAAAAGATAGGAATTAACATGTACAAAAGAGACCAAAATGTCTATTTAAATATTTTACTTCTTTGTGGGAGAGTATTAAGAAAAAATATTTATAAACTTTCAAGATGAAATGTTGAGAGTTTTTCTTCTTTTGTGTTTTTCTTGTCTAAAAGTTGTGATGATAAAAAATAAACATTCTCAAAATATCCTAAAAACAAAATATATCTTGAATATTTACATGTTTTATTAAGGAATCTAGATTCATTTCTTTCTTTTTTTTTTTTTTTTTCTGAGACGGAGTCTTGCTCTGTCGCTCAGGCTGGAGTGTGGTGGCGCGATCTCGGCTCACTGCAAGCTCTGCCTCCCAGGTTCACACCATCCTCCTGCCTCAGCCTCCAGAGTAGCTGGGACTACAGGCACCTGCCACCACGCCCGGCTAGTTTTTTTGTATTTTTATTAGAGATGGGGTTTCACTGTGTTAGCCAGGATGGTCTCAATCTCCTAACCTCGTGATCCGACCACCTCGGCCTCCGAAAGTGCTGGGATTACAGGCATGAGCCACCGTGCCCGGCCTAGATTCATTTCTTTAAGAACATTATTTTTAAAAAGGATGTAATAAGTTTGTAGACATAAAATTGAATGTGATATCACTCATATTTCCTTTTCTGGTTTTTAGGAAAAGAAACAGCACACTCAAATAGTTTAAGCCTATAGAGATTTATTAGGGGTTAAAGATAACTTAAAATTTGATGGAAAGGTGAAGGCAGATTTTCAACTGAACTTCAGGAATGGCTCTCAGAACCAAACTGCAAAGAACCAAACTGCAAACTAGCTCCCTAAGGGTGAAACTCGGAAATTTGAAAACACCGAATCAGGTAAGTATCACCCCAGCTGCCCTTTTTGAACTCTCGTGCATGTTGGCTGTTGTGTTGGTATACACAGGGCAAGGAGACATTCCCAGAGTTGAGAGAGGCCAAAACACTGAGACCCACCTGCCTAAGAATCAATGACTGAACTTGCCAAGATGCCGCAGTTCCTTCAAGAAGACACAGATGCTGCATCCCAATGGAGCTTACATTAGCTAAAAGCCAGCACTTGGGGAGGTGGACAGACACATGTCCAGAGTGCCTTGGAGAGCACAGGCCACCGCTGAAGCTGTGAAAAAAGGCTAAATACATGGTGGAAGCAGGAAAGGAAAGGAACCCCAGACTTGCTCCTGGCTCACAGTACTACCTGCTTCCCCATGCAGAGACACCCCAGTGAGGGCCCTCATATTGCCCTTGTGGACTTCACTGGGACTGAACCCTTCAGACCTAAGAGCTTCTAGGGCTCAGTTATTGGAAACATTTTCAGTTTTATTCTTCTGAATGACTTAAAGATTTTTCAATTAGAAAAACTCTCTTCATGAATGACATGTACTAATGTACTAAAGAACTTTGCTTCTAGATCTATTTAGAATTGTCACACTTCTTCTACTACTGATTACTACTGTAATCTACTGGGATTACAGGTGTGAGCCACTGCGCCCGGCCATTTTTTTCTTTCTTTCTTTCTCCTTTTTTTTTTTTTTTTTGAGGTGGAGTCTCGCCCTGTCGCCCAGGCTAGAGTGCAATGGCGGTATCTCAGCTCACTGCAACCTCCACCTCCTGGGTTCAAACGATTCTCCTGCCTCAGCCTCCCGAGTAGCTGGGATTACAGGCGCCTGCCACCATGCCCAGCTAATTTTTGTATTTTTAGTAGAGACGGGGTTTCACCATGTTGGCCAGGCTAGTCTGGAACTCCTGACCTTGTGATCCGCCCGCCTCGGCCTCCCAAAGAGCTGGGATTACAGGTGTGAGCCACTGCGCCTGGCTCAAATGTGCTTTTCAATAAAGGATTGGGAAAAAATAAGTTAGAGTGCAACTGCAAATTCCAAAATGATTAAGCCCTTGGAAATAAAATGGGATACATGATTTGAAAGATATCCAAGAGGTGGCATGTGCAGTAAGAAGAACTCAGCATTGGGCAGGCTGGTGGCTATAGCACCAGTGCTGAGAGGGCAGGATGTTAAGTAGGAAAGAAAAGCCTTTAGAGAAGGGCAGAGTTCCAGGATCCCTGTCCATATGGACAACATGACCCTAGTCTCTCATGTCTGTCAGCTCTTGTGTCTTCTGGCTTTTCTTAGTCTCACTCAGCCACATTGTTTGTAGCACTCACTTCCCTTGAAGGCACTTGAAACTGGGACATCTGTCCACAGACAGGCCTGTCTGGACAGCCTTCCAAAATGCTCATGGCAATGAGAAAGTCTCTGAGTCCCAGTCATTTCCCTGCACACAGAGTAGTTCCCATCTTAGCAAAACTGGGTGTTCTCTGAGTATCACTCAGCACATGGAAGCTGTCCAGACTTCTGTCCTGTGCAGGCAGGCAGTAACCTGGGATCTCTGCTCTTGCATGCAGATAAACTTACAGTCCTTCAAAGCTTCAAGCTCCTAGATGGTGAAACAATACATCTGTGCTGAGAGTGAGGAGAAGGATGCAATAGTCTTCCAGTTTTGTACTTTTACACTTCTGGGTCATCAGAAACCAAAGATTTGCCTTGGTTTCCCAAAGTGTTGGGATTACAGGCATGATCCACCACGTCCAGCTTCAATAATTATTATTTTTTATTTATTTATTTTGAGACAGAGTCTTGCTCTGTCACCCAGGCTAGACTGCAGTGGCGCCATCTCGGCTCACTGCAAGCTCCACCTCCAAGGTTCACACCATTCTCCTGCCTCAGCCTCCTGAGTAGCTGGGACTACAGGTGCCTGCCACCACACCCAGCTAATTTTTTGTATTTTTAGTAGAGACGGGGTTTCACCGTGTTAGCCAGGATGGTCTCAATCTGCTGACCTTGTGATCCACCTGCCTCGGCCTCCTAAAGTACTGGGATTACAGGCATGAGCCTCCACACCCGGCCCTCAATTATTTTTGATAGTTTTGTGTCAATATTTCCATGATATATAACAATTCCTTATTATTCTAGCAATCTTTTCCTCATCATTTTGTCTTAGTTCTACATAATTCTTATACTGAGGATTAAACTGAAGCATGGCTCTAACCCTGAAACTTCTCTAATAATTTTTAATCTCAATGATATTGTTTGAATATTTGTCCCCCTCCAAATCTCATGTTGAAATTTGGTTCGGGACAGAGCAGTGGCTTACACCTGTAATCCCAGCACTTTGGGAAGCCAAGGTGGGAGGATAGCTTGTGGCCAGGAGTTCAAGACCAGCCTGGGCAACACAGAGAGACCCCTGTCTTGATAAAAATAAAAAAGGCCAGGCGCGGTGGCTCACACCTGTAATCCCAGCACTTTGGGAGGCTGAGGCGGGCGGATCACAAGGTCAGGAGATCAAGACCATCTTGGCTAACACAGTGAAACCTCGTCCCTACTAAAAATACACACACACACACACACACACACACAAAATTACCCAGGCGTGGTGGCGGGCACCTGTAGTCCCAGCTACTTGGGAGGCTGAGGCGGGAGAATGGCATGAACCCAGGAGGTGGAGCTTGCAGTGAGCCAAGATCGCGCCACTGCACTCCAGCCTGGGCAACAGAGTAAGACTCCATCTCAAAAAATAAATAAATAAATAAATAAATAAATAAAATAAAAAAGATTTTGATAATATTGGAAGTGGGACCTAAAGGGAGGTGTTTGGGTCATGGGGGTCGAGCTATCATGAATGGCTTGGTGCAGCCCCCAAGTAATAAGTAGGTTCTCACTCTATTAGTACATACAATAAAAAGAGAACCATGTCAAAAGGTACCTGAGATACACCAAGAAAGCTCAAACTTGAAGACATGTTTTTAATATGTAAATGTGTATGAATGGATACATACAAGATGTGTTTAAAATCTGTTTGAGCTGCCACTGTCAGATTCAATGTATAGCTAGCATCAATTTGCTGGGGTTAGAGGGCATCAAGATCTTCCCAGAAATTCAGAGCCTTAGGTAATCCAAAGGAAGATTCTGTCAACATTTATACCTAAGCTTGACAGCCCTGATGCCTCTTTGGACCTGGCTTGGAAATATGATCCTCTATTGTAGCAATTGTACCTTGTTGCTGAATGATGTCATCATCCACAAGATGGATCCATTCTTGATTCTCACCCTATTGACTTTTTTCCATTGCAACCATAACATGGGCTAGCTGCTCTACACCTCTCCAGTGGACTTCAAGTGCTGCTGAGCTCAAATAAATCTTGTCTGTCCCACCATTTTAACCAGACAGGCAGAGCTCTTCTGTCTTAAGTGTCTCATAAATCTTTCAAATAGGTAAACTTCTAGTGCTATGCTTCCTCTGACCGTTCTGCTATTCTGTTTTCCTGTGCCATGGTTTCTCATTAGGTTTTCTACTGTTTTTTTGTTTGTTTGTTTGTTTGTTTTTCTTTTTGTTTTTGTTTTTGAGATGGAGTTTCACTCTTGTCGCCCGGGCTAGAGTGCAATGGCGCGTTCTCGGCTCACTGCCGCCTCTGCCTCTCGGGTTCAAGCAATTCTCCTGTCTCAGCCTCCTGAGTACCTGGGATTACAGGCACCCCCCACCAAGCCCAGGTAATTTTTTTTTTTTTTTGTATTTTTGGTAGAGACAGGGTTTCACCATATTGGCCAGGCCGGTCTCGAACTCCTGACCTCAGGTGATCTGCCCACCTTGGCCTCCCAAAGTGTTGGGATTACAGGCATGAGCCACTGCGCCCGGCCCTACTATTGTTTTTTGAAGCCCTAAATTCAAGGACAAAGGTCTGGCTTTGAAGAGAGTCACCATGTTCAGTAACCTTTCTGGTCTTCAAATAAGCTCTCCCAATGATCTTGGAGTTGGACTGTATTCTGAATGATCTCTTCACTGTGTCTTTGCTCTCTCAGTAGGTTGTAAGGTCTGTGAAAGCTGTAGCCAGTCCTTCATCTTTGTGTATATGGCTCCCATCACCGCATCTGGCATATGGAAGGATATCAACACATGCTTGTGAAATGTTGAAACTAATCAGACTTTTACAGTAAGAATGATATTTGACCAAAAAAATCTGCATTTGTATCTGTCAACTTAAAAGAATCACACAATTATTAATTTAGAAAGGAGATTTTCTTTTCTTTTCTTTTCTTTTTTTTTTTTTTTTTTTTTTTTTGAGACAGGGTCTCACTCTATCACCCAGGCTGGAATGCAATGGCACAATCATGGCTCACTGTAGCCTCAGCTTCCCCAGACTCAGGAGATCCTCCCACCTCAGCCTCCTTAGTAGCTGGGACTACAGGCATGTGCCATCATGCCTGGCTAATTTTGGTGCTTTTTGTAGAGATGGGGTTTCTCCATGTTACCCAGGCTGGTCTCAAACCCCTGGGCTCAGGTGACCCCTCTGCCTCAGTCTCCCAAAATGCTGGGATTACAGGTGTTAGTCACTGTCCCCGGACAACTTTCTTTTTTTTTTTTTGTAGAGACGCAGTTTTGCCGTGTTGGCCAGGCTGGTTTTGAACTCCAGGCTGGTTTTGGCCCCAAGTGATCTGCCCACCTTGGCCTCCCAAAGTGCTGGTATTACACATGTAAGCCACCATGCACAGACTTAATTTTATTTCTTATAATGTGTTATGGCCTGTAGGGTGGTTATTCTGACAGGCTGGAAAGTGTAGTCCCCAGCCAAAGACAGAAGCAGGCACTTTGAGGAAGTGGAGGGTGGAACAGGGATTTATGTTGAATGGGTTGACCAAGTATACGTATTCAACAGGTTACAGGAGGCATATAAATATTCATGAATGTGTTCCTAATGCATGTGTACTGAATAAATATGCCTGTTACATACAGCCCATATTCATTCTGGGGTGGAGACAACATTCAAATGTATTACAGTTAGGCCATATATGTCAAAAGGTGAAACAGGGACACGAAGGCACTCAAGTGCACAGCCTCTGTGAACAGTGCATGCTGGTGGTCTTCTTATTAGGAGAAAGTTACTGAAATCAGTCTCTTGTCCAATCAAAGCTGCATTTATAGCTTGTGGAACAAGGGCCTCAGTTAGTCACTGTCTGGCGATGGATGAACTGTAATGGTTTTAATAGTGATTATCTTGAGGCCAGCGCTTGATTAGCTGCTAGAAAAAAAAAAAAAAACCTTGTGGTAGTTAGAACATAATTTGTTTTTTAAGTGTAGAGATGTGTGATTCAACCCTTGCCTGGCACAGCCTTAGGTCTCATTTATAGTTTGGTGTCTTAATGCTATAAGGAGTCTGTTCTGTCAGTCTCATGATCCCTATTGTAATAATAATGCTAGTCAGTCATGTTTAAACTGCAAAAGGGAGTAGGTATAACAAGCTATGTCTGACCTCCTGTCTTGTCATAGCTAGGAACTCAGGTTTCTCTGGGGTCCCCTTGGCCAATAGAGGGTCCATTCAATTGGTTGGAGGCCTTAGGATTTTATTTTTAGTTCTCATACCCCTTGATGTTTTTGCAAACAGAATGTTTGACTCAGATGAAAACGTATTACAATACAATTTCATTATGGCTATGATATGAGAAGGAAACATAATCTACTTTCAGACAGAATACTCCAAGAAAGGTACCGTTTTACATTTGTTCTCATTACTTTATCTTTGAATCCATGATAAAATCAATAATAATGATATTAGTATTAATAGCAATTGACCAAATTATTTTCTGCTATGCTATGTTGAATATTCACTTTTATATGGAATGCCTTCATGAAAGCTACCTTGTAAAATGAGAGCAAATTTCACTTCCATTTCAGAGATGATAAAATAACCGAGTCAGCCAGCCAGAGAACTTGGCTTCTTGCTATTACACATATACACACACATTCTGAAATCCTTCTAACTTAGCAATTCATCAGTAAAAGCCAAAACTGGGCTTGTGAAAGTCCAAGTTAGGAATGTACAACTATCTCTGCCCCACCTCTAATCCAAAACCCAAACCATTCCTTAGGCATCTCCCCAAGAATTCCTCTGCTAAGAGACCTGGGTTTCAGAACTACCTACGTGATTTGGGGCAATAATCATGCCCCAAATCATGCAGCATACTACAAGCCAGTGTCCCCCAAAAGAGCTTCCTTCTAGGAAGCTAATACTCTTCTTTTCAACTTCTAACCCAGTCTGTCACCAAAAGGATTTCATTCTAGAAAATTTCATCAAAGGTGATTGGCTTTTATGTTTATAACACCAGGCCATTCTTCTGTTGCGATCAGCTCTGGGCTTCCTGTCACCACCCAGCTTGCCCCTATCTGCTTGGGACTGCCTAATCAGCCAGAAGACCACAAAAAAGGGCACTCATCCTTTGTCACCTGAAACAGGACAGATGTGAAGCACTTTCAACAACTTGTGCTTGAGGCCTGGGATTCTGTAGAGCATGTTCCAGTGTACAAGAGGATTCAAGTCCCTGGCAGCCTGCTTTCTATCCAAAGCTGGGTCACCTCTCTTGGGACCACCAGGACATTGAATTGCTTTCCCATTCCTGTGGACTTCTGAAATGGGCCCACCTGAGACAAGAACCCAGAGTGCCTAGCACCTTTAGGCTGGGCACAGAACCACCCACCTAGGAACCGATGACTGCAACCCAGGAGGAGACACAGATGCCCCCAGAGATGCCCCCAAGTCACAGCCTCCCTTGAGCCCTGCCAATGCACTCCCTAACTGCCTCACTTGGCTGGATCACCCTGCTCCAGGAACAGACAACTGGAGCCTGAGAAATCAGATGATGGAGACCTACCAAGCATCACCCTCCTCCTGCCTCCCAACAGCCACCACCCAGTGTTCCAAGTCTTGTTGGGAGTAGAGCCCAGGAGCAGTGGCTGAGTTGATGCAAGGCTGCCTCTGCCACCTGCCTTTGGCCTCCTTGAGATTTCTTTCACTGAGACTCTTCAATGGGTGATCCTGTGCCAAAAGGTATTGCTACCATGACACCTCTAGGTTTGCTCAAACACAATGGTAGAGATCGTGCCTGCAGAGAACTTTGCACATGTGTTTTTGCCCACGTGATAAAACTGTGCAAAAATGCAAAATTCTTACCCATGCATGTTTCTGGTTTGGCTGCTGAGGAAGGACAGGGAGCAGAGGAGCTGGTGGCCGGGCCTGGGCCAGGACAGGTGCATGGCCCTTGGTGCAATAGGGAGGAGTCCAGCATGAACACAACTTTTATTGGTATAGAGGTGACTGGGTGTTTTAAAGGGAGACTGAGGGAATAGGGAGGTGTGTGAGTGAGGAAGACCTGCGTAGAAACAGGAAAGTGAAAAATTATAGAAAGTGGAAAGGGGGGATTGGTCCATATGAACTGAGTCTCCTAACTGGGGCTAAACAAAGCTAGGCTCCTGCCCTCCCACAGAGGCTGGGAGACAGGAGCCCTATTTTCAGGTCTTGCCTCGAACACACAGTATATTCTTTTTGTAGCCTTGATCTTTCTCAGTCAGGCATCTAAAGGAGGGCTAGGGTCATCCCAGAGTTGTGGCCTTGAGCTGTAAGACACTGTGTTAGTGTTTTTCAAGTCTTTATAGACCAAGGTTGAAGCTTAGTAAAGAGTACTCCCAGGAACCTGTCTAGAGATTGGTCAAGGAGATAATCTTTGTTAATGTCAACTGAAGAAAAAAAAAATCAAGCTTTTAAATATTTAAATTTATTTAGAAGTCTTTCTGAGGACTACAGACTGAGGACTTACAGCCCTGGAGGAGTCTTTTAGAGAGATTTTGCAGACTGCTTAGAAACAGCGTTTCTGCTCATAACTTATATACAGGTCATGGAGGTTTCAGTATGCCTTCAGAACTTACGTCAAACTTGCTCAGATTTTACATTAAAGCAGAATCACATCAATGCTTGGGTGCAAGAGTACATCTGGTTATAGATTATAGAGCATAATCACTAACCCTGTCACATATTATGTGTAGGAAAATATGTGTCACATATTATGTGCAAGGACTGAGTTCATTTATGTGTTTTGTTTGTTTGTTTGTTTTTTTGAGATGGAGTTTTGCTCTTGTCGCCCAGGCAGGAGTGCAGTGGCGCGCTCTTGGCTCACTGCAACCTCTGCCTCCCGGGTTCAAGCGTTTCTTCTGCCTCAGCCTCCCATGTAGTTGGGATTACAGGCACCCACCACCACGCCCAGCTAAATTTTGTATTTTTGTTAGAGACGGGGTTTCACTATGTTGGCCAGGCTGGTCTTGAACTCCTGACCTCAGGTGATCCACCTGCCTTGACCTCTCAAAGTGCTGGGATTACATGCATGAGCCACTGCGCCCGGCTCATTTATCTTTTAAGGAACATAGTGACTCAGACAGGAGATGTGGGGGGCAATGTGCTGTATCCTGCCTGTTGTTGTTGTTGTTGTTGTTGTTGTTTGTTTGTTTGGACAAACTCTCACTCTGTCACCCAGGCTGGAGTGCAGTGGTGCGATCTCGGCTCACTGCAACCTCCACCTCCCGAGTTCAAGTGATTTTTGTGTCACAGCCTCTCGAGTAGCTAGGATTACAGGCACCTGCCACCATGCCTGGCTAATTTTTGTATTTTAGTACAGACGGGGTTTCATCATGTTGGCCAGGCTAGTCTCAAACTCCTGACCTCAGGTGATCCACCTGCCTCGGCCTCCCAAAGTGCTGGGATTACAGGCATGAGCCACTGTGCCCAGCCCCTGTTTTGTTTTTAAAGCATTCTCCCAGACAGAAGGACATCATCACAGAGTCAGGGGCTTTGTGAAATTATGCTGGCAACGGAAATGAGCAAACATGGCTTTTTACATTGCAACTTTGTCTCAAGTAAGTTACTGGGGATGTGGGGCCAAAGGGGAGGCACCTTCCTGCACCATAGGAAAGCTGGGAATGGAAAGAGAAGCCAGGAGTGCAGGATGGAGATACCAGAGTACTCTGGGGGTGGTTTGCAGAGCTAGGACCTCAATTTTGGGTGGGGACCAGGATGCCAAACAAATCTCCAAATTGACCTCTGTCTAGGTTCCTGGATGCTGTTCCAGGTGTTGAAGAAGGGTCAACCTAGGATCAGTATGGTGGCTTATGCTGAACTGGGAAGATGCATGAGGAAGAAGCAGAGAGAACCAAGCAGTCACTTCGCAAGGCCAATTCTGGAAGAGCACATTTGGGGAAAATGGGCTTAAGTAGAGCCAGGAAAGTTCTAGTGGAAAGACAGGATTGGTCCAAATGAATTGAGTCTCCTAACTGGTGAGGCCAATTCTGGATGAGCAGATTTGTGAGAAATGGGCAAGGCCTTCCCTCTTCCAGGATATGTGGGTTTCCTTCATCACAGTGGCCACCACATGAATTTCTAGGATGAAGGGGTCAAAATCTCCTGGCAACCTTGAGCTTAAATTGTGTTTGTGTAACACCTTCCCTAAGGTTCCAATAAAATTACTAGGGGGTTTTACAGAGTGAAGTAGAAGGGACTGACAAAGACCCTCCTTGACCAAACCCTAGACACAGTCTCCTCACCCCTTTCCCACCTATGCTTGGACCTTGGACATTGCCTCAAGAGCCCAGTTTTAGCCAGCATCCCCTATCTTCAATATCTGATTCGCCCTCGATATCTGACCACATTCCTTATTCTCCAATTGATATCTGATCACCCTGGTCTGCCTATAGCAAGAATACTGTTAGGTCACTTTAGAAAAAATTAACGTATCCTTTTAGTAATTTTCCATTCACTAACCCCTGTCCTGCCCCACGTTCCATCCCTACCTCTCAGTCTTTGGCTGTAAATCCCTTATTTTCCTTGTATTAGGAGCTGATCCCAATCTCAATCCTCTACTGCAAAGTACACCTATGGCAATAATGCTGAATGAAGTCTGCTTTACCATCCTAACAACTGTGTTACATTTTTTCTTTAACAGAAATAAAGTATGTTTGTGCTTTTGAAGAGGTAGGAGACTTTCTGTCACCTAAGTCCCATATCCAGTCCTGAAGCCTCTTCTTGCCTCAGAGTTGTTAGGGCTGGTTTCCTGAGGAAATAAAAACATTTCACTCCAAAATCTATTTGTTTGACATACTTCATGATAGTGGTTCAGAGGGCCTGCAAACAGAAGTAGTCCTAAAAACTGTGTTTTATGAGGGAGACCTTCATCTGTAGAGAAAACCTGTATTGATGTAGCCAGACTTAAGCCCCCATTCTTTCTGGTAACCTTAAATTGGTATATAAACATTCATACCCCATTGTTAGGGTAATCACTTGTGACTTTCCCCCAATGCATGCTAGTAAATTTCTATGCCATCTCCCCTAGTAATTGGCCTTTTGTCAGTTGATTTTTCATCAAACCTTCAGAGGAGGAAGGGAAATATTCCCTTAGCTTCTACAGTTTTGGTGCTGTCAGCAGGATCCCAAAGTCTCTTTGCTGTTCTGGAAACTGCAGTGAAGGGAACCTAGGACCTGACTAGATGGCAGAAAGGTAAGATTTTCTTACCAACCAGGCTCTCGGTCTCTCTCTGTGGAATCCAGTCAAGTGGATGGCAAAAATCACTGTATGTCTCTTTTTCCTCTGCAAAATTTTGATTAATAGGAGAAAAAAATTTGTGTGGCTAGTAGTGGGTCTAACAACTCTGATGTACTGTTTGGTATGAATATTCGTATTGTTTGGTCTTTCTCCTCCCAGAAACAGTTTTCTTCTTTGTCTTTTTGTGTTGTTCTGTGATAAAGAAGGACACCATAGGGTGGAACATGGGCCTAAACCTCCTATAAGCCCGTTTTTCAAGCCAACCCTGAAAACTGGTCAGTTTTGATTGTGATCAGAGCAGCGTATAAACTTTGCTGTGGGTTTCCAAAATAAAAACTGGATGAGGTTCCCCTCTTGTCTTGTTTTATGTCCTTGAGCTTGACCTGTGACCAAGTGGGAGCACTCTCTGTCTCCATCATTTGGGTGGCATGATTTTTGGATCATGTCTGGTGGCCAGTCTGAAAATGGCTGGGAACCAGAGTCATATAAGATTTGAAGCAATACACTTTTTGTTCCAAATGTGTCAAGCTCTTGAGGTAGTTTGTCTTTAAAAGTCCCATCTCTACAGGGTTTTTGTTGCCTCAACCCTTGTTGCCTGGTTAGTGCTAGAAAAGTCCTATCCTAAAAGAGCCTACTTGGTGTCACAAATTAAGAGGTCTGTGACTGGTGATCCCCACAAATTTCTAAGTCACCAGAGGCACTGTATGCACAAACAGCATCCTTAACCATGTGTGGCAATAAGAATCTTTCTATCTTGGCCTATTCCTGGGAGTAAATTTTTGAGGGAGAGACTCTTTAGGATTGCCACTTCTATGCCTCTTCAAGAAACATCTTTTTCTTAAATGATAAAAACTTACATTAAACCTAGAAATTTATATCTTGGGTTTTCCAATGAAGAGGCTGTTGCATTGAATTAAGTATACCAGTGGAAATTCTAATTTCCAATGTCCAGACGATGGATCCTTTAAATTAGAAAGACTCCTAAACTCAAAAAACATTTTTAAAGATCTCTCATTCTCAACAATTGCCTTATTTGTATTTATAGGAAGATTACATTAAAAGAAAGACATACAATGGTGTCATGGCTAGCCTTAGAAATTCTCTTGACAAAATTAAAGAGCAAACCCCTAACTGAAAACAAAGTTAAAACCCTTTATGAGCTCAAACTCCTTACTTTGGATCCCATTCAAGATTCACTAAGTAGTCTGCTCCACCTTGTAGTTTAGATAAAATTCTCTGCTTTCACCAGAGTGGCCTGGGTTTGACTCCTGGGCAGGGAATCAGCCCCTTTTGGTTTGATAATCATGTGACTTTTTACTTTTGGGGGTACTCATTTGTTTTTCATCTTTTTCCTTTCCATGGACAGCTTTTGATTGTCTTCCATCTGTAAGGGCACATGGGGCTTTTTGGGCCTTTGTGATGGCCAGATGAGAAGCTGAGACCCTAGAGAGAATATAATCAGACAGATACAAATTATACCCCATTTGTGATTAGCAAAACTCTTACTTCTTTGAGCTATCTTTGAAGTTGGTTCTGGATCTTGTGAGTACTTCTTTGTGCCTCTTTGGAGACACCTCATGCATTCTTGGTTATGTAGGGTGTCTTTGGTTAAAAAGTTCAAAAGCCAGCAATGTTAGCTGTTTGTCTCAGCTAAAATCTGATAATAAGAAATTTTGAAAGATTTTTTTAATTAAAAAAGAGCTACATGGTCAGAAGTCAGCTTAATTAAAAGCTGATATTCAAGCCATATATATATATGAGAGACCCATACCAGTGGCCTAGACCAGTGGCCGTTGTGAGGACTGGGGACATGACCTGTGCCTCACTTTCCCTAGTCCAGCTGTGCCTCCTGGCCATGCTGAGAGAAATCAGGTCCTACAGAGACTGTCTTGAGAGCTCTTTCCTTTGTATTGGTCTCTACATCTGGTATATAACAGTTAAAATTACTTATTTCCTTGATTTTTCACTAAAAATCAGAGTTATTAAGCATTAATATTATAATTATTATGTATAATTAAAACTTCTAGGTTAGGCCAGGCATGGTGGCTCATGCCTGTAGTCCCAGCACTGTGGGAGGCTAAAGCTGGTAGATTGCTTTAGCCCAGGAGTTCAAGATGAGTCTGGGCAATATGGTGAAACCTTGTCTCTATGAAAAAAAAAAAATTTGCCAGGCATGGTGGCACATGCCTGTAGTCCCAGCTACTCAGGAGGCTGAAGTGAGAGGACTGCTTGAGCCCAGGAGGTCTAGGCTGCAGTGAACTATGATCATGCCACTGTACTCCAGCCTGGGCAACAGAGTAAGAGAGTAAGATCCTCTATTTCACAAAAAAAAAAAAAGGAAAAGAAAAGCCTTCTAGATACAAAAAATGCTTCTATATACAAAATATATACAACATACACAAAAACACTTCTATATGCAACATATACAAAAAAGATGTTTTAAATAAAGAAGATTGGCAAGGGCGCAGGGGCTCATGCCTGTAATCCCAGCAGTTTGGGAGGAGGAGGTGGGTGGATCACCTGAGGTCAGGAGTTCATGACCAGCCTGGCCAACATGGCGAAACCCTGTCTCTACTAAAAATACAAAAATTAGCTGGGTGTGGTGGCACGCTTCTGTAATCCCAGCTACTCAGGGGGCTGAGGCAGGAGAATCGCTTGATCCCGAGGGGCAGAGGTTGCAGTGAGCCGAGAACGTGTCATTGCACTCCAGCCTGGGTGACAGAGCAAGATTTAGTCTCAAAAAAAAAAAAAAGGTTATTAAAAAGACATAAAAATATAGTTGTTGGTAAGAAAAATGTTGTTCAGTTTTGAGGGTTTCGAGATGGGGTCTCATTCTGTTGCCTGGGCTGGACTGCAGTGGTGTTATCAGCTCACTATATAACCTCAAACTTCTGTGCTCAAGGGTTCCTCCTGCCTCAGCTTCCCAAGTAGCTGGGACTGTAGGTGCACACAACCATAATTGGGTAATTAAATATTTTTTTTTGTGGAGACGGGATCTCAGTTTATTACCCAAGCTGGTCTTGAACTCCTGGACTCAAGGGATCCTCCTGCCTCGGCCTCCCAAAGTGCTGGGATTACAGGTGTGAGCTGCCACACCTAGCTTAGTTTAGATGTTTGTTTTAAAGTTTTAAATTTTTAATAGTTAATAACAGATAAAACTAAATTTAAAAAATTATAAAAGGTTATAAAAGGTTTATACAAATCTTATCTTCTGTGGTCAAAACTAATTGAGGTTAGATAGACCTGTTCATAATTTTACTAAAATTAGCTTTAGCATTAATAATATACGGATATAGAGATACAAATTTTTTAACAAAATTTCCATATAAGAGATAACAAGCTCTCTAACAAGCCCTCTCCCCCTCCCCCTCCCCCTCCCCCTCCCTCTCGTCTCCCTCTCCGTCTCCCTCTCCCCGGTCTCCTTCCACGGTCTCCCTCTGATGCCGAGCCGAAGCTGGACTGTACTGCTGCGATCTCGGCTCACTGCAACCTCCCTGCCTGATTCTCCTGCCTCAGCCTGCTGAGTGCCTGCGATTGCAGGCGCGCGTCGCCACGCCTGACTGGTTTTCGTTTTTTTTTTGGTGGAGACGGGGTTTTGCTGTGTTGGCCGGGCTGGTCTCCAGCTCCTAACCGCGAGTGATCCGCCAGCCTCGGCCTCCCGAGGTGCCGGGATTGCAGACGGAGTCTCGTTCACTCAGTGCTCAATGGTGCCAAGGCTGGAGTGCAGTGGCGTGATCTCGGCTCGCTACAACCACCTCCCAGCCGCCTGCCTTGGCCTCCCAAAGAGCCGAGATTGCAGCCTCTGCCCGGCCGCCACCCCGTCTGGGAAGTGAGGAGCGTCTCTGCCTGGCCGCCCATCGTCTGGGATATGAGGAGCCCCTCTGCCTGGCTGCCCAGTCTGGAAAGTGAGGAGCGTCTCTGCCCGGCCGCCATCCCATCTAGGAAGCGAGGAGCGCCACTTCCCCGCCGCCATCCCATCTAGGAAGTGAGGAGCGTCTCTGCCCGGCCGCCCATCGTCTGAGAGGTGGGGAGCACCTCTGCCCCGCCGCCCTGTCTGGGATGTGAGGAGCGCCTCTGCCCGGCCGCCCCGTCTGAGAAGTGAGGAAACCCTCTGCCTGGCAACCGCCCCGTCTGAGAAGTGAGGAGCCCCTCCGTCCAGCAGCCACCCCGTCTGGGAAGTGAGGAGCGTCTCCGCCCAGCAGCCACCCCGTCCAGGAGGGAGGTGGGGGGGGTCAGCCCCCGCCCGGCCAGCCGCCCCGTCCGGGAGGTGAGGGGCTCCTCTGCCCGGCCGCCCCTACTGGGAAGTGAGGAGCCCCTCTGCCTGGCCAGTCGCCCCGTCCAGGAGGGAGGTGGGGGGGTCAGCCCCCCGCCCGGCCAGCCGCCCAGTCCGGGAGGGGGGAGGGGGGGTCAGCCCCCTGCCCGGCCAGCCGCCCCGTCCGGGAGGGAGGTGGGGGGATCAGCCCCCCGCCTGGCCAGCCGCCCCGTCCGGGAGGTGAGGGGCGCCTCTGCCCGGCCACCCCTACTGGGAAGTGAGGAGCCCCTCTGCCCGGCCAGCCGCCCCGTCCGGGAGGGAGGTGGGGGGGTCAGCCCCCCGCCCGGCCGGCCGCCCCGTCCGGGAGGTGAGGGGCGCCTCTGCCCGGCCGCCCCTACTGGGAAGTGAGGACCCCTCTGCCCGGCCAGCCGCCCCGTCCGGGAGGGAGGTGGGGGGATCAGCCCCCCGCCCGGCCAGCCGCCCAGTCCGGGAGGGAGGTGGGGGGTCAGCCCCTCGCCCGGCCAGCCGCCCCGTCCGGGAGGGAGGTGGGGGGATCAGCCCCCCGCCTGGCCAGCCGCCCCGTCCGGGAGGTGAGGGGCGCCTCTGCCCGGCCGCCCCTACTGGGAGGTGAGGAGCCCCTCTGCCCAGCCAGCCGCCCCGTCCGGGAGGGAGGTGGGGGGGTCAGCCCCCGCCCAGCCAGCCGCCCCGTCCGGGAGGGGGGAGGGGGAGTCAGCCCCCTGCCCGGCCAGCCGCCCCGTCCGGGAGGGAGGTGGGGGGGTCAGCCCCCCGCCCGGCCAGCCGCCCCGTCCGGGAGGGAGGTGGGGGGATCAGCCCCCCGCCTGGCCAGCCGCCCCGTCCGGGAGGTGAGGGGCGCCTCTGCCCGGCCGCCCCTACTGGGAAGTGAGGAGCCCCTCTGCCTGGCCAGCCGCCCCATCCGGGAGGGAGGCGGCGGGGGGGGTCGGCCAGCCGCCCCGTCCGGGAGGGAGGTGGAGGGGTCAGCCCCCCGCCCGGCCAGCCGCCCTATCCAGGAGGTGAGGGGCGCCTCTGCCCGGCCGCCCCTACTGGGAAGTGAGGAGCCCCTCTGCCTGGCCAGCCGCCCCGTCCGGGAGGGTGGTGGGGGGGTCAGCCCCCCGCCCGGCCAGCCGCCCCATCCGGGAGGTGAGGGGCGCTTCTGCCCGGCCGCCCCTACTGGGAAGTGAGGAGCCCCTCTGCCCGGCCACGACCCCGTCTGGGAGGTGTGCCCAGCGGCTCACTGGGGATGGGCCATGATGACAATGGCGGTTTTGTGGAATAGAAAGGCGGGAAGGGTGGGGAAAAAATTGAGAAATCGGATGGTTGCCGGGTCTGTGTGGATAGAAGTAGACATGGGAGACTTTTCATTTTGTTCTGTACTAAGAAAAATTCTTCTGCCTTGGGATCCTGTTGATCTGTGACCTTATCCCCAACCCTGTGCTCTCTGAAACATGTGCTGTGTCCACTCAGGGTTAAATGGATTAAGGGCGGTGCAAGATGTGCTTTGTTAAACAGATGCTTGAAGGCAGCATGCTCGTTAAGAGTCATCACCACTCCCTAATCTTAAGTACCCAGGGACACAAACACTGCGGAAGGCAGCAGGGTCCTCTGCCTAGGAAAACCAGAGACCTTTGTTCACTTGTTTATCTGCTGACCTTCCCTCCACTATTGTCCTATGACCCTGCCAAATCCCCTTCTGCGAGAAACACCCAAGAATGATCAATTAAAAAAAAAAAAAAACAAAACAAATATTTACGTATGATAATGAGAAGAACACTGTCCTAGATGGCTGAAATGCTAATAGTCTTTAATTCACTATTTTCTTATTCTGACTGTTGCAAAGATTTGTAGTTTTATTGATGATTCTCACTCATGTTCTAAAATAGGAGTTGGCAAACTATTGGCTGCCTGTGTTTATAAATAAAGTTTTCCTAGAACACAACAAAAAAAAAAAAAAAAAAAGAGATAACAAATGCAAGATTTTTTGTTCACCTTTTAAATACATTGCAAAAGAAAAAAGAGAGTTTGCCTCATGCTGTCTTTGTCTTTTTGACTGTTTAGAGAACTGAGTCTCCTCTCTATCAAAGAGTAAGGGTTTTTGCTTTTTGAAATCTTTGAATTATCACTTTGGCTAAATGAGTAACTTATTTGTGTAAGATAAGGATTACTTATGTGTAATTCTATTTTGATCCAGGGTTTGAAACCTTTCTTATTTTCCTATCAAGTGTTTTAAGCCTTTAATAGTTGACAAACTTCTCAAAATCAAATTTTATATTCTAAAATTAAGTCTTTTTGACCTGAAACTAACTTTTAATTTTGGTATATAAAAATCATATGGAAAACACTGTCAAATAGAAGTGGCATTTAACTTTGAGTTACATTTGCAGAAATGTGTTATTAATATGTGCTCCAAAATTGTATGAGATTCCTAAAATTATGATATGTCTTGGCCTATGTTATGATTCATATGATTATTGTGTTAAATTGTTATATGCCACAGAAATAAGCAAATTTTCTTGTCAATTGTGTCTTTTTTTTTTTTTTTGGAGGCGGAGTCTCACTATGTCACCCAGGCTGGAGTGCAGTGGCGCCATTTCGGTTCACTGCAAGCTCCACCTCCTTGGGTTCATGCCATTCTCCTACCTCCCTCCTACCTGTAGCTGGGAGTACAGGCGCCTGTAACCATGCCCAGCTAATTTTTTTTTTTGTATTTTTAGTAGGGATGGGGTTTCACCATGTTAGCCAGGATTGTCTTGATCTCCTGACCTTGTGAACCGACCACCTTGGCCTCCCAAATTGCTGGGATTACAGGCATGAGCCACTACACCTGGCTGTCAATTGTGTCTTTAATTACGGCTATTCTAAGTCTTTTGCCATCCATAGACATTTATTGTTTTATTTTCATTCTTCTTGAAAGACAGTTTATAATCAGCTATAGTCCAAAATTTGATTCTTCTTCAAAAAAATTCATAAGGATCCTGACAAGTACTCTTGAATACAGGTTTTTGATAACTTTGGAGATCATAACATTGAACAATGTGAAATTTTTCAAGACTCTAGTAAACAAAGTTAATAGGTTCATGAAAGTTGATAACTTCAAGCAGAACAGGAATGAATTACATGGAACTAAACTGATAAAAGACTAAAATAATTTTTGTAACTTTTTTGCTTAAAATATTGCTGATTCTTTTCCTGTTTTGTTTTTGAGTCAAGAAAAATTTTATTTTAAACATTAATATTTATAGTTTACAACAATTGGGTAAAGTATACTTTTGTGAATAAAATTGAAACATTTGCCGAGCGTGGTGGCTCACTTCTATAATCCTAGCACTTTGAGAGGCTGAGGCAGGCGGATCACGAGGTCGAGAGATTGAGACATCCTGGCCAACATGGTGAAACCCCATCTCTACTAAAAATACAAAAATTAGCTAGGTGTGGTGGCACGCGCCTGTAGTCCCAGTTACTCGGGTGTCTGAGGCAGGAGAATCACTTGAACCTGGGAGGTGGTGGTTGCAGTGAGCCGAGATCACGCCACTACACTACAGCCTGTTGACAGAGCGAGACTCTGTCTCAAAAAAAAAAACAAAAAAAAAAAACAAGGAAACATTTACCTTTCTCTACCTGATTTCTCCAAAATTTGGAAGCTATTCGTGAGTATTCTTAATTTATGGCAATATAGTTATTTGCATACACAGTAAGAATCTGCTTTCTTTTGTAACAGCTCACAATTGGATATACTGGTTATTTTACCAAGGCTTTAACTGGAATGATATATTTTTGGATATGACCAGACTGCTTTGAGCAATTTAGGTTGTCTTCACAGAGCAAATAAAAAGCCCCTTGGAAAGACTGGCTTGGTGCCTCATCTACATGGCTCCCTTACGAGGTTCCTGATGATCTTGTGGTAAGTAAATAACATCACCTTATGACAGGCCCAGGACTCTCCAGATATTTTGGGAACCTCAAAAAGAGAGGAATTCACTGGTTTTATACACACATATTTTACACAGTTTTATACACTGGTTTTATAAGCACAGTCTGATGGCAAATCTTTGGCTTGGCTTCTCAGCTTTAAGAAGCTTTTAAAAGTGTAACCTGAGATTCCTTATGAAAAAGTTCTAGTGGCCAAGCACAGTGGCTCATGCCTGTAATCCCAGCACTTTGGGAGGCCGAGGTGGGCGGATCACCTGAGGGCAGGAATTCGAAACCAACCTGGCCAACATGGCAAAACCCCGTCTCTACTAAAAATATAAAAATTAGCCAGGTGCGGTGGTGAGCGCCTGTAATCCCAGCTACTTGGGAGGCTGAGGCAGGAGAATTGCTTGCACCTGGGAGGCAGAGGTTGCAGTGAGCAGAGATCGCGCCATTGCACTCCGGCCTGGGCAACGGAGAGAGACTCCATCTCAAAAAAAAAAAAAAAAAAAAAGTTCTAGCAACACCAACTTAAAAAATGCCTACATCACTAATCACTATTCTTGCTATACTTTATGCAAAGAATCAGGCCAAATATAGTAAGACTAAAACATTTTACAAGTAAATTAGTCTTACTATGATTTGTCTTTGGTATAAATGAGAGACTAAAGAAAGAAAAATTGCGGGGGCCGGGCACGGTGGCTCGAGTCTGTAATCCCAGCACTTTGGGAAGCCGAGGCGGGTGGATCATGAGGTCAGGAGATCGAGACCATCCTGGCTAACATGGTGAAACCCCGTCTCTACTAAAAATACAAAAAATTAGCCAGGTGTGGTGGTGGGCGCCTGTAGTCCCAGCTACTCAGGAGGCTGAGGCAGGAGAATGGTGTGAACCCAGGAGGCAGAGCTTGCAGTGAGCCGAGATAGTGCCACTGCACTCCAGCCTGGGCAACAGAGCAAGACTCCATCTCAAAAAAAAAAAAAAGAAAGAAAAATTGCATTTCAGAAAAAACACTATAGTACACCTGTTATTAGACTCTAGCCCTGCCCATTGTTTTTGAGTTTTTGTTATTTGGCTACAATTTAGACCAAATACTAAATATTTTTGTCTCTACAAGTCTCTGAACTGATGTTTCCATTTTTCTTGGTTAGACTCACTAAAGATTAAAATTGTGCTTTTTCTTAAAGCCCTGCCAACTGAAGTTAGGCAATATAAACTTCAGGAAAAATCACCAGAGCAACTTACATATAACAGCTAGGAAGGGCAAATAAAAATACTAGGACCCCAAATTCCCTAAGTTGAAGGGAAAAGTCAAGCTTGGACCCAAGTCACATAAAATGGCCTCTTATTTTTTCCTCTAAATAGAGAGCTACAAAGACAAAAGGCTATATACCATCTTCAGTTTGCTCACAAGGAAATTTCTTGTGGACCTTGATATCTGTACCCTAAAATAGTTCTGTTGAATTTCACCCTAACAATGTAAATTAACAGCTTATCTTCATGGGTACTGGACAAAGGACAGAACTAAAGGACATCCCTCCACCCACCTGAACCTAAAATATACCCAATGTACCCCTGAACCTAAAATAAAAGTTCAAAAAATTGATTAGATTCAGATGTATCTTTGTCCACTCCTTTATTTTCAACTCTTTTTATCATTTTACTTTATGTCTTCAAAATAGCATAGAGTTTGAAGCTATAATTTCTTTCTCTCTTTTCTCTCTTTATTTTTCAAGAGATGAAGTATTACTCTGTCACGCATACTGGAGTGCAGTGGCATGATTATAACTCATTACAGCCTTTAACTCCTGAGCTCAACCAATCCTCCTGTCTCAGCCTCCTGAGTAGCTGGGACTACAGGTGTGTGACCCCATACCTTGTTGTAGTTTACTTAATCTATTAATGCAATTGTACTTATCTTTTCACAGGGTAGTTCAATACACTGAATGATTGTATAAGTGGGAAAAGTGGCATCCCCCTTGTCCAGTTTCTATAAGGTACAATTATACCTGAATAACTTTAGTTTCATGTCTCATCTTTTAGTTCTCACCACTAAACTAATGAATTATCTGGTTGTAGAGTTTGAGAGGGGATCTACACATGAAAAGTTTGGCCCCTCACATTCCACCCTCTTTTATTAAGCCAGCGCCTCCTGGAAAACTGTGCTATGCTTGCTTCTCCATGCCCCACATTTCATAGACACACAGCCTCACTTGAGGAAACTTGAGGTTGTGTAACTCTTCCTGAGGCTGGATAGATAAATGCAATTCTGCCGTCAAGAGGTCCATTTTTGGTGTTAGCATTAGGCCCATCTTCCAATTTAGTTTATTGTGTGTGATTTTCCTGTATCCCTTATTTCCAACCCTTCAATTCAAGATAACCATCCACAGTTGGTTATTTTATTACTAAATTGAATATTCTGTTGTTTACCTTTTTACATAGTTTTATTTTTATCAATATGTATCTACATATTGTGTGTTTTTGTTAATTTTATAAAATAAAACTGTGTTCTGTGAAGGGAAATTAAACTTTGGGACCCCAAACTCATTTAGCCAAAGGGAAAAGTTAAGCTGGGAACTGGGTCACACAAACCTGCCTCCCGCTTTTGATTCCTAAATAAGATGGCTACAAGATGAAAAGCTACATGCCTCTCCCATATTTTGCCCACAGGGAAATTCCTGGTGAGCTGTTAAAACTTCACCATGGCAATGCAAATTGATAGCTTATCTTTACATGTGCAGTCACCCTGCTCGCCAGACACAAATGCATATCTGATTGTTCCCTCTACCCCATTTTGTCTGTTATCTTATGTAAAATGCAGATTCCCCATATTTTTCCTCTGCCCCTTTGGTTTATGTGAAAACTGTGCGCTTCTCAATATCCTGCCCTTTCCCCTTTAAATTTGGAGCCCTCAAAATCATCATCAGAGAAAGGCATAGACCTGTCTCCCAGGCATGTCCTTAACTTTGGCAAATAAACCTCCTAAAATGATTGAGACTTATCTTGTCATTTTCCTCAATTGACAGTTCTATGTAGTCTTTTAAACTTTTTCTCTGAATATTATGTTGCTATAATGCAGCCATGATTTTGAGTAATGTTGTAGTTTATTCTGATTTTTGTAAAATATTCCGTTCTGTGAATATAATATGTTCCTTTCTATCCGCTCTCCTATTGTTGGAGTTTTAGTTCCTTCCTCCTCAGCAAATTTTTGTTACTGTGAACAGTACATATATGGACATTCTCTTCCATGTTTCCTTGTGTGCATGTGCAAGAATTTCCCTTGGATATAGACCTAAGAATGGAATCAGTGGCTTATGAGATATTCCTAAACTTGTTTACTCTATCTTTCCATTTTAACAGGAAAGTTCTTACTTCTGTCTTATTCTTTGTAGACTACCATTGAATAAAGGCCTCAATCAACCATCCATACCTACTGCAGATTCTTCTAGATGCTGATGTATGCGGAACCCAGAATTTCTATTCTTGGCACCCATATAAGTAAATTTTATTTGTTCTGCATTATGTTCTAGTTTTCTTGATATAGCACTTTAAAAAATCATTTTCATACAAATTCATATGGTTTCTGCAAATATAAATTAACTGTCTCTTGCAACTGTTTTGATATGTAAGCAATGACACCCAAATTCAGATTTCATTGTTGTCCCTTAGGGGTATCCTAGTATCTGACTCTAGTTAGGGGGTTAGAATTAGTTATACTGGCTATGAGACTTCTGTTGAATTGACATTCTTTTAGGAGCTGTCTCAAGTAAGAGCTTTCTAGTATCTTCAAACAAAAAAAAGGACTCACCTACTCAGACAGAAAGTCTATTTTTTAAAGGACGCTTAGAGAGATTTGTGGGGTTCAAGGTTATTATATTTATAAAGATCTACCCAAATTTACCCCTTTGATTTCAGAGTCCCATTACTTGCTAATCAATCCCATTGCTTATACATAAAAGATATGGTAAAGGTGAATTCACCATATATATATAAAATTTAGAGACAGAGTCTCAATATATTCTCTAGGCTGGCTTTGAACTCACTTCCAGCAATCCTCCTCTGGCCTCAGCCTTTTGAGTAGGTGAGACAACAGGTATGTGCCACCCTGCTTGGCCTTCACCTTATATTGTTTTTTTTTGAGACGGAGTCTCACTCTGTCACCGAGGCTGGAGTGCAGTGGCGCAATCTCGGCTCACTGCAACCTCCAGCTCCCGGGTTCAAGCAATTCTCCTGCCTCAGCCTCCTGAGTAGCTGGGACTATAGGCACATGCCGCCAGGCCTGGCTAATTTTTTGTGTTTTAGTAGAGACGGGGTTTCACAACGTTGCCCAGGCTGGTCTCGAACTCCTGAGCTCAGGCAATCCACTCGCCTCGGCCTCCCATAGTGGTGTAGTGGTGCAGCTCACCATAGCCTCCAACTTCAGCCTGGGTGCACTTCAGCCTGGGTGACAGAGCAAGACTCTGTCTCAAAAACAAAACAAACAAACAAAATTTTACATTGGTTTATTAAAATAACATAAGCTATTGTTGGCTATACATTTTTCTTTATGTCACTAATTTCAGGAAAAAGAAGGTAATGAGTGAGACTCACATTGCCCAACTTGTGGTAACATTTTAGGTTATTAGTCTGGAAACAACAGGAAAGAAAAAAAAAACCACCAAAATTTATTTATTTATTTAGAGATGGAATTTCGCTCTTGTTGCCCAGGCTGGAGTGCAATGGTGCGATCTTGGCTCACTGCAACCTCTACCTCCTGGGTTCAAGCGATTCTCCTGCCTCGGCCTCCCGAGTAGCTAGGATTACAGGCGCCCACCACCACACCTGGCTAATTTTTTGTATTTTTAGTAGAGATGGTGTTTCACCATGTTGGCTAGGCCGGTCTCAAACTCCTGACCTCAGGTGATCCACCCACCTCGGCCTCCCAAAGTGCTGGGATTACAGGCATGAGATACCGCGCCCGGCTCCAAATTTATTTTTTGCTTATTTATTTTTTATTTATCTTAACTTTTTTAGAGATGGGTTTTCTCTCCGTTGCCCAGGGTGAAATGCAGTAGCCTGATTATAGCCTGCTGCAGTCTCAAACTCCTGGGCTTATGTGATCCTCCCATCTCAGCCTGCTGAGTAGCTGGGATTACAGGCAAGAGCTGAGTCGCCGCCCCTGTCAAAATGCCTTGAAACAGTTATTCCTGGGTATGGCTGAGAGGGATATGACTGAAGGCTCTTGCTCAAGTCTCTCTGAGCCTGATAAATTTTGCATACTTTACATTCCTCAGGCTGCTTTGAGCCACTTTTCTTTCTTACCCTTAATGTCCATCTGATTGTGGTCAAATCCATTGTTCTAACTCATTTTAGAAGCAGAGTACCTTTGTAGATGATGAAAAAACCCGACCTCTACCTTCTTAAATTCAGTGTGTAGAGCCTGTCACTTTTTTTTTTTTTTTTGAGACAGAGCCTTGCTCTGTCGCCCAGGCTGGAGTGCAGTGGCACAATCTTGGCTCACTGCAAGCTCTGCCTCCGGGGTTCACGCCATTCTCCTGCCTCAGCCTGCCGAGTAGCTGAGACTACAGGCGCCCGCCACCACACCCGGCTAATTTTTTTTTTTTTTTTTTTTGAGACGTAGTCTCGCTGTTGCCCAGGCTGGAGTGCAGTGGGGCGCAATCTCGGCTCACTGCAGGCTCCGCCCCCTGGGGTTCACGCCATTCTCTTGCCTCAGCCTCCCGAGTAGCTGGGACTACAGGGCCCGCCACCTCGTCCGGCTAATTTTCTGTATTTTTAGTAGAGACGGGGTTTCACCGTGTTAGCCAGGATGGTCTCCATCTCCTGACCTCGTGATCCGCCCGCCTCGGCCTCCCAAAGTGCTAGGATTACAGCCGGGAGCCACCGCGACCGGCCCACGCCCGTCTAATTTTTTGTATTTTTTAGTAGAGACGGGGTTTCACTGTGTTAGCCAGGATGGTCTCGATCTCCTGACCTCGTGATCCGGCCACCTCGGCCTCCCGAAAGTGCTGGGATTACAGGCGTGAGCCACGGCGCCCAGCCCCAGCCTGTCACTTAAACTGATAAACGACAGATTAACAGTAGAAAAATTTTATTTTGCATACATAATGAGGCTTCACAAAAGAGAAGTGAAAACCCAAGTAGGAGTTTAGGGCTGGGGGCTTATATACCATTTAACAAGGGGTGATAAATTGTGAAGAGAATAGAATAGTCAAAGGGAAAGGAAGCTTTGCGATTATCGATTATAGGGGGAGGGAGTAAACAGTGAGAAGGTGATTAGGAAATGTCTGGCAAGTACGGTTTGTTATGCAGTTTCAAGTCCTCTCTGGTGATAATACATGTCCTCAAACAAGCATTGTGGGGGAAAGAAAGAGAGATCAGACTGTTACTGTGTCTATGTAGAAAAAGGAAGACATAAGAAACTCCATTTTGATCTGTACTAAGAAAAATTCTTCTGCCTTGAGATGCTGTTAATCTGTAACCCTAGCCCCAACCCTGTGCTCGCAGAAACATGTGCTATATTGACTCAAGATTTAATGGATTTAGGGCTGTGCAGGATGTGCCTTGGTAAAAATGTTTGCAGGCAGTATGCTTGGTAAAAGTCATCACCATTCTCCAATCTCAAGTACCCAGGGACACAATGCACTGTGGAAGGCCACAGGGACCTCTGCCCAAGAAAGCCTGGGTATTGTCTAAGGTTTCCCGCCACTGAGATAGCCTGAGATATGGCCTTGTAGGAAAGGAAAGACCTCCATCCCCCAGCCCGACACCCATAAAGGGTCCGTGCTGAGGAGGATTAGTGAAAGAGGAAGGCCTCTTTGCAGCTGAGACAAGAGGAAGGCATCTGTCTCCTGCTTGTCCCTGGGAATGGAATGTCTCAGTGTAAAACCTGATCATATATTCTATTTACTGAGATAGGAGAAAACTGCCTTATGGCTGGAAGTGAGACCTGCTGGCGGCAATACTGCTCTTTACTGCACTGAGATGTCTGTGTAAAGTCAAACATAAATCTGGCCTATGTGCACATCCAGGCACAGCACCTTTCCTTAAACTTATTTATGACACAGAGTCCTTTGCTCACATGTTTTCCTGCTGACCCTCTGGCCACCATTACCCTATAGTCCTGCCACATCCCCCTCGCCAAGATAGTAGAGATAGTGATCAATAAATACTGAGGGAACTCAGAGACCAATGCTGGTGCAGGTCCTCACTTGCTGAGCACCAGTCCCCTTGGCCCACTTTTCTTCCTCTATACTGTCTCTGTGTCTTATTTCTTTTCTCAGTGTCTCGTCTCCACCTTGCAAGAAATACCCACAGGTGTGGAGAGGCAGGCCCCCTTCAAGTATTAGAGTAGAAGAGTTTCCTTCTCTTCCAGGTAGGGGAGAGGTGGAAGCTTTTATAAATGCAAATTTTTTTACAAAAGCAAAATGTATGCCCTGCTTTTCAGCAGGAAAGGGAGGTCAGAGATCCTCATATGTCTGCTATTTCTAATTTCTTTTTTTCTCTTTTTTTTTTGAGATGGAGTCTCGCTCCCATCACGCAGGCTGGAGTGCAGTGGTACGATCTTGGCTCATTGCAACCTCTACCTCCTGGCTTCAAGCAATTCTCCTTCCTCAGCCTCCTGAGTAGCTGGTATTACAGGCGTGCCACACCACGCCTGGCTAATTTTTGTATTTTTTTTTTTTTTTTTTTTTTAGTAGAGATGGGGTTTCACCATGTTGGCCAGGCTGGTCTCGAACTCTTGACTTCAGGTGATCCACCTGCCTCGGTCTCCCAAAGTGCTAAGATTACAGGCATGAGCCACTGCACCAGGCCTGCTATTTCTAATTTTTTAACTGCTCAAAATAATCCATAGGCTAAAGTGGCATATATTGGGGTGGCACATCCTGATCCCCTTTACATCCCAGACTAACTCTGATAGAGATTCTAGCCCTCCCTGGGCTCATTAGAAAAGAAGCTCTAGGCACATTAGAAACATCTCAGTCATTTAAAATTCTCTAGCCTAGGAAGGTTCAAGTTAAGCCTTCCAAACAATTGGAGTTCACTGCGGCCTACCATCTGCAACTTTTTCATGCCATACACTCATTTCTGATGGGCACATCTAATTCTGTCTTAAAATACAAGACAATACTGAAGACACACAAACCTATACATCCAACTTAGACTCTGATGCTCCATGGTTGGATTCCTTCTTATTCACTGAACAGCTCTTTTGGAAGCCCTCAGACAGCTCTAAATCAAGCCTGCCTCTCTTTAGGGATTCCTTATCTTGGTTAACAATATCTAGAAAAACACTCTGTTTAATACAAGTAAGAAACTTGGACACAGTTTTATCTTTTCTTGCTTCCTTTCTTACTTGCTTTCTTTCTGTCTCCCTTCCCTTCCTCCTTAACTATAACCCTAACTCTAATTATATCCATGTGAATATTTCAGGCTATATTACTTATCACCATCTACATATGCACTCCCCTTTCTGGGATAAGTTGTATCTTTGCTTTCACTTTCCTCAGCAGAAGTTTCTTGGGTATGTCTATCCAGAAAGACACTCTCTGTGTTCCCCACATTTTCTGGGAAAGAAGAGACTCTCACAAGGCCTCTTAGTGGTTCAAATTAGCACCATCATAACATTCATGGATTCGGGATACACTGTGTAACTGGAGCTCTGCTTTCACAAGGCCAGGTTCATACTTGAAAGATTCTCCCCGGGGACCCAAAGCTTGAAGGGATGAGTAACTCCCCCCTTCTCAGGCCCAGTCCCAAGGCACAACGCCACTTGCACCAGCAGCGTGTGTCAGCAAGATAGCAGAAGCAGGAAGAGAGCCAGCCGGAAGACACATTCCCTGGCCAGAAGACACGTACCCCTGAAGATCGAGAAAGAGGCCGTCGCGTACTACATAGCAGTCATGTTAGACTGGGACACTTCCTGTTTACAGAGGACTATAAACCCCCTGTACCGTCCTCACTTGGGGCTGATGCCATTTTAGGCCTCAGCCCACCTGCACTCACGTGCTCATTAAAACAGCATGTTGCTGCTCCACACCACTTCGTGTTGTCTTTTGGCGTGCTCTCAGGGTTTGAACCAACACAAGAACCTTACATCTAGTGCCGAAACCGGGGAGGGGCTCTGGTCCACATCCCCCATGGACCTACCCCTCCACCCTGGAGAACAGGCCACAGCAGCAGGACAAAGGAAGCTCCTCAGCCTCCAGTTGCCTCTCTGTGCATGCACATTGGTCACTGGCCTTGCCTATTGGTAAGTTTCCCTAGGAGCCCAGTTAACAAGGGAAAAGCCACATGGCCTCTCTTGGTGTCTACGGTCCAAAAATCCAATGTCGGTCCAGCAAGGCTCCGGCGTGTGCCAGGTACTCGCTGATCATCCCATCACCTGGTCTTAGGGAGACGCCTCTAATCCATTTGATCCCGTTCCAGGAATGAAAAAGGCAGCGGTGATGATGATTGCTCCTTTTGTCTCCCTCTGGCCGTCCAGGACGGTCTCCTTTTTCCCTGTTCTCCTGAGCCTACCCTCTGTTATGGGAAACTCCCGGTCCTCCCTTCCAAAAAACAGCCCTCTAGGCTGCCCCATAAAAAACCTGCAAACCTTAGGCCTCAGGCAAAATATCCACCCTAAGCGCCTTGTCTTTTTTTGCAATTCAGTCTGGCCACAATACGAATTGGATAATGGGTCCAAATGGCCCGCAAATGGAACATTCGACTTTACAGTTTTAACTGAGTTAAGCAATTATTGACAACGACTAGAGAAATGGGGAGAAATTCCTTATGTCCAGGCCTTTTTGCACTCAGATCACAACCCGACCTCTGCAATTCTTGCTCACCTGTTCAAATCCTTCTCCTCCATTCTTGCCACCCTGATTGTCTTTCTCCTCCCAACCCTACCTCTTTTTCCTCGTTAGATCCAGCAGACTGCTGTCCACCCCTCCCAACCCCTACCTCTTCCTCTCAATCGTCTTCTTTAGCCCAAGCCTCCTCGTTGTCTTCTCAACCGCCATCTTCCCAGCCACCATCTTCCCAGTCAGCAGTATCTGCTTCTTTTCCTACACCGCCCCCTCCTCAGGACAATTCTAGTATTGCCTGTACCCATTCTCCTCCCCTACTGCCTTCTCCTGAGGCTTGTAAACCCATCCCACCACCTTACGCCCCTATCTATCCTCCACTACCTGTTAACTCAATCCCCCTTTCCCCTTCAAACACTCAGCAGGAACCACTTCCAGGTTCTTCCTTCTCTCCCATCCACACTTGTTCAGGTGCCATGTTTGGCCATGCCCCACCCTTACTTTAGTGCCTGTGCTAGAGTGCCCTCTTCAGGAAGTAGCAGGAACTGAAGGTATTGTTAGAGTTCATGTTCCCTTCTCCCTCACTGATTTCTCTCAAATTAACAAAAGACTGGGTTCATTTCCAGAAGACCTGACCTCTTATATTAGGGAGTTTCAGTACCTTACCCAGTCTTATGAACTAATCTGGCATATCCTCTACGTTATCCTCTCTTCCACCCTCACCCCAGAAGACCGGGACCATATCTGGACCCTAGCTCAGGGGCATGCTGATCAATTTATCACCAAGCTCCTGCCCAGCCTACTGGCGCACAGGCAGTCCCCAACCAGGACCCCCACTGGGATTATCAAGACAGGGCCTCTGGACGCTACCATTGAGACCACAATTGTGTCTCCTTGCAGGACTCAAAAAGGGTGCCCATAAAGCGATAAACTATGAAAAACTTTCAGAAATCCCCCAAGATCCTGACGAAAAAACAGCCCTTTTTCTCTCTTGTTTAACTGAAGTCATGAGAAAATATACCAACCTAGACCCAACCAGCCCAGAAGGAACCACTATTTTAAACCTTTAGTTCATGTCCCAATCCACCCCGATATTCGGCGTAAGCTACAGAAGCTTGATGATGGCTCTCAAAACCCACAACGAGACCTTCTTAATTTAGCCTTCAAAGTCTTTAACAATCGTGATGAGGAAAATAAAAGGCAAAAACATGCAGAGTTTCAAATGCTTGACTCCGCCATCCGGGGCCCTGCAGGCCCACAGGGCCGCAGCTCCACACAGAAGCCTCCTAGCAATCCACCTCCACCTGGCGCATGTTTCAAGTATGGCAATGAAGGCCACTGGTCTAGACAATGCCCAAACCCAGGTAAGCCCATCAGGCCATGCCCCCTCTGCAGAGGACCCCACTGGAAGTTGGACTGTGAGCGGCCCCCACAAGGACCACTCCCATCCCTTCCTGAGCTGGCCAAAACCTCCTACTCGGATCTCACTGGCCTTGCCACTGAAGACTGATGGGGCCCTGGAATGGACGCCCCGGCAACTACCATTGCTTCATCTAAGACAAGGG
This sequence comes from Homo sapiens, assembly GCF_000001405.40. Taxonomy (NCBI): domain Eukaryota; kingdom Metazoa; phylum Chordata; class Mammalia; order Primates; family Hominidae; genus Homo; species Homo sapiens. The sequence goes on along the minus strand of NC_000005.10, from coordinate 43,073,006 downwards.
TAACCCTGATGGTGGCAGGTAGGCCAGTATTTTTTCTTATTTAATACCGGGCAACCTACTCTGCTTTACCTAATTTTTCAGGACCCACCCAGTCCTCCCAAGTCTCTGTTGTGGGAATTGACGGGCAAGTCTCCAAACCCCGAGCCACCCCTCCACTCTTCTGCTCCCTGCATACCTTTTCCTTCACTCACTCTTTTTTAGTCCTGCCCTCATGCCCAACTCCACTCCTAGGCAGACATCCTTTCAAAAGTCCACACTATTCTCCACTTCCACGTTCCCCATAGTACCCAACACATCAACCCATCCCCTAGCCCCATGCTTACCAAACTATCCTTAAAAAATCCTGTCTTAAGAATTCTCAGCCTGGCCGGGTGCCATGGCTCATGCCTGTAATCCCAGCACTTTGGGAGGCCGAGGCGGGAGGATCACCTGAGGTCGGGAGTTTGAGACCAGCCCGACCAACATGGAGAAACTCCATCTTTACTAAAAATACAAAATTAGCTGGGCGTGGCGGTGCATGCCTGTAATCCAAGCTACTCGGGAGGCTGAGGCAGGAGAATCGCTTGAACCTGGGAGGCGGAGGTTGTGGTGAGCCAAGATGGTGCCATTGCACTATATAGCCTGGGCAGCAGTACGAGTGAAACTCCGTCTCAAAAAAAAAAAAAAAAAAAAAAAAAAAGAATTCTCAGGGAGGTGGATTTGGGAATGAATTCCTGTCCTTCCACTTGGCCAGCCCTGCAATTATTGAAGTCTTTCTTTGCTGCAAAAAAGCTGCTGTTCTCAGTGCATTGGCCTTTGTGGACAATGGGCAAGATGAAACCATTGGGTGATTACACCCACCCTACCCAAAAAAAGACATTCTCTAAAAACTGTCATATCTTTTATCTATTCTTCTAAAGGACCATTTATCTTCTAAAATATCATTTGTGGCTGGTGCAGTGGCTCATGCCAGTAATGCCAGCACCTTGGGAGGCTGAGGAGGATGGATCACGAGTTCAGGAGATCGAGACCATCCTGGCTAACACAGTGAAACCCTGTCTCTATTGAAAATACAAAAAATTAGCTGGGTGTGGTTGCGGGCACCTGTAGTCCCAGCTACTCGGGAGGCTGAGGCAGGAGAATGGCATGAACCCCGGAGGCAGAGCTTGCAGTGAGCCAAGATCACGCCACTGCATTCCAGCCTGGGCGACAGAGAGAGACTCTGTCTCAAAAAAAAAAATCATTCATATTTCCATAAGTGCCCCTCTGCCCCTCCCCATCTCCTTAATGACATAGGATGTTTCTCAGCAACTTTGCCAGCCAGAGACCTCTGGCTGGCGATGCCCTACCTAGGCCTTGCTGGAGCCCAGGCTAACCACAGGAGATGCCCCATCTACTCGGTTTGCTGGGCTGTGCCTGGCATGTCCTCTGGTGCAGATCCTGTGGCCACCATGACTGTGCACTCAGCCCCTGGCAGGAGGGGTGTGTGAGCTAGTGAGTGTGGGGTTCCACTGGTAGCTCCAAGCACCAGCACAGGAGCAGGCTCTGTGTGGGACTTGTGGCTGGACCAGGCATGTTGCAAGTGACTCCTATGGTGGACTCTGGCATCCAGATGAGGGGAATGTGATGGCACCCAAACAGGGATGCCCGTGACCCCAAAGCCCCAGAGTGGGTGTTACAACATGCTAATAGCTCTTTCAGTCCCGCCCTCTGCAGCCCGAAAGATGTCAGCGTGTTAACAGCTCTGTCAGTCCTGTGGTCTTGCTCTGGCCTACAGCTCCAGGGCTGGTTTGGCCCAACAGCTGCTTCCCGTGTTACAGCCTTCTTTGTACCCGTGTTAGGTGGATCCCGAGTTGTTGTCCTGCATCCAAGAAGAATGAGGTTATGCTGAAAATCAAAAAGTGAGGAGGGCAGAGAGGAGTTTTATTGAGCCACAAAACAGTTCTCAGTGGAGAGGGGATTCGAGGATGGTTTCCCACCAGAAGTTGGGTGGTCTCTCTCCCAATGTGGCAGGGTCTGGGGCTTTTATAGGCTCAGAATGGGGGAGTGCATGCTGATTGGTTTGTGCATATGCAAAAAAGGCTAAAACAAAAGCACCACTCAAAGGTGGGCACAACTGTGTAAAAAAACAATTAGGGAAGGGCAGGTATATGTAAAATAGGTGAAGTGTGGGGATCAATCAGAGGAAAGTGCACTAAGTGAAGTGTGTGGATCAATCAGAGGGAAGTGTGCTAAAGGGGAAGAGAGATTCTTAATCCGGTCCATGGATTTACTGGAGACTTGTAGCTTGGCTTTCATGCTTTAAACTGTCTTTGGTTTGAAGGTGGGGTTTCACCAGGGACCCACCCTTGTCTCCCTAGGATTTGTCTGCCTCCTGCCACTATCATTAAGATGGTATCTAAAGTCTCAAATTTCACCACACTTTTGGATATTCAGTTCTTTCTATGATGCCTCCATGCACATTAGATTAAACATTAAAAAACTTGGCTGGGCGCGGTGGCTAATGCCTGTAATCCCAGCACTTTGGGAGGTGAAACCCTGTCTCTGCTAAAAAATAAAAAAAATTAGCTGGACATGGTGGCGGGCGCCTGTAGTCTGAGCTACTTGGGAGGCTGAGGCAGGAGAATGGTGTGAACCCGGGAGGTGGGAGCTTGCAGTGAGCCACTGCACTCCAGCCTGGGAGACAGAGTGACACTCTGTCTCAAAACAAAAAAATAAAAAAATAAAAAATAAAAAACTTATATTCCTTTTCTCGTGTTAATCTGCCTGTTGTCAGATGAATTCACAGCACTCTCTGCCCAGCCACTGAATCTAAGAAGGTGGAGAAAAAGTATCTCCTCATCTATGCTGGAAAGCATGAATGTGGATTCTTGCTTTTCTAATCTATGACTTGCATAGCTTCTGTGCAACATCCTGACTTCCCAGACAATTCACCTGTGCATACCACTTCTGTGTAAAGACTATCCTTGTTTTTTTTTTTTTTTTTTGAGACAGGGTCTTGCTCTATCGCTCAGGCTGGAGTGCAATGGCGCGATCTTGGCTCACTGCAAACAAGCTCTGCCTCCTGGGTTCACGCCATTCTCCTGCCTCAGACTCCCGAGTAGCTGGGACTATAGGCACCCGCCACCACGCCTGGCTAATTTTTTGTATTTTTAGTAGAGACGGGGTTTCACCGTGTTAGCCAGGATTTGTATTTTTAGTAGAGATGGGGTTTCACCGTGTTAGCCAGGATGGTCTCAATCTCCTGACCTCATGATCCGCCCACCTTGGCCTCCCAAAGTGCTGGGATTACAGGTGTAAGCCACTGCGCCTGACCAGTCTTTTTTTTTTTTTGAATGTTTAAAAATGTTTCCATTTTGTGCCACCTTCCTTTAGTCAACAATAACCCAAGTTTTGTTATTATTAGTTTATTGGTTTAGCCAGATTTATCTTGATGAAATTTTACAAAAATATACTTTGCGGCTGGGCACTGTGACTCATGCCTGTAATTCCAGCACTTTGAGAGGCCGAAGCAGGTGGATCACTTGAGGTCAGGACTTTGAGACCAGCCTGGCCAACAGGGTGAAACCCTGTCTTTACTAAAAATACAAAAATTAGCCAGGTGTGATGGTATGCACCTGTAATCCTGGCTGCTTGGGAGCTGAGGCAGGAGAATAACTTGAACCTGGGAGGTGGATGTTGCAGTGAGCCGAGATCGTACCACTACACTCCAGCCTGGGGAACAGAGCGAGACTCCGTCTCAAAAAAAATGCTTTTCTTTATTCTTTGTTTCTTCTTCTATATGACAAACAATGAAAGAAAGTATTAAAGGCTGGGCATCATTTGTGGTTTGTGTCCCACAGTTTGCATTCCAGATTTGATCTGGTGCCTAGAACCTGCATACACTTAGCATTGCCACCCAGCACCCAACTCTACCACATCTGTATTAGTCTGTTCCCACACTGCTATGAAGAAATATCCAAGACTGGGTAATTTATAAAGAAAGAAGTTTTAATTGACTCAAAGCTCTGCATGGCTGGGGAGGCCTCAGGAAACTTACAATCGTGATGGAAGGCACCTCTTCAGAGGGCCGCAGGAGAATGTGTGCCAGCAGGGGAAAATGCCAGGCAATTATAAAACTATCAGATCTCGTGAGACCCACTCACTAACACGAGAACAGCATGGGGAAAACCAACCCCATGATTCAATTATCTCCACCTGGTCTCACCCTTGACACATGGGGATTATTACAATTCAAGGTGAGATTTGGGTGGGGACACGGAGCCAAACCATATCAGCATCTCTCCTGATTTTCCAAATGCAAATGTCTTATAGTCTCTTGCTGAGGAATATACAGTTGCCGACTTGCCCTTTCTCTGACCACCCCACACAAACACCATATTGGAATCAGACAGAATCTGAATGCCGGAACTAGAATGCCTCCTCCTTTAGGGAAGTAAGCTCCATAACTCCTGTCCACATTCCTAACCTGGAAGAGTGACCCCTTCCCTCCAGAGGTGCTGATCCCACCATTTTTGCTAAAATAGGAAGCTAGGGTGGAAACGGAGAGAGGAATGGTGGGTGAGATATTTTGTTTTTTCAAAGGCTCTGCACAGTATCTTCAATTAGATAAAGTGGCTGTAACTTTTCTTCTATTGACACTGCCCTCTTTCCTTTATTCTACTGCCTGCAAAAGAAGGCAACTGAAGAAGCCTCAAGTACCAGGGCAGGTTTTGGCTAGCTGAAGAAAGGGTAAGGTATAGGGGGGAAGACTGGAGGTGACCATCTTGGGAGTGGGTGAGAAGTGAGAGCCCAAAATGGGTCTTCTTACCTCTCTGGTACATTCTGTGCTCTTCTCTGGTCTGACATCCGCCCAGGTTCATCCAGAAAAAGATGGAAATGATTTGAACAGGATAAGCTAGGGTGAGGATTAGACACGATGAGTTCAGCTGGAGACACTCATGGTAGAGTCTGGAGGTCTCTTTGGGGGATCACTTCCAAAAGTGCAGATTTTTAGAAAAACGAGAAAGGTTCTGGAAAGGGATGTTTTCCTTCTGCTCAATGGCAGTTTCAGGTTTCCTGTAAGAAAGGAGTTTGTAGCGTCAGTATATTTGACAAATGTGGGAGAGGGAAGATTCAAGAGCTTGAAATTGCATTGCACTTCCCAAAGATGGAGAAGACATCAGGGATGAATTTCAAAGGTGATAGAAATCGGGAACTGCCCTTTGAGGATTTCAAGGGGAGAGGGAGCAAAGGCCTCACCATCAATCCACACGTCCTGTGCTAGAGTCTTGCGATTCTTATTTCCCCTACCCTCCTGCAACGATTATTCCCATATATCAAGGCCATCTGACAGAGTTAACCATCAGAATTAAATAGCAGTTCCCACAGAGTTCCATCCCCTGGAGAGGTACCTAGCTGCCGGGGCAGGCCTGAAGCCTCGGTCAGGAGGCATTGAGTCTTTCACTCTCCACGGAGGTCTTGGACTGAGAACTTCAAGTTCCAAAGGGATGAGGTGTCGGCTTCGCCCTTAGGAGCCTGGAGGGCTCTGACCAAGGAGAAGGGCGGAGCCCAGCCACTGGAAGGTTTGTTTCTTGCAGTGGAAGACGGTTGGCGACCCGGATGGCTTTTGTTACCAGGGCCAGCCCAATCCGCCCGATTCTCGGTCCCTATACTGCCTCCTTTTCCCATGCGCATCGCAAGGGATCGGTTGATGGGGCCCTCAGTATGACTTCGCTAGGAAAAATAAAGGTCTTCTTAGGCGGGAGGGGACTGATTTGAGGACGGAGGGTGGGAGTAGTGCCAGCAGCACTTTGTCGTAGTGGCACTGGGTGGGCAGTTATCAGTTGCAGTCCGCTCGTTTCTCAGTGCCCACGGTTTCTCACTGACAGTGCAGCTCGTTTCTCAGAGCCGGCGGATGTTCATGGGCAGCACCATCGAGCCAGAAGCAGTATTTGTCCTGGTAAGTCATTTCTCAACTGCCGAAGTGTACTAGGTTCCAGTCCCGCTGGTTTCTCGAATCTGCTAGTCCCACACGAGCACCAATAGGTAAACCCAGCCGGCAGTTTCCGGCTAGCACTTTCGCTATTTGAAGACATTAGGAAGTTATGTGGTGGCTCCGTACCCTCCTTTCTCCATCCGAGGCCGGGGTCCTAAAGTCGGTGTCACGGTGGCAGCACCCAGCGTTTTGTTGGCTCTTTCGCCAGCAGCGCCGAGCGGGGGGTTTTCTGTCACAGCACTTGTTGCACCGAATTTCTCGGTCGCAGAACCTCTCTTTTCCGAGGGTCGACATTTTCTGCGTGACAACACCGTTGGTTCCGCCAAAATGGATGTTGTCCTTGGGAACTCCTCCGGCTGGCGTCACTCTTAGGGTCCCAGCACCGCCATTTCGCCAAGCCGAGTTCTCTTGGTCGCGGCACATCTTGTTCCTCGGTGCCTCCATTTTCTCGGTGGCGGCAGCGCTCTGGTAGCCGATCTGAGGGATTTGGAATCGCAGCCAGTTGCGCAGAGTCTGGGGTTCCCGGGCGACGCCGGCGCTGGGCGGGGGAGCCCGCCGCTCCTCCGAGCCAGAGGCAGAGGAGCTGCGCGGACGCCGTCTCTTCACAGCGCCGCGAGCGCCGACGCACGGGTTCCTGCTCGGCCTCCTGAACCCAGTCCCCCGGCGGCGCCGCTGGCGTCTCTATCGCAGGCCCCTGCGGTTTCGCCCGTCGTTGGCTTCTTGGTCCTAGCAAGTTTCGATTTCGCGGTGCCCGCTATTTCTACCTCTTGTCCAAATAACTAGCCAAAATGTGATTTCTCAGCCTAAGCAAGTCCCGATTTAGGGCATCGGTCTAGCCCTGGCTGCGATTTCTTGGTCCTAGGAAGTCACTGTTTAGCTGTAGCAAGGCAGACTTAACCGTGCGATGGTGACTTTTCTTTTTCTTTGGTTCTTTTTCTTTTCTCTTTCTTTCTTGATACGGGGTCCGGCTCTGTCGCCCAGGCTGGAGTGCAGTGCCGCGATCTCGGCTCACTGCAACCTCCGCCTCCCGGGCTGAAGCGATCCTCCCACCCCAGCCTCCGGGGTAGCTGGGACCACAGGCACGCGCCACCACGCCCGGGTAATTTTTTGTATCCTTCCTAGAGACAGGATTTCGCCATGTTGCCTGGGCTGGTCTCAAACTCCTGATTTCTTAGTCTGACCAAGTCAGAGTTTAGTTATTTCTTACCGTAGCAAGTTGAGAGTTATTCCAGTTTGCGATTTCTGGTTGTAACAATTCTGGCTTTAACCATGCCTACATAATTTTAGTAGTAGCAAATTCCTGTTCCGTAATAGGAGCCCCCATTATAGCCATGCGTGCGGTTTATAACTCCTGTATTAATCTAGGTACTGAAGAATGCAATTTAAAAAAATTTAGCAGTGTCTGGAATTTTTAAATCATACCAAGTTAGAATTCGCAATAGTCTCGCCCTGGCTATGCTGGCGATTTTTCACTCATGTAGAAGTTGGGGTACGTCGGCTACAGATAATTGTTGGTGTCGCAAATACCGGTTTAACCATGGCTGTTTCTTCTTAATCCGAGGAAACTTCGGATAGGCGCAAGAGGCACGGGTTTAGTGCTGACAAATATAATGGTAGGATCTCACCATTCGACCCTGTTTGCAATTTCTTTCTGTTTGTAGGATGCTTTGTATGTTTTGTATACTCAAAAAAAAAAATTTTTTTTTGGTGTATCTTGTTCTGGCAGCGAGGTTATCAGTGTATTTTGTTTTAATTTCTATTTGCTTTTAAATTTTTAATTATTTTTTAATTTAAATGTTACGGTATTTTTTTCTTACCCACTGTCTTCCCCGGTAGAATAAATGTGGCGTATTTCTTCTACTGATTTTCAGTGTCACGTCTCAGGTTCTTTCTAACTTGCCTTCTCCCGTGAGCACTGAAGGCGAGCTAGTTCCCCGCCGCTAGGGTTCTCTTCCGCGGCTCTGCTCTTACGCCGAGCCAGCGGTTTCGCATCCGCACTTTCGCCACTAGGGGCGACTCCGTGTTTTCTCGGTTGCCGCGCTCTTGGTAGCGCTGAACAAAACAACATTCCTTGTTCACAAGACTCACATGTTCTTTGTGGTATCGCTTCCTGTGTCCTAGCACGGCTACTTTCCCCGGGCTGGCTGTCTCACTGTCTCAGCACCGTGATTGGGCAAGACTGCTGGCAGGGCTTGGCCTCGGTTTTTCTGTCACAGGCGTATTTCACTGGGTAGGCGCTTTCTCGGTGGAAGCACCCTACAACCTTCCAACCACCGATATTTCTCAGAGACGAGTTTCTTAGTAGCAATGCCTTAACTGCGCCAAAAATAAAGTTTGCCACAGGACACACCGCTATTCAGTGTGACACTTGATATTGATGCAGGATTTTGGCTCCTCAGCTCAGCTAAGTCCAGGTTGTTGTTGTTGTTGTTGTTTGGAGACGGAGTCTCGCTCTGTCGCCCAGGCTGGAGTGCAATGGCGCCATCACTGCTCACTGCAGCCTCCGCCTCTCAGGTTCAAGCGATTCTCCTGTCTCAGCTTCCTGAGTAGCTGGGATTACAGGCACACGCCACCACTGCCACCTAATTTTTGTATTTTTCGTAGAGACAGGGTTTCACTATGTTGGCCAGGCTGGTCTTGAACTCCTGACCTCAGGTAATCCACCCACCTCGGCCTCCCAAAGTGCTGGGATTACAGGCGTGAGCCATCGCGCCCGGCTAAGTTCAGGTTTTTGTTTCACCATCATGAAGAAATGGGCACGCAGATATCGAAGAGTGAGTGCAGTAGAATTTACTAAGCGAAAAGGAAAGCTCACAGCAAAAAGAGGGGTCCTGAGAACAGGTTTCTGGTTGCCCCCTTAATATTTAAATACAAGGGCTTTTATTTAAAAGCTGATGGGGCTAGGTTCCCTGTTTGTATAAGGCGCAAATTCCTGGTGGCTCCACCCCCATTGCCCCAGTGCATATGCGGGCCCTTAGTCAGCAAGGGCACATTTAGGCCAGGCGCCTGTGCAAGTTCTTTTATTCCGGAGGTTCTCTGGGGACCCTTCCCTTACTGTGTGCCTAAAGCAAGCTGGCTGACTCCTTTTCCTGTGTCCCAGTACCCCTGGTTCCTCAGACTGTAACTTTCTCAGTTGCAGCACCGCTCACTTGTCAAAGCAGGATTGACCTCCGTGGCAGCACCGCTGGTGGGTCCAGCCCGCAGCTTCTCCTAAACAGTTTCGCTAGTTTCTGGGTCCTAGCACTGCTAGTGGTACCATAGCGGCTCTTCATGGGTCGTGGACTTGCAGGATGTTTGCCAACTCCATCCCACGCTGCCTCCCTAGGTTCAGCAGCCGGCCAAAAGGAACAGACTCCTGCAAAGGAACAACCTCGAGGGCTGGATATTTAGGAGCCACATTTATAGGGGCTTTTCTTTCTTTAAAAAAAAACACAACCGGCCATTAGAAGCATGACACTGAGTAATAGATAAGTCCTAATCATAGTCCTTAAGACATGTTTTCATAACTGGTATATGCACTTATATTTGTTTATCCACTTGTTTATAATAATGCATTAAACCCTAAAATTGACACACTAATTTTCAACAGTTATTATTTCAGAGATGCATGGTATCCATTTCCTGTTGTTCAATTTCTCTCCTTCCATCCGCCTTTACATTTCTATTTTTAAAATGTTAATTTTTTCCAAATTCCATCCTGCCACCTTTCTTTTCTTTTCTTTCTTTCTCTCTCTTTCTTTTTCCTTCCTTCCTTCCTTCCTTCCTTCCTTCCTTCCTTCCTTCCTTCCTTCCTTCCTTCCTTCCTTCCTTCCTTCCTTCCTTCCTTCCTTCCTTCCTTCCTTCCTTCCTTCCTTCCTTCCTTCCTTCCTTCCTTCCTTCCTTCCTTCCTTTCTTTTCGACGGAGTTTTACTCCTGTTGTCCAGGCTGGAGTACAATGGCGAGATCTCGGCTCACTGCAACCTCCGCCCCACCCCCTCCCCGGGTTCAAGCAATTCTCCTGCCTGGGACTACAGACGCGGGCCACCATGCCCGGCTAATTTTGTATTTTTAGTAGAGACGGGGTTTCTCCATGTTGGTCAGGCTGGTCTCGAACTCCTGACCTGAGGCGATCGGCCCGCCTCGGCCTCCCAAAGTGCTGGGATTACAGGCGTGAACCACCGCGCCCAGCCCATCCTGCCTTTTTTTTTTTTTTTTTTTTTTTTTTTGAGCCAGAGTCTCGCTGTTTCCCAGGCTGGAGTGCAGTGGCGCGATCTCCGCTCACTGCAAGCTCCGCCTCCCGTGTTCACGCCAATCTCCTGCCTCAGCCTCCCGAGTAGCTGGGACTACAGGTGCCCGCCAACACGCCCGGCTAATTTTTTTTTTTTTTTTTTTTTTTGTATTTTTAGTAGAGACAGGGTTTCACCGTGTTAGCCAGGATGGTCTCGATCTCCTGACCTCGTGATCCGTCTGCCTCAGCCTCCCAAAGTGCTGGGATTATAGGCATGAGCCACCGTGCCCGGCCCCATCCTGCCTTCTAAAACCATCTCGTCATATTCTCAAATCTTTCTGACCCTGTATGCTATATTTTCTGATATCCTTTTAAATTTTCTTACCTTTTCCTGTTATTTCCTTTTTATGCAATTCTTCTTTATAGAATTGTAGAGTTTAGCAGTTTTCTCATTTTGCTTTTGTTGCACCTGATTTTTAAATTTTCCTTTCCTTTAAGATTGATTTATTTCCAGCAATCGGATTCCATGGTGCCCTCAAAGCCCTCATCTCTATGGCTAACATAGGAGATGAAAGCTCAGTTCCCACAATACCCAAACACCAGCCACTAGAAGAATCAATGAAGAGAGGGAGAGAAAGAAAAGCAGAGTGTTAGACTTCAGAATAAGAAGTGAGAATGGTCACATGGGAAGCCTGCTTCATATCCAAATCCTAAAAACACTTTCCAATTCCACTTTGACAATTTATTGCCATTTTCTTATACTGATAATTGGTATTTAATTAATCTAACAAGAAGTACAAGGCAAAGACAGTTTTATTCCCACGTTCCATTCAGATTATAGCACCTAAGCTCCTTTATATTCAAATTCAGAACTGTCACTGTGTGAAAAAAAAAAAAAAAAAGTCTTCATAGCTAGACCAAATTAATGCCAACACCAAGTTTCTGGGTTTTAGTTTCTGACATCTAAGGTGACAGAAAAGTTTCAAAGTCCAAAGGGTGATTGCTACTGCATGTTTTTTTTATCACTTTCTGAAGACAACCATTTTTCTGTGCCTGACACACTGCATGTTGAAGCTATGAGGATGCATAAATCTTTTTCCTGGGATACCTGCAGCTTGAAGGAGTGAGTCTCAGATGCTGCAGGCCCGGAGCTGGGTAGAGATTGTGAGAGAATAGCCTCCTTGGGCCAAGTATGCACCGGTGATGTACTTGAGCCTTCAGTGTTGCTAGATCTTGAAGTTTTGCTGAATATTTGGTTTTGCTGGATCCAATCCATGTGGATTTTTGAGGTGGGCGGGCCCCACATTGGCAGAATTATGCAACTGCCTGAGAATGCCTGACCTGGAGCTGATGCCCTGAAATGCCATGGTTGTCAATTCAAAAGGCACAGGGCTGGGGGTCTTCCTCATGGCTCCCTAAATTTAATTTCCACCTCCACCCTGTAAACGTAAACTTCAGACCATTGAAGGAATATTTATTGATGGTTGTTCTCTGCTCTCAGCAGGGAGGCCAAGCTCAGTTTCAAGAGAATCCCAGGACAGTGGAGCACTGTCCCTTCCCACCCTGGTGATATCCATAGCTATTCAAAGGCTCCCTGGAGTTCAGCCTCCAGCTCTGATCTGGGTCCCAGTCCCTTTCATGCCCCTGCCCACCTGTATGTGTTTCCAATCCTGACTCCACCAACCTCAAATCTATTTCACAAGTGGAGAATACAGAAGAATGCTTTAATCCTCATGTACAAAGAACTATGAATTCTAAGAAGATCTAAAAGTAGAGTTCCTTAGCACATTGTTGATTATGCAGATAGAATTTTTCCAATTGAAAAACCTTGAAGGCGTTCAGAAGATGAAGAACAAAATATGGAAGGATGTCTACTGCAGAGACTTCCAGCTCAAGGCAGGGCACAGTCCTATGAAGGTTCCCCAAGAACAGCATGAGTGCTCCCACTGAGGTGCATGGGCTTCTTCTAGGGCATTGTTATAAAGGAGTGGTGCCATGAACCATGACCAAGACCGGGGTTCCTTTCTTTTCTGGGTTCCAGTCTGTCCTAAGCCTTAGTTTTCAGCAATTTCTTGTGGGCAGCCTGGGCTCTGCTCTAGGCATCTATCTGTCCAGCTTCACAGGTTGGCATGTCCTGGCTGGGTCATGGCCCATTGTGTTGTGTTGTCTATAGGATGCACTTATTTTTCTTTTTACTTTTTTTTTTGTTTATAGGCTATTTATTGAGAAGTTGTTTTCTAAAATGCTACTTTCTTTTTAAAATTTTTTTATTATACTTTTAAGTTCGAGTGTACATGTGCACAATGTGCAGGTTTGTTACATACATATACATGTGCCAAGTTGGTGTGCTGCACCCATTAACTCATCATTTACATTAGATATTCCTCCCAATGTTATCCCTCCTCCCTCCCCCCACCCCATGACAGGCCTGGGTGTGTGATATTCCCTACCCTGTGTCCAAGTGTTCTCATTGTTCAATTCCCACCTATGAGTGAGAGCGTGTAGTGTTTGGTTTTCTGTCCTTGTGGTAGTTTGCTCAGAATGATGGTTTCCAGTTTCATCCATGTCCCTGCAAAGGACATGAACTCATCCTTTTTTATGGCTGCATAGTATTCCATGGTGTATATGTGCCACATTTCCTTAATCCAGTCTATCATTGATGGACATTTGGGTTGGTTACAAGTCTTTGCTATTGTAAATAGTGCTGCAGTAAACATACATGTGCATGTGTCTTTATAGTAACATGATTTATAATCCTTTGGGTATATACCCCGTAATGGGATGGCTGGATCAAATGGTATTTCTAGTTCCAGATCCTTGAGGAATCACCACACTGTCTTCCGCAATGGTTGAACCAATTCACACTCCCATCAACAGTGTAAGAGTGTTCCTGTTTCTCCACATCCTCTCCAGCATCTGTTGTTTCATGACTTTTTAATGATCGTCATTCTAACTGGTGTGAGATGGTATCTCATTGTGGTTTTGATTTGCATTTCTCTGATGACCAGTGATGATGAGCATTTCTTCATGTGTCTGTTGGCTGCATAAATGTCTTCTTTTGAGAAGTGTCTGTTCATATCCTTTGCCCACTTTGTGATGGGGTTGTTTGATTTTTTCTTGTAAACTTGTTTAAGTTCTTTGTAGATTCTGGATATTAGCCCTTTGTCAGATGGGTAGATTGCAAAAATTTTCTCCCATTCTGTAGGTTGCCTCTTCACTCTGATGGTGGTTTCTTTTGCTGTGCAGAAGCTCTTTAGTTTAATTAGATCCCATTTGTCAATTTTGGCTTTTGTTGCCATTGCTTTTGGTGTTTTAGTCATGAAGTCATTGCCCATGCTTGTGTCCTGAATGGTATTGCCTAGGTTTTCTTCTAGGGTTTTTATGGTTTTTAGGTCTAATATTTAAGTCTTTAATCCATCTTGAATTAATTTTTGTATAAGGTGTAAGGAAAGGATCCAGTTTTAGCTTTCTACATATGGCTAGCCAGTTTTCCCAGCACTATTTATTAAATAGGGAATCCTTTCCCCATTTCTTGTTTTTGTCAGGTTTGTCAAAGATCAGATGGTTGTAGATGTATGGTATTATTTCTGAGGGCTCTGTTCTCTTCCATTGGTTTATCTCTCTGTTTTGGTACCAGTACCATGCTGTTTTGGTTACTGTAGCCTTGTAGTATCCTTTGAAGTCAGGTAGCATGATGCCTCCAGTTTTGTTCTTTTTGCTTAGGATTGTCTTTGAAGGGGGCCAGCCCCTCCACACCTGTGGGTATTTCTCATCAGGTGTGATGAGAGACTGAGAAAAGAAATAAGACACAGAGACAAAGTATAGAGAAAGAACAGTGGGCCCAGAGGACCAGCGCTCAGCATATGGAGGACCCGCACCGGCTCTGGTCTCTGAGTTCCCTCAGTATTTATTGATCACTATCTCTACTATCTTGGTGAGGGGGATGTGGCAGGGTGGGGAGAGGGTCAGCAGGAAAACATGTGAACAAAGGACTCTGTGTCATAAATAAGTTTAAGGAAAGGTGCTGTGCCTCGATGTGCTTGTAGGCCAGATTTATGTTTGACTTTACACAAACATCTCAGTGCAGTAAAGAGCAGTATTGTCGCCAGCATGTCTCACCTCCAGCCATAAGGCAGTTTTCTCCCATCTCAGTAAATAGAATGTACGTTCGGGTTTTACACCAAGACATTCCATTCCCGGGGACGAGCAGGAGACAGATGCCTTCCTCTTATCTCAACTGCAAAGAGGCCTTCCTCTTTCACTAATCCTCCTCAGCACAGACCCTTTATGGGTATCGGGCTGGGGGACGGTAAGGTCTTTCCCTTCCCACGAGGCCATGTCTCAGGCTGTCTCAGTGGGGAGAAACCTTGGACAATACCCAGGCGTTCTTGGGCAGAGGTCCCTGTGGCCTTCGACAGTGCATTGTGTCCCTGGGTACTTGAGACCAGAGAAGGGTGATGACTTTTACCAAGCATACTGCGTGCAAACACATTTTTAACAAAGCACATCCTGCACAGCCCTATATCCATTAAACCTTGAGTCAACACAGCAAATATTTCTGTGACCACAGGGTTGGGGCTAGCGTTACAGATTAATAGCATCTCAAGGCAGAAGAATTTTTCTTACTACAGAACAAAATGGAGTTTCTTATGTCTTCTTCTTTCTGCATAGACACAGTAACAGCCTGATCTCTCTTTATTTCCCCCACAGTCTTGGCAATGTGGGCTCTTTTTTGGTTCCATGTGAACTTTAAAGTAGCTTTTTCCAATTCTGTGAAGACAGTCATTGGTAGCTTGATGGGGATGGCATTAAATCTATAAATTACCGGCCGGGCGCGGTGGCTCATGCCTGTAATCCCAGCACTTTGGGAGGCTGAGGTGGGCGGATCACGAGGTCAGGAGATCCAGACCATCCTGGTTAACATGGTGAAACCCTGTCTCTACTAAAAAAATACAAAAAATTAGCCGGGCATTGTGGTGGGTGCCTGTAGTCCTAGCCACTTGGGAGGCTGAGGCAGGAGAATGGCATGAACCCGGGAGGCGGAGCTTGCAGTGAGCCAAGATCAAGCCACTGCACTCTAGCCTGGGCAACAGAGCGAGACTCCGTCTCAAAAAATAAAAAAAAAAAATCTATAAATTACCTTGGGCAGTATGCCCATTTTCACAATACTGATTCTTCCTATCGATGAGCATGGAATGTTCTTCCATTTGTTTGTGTCCTCTTTTATTTCATTGAGCAGTGGTTTGTAGTTCTCCTTGAAGAGGTCCTTCACATCCCTTGTAAGTTGGATTCCTAGGTATTTTATTCTCTTTGAAGCAATTGTGAATGGGAGTTCACTCAGTATTTGGCTCTCTGTTTGTTATTGTTGTATAGGAATGCTTGTGATTTTTGCACATTGATTTTGTATCCTGAGACTTTGCTGAAGTTGCTTATCAGCTTAAGGAGATTTTGGGCTGAGACGATGGGATTTTCTAGATATACAATCATGTTATCTGCAAACAGGGAGGATTTGACTTCCTCTTTTCCTAAATGGATACCCTTTATTTCTTTCTCCTGCCTGATTGCCCTGGCCAGAACTTCCAACACTATGTTGAATAGGAGTGGTGAGAGAGGGCATCCCTGTCTTGTGCCAGTTTTCAAAGGGAATGCTTCCAGTTTTTGCCCATTCAGTATGATATTGGCTGTGGGTTTGTCATAGATAGCTCTTATTATTTTGAGATAAGTCCCATCAATACCTAGTTTATTGAGAGTTTTTAGCATGAGGCGTTGTTGAATTTTGTTGAAGGTCTTTTCTGCATCTATTGAGATAATCATGTGGTTTTTGTCTTTGGTTCTGTTTATATGATGGATTAGGTTTATTGATTTGTGTATGTTGAATGAGCCTTGCACCCTAGGGATGAAGCCAACTTGATCATGGTGGATAAGCTTTTTGATGTGCTGCTGGATTCAGTTTGCCAGTATTTTATTGAGGATTTTTGCATCGATGTTCATCAGTGATATTGGCCTAAAATTCTCTTTTTTTGTTGTGTCTCTGCCAGGCTTTGGTGTCAGGATGATGCTGGCCTCATAAAATGAGTTAGGGAGGATTCCATCTTTTTCTACTGATTGGAATAATTTCAGAAGGAATGGTACCAGCTCCTCTTCCTACCGCTGACAGAATTTGGCTGTGAATCCATCTGGTCCTGGACTTTTTTTGGTTGGTAGGCTATTAATTATTGCCTCAATTTCAGAGCCTGTTATTGGTCTATTCAGGGATTCAACTTCTTCCTGGTTTAGTCTTGGGAGGGTGGATGTGTCCAGGAATTTATCCATTTCTTTTAGGTTTTCTAGTTTATTTACATAGAGGTGTTTATAGTATTCTCTGATGGTAGTTTGTATTTCCGTGGGATCGGTGGTGATATCCCCTTTATCATTTTTTATTGCGTCTATTTGATTCTTCTCTCTTTTCTTCTTTATTAGTCTTGCTAGTGGTCTATCAATTTTGTTGATCTTTTCCAAAAACCAGCTCCTGGATACCATTGATGTTTTGAAGGGTTTTTTGTGTCTCTGTCTCCTTTAGTTCTGCTCTGATCTTAGTTATTTCTTGCCTTCTGCTAGCTTTTGAATATGTTTGCTCTTGCTTCTCTAGTTCTTTTAATTGTGATGTTAGCGTGTCAGTTTTAGTTCTTTCCTGCTTTCTCTTGTGGGCATTTAGTGCTATAAATTTCCCTCTACACACTGCTTTAAATGTGTCCCAGAGATTCTGGTATGTTGTGTCTTTGTTCTCATTGGTTTCAAAGAACATCTTTATTTCTGCCTTCATTTAGTTATGTACCCAGTAGTCATTCAGGAGCAGGTTATTCAATTTCCATGTAGTTTTGCGGTTTTGAGTGAGTTTCTTAATCCTGAGTTCTAATTTGATTGCACTATGGTCTGAGAGACAGTTTGTTATAATTTCTGTACTTTTACGTTTGCTGAGGAGTGCTTTACTTCCAACTATGTGGTCAATTTTGGAATAAGTGCAGTGTGGTGCTGAGAAGAATGTATATATTCTGTTGATTTGGGGTGGAGAGTTCTGTAGATGTCTATTAGGTCCACTTGGTGCAGAGCTGAGTTCAAGTCCTGGATATCCTTGTTAACTTTCTGTCTTGTTGATCTGTCTAATGTTGAGAGTGGAGTGTTAAAGTCTCCCATTATTATTGTGTGGGAGTCTAAGTCTCTTTGTAGGTCTCTAAGGGCTTGCTTTATGAATCTGGGTGCTCCTGTATTGGGTGCATATATATTTAAGATAGTTAGCTCTTCTTGTTGAATTGATCCCTTTACCATTATGTAATGGCCTTCTTTGTCTCTTTTGTCTCTTTTGATCTTTGTTGGTTTAAAATCTGTTTTATCAGAGAGTGGGTTTGCAACCCCTGCTTTTTTTGTTTTCCATTTGCTTGGTAGATCTTCCTCCATCTCTTTATTTTGAGCCTATGTGTGTCTCTGCAGGTGAGATGGGTCTCCTGAATACAGCACACTGATGGGTCTTGACTCTTTATCCAATTTGCCAGTCTGTGTCTTTTAATTGGGGCATTTAGCCCATTTACATTTAAGGTTAGTATTGTTACGTGTGAACTTGATCTTGTCATTATGATGTTAGCTGGTTATTTTGCTTGTTAGTTGATGCAGTTTCTTCCTAGCACCAATGGTCTTTACAATTTGGCATGTTTTGCAGTGGCTGGTACCGGTTGTTCCTTTAGTGCTTCCTTCAGGAGCTCTTGTAAGGCAGGCCTGGTGGTGACAAAATCTCTCAGCACTTGCTTGTCTGTAAAGGATTTTATGTTTCCTTCACTTATGAAGCTTAGTTTGGCTGGATATGAAATTCTGGGTTGAAAATTCTTTAAGAATGTTGAATATTGGCCCCCACTCTCTTCTGGCTTGTAGAGTTTCTGCTGAGAGAGCCACCGTTAGTCTGATGGGCTTCCTTTTGTGGGTAACCTGACCTCTCTCTGGCTGCCCTTAACCTTTTTTTCCTTCATTTCAACCTTGGTGAATCTGACGATTATGTGTCTTGGGGTTGCTCTTCTTGAGGAGTATCTTTGTGGCATTCTCTGCATTTCCTAAATTTGAATGTTGACCTGCCTTGCTAGGTTGGGGAAGTTCTCCTGGATAATATCCTGAAGAGTGTTTTCCAACTTGGTTCCATTCTCCCTGTCACTTTCAGGTACACCAATCAAATGTAGATTTGGCCCTTTCACATAGTCCCATATTTCTTGGAGGCTTTGTTCATTTCTTTTTACTCTTTTTTCCTCTAACTTCTCACTTCATTTCATTCTTTTGATCTTCAATCACTGATACGCTTTCTTCCACTTGATCAAATCGGCTACTGAAGCTTGTGCATGCATCACGTAGTACTTGTGCCATGGTTTTCAGCTCCATCAGGTCATTTAAGGTCTTCTCTATGCTGTTTATTCCAGTTAGCCATTCGTCTAATCTTTTTTCAAGGTTTTTAGCTTCTTTGCGATGAGTTTGAACATCCTCCTTTAGCTCGGAGAAGTTTGTTATTACCGATCTTCTGAAGCCTACTTCTGTCACCTCGTCAAAGTTATTCTCTGTCCAGCTTTGTTCCGTTGATGGCGAGGAGCTGTGATTCTTTGGAGGAGAAGAAATGCTCTGATTTTAGAATTTTCAGCTTTTCTGCTCTGGTTTCTCCCCATCTTTGTGGTTTTATCTACCTTTGGTCTTTGATGATGGTAACCTACAGATGGGGTTTGGTGTGGATGTCCTTTTTGTTGGTGTTGATACTATTCCTTTCTGTTTGTTAGTTTTCCTCCTAACAGTCAGAACCCTCAGCTGCAGGTCTGTTGGAGTTTG
The DNA here is from genome assembly GCF_000001405.40 of Homo sapiens. Classification (NCBI taxonomy): domain Eukaryota; kingdom Metazoa; phylum Chordata; class Mammalia; order Primates; family Hominidae; genus Homo; species Homo sapiens. The sequence continues at coordinate 43,054,011 of NC_000005.10, read as the reverse complement.
CTGGAGGTCCACTCCAGACCTTATTTGCCTGGGTATCACCAGTGGAGGCTGCAGAACAGCAAATATTGCAGAATAGCAAATGTTGCTTCCTGATCCTTCCTCTGGAAGCTTCGTCTCAGAGGGGCACCCGGCTGTATGAGGTGTCAGTTGGCCCCTACTGGGAGGTGTCTCCCAGTTAGGCTACTCGGGGGCCAGGGACCCACTTAAGGAGGCAGTCTGTCCGTTCTCAGATCTCAAACTCCATGCTGGGAGAACAACTGCTCTCTTCAAAGCTCAGTTGGAAATGCAGAAATCACCTGTCTTCTGTGTTGCTCACGCTGGGAGCTTTAGACTGGAGCTGTTCCTATTCAGCCATCTTCGAACGATCTCAGCATACACTTATTTTTCAAGTGAGTGTAGCTCTTCTGTGGTTTCAGCCATTGGCCCCAGAGTGTGGGTCTCAACAACATTTTTGTCCCCTTTAAACTTCAGAAATGACTCTAGCCTATGTAAGCCCAGCATGGCAGCCTGAATGCACTGTACTTCATATGTGCACAGAACTGGGGACATTGGCAGTGGTGGCTCAGTGCAGTGAAGTTGTCCATTGCCCAATCCCAGCTTACTTTAGGCTTAAGTCTGGTGGCATGTGGGGCTCTGGACATGCTGCCTTCAAGACAGCTCTTCCAAAGATGATGAATGGGGCTCCATATTTTAGCCTCCAGATCAGGCCAAGCTACGTGGCTGGTCTAGGAAAGGGAGTAAATGATTCTGTCCAGTACAGACTGTGCTTTTATAGTATGTTCTGTTATATACAGAATGGCAGACACCAAAGTCCAAATAGTTGGGAGATGATCACTAATTCATCTGGAAAAATTTCTTCAGGACCTGATAGGATTAAGGTGAAAATTGTAGGCACAATTGAAAGTCAGCAGGGTTGTTATGATTGAATCAGGCAAGAAAAGAAGTGAGGGAAATTCCATGGGAGGGTAGAGTCCAGTTACTAACAGTGTCTATTGTAGGAGACAAGAAGTTAATAGTTTTTTGTCACCCATTGCCAGGGTTATGGCTTGCAATCTTACAACAAAACAGATTAACAAGAGAAAACCATTAAAAAATTATTTAACAAAGTTTTCCATGACAAGGGAGCCCTCAGAAATGAGGACCAAAGACCCAATGAAAAGTATGTATTTTTAGGCTTGGATTCTATGGACAAGTCATGTAGAAGTATGATTGGACAATAAGTATATTATCTAGTGCTAATAAATGGGCACTGGGGAGCCCAGAAATGGCTGTCTGTTCAGATTCTTTTGGCCTCTGGGTAAAGAAGTACTCCTCTGGAATAAGGGCTTTATGCCCTACTTTCAGGGGAGGTAGGTCAGAGCATTCCTTTATGGCCAGCTGCCACACAGAAAGGCATAGTGATTGTGGTAATACTGACCTTCTTGCTTCTTTGGTTTTCTCAATTGCCAAGGTACCATGAAACCTCCTTATAAAGTTTCTCGGTTCAGGAACTGGGTCACTATATTATCTAGTCATTATACCAGTCTCTCAGTCCTGAGAATAGGTCAGTCCAGTTAAACAGTTAACAGGACTGTCTCGAGTCAGGTGGTGGGATTGCAGAATGGCATCCACCAAAGTTAGGCCTAAGCAATCATTCATTTAATAAGAGATATTTCCAGCCAGGTGTGGTGGCTCATGCCTATAATCCCAGCACTTTGGGAGGCCGAGGCGGGCGGATCACCTAGGGAGTTTGAGACCAGCCTGACCAACATGGAGAAACCCTGTCTCTACTAAAAATACAAAATTAGCCAGGTGTGGTGGCACATTCCTATAATCGCAGCTACTCAGGAGGCTGAGGCAGGAGAATCACTTGAACCCAGAAGGTGGAAGTTGCAATGAGCCGAGATTGTACCATTGCACTCCAGCCTGGGCAACAACAGCAAAACTCTGTCTCAAAAAAAAAAAAAAAAAAAGATATTTTCATTGAAACGAGAAAAGCAAAGGTTAATGATTGGAACTGACTATAAACTCAGTTTTTTTAGTCCAGAGGGCAGCCAGTCAGAAAGTTTTAGATGTTAAGCTTGAAGTATCTTCAGTTTGAATGGGGGCAGGCAGTGGCAATCTGACGGAATTTCCTGGTTTGCAGTTTGCATGAGGTGTTCTGGTGAAATTTCTGAGTAGTCCATGTATGAGTGGTGGTGATTTCTCTGCAGTCTATATTAACCCATCCAGCTTCAGCTGACAAGACTTCAGGAAAAGTGCAGTTTAATTTCAGCAGTTCAAAGCCAGAAGGGTAGAAGAAAAATCAGAAATATTAGTTTTAAGAGCCATAGCTAGACTTTTTTTTTTTTTAGGTGAAGTCTTGCTCTGTCGCCCAGGCTGGAGTACAGTGTCACCATCTCCACTCACTGCAACATTCACCTCTGTGTTCAAGCAATTCTCCTGCCCCTGCCTCCCGAGTAGCTAGAATTACAGGTGCACACCACCACACCCAGCTAATTTTTGTATTTTTTGTAGAGATGGGTTTTCACCATGTTGGCCAGGCTGGCCTCGAACTCCTAGCCTCAAGTGATCCACCTGCCTCAACCTGCCAAAGTGCTGGGATTACAGGCATGAGCCAATGCGTCCAGCCCTTTTTTTTTTTTTTTTTGAGATGGGGTCCTTGCTTTGTAATTGAGGCTGGAGTGCAGTGGCACAAACAAGGCTTACTGCAGCCTCAACCTCCTTGGCTCAAGCAATCCTTCCACCTCCACCTTCCAAGCAGCTGCAACCACAGGCGCATGCCTCCATGCCCAGCAAATTTTTGAACTTTTTGTAGAGACGGTGTTTCGCCTTTTGCCCAGGCTGGTCTCGAAGTCTTGGGCTTCAGCAATCCTCCCACCTCGACCTCCCAAAGTGCTGGGATTGCAGTTGCGAGCTCTGACACCCAGCCCATTGCCAGATATTACAGGAAACAAAAAATTCAAGATCCAGTCTAGATTTCAGGTAGACGAAAAAACCTCAAAAACAATGAGCTAGAGTCTAATAACAGGTGCACTATATTTTTTTCTCTGAAAGTTTTTTCTCTATACTTACTCCCTTTTTATCAAACATCATCAAAGTATTAGTAAGAGTAATCTGTTTGCAAAATAAATTTAGTGTCTTTAAAGTTGGCCTAATATTTACACAAGTGCAGCAGGAATAGTGTTTTACCACACAGGGTCTCTTTAAGTTGGCTTTTCTGGATCTTTTAATAAGGAATCTCAAATTAGACTTTTAAAAGCCTCTCAAGGCTAGGAAACCATACCAGGATCTTGCTATCACACTTTGCCTGGAATACCTATAGATTTCGGTGAATTCTTCCCTTGTCAAGGTCCTCCAAATATCCTGATGTTCCTCAGCCTGCCAGGAAGTGACATTTCTTACCCACCTGTAAGGCCAGGAACCCTTTTAAACCAGACCAGTTTCTCAAGTCTGAGTGTGTTGTTTCTGTTCCTAAAAACCACAAAAGAAAGAAAACAGTGATATTACATTCAACGTGGTAACAACTCTGAATCTTTGTTCTAACAGTGGAAATATAATATCTCTAGGGATTAAGCCCGGTCTCCAGAATGTACCCGGGCCATAGGAAAATAACATCCAGATGTTTTTTAACAGCACCTACAAGGACGAGCTGAGGGTTTCTCAGTATAGGGGAAACTGTCACAAGGTGTACCCTCTTTTCTTTTGAAGCAGTAAAAGCAGTTCTCATTCTTCCCCATTCTTTGTTCAAAGCATATGAGATATGAGCCAGCTTTATAGTTATTGTCATGCTACCTTACATGCATGTAAATCTGTTAAGGCTAATTCAATACTAGTGTTCTGTCTCTCTTCTGTTGGGTACACAGGGGTCTTTTTGTGTCAGGATTGTTTTATTTCTCCCACAGTGGATATATTCTTCCCCTTTCTTTCATCCTAAGTGGATTATTCTTAGAAGCTTATCCTAAGTGGATTATTCTTAGATAGGGCTTCCTAGAAGATGGTTCCATGTGATCAAGCAAACTGTTGTGTTCAAGGTAGGTTCAGTTAATAGTACCCAATGTTCATAAAAGTAGTGGGGGATTCTCTTTAAAAAAAAGAATAAAAATTTTGAGTACAAAATTACAGACCTGTTCAAACGGATCCTAAAAGCTAAGCTTCCTTAGCTGCATGGTAAATTCGCCTCTGACCCTGCGTGATACCCAGTATGGGCCAATAAGGTAGTGTTGCAGGAAACTGAGGACCAGAGAGACTGATATGGAGAACAGGAGGATTGTTTATTTTAGGTACGCACCGGCTCAGTGGATTTGCATCCAAAAAGCTGAGCCTAGAACAAAGACAGAGTGGGGTTTTTATAAGCTGGCTTACAAAAGTAAAACAAAAGCAGCTAATCATATGATAGGTCACATAATCTATAGCATAGCATAACTTGTGGCCTTGCATAGTCGGTGGTCTTGTGCCTGCATTGAAAGAAAAACAAGAACTGGCTAAATACAGACATTTGTAAAACATAATCTCGCTTAAGAAGCCTGGGAGAGGAGTAACAGTAAAAGAATTTGTCTTTCTTTTTTTTTTTTTTTCATTCAACCTTGCTCTGGAGCAGGGGCGGGTGTCTGGAGCCCATTCCTTTGGACTTGGCTTTCCGGACAGGGGTATCTTATAACTGTCTTTGAAGTGAGCTTGCTAGGCAGAGGAGAACTTGTTCTTTTCTTTTTAACCCTTGCCCTGCCTGTTACTTTTCTTGGAGTGAATGAATGCGTATTTATTTTTAAATTTTCTGCCTCAGTAGCACACCATTGAATTGTCTCTCACTCCTTCCTATTCTAATTACCCTGTCTTTTAACTCCCACTCTCTTAAAAAAACCACTTTTGAATTAAAAAGTGGCACATAAGTTTTCACTTTAGCTAATGCTTCCTGTGGAAGCCAGGCCAATAAAATATGCCTCTCTGTTTACCTTATATGCTTTGACTTTTTTCTTCTGCAGACTGAATCCTAAATAATTCAATCTGTATTGAAAAGATTATGAGGATGCCTACAAAAATAGAATGATTCAGGTCACTATTGACCTTTGAATGGCCCCGAATGAGACATGATGCCAGTATTTAATAAGTCTGCCTGAGCAGGGCAGAAAAATTAAAAGGCCCTTTTAAATATCAAGCAAGTATGAATATTTATATGCCTATTTTGTATATCACTCTTGTCAATCCCCCAATTTTTTGGTTAGCCAAGAGCTCTCATGATCACAGGTGATAAAAATTATAATGTATTAGCATATTGAATCCAGCAATATATGTTTTAAAAAATACATCATGATCCAGTGGGATTTATTCCATGAACTCAATATTGGTTTAGCACTTGAAAATCAGTTAATATTAGTCAACACATTAACATTAAAAAGGAAGTAAACCATGTGATAATATCAGTAGATGCAGAAAATCTTTTAAAAATTTAACCCCTTGTCATTCTTAAAACAAAACATATCTTAACAAATTAGAAAAAGTGGATTCCCTTATTTATTTAAAACTATATCTATAAGAGACATACATAGTTAATATTCCACCTTGAAAGAAATAAAAATGTTTAACCCCAAAATATATTTATTTGAAATATTTTCAGATGGCTGCCAGAGAACCAGCAAAATAAGTAGTCCTGCAATGCTTTCGTTTGTGGGAAAAATTTGCATCTGTAGAAAATCTGCATTGATTCATACAGGCCTTCTCTTGTCTGGATCTAGGAAGGATTAACAGAGTCTGAACCCTTACAAGTTTTCTCTCTCCTATAACCTGTTTTGGCATGATGCACTTTTTTGTGTAACCTCAAGATGGTATATAACCTCCTGCACCTCACTGAGGGGCTGAGCAATCATACATTTTCTATGTGTTTTCTCCTATTAATCTGCCTCTGTGAGTCCATTTTAGAGCAAACTTTCAGAGTGCGCAGAGAAAGATTTCCCTTGGCCCCTGAAAATTTGGTGCTGTGAGCAGGAACCCAAAGTTTGGCTCTTTTGGAAGCCCACAGTTGAGGGAAACCAGGAGCTGATCAGCCAGCATAAGGATAAAGAATTTTTACCAGCCAGATTCCAGGCCCCACTCTGTGGAATCTGGTGAAGTAGACAGTAAAAATCACTCTCTATTTTTCCTGTCCAAAATATTGACTGATGGGAGAAAAGGATTTGTGTGACTAGTGCTGGTGTATCGACTCTGGTGTACTTTTTGGTACTTTGTAGTATGAATCATGTTGTTTCATCCCCTTTCCTCCCAGAATAGTCTTTTCTTTGTCTTTATCTTTCTGTATTCTGTCATAAAGAGGAGTAAGGAGTATAGCAGTACAGTACAGATGAAGGTTTTCTCTCATCTCGTTTTGTTTTTTTTTTAATTTGTTTTGTTTTTTTTTAGACAGAGTCTTCTTGCGCTATCGCCCAGGGTGGGGTGCAGTGGCATGATCTGGGCTCGCTGCAACCTCTGCCTCCTGGGTTGAAACAATTCTCGTGCCTCAACCTCTGTGTAGCTGGGATTATAGGCATGCACCACCACACCCAGCTAATTTTTATATTTTTAGTAGAGACTGTTGGCCAGGCCTCAAACTCCTGGCTTCAGGTGATCTGCCCACTTCGGCCTCCCAACGTGCTGGGATTACAGGCGTGAGCCACCAGTTCCCAGCCCTATTTTGTTTTTGTTTTAGAGACAGGGTCTTACTCTTTCACCCAGGCTGAAATGCAGTGGCATGATTATAGTTCTCTGTAACTTTAAACTTCTGGATTCAAGCCATCCTCCTGCCTTGGCTTCCCTAGTAACCAGGACTATAGGCTCATGCCACCACACCCAGCTAATTTTTAAAAAATACTTTTGTAGAGATGGGACCCCTTATGTGCCCAGCCTGCTGATGAACTCCTGGGCTCCCGAAGCACTAGGATTACAGGTGTGAGCTACCATGCTAGGCCTGAAATAATCAATATGCCAGAGGTATATTGGTATATTGGGGTGGTGTATTCTGGTGTCCAACAGTCAAATTTTGAGAGAGTGTGTCCAGAATAATCAACTCAGAACTTAGGTTGCTATCTTGAACTGGAGTGTTAGGGAGAAGGGACACAGTAAAATCACACACACACACACACACACACACACACACACACACACTACATTAGAAGATGAGCCTTAAATTTGCACCAAGAGTTGATTTCTTAACATTGAATGCTAAAATTACATTTATCTATTCAGCCACAGACAGAGCTATATGCACTCCAACTTCCCTAAGTGAGGCTGTGCATCTACAAAATGGAGAGAACTAAGAAGAAAGCCCAGCACAAAGCATGTGCTCACCACATTTTTCGGTTGAGAATGAAACAAGATAAAGCACAAAATATAGTTGGTATGGTGTCTGTCACAAATAATGATTTTCATGCCACAAACCACACAATATGTGAGAAGAACTAAAAGGGGAGGCAAGAAGCTGAAAGTGTTTATGAGAAATTGCACCTTACAGATACTGGAGGAGTGGGGAAGATGATTTTCCCACTTACCCAACCATTTCAGTGTATTGAGCTATGAAAAAAACAAATACAATCAAAAAATAGGTTTCAAAAAATTACAACTTGGCTTGGCATGGTGGCTCATGCCTGTAATCCTGGCACTTTGGGAGGCCGAGGTGGGTGGATCACATGAGATCAGGAGTTCAAGGCTAGCCTGGCCAACATGGTGAAACCCCGTTTCTTCTAAAAATACAAAAATTACCCGGGTGTTGTGGCAGGAGCCAGTGGTCCCAGCTACTCTGGAGGCTGAGGCACAAGAATGGCTTGAACCTCGGAAGCAGAGGTTACAGTGAACTGAGATCGTGCCACTGCATTCCAGCCTGGGTGACAGAGCAAGATTCTGTCTCAAAAATAAATAAATAAGTGAACAAAATAAAAATAATTTAAAAAATAAAGAATTACAACTCTAATCTCTATGCTATTTTCAAGACATAAACAAACTAAAAAATGGCACTAAAGATTGAAAATAAAGGAGTGGATACCTGAATTTAATCAGTTCTAGGGTAAACATTTTTCTCATTTAGTATCTCTGAAATATGTATATATTTTTAAATGGGTGGCCTCTTACCATTGGGACACAGTATAATTTGCAGCATTTTCCTCTGTTAATGGTATATGTAATAATGTCTCAGGTGACCCCTTCTTACAGAGCTTGTAATCCCAGTTATGTTATTTTTTATTTTATTTTATTTTCTGAGACAACGTCTCCCTCTGTCACCCAGACTGAACTGCAGTGATGCGGTCCCAGATCACCATTCACTGCAGCCTGCATCTCTAGGGCTCAAGAGATCCTCCCACTTCGGCTTCCCGAGTAGCTGGGACTACAGGCACTCGAGACCAAATCCGACTAATTTTTCAATTTTTTTTTTCTTTTTTTGGTAGAGGCAGGATCTCACTTTGTGCTTAGGGTGGTATTGAACTTCTGGGCTAAAGAGATACTCCTGACTTAGCCTCCCAAAGTGCTAGGATTATAGCAGGGAGCTACTGCTCTGGGTCAGCTTTTCTGCTAAAATGCTTTGCTGAGGTGGAAATGAGGAGGGTGAAGCAGTGGGCGGGCATTTGTTTTACAAAGGCTCTACCTAGGCTGTACCATCTGGTGAAGTGCTTGTAACTTTTAAGGTGGAAACGATGCCATTTTTCCTTTATTCTCCCGTCTGTAAGACCAGAAGGCAATTGGAGGATCCTCAAATACCAGGGAGAAACCAGGTAGCAGAAGAAGTAGTATGGTGGGAGGGGAAGATCAAAGCAAACGCCTGGGGAGTGAGTGACAATTGCGACCCCAAATTGGGTCTCCTGACTTGTCAAGGCCCTTCTCTGGGCTCCTCTGCACCTGTCCTCTGCCCAGGTTGATCCAGAAAAGGATGGAATTGGTTGCATGGTGTTTTCAGGATCCGATTGGGAGATGATGCGTTCGCGTGGGAACGCTCCTGGTAGGGTCTGTAAGCCTCTTAGGGGGATTACATCTGGATGTATAATTTTTTTTGGGAAATGTGAAAGCTTATGGGAAAAATACGTTTTACTTCCAAGCAGTGGCAGTTCCTTATTTCCTATGAGGAAGGAGTTTATAGCCCCACTCTTGACTGAAAAGTGTGAGAGACAATTCAAGCGCTTGAAAATTCACCTGTTTTGCATTTCCGGAAAGACAGAGAAAGCGTCAGTGATCCATTTCACAGATCAAGGGTATAGGAAAGTGGATGGCACTTTGAGATGTTCATTAGGTTTGGAGAGGGAGCAGACATCTGCCAGCAATCCCACCTCTTGTGCTGGAGTCTTGCAGTTCATTTTTCTCTCCTGCCCTCTTCCAAATCCTATGTCCAATATCAAGGATATCTGACAGTTAACCATCAGAATCAACGAGCGTTCCCACAGAGTTCCGTCCTGCAGGAGAGGTACCGGGACAGGGGCGGGAGACCTGAAGCTGCGATCAGAAAACGCTGTGCCTTTTACGCTCCTAAGGAACCTTAGACCGAGAGTTTCAAGTTTCAAAGGCAAGCAGTTGTTGGCCCCTCCTGTAGGATCCTGTGGGCTCTGGACCGGGAAGAGAGCCTGGCAGCGAGGGGTGACCTGGAAAAGCCCAGTCACAGAGGGTGGATGGCTGTTTCCTGCGTAGGAAGCTGTTGGCGACCAGAATGGTTTATACTTTGTTCCTGGGACCAACAGGATCTGCTTGGTTCTCGGCGCATAAGCCCACTACTCTCCCCCTGCGTAATGCACTGGGTGGAATGCAAGAACAATACAGACTTCCTGCGGGCCTCGGTGGCCCACGCCTGTGATCCCAGCACTTTGGGAGGCCCAGGCGGGCGAATCGCTTGAGCTCAGGAGTTCGAGACCAGCCTGGGCAACATAGCGAGACCGCCGTCACTAATATATATATATTTATATATATATATTTCATATATAATATATATTTTATATATAATATATATTTTATATATAATATATATTTTATATATAATATATATTTTATATTTTATATACTATATAAAATATATTATATATAATATATTATATATAATATATTATATATCTTATATATTATATATTATATATAATATATTTTATATATTATATACTATATTTTATATATTTTATATATTATATATAATATATTATATATTATATATTATATATAATATATTATATATATTATATATAATATATAATATATAATATATTATATATATTATATATAATATATTTTATATATAATATATATATTATATATTATATATATATTATATAATATATATATTATATAATATATATATTATATATAATATATAAATAAATATATATTTATATATTTTATATAATATATAAAAATATATATTTATATTTATATATTTATTTATATTATATATAAATATAAAATATATATTTTAATATATATATTTATATATATAAATATATATAAATTAGACGGGGGTGGTAGCACTCACCTGTGGTCTCGGCTACTCTAGAGGCTGAAGCGGGAGGATCGCTGGATCCCAGGAAGTCGAGGCTGCACTGAGCCAAGATGACACCACTGCACCAGCCTAGGCGACAGAGGAAAAAAGAAAAGAAAAAGACATCAGACTTCCCTAAGCCCGTGGGGGACAGAGTGGGTAGAGCCAGTAGCACTTTGGTGGCACCGAGCGCGCAGTTGGTCGGTCGCTGCACCGTTCCTTTCCCAGCGCCGGCTGTTTCTCACTGGCAACGCCACGCCTTTGTCAGCGTTATCGGACGCTCTCTGGCGGCAACCTTCTCACGGCCAAAAATTATCTTTTGCAACTGCACAGACATTTGCTACGGGCAGCTGATCGCTGGGTCCCAGCGCCGCTGGTTTCACAATTTCGCGGGTGCCCCCCACCATCCCCAGCCCGCAGCATAATCGGTGAAGGGAGCCTGCGGTTTCTCCGCCGCGCCTTCGCCCGTTGCGTCCTGCGAAGCCAGTGGAATCGGTGGTCACAAGGTTGGTTTCACCAAGTCGGGCGTTTCTTGGCACTGGCACCGCTCTGCGCTTTTGCTGGCCCAGGCCGGTCTCAGCACCGTTAGGTGCTCTCTAAAGGCGACTGTCTGTCGTGGTTAGGAAAGCTGCTATGGGACGACAGTTTTTTAGAAGTTTCTAGTCTAGCCCAGCTGGCGGTTTCTGGATCGCAGAACCACTGATTGCGCGGAGCTGGATGTACTTCTGTGGCCGCGCATGTTTCTCTGTGGTATCCCTACGGCTGTCGTCGAAATCGCGGTGTTTCTCTGGCCCCACCGCCACGTGGGCAACTTCTTCAGTGGCTGCGGGGTTCTCTCCACTGAGTTGCTGGTTTTGATCCACGCTTTCTCCCAGAGAGCAGACGAGACACTTTTCTGTTTGTGTCAACTGCTAGTCGTGCTGTGCACAGTTTCCTCGTCTCGGTGCGGGGCTTTCTCCATCCGAGGCCCTCTAGTGCCGGCTTCGCGGTCGCAGCACCCGGCGTTTCCGTTGGCTCTTTCGCCAGCGGCGCGAAGCCGGCGGTTTTGCTGTCACAGCACTTGCTGCACGGAGTTTCTCGGTAGCCGAACTTCTCTTTTTTTCTCAGAGTCGACGGTTTCTTGGTGACGGCACCGCTGGTTGCGCCAAAACAAATGTTGTCCTTGACAACCCCGCCGGCTGCATTCCCTTTCAGGCTCCTGGCACCGCCATTTCGGCGAGCCGTGGTCTCTTGTTCACAGCTCTGTGCCTCCATTTCTCGGTGGCGGCAGCCCTCAGGCCGCGGATCTGAGAGATTTAAAGTCGCAGCTGCCCCCGTTGCGCCGAGTCTGGCGTTGCCGGATGGGTGCTGCAGGGCTGGGCGGGGGGAGCCCGACGCTCCTTGGAGCCGGTGACAGGGGAGCTGCAGGGGCACAGTCTCTTCCCAGCGCCGCCGCACGGGTTCCGGCTCGGCCTCCAGAACGCAGTCCTGTGGCGGCGCCGCCGGCGTCTCTGTCGCAGGACCCCACGGTTTCGCGCGTCGTTGGCTTCTTAGTCCTAGCAAGTTTCGATTTCGCGGTGCCTGGGATTTCCACCCTCTGTCCAAGTAGGGGAATAGCCAAAATGTATTTTCTCAGCCCAAGCAAGTCCTGACTTAAGACAAACACCGGTCTAGCCCTGGCTGCGATATCTAGGCCGTAGGAACTCACCCGTTTCCCCATGCGAAGGCGAAGTTACCCTGTGACTCGTTGGTCAGCAGCTCCGGGTTTCCAGTGGCCTCGGATTTCTAATCATAACAACCATGGGGTCAGCCTAGCCTCAAGTTTCTTAGTCCTAGCAAGTTCCGGTTTCCTACTGGTAAGACTTGCTTTAGCTGCGCAGGAAATGTTTAACTCCTGTGGAAATCTGGGTACCAGCGAATGCTTTTTTTTTTTTTTTAAAGGTTTAGCGATGACCAGTTTAGCAGTGTTGGGAGCTCTTATACCAAGTTTGGTTTCGCAATATCGAGTCCTGTCTTAGCTATGCTTGTGTGTTTTTAAAACTCCCGTGGAAGTCAGGAAATGCCGGCGATCGCGATGTCTCAGTTTTACCAAGCTCCCTTTGACAATAGCAAGTCCTGCCCATCGAGACTTTTTCCTCTTGTAGACCAAATCGGGATGTACCAGCTACTACGATTTTTTAGACGTAGCTAAACACGTTTAACCGTGGATATTTTTGTTTTTTTTCTCGTAGGAAATTATGACAGGAGCAACCTGCAGGGGTTTAGATCTGACAGAAATATTCTAATGGTAGGCATTGCATCGCTTAGCCATATTTGTAATTTCTTCTTTGTAGGGTTGGTTCTCTGTAACTTTTGCTTACCTTAAAATTATTTTTGTGTCTTGCTCTGAGGACAATGTTACCGATGTGTTTTTCATTTTTACTTGCATTTCAGACTTTCATTATTTTAAATTATGTATTTTTTTTTTCTTCTAATTTTGAGCGTCTCAGATTCGTGCTTCTTGACTTTCATTCTCTCAGGAGCCGGGGAGCCGAGCTCGGTCTTAGCCTCGCTGGTATCAGGTTCCGGGTTCTGTCTGGAGGCTCCGCTTCCTATGCAGAGCTGGCGGTTTTGTATCAGCACGTTTGCCAGTGGCGCCCACTGGGCGTTTTCTCAGTTGCTGCACCCAACGTGACATTTCCCGTTCGCGGGGTCCTTAGGTTCTCAGTGCTGTCACTTTTTCGCTCCTACAACCGCTAGTATCTCCTAGGAACTTCCTGAACCCCGTTTTGCCGTGCAGAACGGTGATTGCACCGAGCCGCTGTTCGCACTAGTAATTGTGTGGTACCATTAGCCGGCGCTTTTTCTGTCACAACCCATTAAAACGGGTTAAAACATATTAAACCTATCAAACACATTGAACGGATTAAAACACATTAAATGCCGCAACACATTTTTCTGGTACAACACATTGAAACAGAGTTGGTTCATTCCTCCAAACAGGTTGTTTAGGTGTGGAAGCACCGCTCTTAGTTCTAAGAGCATGCTGTTTCTCTTTAGCAGCACCCTTTACGGCGCCAAAACGGATATTTGTTTGGCAATACCAGCGCTATCCGCTAGGTGCCGGCGCTTGCTAAGTTCAACGCGCCAGTTTCTCGTTTGCAAGGTGGTTAGGGCAGAGCCCTAGCAGACAGTTTTCCGGTGGCAGCAACGCTCATTTCCCGGAAACGGGTGGTTCTTGGCCCTTGCGCGCTCTTGAATACCTGCGTTCTGTAGCGCTAGTTCTCTTCAAGATTTGCTTAGTGTCATTTCATTTCGGTTTCTTTTCTCGCCATGTTTTTCTGTCGGAATTACGGTTCGTTTTGGTTCTATGTACTCTCTAAAATGTTATCGTTTTTCATTTGTCTACTAATTTTCGTGCATTTGTTACTACTGAGTTTCTTAATATCTGACTGGCCTCCGCCCACGGGCTCTGCAGAGCATAAATACTCAGGCTGATGGTAGTGCAGAGACTCTCCCTCCTTGATCAGCGCAAACGTTGGTCTGAGGCTTGAGGGATGGAGCAACATTTTCTTGGCTGTGTGAAGCGGGCTTGGGATTCCGCAGAGGTGGCGCCAGAGCCCCAGCCTCCACCTATTGTGAGTTCAGAAGATCGTGGGCCGTGGCCTCTTCCTTTGTATCCAGTACTAGGAGAGTACTCACTGGACAGCTGTGATTTGGGACTGCTTTCCAGCCCTTGCTGGCGGCTGCCCGGAGTCTACTGGCAAAACGGACTCTCTCCTGGAGTCCAGAGCACCTTGGAACCAAGTACAGCGAAGCCCACTGAGTTCAGTTGGCCGGGGACACAGAAGCAGCAAGAGGCACCCGTAGAAGAGGTGGGGCAGGCAGAGGAACCCGACAGACTCAGGCTCCAGCAGCTTCCCTGGAGCAGTCCTCTCCATCCCTGGGACAGACAGCAGGACACCGAGGTCTGTGACAGCGGGTGCCTTTTGGAACGCCGCCATCCTCCTGCCCTCCAGCCGTGGCGCCACCTCCCGGGTTTCTCAGACTGCCTGGAGTGGATTCTTCGCGTTGGTTTTGCCGCGTTCTCTGTACTCTGGGCGTGCTGTTCACGGATCTGTGGAGCTAAGCAGCCTTAGATAGCAGCAGAAGGCTTTTTGGATTCTCCTCCTTGAAAAGATTCTCAGTTACCAAACGTCTCCACCTAGAAAATAAAAATACATTAAGATGTGCTTTCATTGCTGGTTGTCAGTTTTTAAATTCTCTTTTTCCCTTATGTTTCTTTCTTGTTTCGCGTCGCTTATTACTTTCAGTTTCCTTGTATTTTAAATATTTGTATTTATTTCATTAAATATTTCATTCGTATCTGTTTTCACTTTGAGAAATCTATTTTACGATTGTAGAATTCTTAGAGTTTTTGGCAAATTTAAAATTTGTTTTTTTCCATTGTATTTTAAAATCTTATTCCTACTATTTTTCTAATTATTGCTTTTTAAATGTATTGTTTGTTTACATTTAATTTTATATCATGTCTTTTACGTTATTATAACGTCTTTTTAATTTTAATTGTTAATTTTATTTTTAACAGCGGTCTTTCTTTTTTTCAGTATATCGATTCATTGTTTTACACTCAGGAATTTTATTCACGATCATAAGACTGAGAGGTTTATCAATCTTTGCTATTTCTCGTGGAAGGACCACGCAATTACTTATATTAATACAACTTCACAGATGACCAGTTCTTAAGATTACTTATTCTGGCGGGGCAGCGTGGCTCACGGCAGTAATCCCAGCACTTTCAGCAGCGGAGGCATGCGGATTGCTTGAGCTCAGGAGTTTGAGAAAAGCCTGGGCGACAGGGTGAGGCCTGTGTCTACAAAAAATGCAAAAGTTAGCCCTGTGAGATGGTGTGCACCTGTAGTCCCAGCTGCTCCGGAGGCTGGGGTGGGCGGGTTGCTTGAGCTCAGGAGGTCGAGGCTGCGGTGAGCCGGATAGCACCAACGCCCTCCAGCAGAGCGAGAGCCTGTCTCAAAATAAATAAATAATTGAAAAGACTACTTATTCATGGGTCTCAGGGCTAGCAGTGTTTCCAGCGTCTTTTTCTTTGGAACAGTTTAGCTTGGCTTATAAGAGAACTACCAGTTACTTAATGGTACCACAACTGGGTTTAGCAATTCGGGTAGGCACAGCAGGTCCGGCTTGGCCCTGCCTGCTTTGACTGCCTTTTCGGGAGTTTTAAACCTCCTACACTCGGAATGTAGCCCTGATTGTGGTTTCTCTGCATAGCAAGTTCGGACTTAAGCGGAATAAGTATCGGCTTATTTCGCCTGCGATAAAGATGCTTAATTCTGCGTTCGAAATATTCTGAGCGAGTCCTGGGTTAGGGATTTCTTAGAGTAACAAGTGCATGCTTCGATTTTAAGTGCCCCTGTGAATGTGATTTCTTAGCTCTTGCAAGTCCATATTTGGTCGCAACCAGTACTAGCATAGCCATGCCTGCGACTCCTTAGTCCCAGTAACTTTCGGTTTCATAATAACTTACCCTGCTTTACTTATGCCTGAGTTTTAAATATAGAAGTCCGGGCACGTAGGTGAAGAAGATATTTTAGGAGTAGCAAGTAGCGGTTTAGCAGTGTCTGCAGTCCCTTAGTTAGAAGTCCTGGTGAGACCGAGCAGATACTGATATAGGCCTGACAGCGATATTACCTCTGTGAAACCACATTGTTTAGAAGTGTTTGCATTTTCTTCTTTGTAGAGTCCATTTTTCCATGTTTTGCTTAGTTTTGAATTTTCATTTGATGAATCTTCCCAAATGTATTGTTTTTATTGTGTGTGCGTGTGTTTTTCAGCTAACTTGCCCTTTAAAAAAAAATTGTTCCTAATTTTTGTTTTGCTGACCCTCAGCTTTATGCTGTCTGGTTTGCGCTGGCCTGTAATTCCCGGAACTAAATATTCTATTCTTTTGGCCTAACTGGCCTTTCGTCGATGGCATTACTGCTAGTTTTGCCGCTCTAGGTGCTCCTCGGTGTTAGCACTGCCGGTTGCTTCTGTGAGGCTTGCTAGAGCCCAGGACGCTGAGGTGCTGGGTGACCCCGTTTCGGTGCAACCACTCCGAAGGTTCTCGGTTTATCCAGCTGTGTTTTGGAACAAATGCCAATTCTTCCTGGGAGCAAGTGTCTTTCAGTCGCGTTCCTGGCTGTTTTCTTCAAAAGCAGGCGTTTCTCCTGGTAGCACCGCTTGTTGGCGACGTCGGATTCTTTTCCGTGGCAGTACTGGTCGTTTCATGGAGTGGCCGGTTTCTCACTCGCACTGTGCCGGCTGGCAGTTATTCCGTGGAGGCGCAGCTCTCAGCCGCTTCCCTTGGTTCTCGGTGTCGGCTGTCCCTGTACCTGCGTTTGTGGCGGTATTTCTGTCACAATCGAGTCTGTGTTTTTTCGATGACAACGCCATTCATTTCTCTAAAACAGGCTATGTTTGGAATTGGCAATTTTTCTTTGTCAGAGTCCTTGGTTTCGCAGAGCCTGTTGTTCCAGGTTACTGGACTGCTGTTTGCTCCGTGCTAGCAATGTTGCACCCAGTACCGTTAGGTGCTCCCTGTTGGAGTTTTGAGACAGCGTTTTGAGATAGGTGCACCAGCACTCCAGACCTGGCACCTGAAGAAAGCATTATCATTTCAAGCTCAGTAGGGGCAATAGAATGAGTGGTGTTAGAGAAAGCAAGCAGATGCTTGAAGAAAGGGCCACTCCACAGTATTTTTTGGCTTTTTTTTTTTTTTCACTTTTTTTGAGACAGGGTCTGGCTGTGTCCCCCAGGCTGGAGTGCAGTGGCACAAGCATAGCTCACTGCAGCCTCAACCATCCTGGGTCATGCAGTCCTCCCTTCTCAGCCTCATAAGTAGCTGGGACTACAGGTATGTGCCACCATGCCTGGCTACTGTGTGTGTGTGTGTGTGTGTGTGTGTGTGTGTGTATGTATGTGTGTGTGTGGAGATGGCTTATCTTTCTATTACCCAAGATGGTTTTGAACTCCTGGCCTCAAGTAATCCTCCTGCCTCGGCCTCCCAAAGTGCTGTGGTTGCAGGTGTGAATCACCACAGCCAGCCTATTTTTTACTTCAGATAAAATATTTCAGTACCCTGAGGTCTAGGTGAAACAAAACAAGGTAATAAATTACTAATCCATATCTCTGAACAGCTGTTGTCTTTCAGTGTCTAAACTCAATCAGAAGCCTGGGAGCAAAAGTAGCTCTCCAGTGCAGTCCATACAGGTTGCTTCTTGCAGCGCAGTGCTGACTGAAGAGCCTTAAGCGGATCTAGAGAGGCAGACTGTTACCTAGCAGTGTCTTTATGTTGGTCAACCTATTCACAGTGGTAACTTTTTTATTTTTTTATTTTTTTTTTTATACAATCTCCCATTGAAACCCAGGCTGGAGTGCATTGGCACGATTTCGGCTCACGGCAACCTCTGCCTCCTGGGTTCAAGTAATTCTTGTGACTCAGCCTCCCGAGTAGCTGGGATTACAGGCATGCACCACCACACCCGGCTAATCTTCTTGTATTTTTGGTAGAAACCGGGTTTTGCTATGTTGGTGGGGCTGGTCTCCAACTCCTGGCCTCAAGTGATCTGCCCACCTTGGACTCCCAAAGTGCTAGAATTTCAGTCATGAACTACCCCACCTGGCCCACAATGGTAACTTTTAAAAATGGTCTAACAACAACTCTGTACTCATAATTTCAACAAATTAGATAAAATGCATCAATCCTGCGAGATCCAGTCTACCCAACTCATGAAAAATAATCTGTAAATTTTTGCAATTATTAAAGATATTGAATTCATGGTCAAAAATCTTCCAAAAAAAAAACAAAAACAAAAACAAAAAACCTAGAGGTTCTTACCATTTCACTGACTAATTTTACCTAATATTCAAAGAATAAATAACAAATTCTACACAATTTATTCTAGAAAATAAAAGAATATGGAATACTTCCCAACTTATTTTATGAGATCAGCATTTTCCTGGCAAACCGAGGACACTAAGAGAAAACTACTGACCAAGATTGCACCTAAACATAGATGCAGAAATCCTCACCAAAATACTAACAAATAGAAATCAGAAATGTATGTTAAAGAACAATACCATGCCCAAGTAAGGTTTATTCCATATATAAGTCTGGTTTAATACTCAAAAGTCAATCAGTATATTTCACCCTATTGGTAGGCTCAATGAGAAACACTGTATAATCCTGTCAAATGATGCACAAAAAGCATTTAAGAAAATCTATATGCATTCGTGATTTAAAATTTAAAAACTAACTCTCAGCAACGTGGGAATAGAGGGATTTTCATCAACCGTGCAAAGAACGTCGACAAAAACCTGTAGCAACATTGTATGTAATAGTGACAGACTCAATGCTTTTCTCATGAAATCAGGAACAAGGCCAAGATAGTCGCTCCAACCATTTCTATTCAACAAGGTACTGGAATTGTTCGCCAGTGCAATAAGGTGAGAAAAGGAGTAAGAAAGCATATACATTGGAAGTGAAAAAATGAAACTATTCATACATGCAGAACATGAGCCTATGGAGAAAATCTTAAAGAGTCTAGAAGAAAACTTCCAGAAATTATGAGTTTAACAAGGCCTCAAGATAGAAAGGTGCAAACCTTCAGAGGGAAAAAGTTCCAGGGCCTCAGAACAGGAGAATTTCCTGCAGTAAGTTCTCAGGTCTGCTGCCTGTTCACCGGATTTCCTGTAGGCTCAGCCTGTGAGTCACCAGCCATGCACGACCCCTGGCCTATTCTCCCCTCCAATCTCTGCATAAGACACACACTTCTTGTACTTTTTGTTTGCCCTGCAACCAGCAAACCTAGGGGATTCAGGGTCCCCGTGATAGTCCTGGCACCAGCAACCAGCCACCCCGCCCCTGAGGCTCATCCTTACCCAACATCAACAGGAACACAGGCAACAAGAATTTCACATTTGTGTACGATTTTATTGAGAAGGGGAAAGACAAAGGCACAAAATGATCGAAAGGCAAAACTTCCATCGCATTTGAGCGAACTCACGTGTTACTGTAACAACATCTGTTACAAGAGATCGTCCAATGGAAGGTCTTAGCGGAAATCTCAGGGCTCAGGACTCCAAAGACACATTGGACTCGGTGGACACATTCTTAGGGCGTCTGCCCCAAGAGCATGCAATCTGCAGCCAGCAGTCTTGGAACTTTGGTTGGTGGCTCCGAGGTCAGCAGTAGGCTGACACTCTGAAAGGTCTCCTCGGACGGACCTGTCCGGCTGGAGTTGTCTGCCTACCGAGCGAGGGGCGAGTTGCGAGGGAGGCTGCGGGGACGGGAGTACGTTGAGACCCTATGCAGCCTCCTGCTCTCCCGAGGGCTCCTGCGGATCCTCCTGGGTCTCTGGCGCGGGATCCAGAGCGGGCGACTCTGCGCCCCGCCTCAAGGTGCTCTGAGGCTTGAGAAAGAGATCTTTTCGCCGGCAGTTTCAGCAATGAAGCACGCAGGGAGCCGAAAGTAGGTCCCAGTGGAAATCTAGGCCGTCCCAGGAGAGCTCGCAGTGATAAGGAAAGGAAGGGAGCATCCAGGACACCGAATGTACTGAGCTCAGGGCTGGAGGCATCTGGCCCCGCCAACTCCTTTGCGGAATCCCGGGCCTGCCAAACTCCGAGGGGAGACAGCAGCTCCACAGCAGCTCCTTCGTGTCTTTCATTCACCAGCTGACGCCGGGTATGTGGGACTCAGAAGTCAACATCTTTTGCGTTTTTATACTCTTCTGGCCTCCTGGGGGTCCAAATCAGATTTCAGGGAGGTGGGTGGAAACCTTAATCTTAGGAGCAAATTACATCAAGAGATGGAATTAATGAGATTTACATAAAGTCCTATCATCTGAGATGAAGTTATCTAGTTAAATAGTTTGCTTTAGGGATTGAAAAGAAAAAATACTATCTGGTGCAGGGAAATCTGTTTTGGGGGACCCTGGTTAGAAAATTCATTATTGCCCCCAAATGCATTACTAGTACTGGAGCAGACTTGGATCCTTTTCTACCCCAGAGCAATGCTTGTCAGATGCCTGATGGGTCATAATGTTACTGAGGAGCAGGCCAGGGTAGTCGCCCATTTTTAAAATAAAAATACCTGTTTTGTTTTGTTTTGTTTTGTTTGTTTGTTTGTTTCTTTTGACACGGAGTTTTGCTCTTGCTGCCCAGTCTGGAGTGCAATGGCAAGATCTCGGCTCACCGCAATCTCTGCCTCCTGAATTCAAATGGTTCCCCTGCCGGCTGGGCGCGGTGGCTCACGCCTGTAATCCCAGCAGTTTGGGAGGCAGAGGCGGGCGGATCACAAGGTCAGGAGATCGAGACCATCTTGGCTAACACGGTGAAACCCCGTCTCTACTAAAAATACAAAAAATTAGCCGGGCGCGGTGGCGGGCGCCTGTAGTCCCAGCTACTCGGGAGGCTGAGGCAGGAGAATGGCGTGAACCTGGGAGGCGGAGCTTGCAGTGAGCCGAGATTGCGCCACTGCAATCCCGCCTGGGCTAAAGAGCGGGACTCCGTCTCAAAAAAAAAAAAAAAAAAAAAAAAAATGATTCCCCTGCCTCAGCCTCCCGAGTAGCTGGGATTACAGTCGCCCGCCACCATGCCCAGCTAATTTTTTGTATTTTTAGTAAATACGGGGTTTCACTATGTTGCCCAGGCTGGTCTTGAACTCCTGACCTCAGGTGATCCTCCCGCCTCGGCCTTCCAAAGTGCTGGGATTACAGGCGTGAGCCATCGCGCCTGGCCTTTTATGGTATTTCATAATACTATTGTGTGTTATGTGGCCTCTTTTTAAATTTTAATTTTAGATTCAGGGGGTACATGTGTAGGTTACAAGGGTCTATTGTGTGATGCTAAGGCTTCTATTGATATTGTCAATACTAGTATTGAACATAGTCCTCAGTAGTCCTCAGTGGAACATAGTCCTCAGTAGGAAGTTTTTCAGCCTCTACCCCCTTATCTCCTTACCTCCTTTTGTTGTCCTTCAGTTTTCTATTGTTCTCATGTTTATCTTATTTTATTTCATTGAGACAGGGTCCCACTCTGTCGCCCAGACTGGAGTGCAGTGGCATGATCTTGGCTCACTACAACTTCCACCTCCTGAGTTGAAGCAATTCTCCTGCCTCAGCCTCCCGAGTAGCTGGGATTACAGGCGCCCACCACCATGCCAGGCTATTTATATATATATATATAAATATATAATATATTATAATATATAATATATAAATATATTATATATTATATATATAATATATTTATATATTATATATATAATATATTTATATATTATATATATAATATATTAATATATTATATATAATAATATATATAATATATATATAAATTAAAAATATATATTTATATATTATATATTATATATTTATATATTATATATTATATAATATATATTATATATTTATATAATATATATTATATTATATATTATAATATATATTATATTATATATTATTATATATTATATTATATATTATAATATATATTATATATTTATATATAATATATAAATATATTATATATATATTATATATTTATATATTATATATAAATATATTATATATTTATATATTATATATTTATATGTAATATATATTATAATATATATTATAATATATATTATATATTTATATATTATATATTTATATGTAATATATATTATATATTTATATATTATATATTATATATATTACTATATATAATATACAATATATATTACTATATATTATATATTTATATATAATATATAATTATATATTGTATATTATATATAATATATTTTATAATATATATTATATATAATACAATTTGTTATATATATAACAAATTATAATATATATTTATATATATATATTTTTAGTAGAGATGGGGTTTCACCATGTGGGCCAGGCTGGTCTCAAACTCCTGACCTCAAATTATCCCTCCCTGCCCCTCTGCCTCGGCCTCCCAAAGTGCTGGGATTACAGGCATGAACCACTGCACCCTGCCCTGTTCTCATCTTTATGTTCCTGTGTATCAGGTTTACCTCCCACTTATAAGTAAGAACATGCAATATGTGTTTCTGCATTAATTTGCTCTGGGTAATGGCATCCTTACAGAATAGTTTGAAGTTGGATAATGTGATGCCTCAGGCTTCTTTTTTTTTTTTTTTTGCTTAGGATGCTTTGCCTATTACTTGACTAATTCTTTTTTTTTTTTTTTTTTTTTGAGACAGGGTCTTGCTCTTTCACTCAGATGGGAATGCACTGGCATGGCCTTGGCAGCCTCGAACTCTCAGGCTCAAGTGATCCTCCCCCTTCAGCCTCCAGAGTAGCTAGAAATACAAGTTTGTGCCCCCATACCTGGCTCATTTTTTTTACTGTTGTTTTTGTAAAGATAGGGTCTCACCATGTTGCCCAGGCTGGTCATTGCCCAGTTCTTAATGTGGTCGTTCACTCTCCCAGTACTGTCTTCTACTGCTGAATTGCTAAATTTAAAGTATTGCAGAATTTGTTTGTATGTGTGCAATAATATACAATGGAGCTGACAGGGCACACAATCCCCTGGGCTCAGGGTTGGTGGCCTCTGGAGTCCTGGTGCCTAGTCTGTTGAATCCCAGGCCTGATGCACCCCAGAGGAAAGTCCTGCCCCTGCTGCACCCCAGGAGGAAAGTGCTGCTTCATGGCATCCATCTCACAATTGGTGACAGAGTATCTGGAACTTAGAAATCTCCAGCATTTGTGTTTCTATACTCTTCTGCTCTCTTGGGTGGTTCTAACCAGATAACAAGAAACTGGATGATAACTTCAGTCTTAGAAGCAAATTTCCTTAGGAGATAGAATTAATGATACTAACATAAAATCCTACCGTCTGGGGTGAAATTATCTAGATTAGGACAGATTGGTTTTGCAGATGAAAGGAAAAAGTACTACCATGTCTGTGGAGGAAAAGCTGTTTTTATGGTGCCTGGCTTTAGAAAGTTCATTATTGCCCCCAAATCACATTGCTAGTCCTAGAGCAGAGACTAGAATCCTTTCTACCAGGAGAAAAGCTTGGGGTTAATGTATAAAGCAGATATGGGGTGTTACTGAGGAGCTGGGTAAGCATAGTTGCCCAATTGTTAATGTGGTCTTTCACTCTCCCAGTTTTGTCTTCTGCTGAATTGCTGTATTAAAAAGATTTTGGCCAGGTGCAGTGGCTCAGAGCTGTAATCCCAGCACTTTATGAGGTGAGGCAGGCGGATCACTTAAGCCCAGGAGTTTAAGACTATCCTGGGTAACATGGCGAAAAAAATACAACAATCAACTGGGCAAGGTGGTGCATGCCTATAGTCCCAGCTACTTGAAAGACTGAGCCGGAGAGCCACCTGAGCTTGGGAAGTTGAGGCTGCAGTGAGCCGAGATTCAGCTTACTGTACTCTAGCCTGAGCAGCGGAGTGAGACCCTGTCTCAAAAAACAAAAAGAAAAAAGATTTAGGCTGGGCACGGTGGCTCACGTCTGTAATCTCAGCACTTTTGGAGGCCAAGGAGGGAGGATCACCTGAGGTTAGGAGTTCGAGACCAGCCTGAGCAACATGGAGAAACCCCGTCTTTACTAAAAATACAAAATTAGCTGGGCATGGTGGCACATGCCTGTAATCCCAGCTACTCGGGAGGCTGAGGCAGGAGAATTGCTTGAACCTGGGAGGCCGAGGTTGCGGTGAGCTGAGATCACCACATTGCACTCCAGCCTGGGCAACAAGAGCAAAATGCCATCTAAAAAAAGAAAGAAAGAAAAAAGATTTCAACACTTCTGCTTGTGTGTAATAGCAAGAAGTTTCAGGCCCCACTGGCTCGGTTACAGAGAGGTTACATGCCATTCTAGATGTGTGAACCTCTGTAAGTTATCCAACCCGGTAGCCTTTATTTTAACCACCTCAGAAATGGAAGCCAAATGTGCTTTCATTTTACAAAGTAACTATCAGGGATACTTTTGATGGAAAAAGTTAATGTTTGGACAGTATCTGGTTGAAAGTAATTAGGTCAGTTTTTAACAATATTATCGTTGATTTTATCATAAACTGAAAGATATTCTTAATCAGAACGAATGTAAAATGAATCCTTCTTTGTTGTATTCTTGCTGTGGATTTTTTTTCCTTCTCATATCCTCTGTGAAACTGGAATTTGTCTGAGTTAAACATGCTATTTGGAAAGCATCAATGGATACAATTATAGAATTACCTAATTAAACATTATTGTTTACTATGGTAAAATCTGATTGATCCCAACATTTAGCAAGCATGTTTTGATATCCTTCTGTGTTCCAGGGGCTATAAAGGGAGCCACAAATACAAAGATGAGGAGTTGGCTGCAGTTTTCACAACTCTTACTAATGAGAGAATAAAGACTCTGTCAGGAGATCATTCAGAACACAGCTAACTCTGTGTTTATTCCAGGAGCTGATTTGAAGACCAGAAAGAAAAGGTCTGAATTGAAGCTTCCCTTCAAAGCCATGCTTCTTTTTACTAGAAAAAAGGAAAATATGCAACTATACAACAGGAAGTGAAAAAAATGAAACAGAATGAGAATGACAGAATAGATACAGAAGGCAGAAGATTGAAAGCTCTTGTTAGGTGAAAGGTTTATGGACTCTAGGTGTCTGGAGAATGAATCCTGAGAGCAGGAGCAACTCCTACATGCCAGTATTACTCGAGAAGTACCAGTGGTGATCCCAGAAAACTAGCTTTAGCATTTTTTTTTTTTTTTTTTTGAGACGGAGTCTCCCTCTGTTGCCCAGGCTGGAGTGCAGTGGCGCGATCGTGGCTCACTGCAAGCTCCGCCTCCCGGGTTCATGCCATTCTCCTGCCTTAGCCTCCCAAGTAGCTGGGACTACAGGCACCCGCCACTACACCCGGCTAATTTTCTGTATTTTTAGTAGAGACGGGGTTTCACCGTGTTAGCCAGGATGGTCTCGATCTCCTGACCTCGTGATCCGCCTGCCTCGGCCTCCCAAAGTGCTGGGATTACAGGCGTGAGCCACCGCGGCCGGCCTCTTTAGCATTTCTTTGAGTATGTAGCCTGGATGTGTCTCTCCAGATGTGAACAGTGGATGGAACCTTGCATTGTAGAGAGTTGGCAGTGCTCTGCATGGGTATAACACACAGAGTAGTGACCATTCCCAAAGGAGACCCATGTCACACAGGCAGAGACCTGCTGTCCAGACTCTTATGCAGACATACTTCTCCCTCCAACATGTGCAAAGGAATGTACTATTTCTTTTCAACTTCCCCAGACAAAAACTGTTAAGGCAGGTGATACTTTCTCAGGGAATGTTGATTTACACATACTGCAATTATAATATTATCTGAAAAAAAAGAAATCTGCAAGTGATCTGAGGGTAAATGCTGCAGCTGCAAGCCCCACTTGCAAGTATTCTCAGGACAAATGGGAAATGGGTTAAATGACTGCGTATAGTATTTTGCTTTTACATGTTATTTATATTATGTTACATCCTCCAAGAATTAGCGTGTCATAACTTAGAGAATAAAGAACTCAGCTGATATAGGGGTCAACTAATCTGATAAACTTAGGAAGAAAATGTAGAAATATACCATCAAGCGTTATCAGTTACAGCTTTCTTACAAATGCCTTTGCTACATCTTTGGCCAACCTGATAATTTATGGAGTCAATATCATATACGTGGGCACTGTATCATCAGTAGTTTAACAATTCAATCAAAACTAAATCAAAACTTCCACCTTTATCTAATCATGTATCATTTTTGCCTAGAGGCCAGCAGGCCATCTTGGGCAGAAGACTACAAGATTTTTTTAGTCTAGATACCTCCCATTTAGTTCACTGAAAGCCATTAATTGCTTTCTCTTTGTCCATGGCTGTAACAAACGTTTATTTTTATTTTGGAGGCAAGGTTTCACTCTGTAGCTCAGGCTAGAATGCAGTGGTATCATCACAGCTCACTTCAGCCTTGAACTCCTGGGCTCAAACAATTATGTTGCCTCAGCCTCCTGTGTGGCTGGGACTACAAGCAGACACCAACACATCCAGCTAATTTTTTTTTTTTTTTTTTTTTTACTAGAGATGGTATTTTACTATGTTGCCTGGGCTAGTTTTGAGTTTTTGGCCTCAAGTGATCCTCCTGCCTCAGCCTCCCATAGTGCTGGGATTACAGGCATGAGCCACTATGCCCGGCCCATAATAAAGTTTTCTAGTCTTAGAATCTTTGTACTTTATATTCTCTCATGATGGTAACTCCACCTTTTTTTTTTTTTTTTTGAGACAGGGTCTTGCTCTGTTGCCCAGGCTGGAGTACAGTGGTGTGTTCTCAGCTCACTGCAAGCTCTGCCTCCCGGGTTCAAATGATTCTCTCGCCTCAGCCTACTGAGTAACTTGAGATTACAGGTGTGGGCCACCACGCCCAGCAAATTTTCTTATATTTTTAGTAGAGATGGCATTTCACCATGTTCGCCAGGATGGTCTTGAACTCCTTGCCTCAAGTGATCCGCCTGCCTTGGCCTCCCAAAGTGCTAGGAGTACAAGTGCGAGCCACTGCACCCAGCCTAGGTTGGTTTGTTTGTTTTTTGGTGTTGTTCATTGCATTACTCATATCGAAGTGGAAGTATCTGTGACAATTCTATCCTTACTATAGTAGCTAATATAATATCCTCCTAGTTACCTTTTCAACTAAGTTGCGTTAAGTTTCTTGATAACATTTATCATATAAACACGGTTTTATTTATTTATTTGTTGTCATGCTTTTTTTTTTTTTTTACAATCCATGAAGGTGTCAAACACTTTATGGCCAAGTCCATGTCTGCTTGTTGATTACTTATCTCTGGGACCTTGTTCACTATGTAGTACAATATAGACACTTGGTATTTGTTAATGAAGACATGATAAATGTATTAAAATCTTGGGTGTGGTGGCTTATGCCTGTAATCCCAGCACTTTGGGAGGCTGAGGTGGGAGGATTGCTTGAGCCCAAGAGTTTGAGATCAGCCTGGGCAGCAGAGGGAGACTCTATCTCTACAAAATTTTTAAAATTCTCTGAGTGTATGGTGCGTGCCTGTAGCCTCAGCTACTTGGTAGGCTTAGGTGGGAGGATTGCTTGAGTCTAGGAGATTAAGGCTGAAGTGAGCAGTGATTATGCCACCACACTGCAGTATAGGTGACAGATTGAGACCCTGTCTCAAAAAGCAAACATCAACAACAACAACAACAAAAAGGGTAGTCTCAGAGCTCTATAACTGATTATAAACCACTCTACGAAAGGATCTAAGTAAAACAATAATTGTAGATGACAAAAGTCTTACAATAGCCATGGTTTAAGACACAACTGACAAAGAAATGTGGTTATATCTATGATATATAACATTTGAATATAATAATCATAATTAGTTCTGAAAACATATACTAAGACATATCACAATCAGAAGAATCTCATACAATTTTAAAACACTAATAACACATTTACATAAATACAATGCAAAGATGGTTACATATCATTTTATATTTGATAATACTTCTTGTGTGATTATACCAACTAAGCCAAATATGTCTCTTTGGATTTCAGGGGACTCAATGTCAAAAAAACTAATGAGATGAAAATGACTGAATTTAGAATTGGATTTTGGAAAGTTTGT
Source organism: Homo sapiens (assembly GCF_000001405.40). Lineage (NCBI taxonomy): Eukaryota > Metazoa > Chordata > Mammalia > Primates > Hominidae > Homo > Homo sapiens. Next base: position 43,025,922 of record NC_000005.10, on the reverse strand, counting down.
CAAACATCAAAGACTTAAAACACTTGATATCACAAAACAGGATCACAGGTTATCGGGGGACCTGCGCCGATAATCACGTAGGTTCTTTTCTATTTTCCTAAGCGTCGACTGGCTTGAGAAATAAAAGAACAGAGTACAAAAGAGAGAAATTTTAAAGCTGGGCGTCCGGGGGAGACATCACACATTGGTAGGATCTGTGATGCCCCACAAGCCACCGAAACCAGCAGGTTTTTTTAGGGATTTTCAAAAGGGGAGGGAGTGTGCGAATAGGTGTGGGTGACAGACATCAAGTACTTAACAGGGTAATAGAATATCACAAGGCAAGTGGAGGCAGGGCGAGATCACAGGACCACAGGACCGAAACGAAATTAAAATTGCTAATGAAGTTTTGGCACCATTGTCACTGATATTATCTTATCAGGAGACAGGGTTTTGAGATCAACTGGTCTGACCAAAGTTTATTAGGCGGGAATTTCCTCTTCCTAATAAGCCTGGGAGCGCTATGGGAAACTGGAGTTTATTTCACCTCTGCAATCTCGACCATAAGAGACAGGTACGCCCCGGGGCGGCCAGTTCAGAGACCTACCCCTAGGTGCGCATTCTCTTTCTCAGGGACGGAATTCAGCGATATTTCTCCCATTTGCTTTTGAAAGAAGAGAAATATGGCTCTGTTCTGCCCGGCTCACCGGCGGTCAGAGTTTAAGGTTATCTCTCTTATTCCCTGAACAATTGCTGTTACCCTGTTCTTTTTTCAGGGTGCCCACATTTCATATTGCTCAAACACACATGCTGTACAATTTGTGTACTTAACGCAATTATTACAGGGTCCTGAGATGATATACATCCTCCTCAACTGACAAGATTAAGAGATTAAAGTAAAGACAGGCATAGGAAATCACAAGGGTATTGATTGGGGAAGTGATAAGTGTCCATGAAATCTTTACAATTTATGTTTAGAGATTGCAGTAAAGACAGGCATAAGAAATTACAAAAGTATTAATTTGGGGAGCTAATAAATGTCCATAAAATCTTCATAATCCACGTTCTTCTTTCATGGCTTCAGCCGGTCCCTCCGTTTGGGGTCCCTGACTTCCCACAACAGGTCATTGTAAAAAATAAGTCATTCATTTAGTTAAGCAGTAACTCAAAGTTTTCAAAAACTAAAAGCCAAAACCTTTCACTCTTTGAGACTTGCTTTCCCAAACAATAAGAGCTAATAAAGACAGCATGAAGCCAATCAAATCTTTCTCAGATATTATAGACAAATCTAATAAATTTTAATCATCTTGACCATAAGATACAACTTTTGTAAACCTTTTCATAATCTTTCATAATTTTTTTAATAAGAATGGGTTAATGATCCATGAAAACATTGTTAATCTTACATGGGGTCCCACATGCTGGTCTTGCATCAGTGTTCCTTAGATATTCACGTTTACTTTATAGGCTGGCTGTGGTGGCTCGCACCTGTAAACTCAGCACTTTGGGCGGTCTAGGCAGGCAGACTGCTTGAGCTCAGGAGTTTGAGACCAGCCTGGGCAACATGGCGAAACACGGTGTCTACAAAAAATACAAAAATTAGCCATGCGTGTTGGTGCACATCTATAGTCCCAGCTTCTTAGGAGGCTGAGGTGGTAGGATCACTTGAGCCTGGGAGGTGGAGGTTGCAGTGAGCTAGGACTATGCCACTGTACTCCAGCCTGGGTGACAGATCTAGACCTTATCTGGAAAAAAAAAAAAAACTCTTTAAATTAAATTATCTATAAATTATACAGAAACTGAACTAATTTTATCTGTTAAAATAGGTCCTTACAAGCTTACACACCCACTTCTTCTTCAATAGTCCCTGGGACTAGAGGGTTTGAATAGTCTTAATTTCTGGCGCCATGTCTCATGACTGCAGCTTATTCTGATTTTCATCTTCTCCTAGATCTGAAGATGAGGCTTCAATTGCTCTCAATTTAGCGGGAGTTAGTGACCTTTTTAGACTCAGGAGTCAAAGCCCTGAAAATTAGTAGCACAAGAACTTTAAAAGAAATACAGAAAGTTACATGGATATAATAACCTTAATTAACCTTAATTTTTTTAAATCTCAGTTTTCTTTTCTTTTTCTTTTCTTTTTTTTTGAGACAGAGTCGCACACTGTCACCCAGGCTGGTATGCAGTGGCTCGATCTTGGCTTACTGCAACCTTCGCCTCCCAGGTTCAAGTGATTCTCTTGCCTCAGCCTCCCTAGTAGCTAGGATTACAGGCACCCGCCACCACTTCTGGCTAATTTTTTGTATTTTTAGTAGAGCTGGGTTTCACTGTGTTGGCCAGGCTGGTCTTGAACTCCTGACCTCGTGATATGCCTGCCTCAGCCTCCTTAAATCTCAGTTTTTCTGAGCAAATAAAAACCTAGTAATGACATAGGAATTATTTTGATAAAATGTAAAATATGTTATTCTCAGGCTGGCTACCAAAAGGCAAAAAAGGATGTGCTTTTCCATATGGGATTCCATTTAGACAACCTTCAAGTCAAAACTAATGAAAAGGGCACTTGAATTAATTAGACATAGGAAGAGTGTGTCCCAGGACATAAGTGAAGTTTTTTGGTTTCATAGAACAATTTAGATATATTTTAAAAAGTCAAGAGCACAGAATGTTATATTGGAAGAATACATTTCGTTTTGATCCTAAAGATGAAGTGTTTTTTAGCATCAGACCACAACAACAGTTAAAACCTAAGGAAAAAAGTTACAGGAGCTGACAAAAAAGTTGAAGGGAAAGTTATTATCTCAGGCCTTAAAAAGGAGAGAGGCCTGGCGCAGTGGCTCAAGCCTGTAATCCCGGCACTTTGGGAGGCTGAGGCGGGCAGATCACGAAGTTAAGAGATGGAGACCACCCTGACCAACATGGTGAAACGCCATCTTTACTAAAAATACAAAAATTAGCTGGGCGTGGTGGTGTGCACCTGTAGTCCCAGCTACTTGGGAGGCTGAGGCAGGAGAATCGCTTGAACCTGGGAGGTGGAGGTTGCAGTGAGCCTAGATCTCACCACTGCACTCCAGCATGGTGACAGAGCAAGACTCCGTCTTAAAAAAAAGACAGAAAATAATAATAATAATAATAAATAAATAATAGAGAGAAAGCTGAAAACATTGAGATGCAATAAAAGTTGAAAATTTGGGTAAATTAAAATATAACTTATTAAGAGTAAATAATATTTTACAAAAATGTTGTTCTAACCAAGTCTTTTGAGTATTAATGTATTTTTTTGTATCAAAGCCCAATCTCTAGAAAGACTGTTGTAATTTCCTTTTATTTATAGCCAACTAGATAACATAATTTTTTTTTTTTTTGAGATGGAGTCTTGCTCTGTTGCCCAGGCTGGAGTGCAGTGGTGCGATATCAGCTCACTGCAAGCTCCACCTCCCAGGTTCACGCCATTCTCCTGCCTCAGCCTCCCAAGTAGCTGGGACTACAGGTGCCCACTACCACGCCCTGCTAATTTTTGTGTTTTTAGTAGAGACGGGGTTTCACCATGTTAGCTAGAATGGTCTCGATCTCCTGATCTCGTGATCCATCTTCTTGGCCTCCCAAAGTGCTGGGATTACAGGCGTGAGCCACTGTGCCTGGCCTAATTTTTGTATTTTTGTCAGAGACGGGGTTTCACCATATTGGCCAGACTGGTCTTGAACTCCTGATCTCAAATGATCTGCCCCCCTTAGCATCCCAAAATGCTGGGATTACAGACCACCACACCTGGCCTATCTCTCTCTCTTTTTTCTGGTTTCTTTTATCTTGTTTCACAAATAATCTGTGAATTAGACAAAACTATTTTCCTTTTAATAAGAACACTTTTTTTGGAAAAATGTTTTCCTACAATTTTTTAAAAATTGGACATGACCTGGACATTTAATGACTATTATTTAATTTAACTTTAAGATTCTAAATTGTATGTTTACTTATAAGCATTTATTCCATTACATTTACCTAACTAATTTATTTTTTAAAATAGTTTACCTAGATTACTTATAAAATCTGTGATATTAGACATAGCTAGCTATCATTTAAAGTCATGAAACCAGCTTTGCAAAATTTTAACAGTGAGAAAATATTGACAGTGACAGAGACCTGACCTAACGAACTCCATCTTGCCTTTAACCTCCAAACAGCCCTTGATCTGGGCATGGGCCAACCTAACTTAGGGAGAAATTTAGTTTATAGTTTATATGATAATAGCCCTTCCCAAAACTAAACCATCTTTGTAAAGCTGATGAAAGCCCACCAGGTTAGGAGGATGAGAAGGGCCTGATTTCTGCTAAGATGTGGGCATAGTTAAAGGATTACCAGCCTTTATTCCAGAGGTCACAAGATTTGCAACTTCCCTAATTACTAGAACCTAGGTTTGGCTTTTTGAGATGACTTTTCAGACTTTGATGGCCCCAACAGCATCAGCCACTCCTCTGTGGCCGCCACTCAAGAAATGGACTGAGTGCAGGAGGACTGTTTTCCACACCCCTGTGATTGTTCCTCAGCTGAGCAGCAGCACCCTTCTGCCAAACTATCCTTGAAAAACCTTGGCTTCTGAATTTTCTGGGAGGCTGATTTGAGTAATAATAAAATTCAGGTCTCCAATTTAGCCAACTCTGCCCATATTAAACTCTTTATTGCAATTCGCTGTCTTGACAAATCAACTCTATCTGGGCAACAGGCAAAATGAACATATGGGCCAGTTACAGTTATGTCCCTGTCAACCATTATTATAGACTGTGAATATCAGGTGTTTACCTAAGTAAGAACCTTAAGGTTAAATAAATGGATTTTTCTCTTCTGTCAGTAACCCAAGATTTAGCTGTTTTCTTTAAACCAATGATATTAAATGCCTTATTTACCAAAATTACATGAACAAAGATAATTCTGTTTGGGGTTGCATTTATAGATTTATAACCTTCATGCCAAATTTTCACGCCTTATAATATCTAGCAGAGATAAATCAGAAACCGCTGACCAATAAATCTAAACAATAATGTATATTGACAATTCTGAAGACATTTCTAATTTTATTTTACTGATAATTTTAAATGCAGCTTATTTGTCAAAGATTTACTTAAATCAAGTGAACCTGAAAAATCATTTGGGCTTAAAGTTTCTATTTTTCTGATAAAGTATTTAATTGAAGCCACTAACAAGGGCTGGAAAGCAGTCCCAAATTACAGCTGTCCAATGAGTACTCTCCCAGTACTGGATAAAAAGGGAGAGGCCACCGCCCACAACCTTCTGAACCCAGAGCAGGTGGAGGCTGGGGCTTTGGCGCCACCTCTGCGGAATCCCAAGCCCCCTTCGCACAGCCAAGAAAACGTTGCTCCATCGCTTAAGCCTTAGAGCAGGACACAAGCGTTTGTGCTGATCAACGAGGCAGAGCCTTCAGCACTCCCATTAGCCTGGACATTTATGCTTTCCGGAGGCCGTGGGCGGAGGCAAGCCAGGTATTATGAAACTCAATAGTAATGAATGCACAAAAATTAGTAGTCAAAAGAAAAACGATAACATTTTAGAGATTACATAGAACCAAAACAAACTGTAATTCCGACAGATAAACATAGCAAGAAAAGAAACCGAAATAAAACAGACACTAAGCAAACCTTGCAGAGAACTAGCTTTACAGATCGCAGCGCTTCAAGGGCCACGAACCATCTGTTCCAGGAAATGAGCATTACTGCCACCTGAAAACTGTCCGCTAGGGCTCTGAGCTACTTAACGACCGAAAGAGAAACTGGCGGCGCTGGGACTCAGCAAGCGCCGGCACCTAGCGAATAGTGCTGGTGTTGCCAAAAAATACCTGTTTTGGTGCCATAAGTGGTGCTGCCAGAGAGAAACCGTGCTCTTGGGAAACAGCGGTGCTTCCACGCCTAAACATCCTCTTCGGAGGAATGAACCCACTCCGTTTAAATGTGTTGTGTCAGAAAAATGTGTTGAGACATTTTAATGTTTTAATCCTCTTAATGTGTTTAATCCGCTTGCAGTATTTTAACCCGTTTTAATGTGTTGTGACAGAAAAAGCGCCAGCTAACGGTGCTATGAAATTACTAGTGCGTACAGCGGCTCCGTGCAATCACCGTTCTGCACAGTAAAACATGGTTTAGGAAGTTCTTTAGCAGATACTAGCGGTGCGAGAACCAAGAAAGTGACAGCACAGAGAACATAAGGACCTGGCGAATGGGAAACGTCACACTGGGCGCTAAGAACGGTGCCGTAACTGAGAAAACGCTAGTCGGCTCTACTGGCAAAAGCGCTGATGCAAAACCATCAGCTCCGCATACGAAGGAGAGCCACCAGACACAACCTGGCACCTGACAGCAGGGAGACTGAGACCGAGCTCGGCTCCCCGGATCCTGAGAGAATGTAAGTAAAGAAGCAGGAAGCTGAGACGCTCAAAATTAGTAGAAAAAAAATACATAACATTTAAATAAAATCAAAATTAAAAAAATAAAGGCTAAAATGCAAGTAAACATGGAAAGCAAACACATCGGTAACATCGTTCTCAGAGCAAAAGACAAAGAGAGAATTTAAAAATAAGCAAAAATTACAGAGAACCAATCCTAGAAAGAAGAAATTACAAACCTTGCTAAAAGATGCAATCCTACAATTGTGATATCTCTGTCAGATCTAAACCGGTACATGTTACACCTAAGTCTACATTTCCTACGAAAACAAAAACAAAAACAAACAACACCAACAAAAAAAAGCAGTCACGGTTAAACCTTTTTTACTACGACTTAAAAATCGCAGTAGCTGGTCTATTCAGACTTGGTCCACAAGAGGAAAAAGTCGCGTTCGGCAGGACTTGCTATTGCCAAACGGAGCTTGGTAACCAGAAATCGCGTTTGCGGACATTTCCTGACTTCCATGGGAGTTTAAAATACACACAAGCTTAGCTAAGGTGGGACTCAATATTGCGAAAACAAACTTGGTATAAGAGCTCCCAGGCACTGCTAAACTGATCATCGGTAAACCTAAAAAAAATCGCATTCGCGGGTACCCAGATTTCTTTTTCTTTTCTTTTTTTTTTTTTTTTTTTTTTTGAGTTGGAGTCTCGCTCTGTCGCCCAAGCTGGAGTGCAGTGGCGCGATCTCGGCTCACTGCAAGCTCCGCCTCCCGGATTCACGCCATTCTCCTGCCTCAGCCTCCCGAGGAGCTGGGACTACAGGGACCCGCCACCACGCCCGGCTAATTTTTTTGTATTTTTAGTAGAGACGGGGTTTCACCGTGTTAGCCAGGATGGTCTCGATCTCCTGACCTCCTGATCCGCCCGCCTCGGCCTCCCAAAGTGCTGGGATTACAGGCGTGAGCCACCGCGCCCGGCCGGTACTCCGAAGCCCTCAGATCGGCGACCTGGGCGCTGTAGGCACCGAGAAAATACAGGCACCGAGCCAGAAGCAGTGCCGCAACCAAGAGACCTCGGCTTGGCGAAATGGCGGCGTCTGGAGCCTGCGAGTGACGCCAGCTGGTGGGGCTGTCAAGGAGAACATTCGTTACGGCGCAACCAACGGTACTGTCACCAAGAAACCGTCGTCTCTGAGAAAAAAAGAGACGTTCGGCCGCCGAGAAACTCCGTACAAGTGCTGTGACAGAAAAACCGCCGGCTCCGCGCAGCGGCAAAAGAGCCAACGGGAACGCCGGGTGCTGCGACCATGACCCCGGCACTGGAGGACGTGGGATGGAGAATGGGACACACGGAGCGAGAAGGGAAACGTTTCGTGCAGACCAACTAGCGCCGCCGCCACCGGAAAACTGACTCGCCAGTGCTGCCAATGAAGTGCGTGTGAGAAACCGATGACTGGTGGGAGGAGCAGCGCTGGGCGCTGGACCCGCGAGTGTGAGAATCTGGCGGCGCTAGGACCCTTCAGGCGCGGGCACGAGGCGAAACCCAGCGCTGTTGCCAAAGACAAATGCGCGTTCTTTTGGGCGCCATCAGCGGTGCAGCCAGTGATCACTCCCAGGCTCTGAGAAACTAGAGATGTCAGCCACAAACCCTCCGTTCAGGGAAAGTTTGCGGCGCCGTGACGGATCGACTGGCACTGGGTGCAACATTGTCTTGTGGCCTAGAGACTAGAATATAAAAACAAAAACCAAATACAAAACTGCTGCTGGCATTACTCCTACTCTCCCCCCTCAAGTCAGTGGCTTCAGGCTTAAGAAAACCTGTATTTTTCTTGGCTGTGCCATAATCCGTAATTACCGAGGCCCCCAGCGACCCACCCAGTGTGATTCGCAGAGGGAAAGGAGCTGGAATAAGGACCGTGAATGGGGCGGATGTGGCTCGTCCTGGGAGAGAGCTAAAGCTTATGCTGGTCGCAAACAGCATTACATTGCAGGAAACTGCTCTTCCAATGGCCGTGGCTGGGTCCTTCCACACCATCCCTCTGCCCTAGACCTTTGTCCCCGTTCAGAGCCATCAGAGATTCTAGGAGAGCTGTCGACAACCGCATCTCTTCGGAACTTGGAAACTCTAGGTTCAAGATCTCCGTGGAGAATGAAAGGCACAGTCGCCTGACCCGGGCATCAGGCTTGCCCCGCACATCAAGTCCCTCCCCTACTGGATGGAACTCTGTGGCAATCGCTCCTTATTCTGATGGTTCACTCTGTCAGATATCCTCGATATTTGGGGATAGTAGTTCAAAAACAGCCGGGGAGGAAAATGGGCTGAAAGATTCCAGCGTTGGATGTAGAATTGACAGCGAGACATACACCTCCTCTCTAAGCCCAGAGAAAAGCTCAAGTTGTGGTTCTCTGTCTCTAGCAGCATGATCTTCAAAATGCATCATTGATTTCTATCTTCTGGGAAATGCAATGCAGGTGAACTTGTAAGTGCTCAAATCCTCCATCTCCTCACTTTTCAGACTGAGGCCTTTTTTTTTTTAAATCTGAGAAGAAATATGGGACTGCCACTGCTCAGTAGGAAAATGTCCTTTCCCACAAGCATTTATATTTTAATAAAAATCTGCACTTTGTGAGTTGAGCCCCCTCAAAGAGACCTACAAACCCTGCCACAAATATCTCCAACCACACTCATCATTTCCGATTTTCATCACTGCTGCTCCTGTGCAAACCAAACTATCCTTTCCCTGGGGCATCCTAGGTAGAGGCCATGCCAGGACAAAGGCAGAGATATGCCTGCCTGGTAAGGAAATCCATTTTGGCCTTGTAATTCTCACCCTCTCCCAAGATGTTTGCCTCAATATCTCCTTCCCACCTTACCCCGTCTTCAGCTAGCCAAAACATTCCCTGGTATTTGAGGCCCTTCCAATTTCCTCCTGGTTTTGTGGGTGGGAGAATAAAGAAAAAACTGCACTGTTCCCACCCACATAGTTACAGCCACTTTATCAAACGGAAGAGCAGTCTGGAGCCATTGCAAAACAAAATACCTGCCACAACTCCTCTCTTCTCATTTCGACTCCAGCTTTTCATCTTAGCAAAAAAGTTGCAATCAGCACCCCCTAGACGGAAGGAATATCCTGTCTTAATGGGAGTCCATAGGAGGCTGCAGGCTGCTCCCCTACAGAGACTAACATCAAGGTAGTTGCAGAATTCAGATTCTAATTACAGTGTGGTTGGAGGCGGGGTGGATTCCAGGGAGGTCAGGAAGAGGTAAAGTACAGAATTGAGCTCCTTGGGAGGAGGTCATAGGAACTTTGCAGTATGAAAATGGCTAGAGATTGGGTAGAATTGAGCAGGCTGGCAATGGCAGTTTTGTGTGGGTGGTAGGACCTAGGATTCAAACTTGAGGGCAAATTGTGGAGCACATACGACAAATGATGTAGAGCCTTTCCTATTTCCCTTCCTGCTGTGTCATCCGAAACAATAAATAATAAAGAATTAACAAAGACTGATATTTTTGTTCAATTTCATGAAGAAAAATCTCATCAAACTAAGATAACTATAATGACAAATCTTGTTAGAATATTATTAACCAAATGAAAGTGACACAAAACAGAAAAACGGTGGGAGGTGGGAGGGCCAAGAAAGAAAAAGTCCCCAACACTCAGGTGGTGTGTACAGGTGAATCTTCTGGTCAGTTGGTATGTTGCAGAAAGCTGGGCAACTAATAAATTAGGAGGCAGGAATTCATATGAATACTTTCCTGATACAGAGAAACTCTTGGTTTTAACAATCTACTTCTTTGTCAGGTATTGGTTCTTGATTTTAGGCTCAGAAAAGATGGTAACAGTTATAACTGTAGTAGAGCAGGTAAAAACAAAGATCATGCAGGAGTCTAGACAGAAAGTAAAAGGCAAAAATGTCCCAGGGTAAGTAATCTAGAGTAAGAAAGTGAAGAATTCTGCTTGGTGCCAACGGAGGGCTCCACCATGCCTCTGGTTCACCTACAAAAAATGAACCATTTGCTGTTGGTCTCTGGGATTGAAGATTCACCCTCCCAATTTCCTGCCTGTCCTAAGCTTACCTGTAACTTAGAGGGTTTTGTGTCTGTTTTTTTGTTTGTTTTGTCTGTTTGTTTTGTAAAACACTCTCTACAAATGTTTGATAGATTATAAACCGCAGGATCCACTAGACCCTGCAAGGTGCAGGGGAGCCCTGTGACTACCACTCCAATGCACCTCCACACATGTTCTTCCTCCTAGTTCCTCCACAGAATTTCTTCTTCCTGGTTCCATTTGCTGTAGTAATTTGGGGCTGTATTCACTGACAAGTTCCAAAAGTTTACCCAATTTTGGTGACCGATAAACTCTTGACTAACAATTATGTGTGTGTGTTTGTCTTTCCTGTAGGAGGAAATCAGTGGTGCTTCAGGATATTGTGAATTTGGTCTTCTGAAAGCAGAATTCTGATTTAACAGTATAATGGAATTCGTGAACGTCATGATGCTAATTTGAACCAACAAGCACCCTTGTGAGAGGAATCTGCTTTTCCTCAAGTCTGAAGAACACCAGGAGAATCTTTCTGTATGGAGTTACCAGGAATCCTCTGCTAAGGAAAGTGAAAGGGAAGATGCAATTTCTCCTGGGAAGGGGGGATGCTGATGTAGAGGGTGACAAGTAATATGCCATGAAGGATTCAGTCACCTGGTTAGATTTAGAGTTAGAGTTATGGTTAAGGAAGAAGGAAGGAAAAAAGGCAGAAGAGGAAGAAAGGAAGCAAGAAAAGATAAAATTTATTCTAAGATAAAATTTGTGAATTTTGCTAAACTATATATATTTATTTATTTATTTATTTTATTTATTTATTTATTTTTGCTGTCATTAGCCAAGATAAGGAATCTTCAAGTTGAGTAAGACTGGATTTAGAATTGTCTGGGGGCTTTCAAAAGAGCCATTCAGTAAATAAGAAAGAATACAGGCCTGCAGCACCAGAGTCTGAGCTGGGGGCATAGGTTTGTGTGAATTTGGGCATGGTGGCTCAGGTCTGTAATCCCAGCACTTTGGGAGGCTGAAGTTGAGGACTGCTTGAGCTCAGGAGTCTGAGACCACCCTGGGCAACATGGGGAGACCCCATCTCTACAAAAAAATAAAAAATATTAACCCAAGGTGGTGGCATGCACCTTGCTGCCAGCTACTGTGGAGGCTGAGGTGAGAGGATTGTTTAAGTCCAGGATGTTGAGACTGCAGTGAGCCCTGTTTGTGGCACTGCACTCCTGCCTGGTCCACAGAGGGAGACTCTGTCTGAAGGTGGGGAAAGAAAAGATTTGTATGAATTTGGTGCTGCTTTGTATTTCAAAATAGGAAAGTGGATATACGAATATATGGCATAAAAGGTCCAGATACTGGACCCCAGTGAACTCAATTGTTTTCAAGGTCTGACTTTAACCTTGCTAGGCTGAAGAATCTGGAATGGCTCAGATGTTTCTAGTTCAGCTGTAACTTTTGCCTCCTTTAGAGTAAAGCTGTGGGGGACTTGAGTATACTCAGAGTGGATCTGAGAGGTATCTGCTTCCAGAATGAATTAGAATTCCTGGATTTGAATCATAATCAGATGGCTGTTAAGGGGTTATTGAAGACATATGGCTCTTAAGTTCACAATATTGAATTCAGGTGAATATTATAAATATTTGTAAGTTGGATTATATTATTGAAGCACTTGGTAAAAATTGCCATGCAGGGATAAATGTAGGAAGGGGATTGCAGAGTCTGATATCTAAAAAATAAGTGGAGCAGCATTTGGAAACCCCGTTCACATTTTCAATCTCTTTTCTCTCATTAGAACCTAACTGCTATCCTCTAATCCCTACTTTTGAAAAAATGTATTTAAGGCTGGGCGTGGTGGCTCACGCCTGTAATCCCAGCACTTTGGAAGGCCGAAGTGGGTGGATCACGAGGTCAGGAGATCGAGACCATCCTGGCTAACATGGTGAAACCCCATCTCTACTAAAAATACAAAAAATTAGCCGGGCGTTGTGGTGGGCACCTGTAGTCCTAGCTACTCGGGAGGCTGAGGCAGGAGAATGGCGTGAACCCAGGAGGCAGAGCTTGTAGTGAGCTGAGATCGCGCCACTGCACTCCAGCCTGGGCGACAGAGCGAGACTCCGTCTCAGAAAAAAAAAAAAAGAAAAAATGTATTTAAAAACTCAGCAAACATTAATGGAGATATTCCAAGAGCCAGGCTCCTGGTTCCAAGACCCCACTCAGAGGACTAAGCTCAAATCTAATAAGATGTGTAGGCTTGGGGCCAGTGGGGCGAGGGGATATCCACAGGAGGGCCAATCGAACAAGGCCTCAGACTCATGAGCCTCAAATGTAGATGTTAGATTTTTCCTCCAATTGAGATTATACATACAGCCACAGAGCTTCATGGATGCAAATGAAAATGGTCATGTCTCAACTTTTAAACTGTGCTCAATTAGAGGAACTCATTGCCTATGGCATAGTGTCATGTAATAAAATGGTTTTTTTGTTGTCTAATCTTGTAGTTAGTACAGTGATAGTACATTGGGTTTTTGTGTTAAAAGAAGTCATTTGTTATCCCAGCACTTTGGGAGGCCGAGGCAGGCAGATCACCTGAGGTCAGGAGTTCAAGACCAGCCTGACCAACATGATGAGACCCCATCTCTACTGAATTAGCCAGGCATGGTGGCGCATGCCTGTAATCCCAGTTACTCGGGAGGCTCAGGCAGGAGAATCGCTTGAATCGGGAGGCAGCGATTGCCGTGAGCCAAAATTGCGCCACTGCAGTCCAGCTTGGGCAACAAGAGCAAAACTCTGTCTCAAAAAAAAAAAAAAAAAAAAAAGGCTGGGCGCGGTGGCTCACGCCTGTAATCCCAGCACTTTGGGAGGCCGAGGCGAGCAGATCACAAGGTCAGGAGATCGAGACCATCCTGGCCAACACGGTGAAACCCCATCTCTATTAAAAATGCAAAAAAATTAGCCGGGCATGTTGGCGGGCGCCTGTAGTCCCAGCTACTTGGGAGGCTGAGGCAGGAGAAAGGTGTGAACCTGGGAGGCGGAGGTTGCAGTGAGCTGAGATCCCGCCACTGCACCCCAGCCTGGGCAACAGAGCAAGACTCCATCTCCCCCACCCAAAAAAACATCTTTAAAATTTAGCTTTTAAAACACATTTAGTTATTATTTTACTGTGTTTATTCTTCGTGGTTAGGCACATTTATGCCTTTTTGTTTCCTCCCTTGAGTTGTGGGCCTGGACTCCTAAAACCTCCATTTCTAAATTTGCCTTACCAACAGGGTCACAATGGTAGGCAGGCTTAGTGGGACATGAGGCAATAAAAAGATGAACAGTCATTCTGGTTATGGCTTGGCAGTGGGATGGCAGCACATTAGCTTGGCTCTCACGGTGTGGGCTGCTTTGGTTTCTTTTCCTAACTGAACTCTGACAGGTAGAGTCCTCATGTCCAGGAATAATTCCAGAAAACAATAAAAAAAAAAAATTGGTTTTCAGACCAGGACACAAACATAACCATAGTAGATGAGGGCTCACTCATTTACTAAACTTGAATGTGGTTATTACTTCATTGCTATTGTAAACCAAAAATAAAATTTGAAGCCCCCTGCCACCAACATCTGAATGGACCCCTCTTCTCCGCCAAGGGCATTCCAAAGTTAGACTGAAAAAGTAGTTTCAAGCCATGCTGGGAAGGGGGAGTCAGACATGCCTCATTATATTCTCCTCTCTTTTAAAATTATTGATAGAACAGACTCTTTAAGTCTGGTTAGAAACATTTACAATCTATCTCTCTGAAGTCTTCCACCTGGAGGCTTCATCTGCGACACCTTTGTCTCTGGAACACCTTATGGCAACCCAGGCATTCCTTTCTAGAGATAATAGTTATTGCAACAAATTGCCAATCATAAAATTTTTGAACCTCTCCAACTTGAAAGATCATGCTTCCAGTTGTACTGCCTTTCTGGACTGAACCAATGTACAACACCTTAAATGTATTGATCTCATGACTTCCTAAAATATATATAAACCAAGTTGTGCACTGACCACCTGAAGCACATGTTCTCAGGATCTCCTGATGGCTGTTTCATGGGCTAATGGTCACTCACATTTGGTTCACAATAAATCTCATCAACTATTTTACAGAATTTGACCCTGTGTCTGCTGGACCTCCCAGAAGAGCAGCAGCACATGTGCTGATTTCTTTGGGTTTCAAAATTGACAACAGTCAATGGAAAACTGGATTCCAAATTCTACCAGAGAATACTGTGCCAGGTGCTTTCAGTGGGACCCTTGCTGTCTCTGGGATTTCAAGTGCTATTACAATGGTCTCCCCCAGGGCACATTAAAGGACTGGTGAGATCCCTAACTGGCATGGCTCCAGAAGTGATGTGGAAGTTAGGAAACTCAGGCAGTCATTGATTTCCCAGCCCCACTGACGCTTTTCCTCTATCTCCTGGCTGAGAAAAGAAGACCAGGAAGAGCCGTGAGGGACTTCCAGGGTGGCATGTGGCTGTCTCCAGCACACGTACATAACCTGGATTATATCTGTAACAAGCTATGCTGATGGATCAGCAGGTTAACCCAAGCTGAAAAAAGCAGTCAAGCACTTCCTTTGGTGTGTGAGGCAGAAACCAGGACATCTGCTGGTCCACCAGGGGACAAAAATCAATCCTATTTCACCAATGTGTCTCCTCCGTGTGGGGAGTATAGGGCATTGAAGGTGGATGAGAATCACCATCCACCTTCTGCTGCACAGGAAAGACAAGGGAAGACTCCAGGGAAGACAGAGGAGGAAAACGTCGAGCAGCCCCAGGTGGATGTGTCTGTGTGTGTGTGTGTGTGTGTGTGTGTGTGTGTGTGTGTACCTTGACAGTGGGTAGAGGAAGGGAGAGGAGGGTTGAGGTCTTCCCACTAGAGGAGTGAAATGAGCAGAACTGAGAAAAGAGGTCAGAGAAAAGAAAGAGGAACCTACAAGCCACCACAGAATTTTCTTTCCCCAGAGAATGGTCTCTTGCCCGACTAGGGGCTGGGTATCCTTGTGAAGTCACCGGAGGTTTTCAAGGGGTGGGCTTCCTGGCTTCAGTAGACTCAAGGTCCCTAAGGTCCAGTTAGGATAGGCGCCTGGGAGGGCTCCCGAGTTGGAATAAGAGTCGGAAGAACTGACAGGGCTGGGGGCGCACTAAGCACACTCTACTCCTGAGAGGTGAGGGTGGGGATGTTGGAGGGAAAAAGGGCTGCTTTTTCCTGCCTGCAGGCTTCAGATTCACAGGGGATGTGAGGAGAGGGCGGAGGAGGAGGAAGCAGCGGCTGTTTATGCTGGGAAGATGGCTCAGTTGAGAAGTGAGGCAGATGTGGCCTCAGAGGGTCTGGCGGATGGCTGCCGGGATCACCGGGGGCTGGACTTTGAGATGTCCAGGACGAAGTGTTGCCCTTTCAGTGCTGCCCTCCCTGTGTCTGCTGGAACTGTTGGAGCCGCAGTGCAGCCTAATTTTGACTTCAGGTAAAATAATTCAATATACTGAGGCCCAGGGGGAACAAAGCAAGGTCTACTCCATATCTCTGAACAGCTGGTGTCTTTCAGTGCCTAAACTCAATCAGAATCCTGGGAGCAAAAGTAGCTCTCCAGTGCAGTCCATGCAGGTTACTTCTTGCAACATAGAGGTGACTGAAGCATGGTAAGCAGATCTAGAAAGGCAAACATCTCTAGCAGATCTAGAGAGGCTAGCCAATGTTAGCTAGCAGTGTCTTTATGTTGATAAACCTATTCAGAATGTTAACTTTGTTTGTTGGTTTGTTTGTCCATTTTTGTCTCCCAGGCTGGAGTGCAGTGGTGCGATCTCGGCTCACTGCAACCTCCAGTAATTCTCCCGCCTCAGTCTTTCCAGCAGCTGGGATTACAGGCTCCCCATCGCCACACCCAGAATTTTTTGTAGAGACGGGGTTTCGCCATGTTGCCCGGGCTGCTCTCAAACTCCCGATTTCTTAGTCTGACCAAGTCAGGGTTTAGCTATTTCTTAGCGTAGCAAGTTGAGATTTATTCCAGTTTCGATTTCTAGTTGTAACAATGCTGGCTTTAACCGTGCCTACGTAGTCGTTGCAAGTTCCTGTTTTGTAATAGGAACCCCCATTATAGCCGTTCGTACGGTTTTTAAGTCTTGTAGAAATCTGGGTACTGGAGAATGTAATTAAAAAAAAAATTTAGCAGTGCCTGAAATCTTTTAGTCATACCAAGTGTGATTTCACAATAGAGATTCTCGCCCTGGCTGTGCTTGTGATTTTTCACTCATGCAGAAGTTGAGGTGTCTAGGCTACAGGAACTTTTTGGTGTCGCAAATACCGGTTTAGCCATGGCTGTTTCTTCTTAATCCGAGGAATTTTCGAATAGGCGCAAGAGGCACAGGTTTAGTGCTAATACAAATATAGCCGTAGGATCGCATCGTTCAACACTGCAATTTCTTTGTAGGGTTATTTGTATGTTTTGTATACTCAAAAAAATTTTTTTTGATGTGTCTTTTTCTGGGAGCGAGGTTACTGGTGTATTTTATTTTCATTTCTGTTTGCTTTAAAAATTTATTTTATTTTTTATGTAAATGTTATGTATTTTATTTTTTCTTACCCACTGCCTTCCCCAGGAGAGTAAATGTGGCATAATTTCTTCTACTGATTTTGAGTATCATGTCTCAGCTTCCTACTAACTAGCTTTCTCCCGTGAGTCGGGGAGCAGAGCTGGTGCCTGGTCTCTAGGGTTCTCTTCCGCGGCTCTGTGCCTATGTCGAGCCAGCAGTTTCGCATCAGCACTTTCGCCAATAGCGGAGACTCAGTGTTTTCTCGGCTGCTGCACCGCTGGAAGCGCTGAACACAACAGAACGTTTCGGCGGGGCGCTGTGGCTCACGCCTGTAATCCTAGCACTTAGGGAGGCTGAGGCGGGTGGATCACTCGAGGTCAGAAGTTCGAGACCAGCCTGGCCAGCGGGTGAAACCCCGTCTGTACTAAAAATACAATAATTAGCTGGCCGTGGTGGCGCGTGCCTGCAATCCCAGTTACTCGGGAGGCTGAGGCAGTATGCTTGAACCCAGGTGGCGGAGGTTGCAATGAGACGAGATTGCGCCACTGAACTCCAGCCTGGGTGACAGAGCGAGGCTCCTTCTCAAAAACAAAACAACCCAGAACGTTTCTTGTTCACAAGACTCAGAAGTGCTTTGTGGTAACGCTTCCCCTCTCCTAGCGCCGCCACTTTCCCCGGGCTGGCTGTCTCACGGTCTCAGCCCAGTGATTGGCCGAGGAGGCGCTCTTTCAGCACTTTCGCTGGAAGGGCTTGGGCTCGGTTTTTCTGCCACAGGCGTTTCATTGGGTAGGTGCTTTCTCGGTGGAAGCACTGTACAACCTTCCAAGCCTCGATATTTCTCAGAGACGACGATTTCTTAGTGGCAATACCTTAACTGCACCAAAAACTAAAGTTTGCCGCTGGGTACTCCGCTAGTCGTTCAGTGTCCGCATTTGCTATTGATGCAGGATTTTTGCTTCTAAGCTCAGCTATATCCGGGTCCTTGTCTCACGATCAGGAGGAAGTGGGCACGCGGATATCGAAGAGTGAGTGGAGTAGAATTTATTAAGCGTAAACGAAAGCTCTCATAAAAAACAAGGGTCCTGAAAGCAGGTTGCCGGTTGCTCCTTAACGGCTGAATACAAAGGCTTTTATATGAAAGCTAAGGAGGCTGGGTTCCCTGTTTGTATAAGGCGAGAATCCCGGGTGGCTCCATCCCATTCCCCCAGTGCGCATGCGCGCTCTTAATCCGCAGCAGGCATGCTTAGGCAAGTCCCTTGTGCAAGTTCCCTTATCTGCACAAAACACCAGTCGGAGGTTCTCTGGGGACCCTTCCCTTACAGTCTCCCTAAAGCTGGCTAACTCCTTTCACTATGTCCCAGTATCCCTGGTTCCTCGGACTGGCACTTTCTGAGTCATAGCACCGCTCATTCGTCCGAGCAGAATTGATCTCGGTGGCAGCACCTCTGGTGGGTCAAGCCTGCAGCTTCTCCTGAGCAGTTTCGTTAGTTTTTGGGTCCTAGAACCGCTAGTGGTACCATAGCGGCTCTTCATGGGTTGCAGGACGTTTGCCAACTCCACCCCACGCTGCCTGCCTAGGTTCGGCTACGGGGCAAAAAGAACAGACTCCTGCAAAGGAAGAACCCCGAGGGTTGGATATTTAGGAAAGACGTCCTTTGCAGTGCCACGTCCGCGGATGCTGCACTTGGCTTTCTCCTCCCTCCTGGGGAAGAATTGATGTTTACTTCTCCCCACTCTCCGGGCCGCATTATCCAGGGATTTCGGGGACTAGATTACCTGAGATTTTAGCGCTTCTACTGGATCATCCTTTTGGAAATAATTATCACTTACAATAATGTCTATCCGGGCCGGGTGCGGTGGCTCACACCTGTAATCCCAGCACTTTGGAAGGCCGAGGAGGGTGGATCACGAGGTCAGGAGATCGAGACCACCCTGGCCAACATGGTGAAACCTCGTCTCTACTAACAGTACAAAAATTAGCCGGGCGTGGTGGCGCGCGCCTGTAGTCCGAGCTACTTGGGAGGTTAAGGCAGGAGAATAGCTTGAACCGGGAGGACTGCAGTGAGCCGAGATCCTGCCACTGCACTCCAGCCTGGCAACAGAGCAAGACTCCGTCTCAATAATAATAATAATAATAATGTCTATCCATGTTCTTTAAAAAAGTTTGCCTTCACTATTCTTTATCAACGTTTGGTTGTCTTTCTCAATAAAATAATAGAGAAACATCAAATGCCTTTTGTTTCTTTTGTTTTGTTTGGTTGTTGTTGTTTTAGGATCAAGACCAAGTCAGAGGTCTGTTGCTGGGTAAGGAGTGCAGGTAGGAAAGAAGCCAGGACTCCTCCCACTTACATTCCTTGATTCCTCAACCCAAGCACATACTTGGTAGGACTGTCTTTGGCCAAAAGCTTTTATCTTTCCAAGTTCTTCCTGGGCTCTGACAAGTGCCTGGGAAGTGGTACAGTAGTCCCCAGCTCTACAAATTGCTGTTCTGGAGGGTGGGTTGGCAGAAATGTTGGCTAGTTGAAATGTGAGTGGGGCAGCTTAGGTAGGCAATGATTACCTAAAGACTGTAAAGCCAAGGCGACTAGACCTGTATACCTTGGTGGTGAAGACCTAGGAAACCAGGTCTCCATCACTTATACACTATAAGGTGTAACATTTCAGAAGTAAACTGAAATCTTATGCTTCATATTCCTTTTCAGTAAACTCAGTGGCATATTACACTAATCATGGTGTCCACTTTTTTCCTGAGTTATATACTATTGAAAGATCTTAGAACACTCTAGCACAATGTAAATGTTCATTATATATTAATTACAATTACTTTACATAACTGTTCTTTTTCAGTGATTTTTTTTATACCTCAAATCACCAAACACAAGCCTGAATCCACTAAAATGTCCTTTCTAACACCCTCATTTTGAGACAGCTCGTGGTTCTCTATGATAAGTTCTTGGGTGAGGAGTAACAAATCTAGTTTCTTCAACTGCAAACTCAGTTTCTGATGGTCTTTGGCTAAAGCATATTCACACATACGAGGAATTGATGAAAATGACATCTAGCAGGGACGTTAATGGTTCTTAAATACTTTGGGTTCATTTCTGATTGGCCTTTATTTCTAATAAAGGTATCTGAGGCTGGGCGCAGTGGCTCACACCTGTAATCGCAGCACTTTAGGAGGCCGAGGCGGGTGGATCATTTGAGGTCAGGAGTTCAAGAGCAGCCTGGCCAACATGGTGAAACCCCGCCTCTACTAAAAATACAAAAAATTATCCGGGCGCGGCGGCGGGAGCCTGTAGTCCCAGCTACTCCGGAGGCTGAGGCAGGAGAATGGCGTGAACCCGGGAGGCGGAGCTTGCAGTGAGCCGAGAGATCGCGCCACTGCACTCCAGCCTGGGCGACAGAGCGAGACTCCATCTCAAAAAATAATAATAATAAAATAAATAAATAAATAAATAAAATAAAAATTAGCCAGGCGTGGCGGCGCTTGCCTGTAATTTCAACTACTCGGGAGACTGAGTCAGGAGAATCACTTGAGCCTGGGAGGTGGAGGTAGGTTGCGGTGAGCCGAGATTGCACCACTGCACTCCAGTCTGGGTGACAGAACGAGGCCCTGTCTAAAAAAAAAGTATCTGAGAAAGGCAAGAAAGAAGAAAGTTTAGAGGGTGCCAGGAATTTTTAAAAAAATCTTTACTTCCCCCAAATTTGGAGAGTAATACTTCATCATTGGGGAGGGGAAGTAGTTTCAAATATTTCTGTAATTATTTGAAAGTGGAAGTATCGAATAGAGTCCCATAATAAGTTTCCTTATTAACAACTTGGAAGTTCCTAGAGTTTTGAAAGGTAATGTTTTGGATTTTTTTAATAGAGTATAAATTTTGTCTCTATACTCATTTGCAAGGAGATCCTGCCCTGAACTATGATAAGGCTATGTATTGTGATTATTGTTTTCTTATTGTTAGAAAGTCTTCTCTCTTTAAGTTTTGTCTGTCACCATTCTTTCCATGTGGGAAAGCCTTTAAAGGATACAGTCCTCAAAGAAAAATAAAACCCTCTGATTATGACTGTGTATGATAAGTTTAATTGATACTCCTATATCGTTCTTGAAAATATAGTACTTAATTCATAAAATACTTGTCAAAACTAGAGTGTATTTTGCCCCACACCTTCAGTAACATTGGGTATAATAATTTAAATGATCTTTGTAGTTGCTGAGGCAAAATTATATAAATACTTGTGTAAAAATAGAGTGCATTTTGCCACACATCTCTAGTAATATTGGGTATAATTAAATGATCTTTGTAGTTTCTCAGGGAAAATATACATGTTGCTTTTAACTTTCACTCATTTAATTTGGAAGCATCACATTTCTACAGGCATAAGCCACCTCACCAGGCCTTTTCTTCTTCATTTTTTTAGTAAAGAAAGATAAAAATAATGTCCATTCTTTGTAAGATACTGGAAAATAACTTGGTTTCCAAAGAGTTTCCATCCGGTCCCAAATTTGGAGAAATGAACCTGCACACTCCAGTGCAATGTCAAATCTAGACAAACAAGAGGCAAATGTTATTAACATTAGAAAATGTATACTCTCCATTAAAAGCAAGGATGGGAATTCCTTGGGACCAGAAATGCAAAGAATTCCTGGAAGTGGACTCTAGGTGTCTGCAGAATGAACCCTGAGAGAAGAAGCAGCCCCAGATGGCGAGTGCTTATTGGGGGAATTCTCCTGGTGACCCCAGGAAGCTGGCTTCAGCTTCTTGCAAACTCCAGTTCTTGCAAACTACTATTCTACTTTGTTGCTATAAATTTGTCTACTCTAGGTACCTCACACAAGTGAATCATGCAGTATTTGTCCTGTTTGACTGGCTTGTTTCACTTAACATGTTGTCTTCCAGGTAAATCCATGTTGCAGCATGTGTCAGAATTTTCTTCCTTTTTGAAGCTGAATAATGTTCCATTGTATATACATACTCCATTTTGTTTATTTATTCATCCATTGATGGACACTTGGGTTGCCTTCATTTTTTTGGCTTTTGTGAATAGTGCTTCTATGAACACAGGTTTATAAATATCTATTCAAGTGTCTGCTTTCAAATGTTTGTGTATATCCCCAGCAAGAGAATTGCCGGATCTCATGCTAATTCTATTTTTAATTTTTGGAGGAGCTGTTATGCTGTTTTCCATTGTGGCTGCATCATTTTATATTCCTACAAACAGTGCACAAAAGTTCCAAGTGCTCCACATTCTTCTGGTTTTTTTTAATAGCCATCTGGTTTTTTTTAATAGGTAGTTACATTCATTTTTGCACTTGGAAAACTGGGGGCAAAAACCAAGGGCATGGCAAAGTATAAAATGTGTAAAAAATAAGAAAAAAATTATGTATGTATGTATTTATTTTGAGATGGAGTTTCACTCTTGTTGCCCAGGCTGGAGTGCAATGGCACAATCTTGGCTCACCGCAACCTCCAGCTCCCAGGTTCAAGCAATTCTCCTGCCTCAGCCTCCTGAATAGCTGGGATCACAGGTGCCTGCCACCACGCCTGGCTAGTTTTTCTATTTTTAGTAGAGATGAGGTTTCATCATGTTGGTCAGGCTGGTCTCGAACTCCTGACCTTAGATGATCTGCCCACCTTGGCCTCCCAAAGTGCTGCGATTACAGGCATGAGCCACCGCGCCCGGCCAGCATTACCATTTCTATCTCAGCAGAGGCAAGAGAATGAGTAGTGTTAGAGAAAGCAAGAAACTGCTAAAGGAAAGGGTCACTCCTCAGTATTTTTTTTTCTTTCTTTTTCTTTCTTTCTTTTTTTCTCGCTTTTTTTTTTTTTTTTTTTTTTTTTGAGAGAGAGAGGGTCTCACTCTGTCACCCAGGCTGGAGTGCAGTGGCACAAGCATAGCTCACTGCAGCCTCAACCACCTCAGCTCATGGAGACTCCCAGGTGGCAGAGACTACAGGTACGTGCCACCATGCCTGGCTAATTCTTTAATTTTTTGTGGAGACAGGATCTCACTCTGTTACCCAAGTTGGTTTTGAACTTCTGGCCTCAACTGATCCTCCTGCCTCAGCCTCCCAAAGTGCTGTGATTTCAGGCATGAACCACCACAGCCAGCCTATTTTTGACTTTAGATAAAATAATTCAGTACCCTGAGGCCAGGGTGAACAAAGCAAGATAATAAATTACTACTCTGTATCTCTGAACAACTGATGTCTTTCAGTGCTAAACTCAATCAAAAGCCTGGCGGGGAAAGTAGATCTCCAGTGCCGCCCCTTTAAGTTACCTCTTGTACCATAGTGCTGACTGAAGAGTGGTAAGCAGATCTAGAGAGGCAAGCTGATATTAGCTACCAGTGTCTTCAGGTTGATCAACATATACATAGTGGTAACTTTTTTTTTTTTTTGAGATAGAGTCTCACTCTCTCACCCAGGCTGGAGTGCAGTGGTACAATCTTGGCTCTCATTGCAAAATCCACCTGCCAAGTTCCAGTGATTCTTGTGATTCAGCCTATTGAGTAGCTGGGATTATAGTCATGCATCACTATGCCTGGCTAATGTTTTTGTATTTTTAGTAGAAATGGGGTTTCCCTATGTTGGCCAGGCTGGTCTTGAACTCCGGGCCTCAAGTTATCCACACACCCTAGTCTCCCAAAGTGTTGGGATTACAGGTGTGGGCCACCCTGCCTGGCCTACAAGGGTAACTTTTTAAAATGGTCTAAAAACAACTCTATACTCATAAATTTAACAAATTGGATAATATGGATCAATCCTGCAAGATCCACAGTCTACCCAAATCACACAAAATAATCTGTAAATTTTTGAAATTATTAAAAATACTGAATTCATGGTCAAATGTCTTCCAAAAAACAAACCTAGAGGTTCTTACAATTTCACTGACTAATTTTACCTAATATTCAAATAATTAATAAGATGAATTCTACACAATTTATTCTAGAAAATAGAAGAATATGGCATACTTCCCAACTTATTTTATGAGATCAGCATTTTCCTGGCAAACACAGTACACTAGGAGAAAACTGCTGACTAATATTGCACCTACATATAGATGCAGAAATCTTCACCAAAATACTAACAAATAGAAATCAGAAATGCATGTTAAAGAACAATACCATGCCCAAGTAAGGTTTATTCCACATGTAAGGCTGGTTTAATACTCAAAAGTCAATCAATATGATTCACCCTATTGATTGTCTAGATTGGAAACATCATACAATTCTATCAAATGATTCAAAAAATGCTTTTAAGAAAAACTATACCCATTCATGATTTAAAATTTAAAAACCAACTCTCAGCAATGTGGGAATCGAGGGAATTTCCTCAACTGTGCAAAGAACATCTACAGAAACCTATAGCTAAATTGTATGTAATAGTGACAGACTCAATGCTTTCCCATGAAATCAGGAACAAGGCAAAGATATCCTCTCCAAGTCTTTCTATTCAACAAGGTACTGGAATTGTTTGCTGGTGCAATAAGGTGAGAAAAGGAGTTAAAAAGCATATACATTGGAAGTAAAAAAAAATGAAACTATCCATACTTGCAGAACATGAGCCTATCTTAAAGAGTCTAAAAGCAAACTTCCAGAACTCATGAGTGAGTTTAGCAAGGTCTCAAGATAGGAGGGTGCAAAGCTTCAGAGGGAAAAAGTTCCAGGGCCTTAGAACAGGAGAATTTCCTGCAGTAAGTTCTCAG
Source organism: Homo sapiens (assembly GCF_000001405.40). Lineage (NCBI taxonomy): Eukaryota > Metazoa > Chordata > Mammalia > Primates > Hominidae > Homo > Homo sapiens. Next base: position 43,001,256 of record NC_000005.10, on the reverse strand, counting down.
GTCCTCTGCCTGTTCACTTGATTTCCTGTAGGCTTAGCCTGTGAGTCCCCCACCCTGCATGACCCCGGGCCGGTCCTCCCCTCCAATCTCTGCATAAGACACACCACTTTTTGTATTTGATTTTGCTCTGCAACCAGCAAATCCAGGCGACCCAGGTTTCCCTGCCAGTCCTGGCAACAGCAACCAGACACCCCACCCCTGAGCCTCATCCTTACTCAACGTCATCAGCAGGAACTCAGGTAACAGGAATTTCACATTTGTGTACAATTTTATTGAGAAGAGGAAGGAAAAAAGGCATAAAGTGATCTGAAGGCGAAACTTCTTCCATCGCATTTGAGAGAACTCAGGTATTATTGTAACTTTATTTATTTATTTATTTATTTACAAGAGGATCATCCAATGGAAGGTCTCAGAGGAAGTTTCAGGGCCCAGGATTCCAAAGGCGGGCCGTGGACACAGTCTCAGGGCGTCTGTCCCCAAGCGCATGCCATCTGCAGCCAGCAGTCTTGGAACTTTGGTTGGTGGCACCAGGGGACAGCAGTAGGCTGACACTCTCAAAGGTCTTCTCGGATGGAAGTCTCCGGCTCCAGTCGTCTGTCCACTAAGCGAGAGGCGAGTTGCGAGGGAGGCTGCGGGGGCGGGCGGGCGTATGTTGAGACCCTATGCAGCCTCCTGCTCTCCCGAGGGCTCCTGCGGCTCCTCCTGAATTGCCTGCGCCGGATCCAGAGCAGGCGACTCTGCGCCCCGCCTCCAGGTACTCTGAGGCTTGGGAAAGAGATCTTTTCGCCGGCAGTTTCAGCAAGGAAGCACGCAGGGAGCGGAAAGTATGTGGCAGTGGAAATCTAGGTCGGCCCAGGAGAGCTCGCAGTGGTAAGCACAGGAAGGGAGCATCCAGGACACCGAATGTACTGAGCTCCGGGCTGGAGGCATCTGGTCCCGCCGCCTCCTTTGCGGAATCCCGGGCCTGCCAAACTCGGAGGGGACACGGCAACTCCATCGCGTCCTTTCACCAGCGGATACAGGGTATCTAGGACTCATAAGTCAACATCTTTTGCGTTTTTGTAATCTTCTGGTCTCATGGGCCGTCCAAATCAGATTGCAGGGAGGTGGGTGTGAACCTTATTCTTAGGAGCAAGTTACATCAGGACATGGAATTAATGAGATTAACATAAAGTCCTATCATTTGAGATGAAGTTATCTAGTTAAACAATTTGCTTTAGGAATTGAAAAGAAAAAATATCACCTTTCTTGTACAGAGAAAGCCGTCTTGGGGCACCCTGGTTAGAAAGTTCATTATTGTCCCCAAATGCATTGCTAGTACTAGAGCAGACAGGATCCCTTTCTGCCTCAGAGTAGTGCTTGTCAGATGCCTAAAGATCGCTATGTTACTGAGGAGCAGGCCAGGGTAGTTGCCCATTTTTAAAATTAGAGGATCATTTTTTGGGGAGATATTTTATTATTGTATTATTCTGTGTTACGTTGACTCATGTTACATTTTAATTTTAGATTCAGGAGGTACATGTGTAGGTTTGTTATGAGAATATATTGCGTGATTCTGAGGCTTGATCTCATCACCCAGAGAGTGAACTAAATCCCCAGGAGGAAGTTTTTCAGCCTCTACCCCCTTATGTCCCTCCCTCCCTCCTTTCGGAGTCCTCAGTGGTCTATTGTTCTCATCTTTATGTCCCTGTATACCAGGCTGAACTCCCACTTCTAAGTGAGGACATGTAATATTTGTTTCTGCATGAATTTGTTTAGGATAATGGCATCCTTATAGAATAGCTTGAAGCTGGATAATGTGATGCTTTGGGCTTCATTATTTATTTATTTATTTATTGTTTGGGATGCTTTGCCTATTCATTGTCTTTTTTTTTTTTTTTTTTTTTGAGACAGGGTTTTTGCTGCAGCTCAGGTGGGAATGCAGTGTCATGCTCTTGGCAACCTGGACCTCCCAGGCTCAAGGGATCCTCTCCGTCAGCCTCCAGAGTAGCTGGTGATCCTCCCCCCTCAGCCTACAGAGTAGCTGGGAATACAAGTATGTGCCACCATACCTGGCTAATTTTTCTTGTATTTTTTGTAAAGATGGGTTTTCACCATGCTGCTAGCTTGGTGGTTGCCTCAGCCTCCTGAGTGGCTGGGACTACAGACAGCTGGGACTGCAGGCAGGAATCACCACATCCAGCTAATAATTTTTTTTTTTTTTGGTAGAAATTGTGTTTCACTGTGTTATCTGGTTTGGTCTTGGACTTCTGGCCTTAAGTGATCCTCCTCCCTCAGCCTCTCAAAGTGCTTGGATTACAGATGTTAGCCACCATGCCTAGCCCATAATAAAGTTGTTCTAGTCTTAGATTCTTCTCTCATGATGGTAATTCCACCTTCAGTTTTTGGGGTTTTTTTTTTTCGTTTTTTTTTCTTTTTTTTACAACATCTTGCTCTGTTTCCCAGGCAGAAGTGCAGGGGCAGGATCCCAGCTCACTGCAAACTCTGCCCCCTGGGTTTAAATGATTCTACCACCTTAGCCTTCCGAGTATCTGAGATTACAGTTTCATGCCACCATGTCTGGCTAATGTTTGTAGTTTTAGTAGAGAGGGGGTTTTACTATGTTGGCCAGGCTGGTCTCAAACTCGTGGCCTCAAGTGATCCTCCTGCCTCAGCCTTCCAAAGTGCTAGGATTACAGATGTGGGCCACTGCACCTGGCCCAGATTTTTTTTTTCGCTTTGTTCATTGCATTATTCATATCGAAGTGGAAAATCGCGGATAATTCTAGTCTTACTATACTACCTAATATAGCATCCTACTATACACTTATGTTAAGTTTCTTGATAGCATTTATCACGGCCGAGCGCAGTGGCTCATGCCTGTAATCCTAGCACTTTGGGAGGCCGAGGTGGGTGGATCACCTGAGGTAAGGAGTTCAAGACCAGCCTAGCCAACACGGCTAAACCCTGTCTCTACTAAAAATACAAAAATTAACCAGGCATGTTGAGCGCCTGTAGTTCCAGCTACTCGGAAGGCTGGGGCGGGAGGATTGCTTGAACCCAGGTGGCAGAGGTTGTAGTGAGCCGAGATCATGCCACTGCACTCCAGCAGTGGAAACAGAGTGAGACTGTCTTAAAAACAAACAAACAAAACAACAACAACAGCAACAAAAAGCATTTATTATATAAATACTGTCTTATTTATTTATTTGTTTTCCTGTTTACTGTCTTTTTTCAACTCATGAAGGTGTCAAACACTTTGTGGCCAAGTCCATGTCTACTTGTTGATCACTTATTTCTGGGACCTTGATCCCTTTGTAGTACAATATAGATGCTTAGCATTTGTTAATGAAGAAACAATAAATGTATTAAAAGACTGGGTGTGGTGGCTCATTCCAGAAATCCCAGCACATTGGGAGGCTGAGATGAGAGGATTGCTTGAGCCCAGGAGTTTGAGCCGAGTCTGGGTAACATAGGGAGACTCTACCTCTACAAAAAATTTAAAAATTAGCTGGGTGCCTGGTGTGCCTCTGTAGTCTCAGCTACTTGGGAGGCTGAGGTAGGAGGATTGCTTGAGCCTAGGAGATTGAGGGTAAATTGAACAGTGATCATGCCACCACACTGCAGCCTGGGTGACAGAATGAGACCCTATCTCAAAAAAAAAAAAGAAACAAAAAACAGTAGTCTCAGAGGTCTATAGCTGATTATAATCCTATAAAAGGATCAAAGTAAAACAATAATTGTTGATGGCAAAAGTATTAGAATAGCAAGGGTTAAAGATGCAATGGACAAGGAAATTTGGTTATAGCTATGGCGTACAACAATTTAATATAATGATCATAATTAGTTCTGATAACATACACTAACATTTCAGAATCACAGGAATCTCATACGATTTTGTAATACATACTAATAAGACATTCATATAAATACAATCTAAAGAAAGTTAAATATCATTTCATATTTGATAATGCATCTTATGTGATCTTATTATGCCAAATAAGCCAAATATATCTCTTTGGATTTCAGGGGACTTAATGTCAAAAAAATTAATGAGGTAAAAAAGACCGAATTTAGAATTGGATTTTAGAAAGTTTGTCAAATACTTAAAACAAGGTCAATGTTTAAAACACTTGATATCACAAAATAGAATCACAGGTCATTGTAAAATAAGTCAGTCATTTAGTCAAAGTGGTAACTCAAATATTTCAAAAACAAAAAGGCAAAACCTTTTACTCTTTGAGACTTACTTTCCCAAAAAATAAGACCTAATGAAGATAGAATGAAGCCAATTAAATCTATTTCTCAAATCTTATAGACAAGTGTATTAAATTTTAATCATCTTGACCAGAAGCAATAATTTTATAAACCTTTCATAACGTTTTATAATGTTTAAAAAAAGAATGGGTTAATACCTCAAGAAAACATTGCTAATCTGACACAGGGGCCCACAGGCTGGTCTTGCATCAGTGTTCCTTTTATATTAATCTTTATAGGCTGGCCATTGTGGCTCACATCTGTAATCTCAGTACTTTGAGAGGCATAGGTGGGTGGATTCCTTGATCTCAGGAGTTTGAGACTAGCCTTGGCAATGTGATGAAACACTGTCTCTACAAAAAATACAAAAATTAGCCAGGCATGGTGGTACACACCTGCAGTCCCAGCTACTCAGGAGGCTGAGGTGGCAGGATCGCTTGTGTCTGGGAGATGGAGGTTGCAGTGAGCCAGGATCATGCCACTGCATTCCAACCCAGGTGACAGAGCTAGTTCCTGTCAAAACAAAACAAAACAAAACAAAACAAAACAAAACCACTGTTTATAGAGAAATACTGAACTAACTTTCTCTCTTAAAGTAGGTCCTTACAAGTCCAAACACCCACTTCTTCTGCAATAGTCCCTGGGACTAGGGGGTTGAATAGTTTAATTTTCTGGACACAGGTCTTGTGAATGCAGCTTCTTCTGATTTTCATCTTCTCTTAGGTCTGAAGATGAGGCTTCAGTTGCTGTTAATGTTTAAGATTTAGTAGGAGTTGGTGACCTTTTTCGACCCAGGAGTGAAAGCCCTGTAACTTGGTAACACAAAAACGTTAAAAGAATTACAGAAAGTTATGTAGATATAATAACCTTTTTTAATCTCAGTTTTTCTAAGCAAATAAAAACCTAGTAATAATTACACAGGAATTATTTTGATAAAATGTACAGTATGTTTTTACCTTTTTCCTAAATAACCTTTGAATTAGATAAAACTATTTTCCTTTTAATAATAACACTTTTTCTTTGGAAAAATGTTTGCCTACAGTACTTTTGTAAAGTTGAGAATGACCCAGACATTTAATGACTACCTATTATTTCATAAAATATAACTCTAAGATTTTTTTTTTTTGACGGAGTCTCAGTCTGCCTAGGCTGGAGGACGGTGGCACGATCTGAGCTCACTGCAACCTCTGCCTCCGAGTTCAAGAGATTCTCCTGCCTCAGCCTCCTGAGTAGCTGGGATTGCAGGCATGCATCATCACCGGCTAATTTTTGTATTTTTAGTAGAGATGGGGTTTCACCACTTGGGCCAGGCTGGTCTCCAACTCCTGACCTCAAGTGATCTGCCCATGCTGGCCTCCCAAAGTGGTGGCTCACACAGTAATATCACAGTCTTCTGAATTCAAAATAGGCCGAGGCTGGAGCTCAGGCACCACCTCTGCGGAATCTCAAGCAGGCTTCACATAGCCAAGAAAATGTTGCTCCATCGCTTAATTAAGCCTCAGAGCAGGAGGACATAAGCGTTTGCGCTGATTGACGAGATGAAGCAGAACCTTTAGCACTACCATCAGCCTGGGTATTTATGCTCTCCGGAGCTCGTGGGCAGAGGGCACCCAGATATTATGAAACTCAATAGTAACGAATGCACGAAAATTAGTAGACAAATGAAAACCGGTAAAATTCTAGAGAGCACATAGAAACAAAACAAATCGTAATTCCGACAGAAAAACAGCGAGAAAAGAAGTCGAAATGAAACGGATACTAAGCAAACCTTACAGAGAACGAGCGCTACAAAACGCAGGGATTAAAGAGTTCTTCAGGGGCCAAAAACCATCTGTGTCCGGGAAATGAGCATTGCTGCCACCGGAAAACTGTCCGCTAGGTCTCTGCACTGCTCTGGACCTCGCTAGCAAGAATCTGGCGGCGCTGAGACTCAGCAAGCGCCGGCACCTAGCGGATAGCGCTGGTATTGCCAAACAAATATCCGTTTAGGCGCCATAACGGTGCTGCTAGAAAGAAACTGCGGATTCTTAGGAGGGGTGCTTCCATCCCGAAACATACTGTCTGGAGGAATGGACCGACTCTGTTTAAATGTGTTGTGACGTTTTAATGTGTTTTAATCCGTTTAATGTGTTTAATCCGTTTAATGTGTTTTAACACGTTTTAATGTGTTGTGACAGGAAAAGAGCCGGCTAACGGTATTACGGAAGTACTAGTTGGCACAGAGGCTCGGTGCAATTACCGTTCTGCACCGTAAAACGGGTTTAGGAAGTTCCTAGGAGATACTAGCGGTGCCAGAACCGAGAAAGTGACGACACAGACAACTTATGGACTCCGCGTACGGGAAACGTTCCGTTGGGCGCTAAGAACGGTGCAGCAACTGAAAAACCGCTCAGTGGGCGCTACTGGCAAAAGCGTTGCTGCAAAACCGCCAGCTCCGCATTAGAAGCAGAGCCGCCAGACAGAACCCGGGACCTGAAACCACCGAAGCGGAGACCGAGCTTGGCTCCCCAGCTCCTGAGAGAATGCAAGTCAAGGAGTACGAAGCTGTGATACTCAAAATTAGTAGAAGAAAAATGAATAACATTTAAATAAGATAAAATTTTAAAATAATAAATTCTAAAATTCAAATAAAAAGGCAAAGCAAACACACTGGAAACTACCGGTAGCATTGTTCTCAGAGCAAAAGACACAAAAAGAGCATTTAAAAATAAGCAAAAATTAGAGAGAACCAACCCTACAAAGCAGAAATTACAAGTATTGCCAAAAGAAGCAATTCTGTGATTAGGATATCCCTGTTAGATCTAAACCGGTACATGTTACACCTAAGTCTACATTTCTTAGGACAAAAACAAAAACAAACAACAACAACAACAAGAAACCAACAAAACCCAGTCATGGTTAAACCTGTTTACGACTAAAAAATCGTAGTAGCTGATATATCCCGACTTGGTCCACAAGAGGAAAAAGTCGCGTTCGGCGGAAATTGCTATCGTCAAACCGAGCTTCGTAAACCAGAAATCGCTTTTGCCGGCATTTCCTGACTTCCATGGGAGTTTAAAAAACACCAACATAGCTAAGGCGGGACTTGATGTTGCGCAGCTAGCCTTGGTGTAAGAGCTCCCAGGCACTGCTAAACTGGTCATCGCTAAACCTAAATGAATCGCATTCGCTGGTACACAGATTTCTACAGGAGTTGAACATCTCCTGCGCAGCTAAAGCAAGCCGTACTAGTAGGAAGCCGGAACTTGCCACGACTTAGAAACTTGAGGCTTTGGGAGGCCAAGGCGGGTGGATCATCTGAGGTCGGGAGTTTGAGACCAGTCTGGCTAATGTGGCAAAACCCCGTCTCTACTAAAAATACAAAAATTAGCCGGGTGTGGTGGCGGGCGCCTATAATCCCAGCTATTTGGGAGGCTGAGGCAGGAGAATCACTTGAACCCGGGAGGTGGAGGTTGCAGTGAGCCGAGATCGCCGAGATGGCGCCACTGCATTCTAGCCTGGACGAAAGAAACTCTGTCTCAAAAAAAAAAAAAAAAAAAAAAAAAAAAAGAAAAAGAAAAAAGAAACTTGAGGCAGGGCTAACTCTGCGTTTGTTATGATTAGGCTACAGGAAACCCGGAGTTGCTGGGAAATGAGTCACAGGGTCACTCAGCCTTTCTGTGGCGAAACATCGACTTCCTACGACCTAGAAATCGCCGCCAGGGCTAGGCTGGTGTTTGTCCTAAGTGGGTACTTGCTTGGGTTGAGAAATCACATTTTGGCTATTCCCCGACTTGAACCAGGGGATAGAAATCGTAGTCACCGGCTGGGCGCAGCGGCTCATGCTGTAATCCTGGCAGTTTGGGAGGCCGAGGCGGGCAGATTATTGAGGTTAGGAGTTCGAGACCAGCCTGGTCAATATGATGAAACACCGCCTCTAGTAAAAATACAAAAATTATCCGGGCGTGGTGGCGAGCGCCTGTAATCCCAGCTACTCAGGAGGCTGAGGCAGTAGAATCCCTTGAACCTGGGGTGCGGAGGTTGCAGTGAGCCAAGATCGCGCCACTGCACTCCAGGCTGGGCGACACGGCGAGACTCTGTCTCAAAACAAAACAAAAGGAAAAGAAGAGAAAAGAAAAAGAAACGCAGGCACCCTGAAATCGAAACTTGTTAGGACCAACAAGCCAACGACAGACGAATCTGCGGGGTCCTGCGACAGACACGCCAGCCCCGCCGCCACAGCACAGGGTTCTGGAGGTCGAGCTGTTCTGCGGGTTCTGCGGCGGCGCTGGGAAGAGACGGCGCCCGGGCAGCTCCCCTGTCACCGGCTTGGAGGAGCGGCGGGCTCCCCTAGCCCAGCGCCGCCGCCGCCGCCCGGGAACGCCAGGCTCACCCCAGCTGGGGAAGCTCCGAATCCCTCAGATCGGCGACCTGAGTGCTGTCGCCCCGAGAAAATGGAGGCATCGAGCAACGAGCTGTGCTGAGACCGAGAGACCTCAGTTCTGCGAAATGTCGGTGCCTGGAGCTTGCGAATGACTGCGGCCGGCGGGTTGTCAAGGACAACATTCCTTATGGCGCAACCAACAGCGCTGTCACCAAGAAACTGGACTCTGAGAAAAAAGAGGGTTTCGGCCACCGAGAAACTCCGTGCCACATGTGCCGTGACAGCAAAACCGCCCGCTCCGCGCCGCTGGTGAAAGAGCTAACGAACGCCAGGTGCTGCGACAGTGACACCGGGACTAGAAGGCCTCGGATGGAGAATGGGACGCCCAGAGCAAGCAGGAAAACGTTTTGTTTGGCTCAACTAGCGCTGTCGCAACCGGAAAACTGTCAGGCCAGTGCTGCTGCGGATGTGAGAAACCGGTGATCCGAAGGCGGAGTGGCGCTGGGCGCTGGACTCGCTGGTGTGAAAATCTGGCTGCTCTAGGACCCGGCAAGCGCGGGCACCAGGCGAACGCCAGCGACTTTGCCAGACAAATGCATGTCTTTTTTGGTCGCCATTCAAAGATGCAGCCGGCAGTCAGCCCCGGCTCTGAGAAACAAGTGGAGGTGTCAGCCATAAACCCTCCGTTCAGGGAAAAGAGAGTCGCTGCGACGGATCGACTGGCCGTTGGGTGGAACTTTCTTTGGTGGCCTAGTGACTAGAAAATAAAAACGAAAACGAAATAAAAAACTGCTACTGACATTACTCCCACGCTCCCTCCTCAAGTCAGTGGCTTCAGGCTTAAGAAAACCTGTATTTTTCTTGGCTGATCCGTGATCCCTAATTACTGAGGGCCCCGCGACCCACCAAGTGCGATTCGCAGAGGGAAAGGAGCTGGAATAAGGATCCAGAATGGGACGGATTTGGCTCCTCCAGGAAGAAAGCAAAACAAATGCAGGTCGCGAACACTTTACATTGCAGGAAGCTGCTCTTCCAGTGGCCGCGGCTGGGTCCTTCCACACCACCTCTCTGTCCTAGGCCTTCGTCCCGGTTCAGCCCTCACGGATTCTAGGCTAGCGGTCAACAACCGCATCCCTCCGGAACCTGGAAACTCTAGGTCCGAGATCTCGGTGAAGAATGAAAGGCACAGCGCCGCTCAACCCAGGCTTCAGGCCTGCCCCGCTGGTCCCGTCCCTTCCCTGTGGGATGGAACTCTGTGGGAATCGCTCCTTATTCTGATGGTTCACTCATTCAGATGTCCTTGATATTTGGGGATATTTCTAAAACAGCTGGGGAGAAAAATGGACTGCGAGGCTCCGGTGTTGGACGTGAAATTGGCAGTGAGACATCCGCCTCTAAGCCCAGGGAAAAGCTTAAATTGTGGTTCTCTGTCTCTAGCACCGTGATCTTTGAAATGCGTTATTGATTTTCTTCTTTCTTCTGGGAAATGCAATGCAGGTGAACTTGTAAGTGTTGAATCCTCCCTCTCCTCACTGTTCAATCAGACTGAGGCCTACTTCCTTTCTGATAAGAAATATGGAACTGCCATTGCTCAGTAGGAAAATGTCCTTTCTACAAGCATTCATATTTCAATAAAAATCTGCACTTTGTGAGTTGAGCCCCCTCAAAGAGACCTACAGACCCTGCCATGAGCATCTCCATCCACACTCATCATTTCCCATTTTCACCACTTCTGCTCCTGTGCAAACCAGTACTATCCTTTTCTGGGGGATCCTAGGCAGAAGCGATGGCAGGACAAAGGCAGAGAAGGCACTGCCAGGTAAGGAAATCTATTTTGCCCTTGCAATTCTGTCTCCCAAGGGATTTGCCTCAATATCTCCCTCCCACCATACCCCTTCTTCAGCTAGCCAAAACCTTCCCTGCTATTTGAGGCTCCTCCAATTGCCTCCTGGTCCTGTGGTTGCAAGAATAAAGGAAAAACTACACTGTTCTCACCCACATAGTTACAGACACTATGAAATAGAAGAGCAGTCTGGAGTCATTGCAAAGCAAAATACCTACCATCAGTTCTCTCTTCCTATTTCTTTTTTTTTTCTTTTGAGACAGAGTCTTGCTCTGTCACCAGGCTCGAGTGCAGTGGCGCGATCTCGGCTCAGTGCAACCTCTGCCTCCCGTGTTCAAGGATTCTCCTGCCTCAGCCTCCTGAGTAGCTGGGGCTACAGGAGCGTGCCACAACGCCCAGCTGATTTTTGTATTTTTAGTAGAGACGGGGTTTCACCATGTTGACCAGGATGGTCCCGATCTCTTTACCTCGTGATCTGCTCGCCTTGGCCTCCCAAAGTGCTGGGATTACAGGTGTGAGCCACCGTGCCCGGCCCTCTGTTCCCATTTCTACTCCAGCTTCCCATCTTAGTAAAAAAAATCTGTGAGCAACACCCTGTAGCGGGAAAAGGTAACCTGTCTTGATGGGAGTCCATAGGAGGCTGCAGGCTGCTTCCCTACAGAGACTGATATCAAGGTAGCTGCAGAATTTAGATTCTAATCCTAGTGTGATTGGAGGTGGGGTAGATTCCAGGGAGGTCAGAAAGTGATCAAATACAAAATTGTGCTCCTTTGGAGGAGGTCATAGGAACTTTGAATTATGACAATGGCTAGTAATTGGGTAGAATTGGAGCAGGCTGGTGATGGCAGTTTTGTGTGGGTGGTAGGACCTAGGAATCAAACTTGAGGGCAAATTGTGGAGCACATATGACAAACGATGTAGAGCCTTTCCTATTTCCCTTTCCAGTGTGTTATCCAAAACAATAAATAATAAAGAATTAAGAAAGACTAATATTTTTATCAATCTCATTAAGAAAAATTGCATCAAATCAAGATAACTATAATGATAAATATTGTTAGAATATTATTAACCAAATGAAAGTGACACAAAACAAAAACGGGGTGGATGGTGGGAGAGATCAAATAAAAGCAGTCTCCAACACTCAGGCAATTTGCACAGGTGAATCTTCTGGCCAGTTGTTATGTTGCAGGAAGCTGTGCAACTAATGAATGAGGAGGCAGGAATCCATATTAATACTTTCCTGATACAGAGAAATTCTTGGATTTAACAATCTGCTTCTTTGTCAGATACTGACTTTTGATTATAGGCTCAGAAAAGATGATAACAGTTATAATCACTTAGTCTAGTAGAGTAGGTAAAAGAAAGACTGTGTAGGAGGCTAGACAGAAAGCAAAAGGTAAAAGTGCCCCGGGGTAAGTCATCTAGAGTTGAAAGTGAAGAACTGTGCTTGGTACCAATGGAGGACTCCACCAGGTCAGGTTAACCTACAAAAAATGAACCATTGGCTGTTGATCTCTGGGACTGAAGATTCACCCTATCCCATTCCTGTCTAGCCTCAGCTTTACATTCACTGTGTAGCTCAAAGGTTTTTGTTTGTTTTTTTTTTTTTTTTTGTAAAACACTCTCCACAAATGTTTGATAGATTATAAAACCCTGTCCTAAGACTTTGTCATCCACAGACAATTGTCTTATTTTCAGTCCTCTTCAAAAGGTCGTTTATAATTAGCTATTGGATTTTGATAGGTGTTTTTGAATGCAGGTTTCTAATTACTCTGGAGATTGTGACATTAGAATAAAGAAAAATGTGACATGAGTCTGCTTGGGAACATTTTTTTTTTTTTAAAGTGGAATAGAGGAGTAAACTTTTAGGACTCTCATGGAGAGCTGAAGTATTCGTGAATATCAAACAGGAGTTAATTGCATGGACCGAACAAATAGAAGACTGAAATGATATTGTTGACTTTTTTGCTAAAAAATTGCTGATCCTTAAAAAATTGCTGATCCTTTTTTATGTTTTCCTGAGTCAAGGAAACTTTACTTTTGAGCTATTGACAGCTTTTAACAATTCAGTAAAGTATACTCCAGTGAACAAAATTTGGAGCATATTTCTTTCTCTTTACCTGATTTCTCCAGAATTTGGAAACTATTTGTGAATATTCTTAACTTATGTCAATGTAGTTATTTGCATAAGTGCAATAAGAATGTTTTCTTTTGCAACAGAACACCATTGGAGAAACTGGTTATTTTACCAAGGCTTTGACTGAAATGGTGTGCTTTTCTTTAAGGAGTCAAACTTGAGTTACAGAGCCAATAAAAGCTCCTTGGGAAAACAGGCCCCAAACCTTGTCTACACAGACCCTATACAGGGTTTCTGATTTGTGGTAAGTAAAGAATGTCACTTTTTGACAAGCCCAGGAGCCCCAAGTGATCTTGGGACCTCTAGAGGAGGGGAATTTACCCAACTCATATGTATTCGATGGTACAAAGCCATGGCCGGGCTCGGCTTTTAAAAAGTCTTATCTGAGACTTTTTCTATGGAATAGAGTTCCATCAAAGTCATTTAAAAAGGCTTGTGTGAAAAATAATTGTTCTTGCGGCACTTTATACAAATAATCAGACCAAGTATAATAAAGCGAATAGGTCCTACCATGATTTCTCTTTAGTAAAAATGGGAAACTGGAGAGAGAAAAATTATGTTTCAACAACTATAGTATACATGCTGTTAGATTCTAGTCTTGCCTAATGTTATTTAATTTTTATTATTTTCTACAGTTTGGACTGAATTCCAAAATTTTTTTCTGGCTAAAAGTCTCCAAAATGATGTTTTCAATTATTTTCTTCTTTCTTTTCCTTTCCCTTACCCATTTTTTCCTAATTTTAAATCACTGAAAACTAAACTGTGCTTTCTTAAAGCCCTGCAAAATGAAGCTAGACAACTTAAACTTCAGAAGTAAATAAGAACAACCTATGTACATACATAAACCACTCTCATACCTGCCTGCTGATGTATGGACTTCAAAGTATTATGGCCCATATTGATTTTCCAGAATTATCTTTTTTGGTTTGTTTGTCGCTGTTTTTCTCCTTTCCTACCCATATTTTCTCTTCATAGGATGTGAGACTTCACAACCTGCTAAAAATGAGCCCTCCTAATAATGTGTGTCCTACCCAACTGGGAATAAACCATCGTAGCCATGAGAGATCAGATGGCTCTTCTCCTCCAAATATCATGTTAGAGGAGACTCACTTTCTTGTAAAATGCTTTATCTGAAAGAATTTAAAAAGAAACGGGAGGAAATGTGAAAGGAAAATAAATCCAGGGACCCCCAAATCACTAAGCCAAAAGGAAAAGTTAAGCTGGGAGCTTTAGGGCAAACCTGCCTTCCATTCTATTCCTAAAGAATATAGCTGCTAAGTTGAAAAAGTTACATACCGGCCAGGCAAAGTGGCTCACGCCTATAATCCCAGCACTTTGGGAGGCTGATGTGGGCGGATCACCTGAGGTCGGGAGTTTGAGACCAGCCTGACCAACATAGAGAAACCCCGTCTCTACCAAAAATACAAAATTAGCCGGGTGTGATGGCACATGCCTGTAATCCCCGCTACTCGGGAGGCTGAGGCAGGAGAATTGCTTGAATTTGGGAGGTGGAGGTTGTGGTGAGCTGAGGTCCTGCCATTGCACACCAGTCTGGGCAACAGGAGCAAAACTTGCTCTCAAAGGAAAAAAAAAAGCCACATACCTCCCTCACCCTCACAAGGAATTTCTTTGTGGACAAAGCACAGACAGAACTCGAAGTCATCCCTCTGCTCACTGAGATAAATGCATAACTGATTGCCTCCTTTAGAAAGGCTAATCAGAAACTCAAAAGAATGCATCTGTTTGTTTTTTACCAATCTATGACCTGGGAGCCCCCTCTCCACTTTGAGTTTTTCCGCCTTTCCGGACGGAGCCAATGTACATCTTATGTATATTGATTGATGTCTCATATCTCCCCAAAGTATATAAAACCAAGTTGTGCCATGACCACCTTGGTCATATGTGGTCAGGACCTCCCTGAGGCTGTGTTATGGGTGCGTGCCCTTAACTTTGGCAAAATAAATTTCCTAAATTGACTGAGACCTGTCTCAGATATTTGATGTTCACACTATAATGGATAACTGAGACTGATTAAATTATAAAGAAAGGATTTTTATTTTGGCTCACAGTTTTGTGCTGTACAAGCATGACACTAGCGTTTTCTGTTGAGGGTGTCAGGAAGCTTCCACTTATTGTGGAAGACAAAGGAAAAACATGTGTATCACATGGTGAAAGAAGGAGCAAGAGAGAGAGGGAGAGGTACCGGGCCTCCTTTTAAACAACTTGATCTCCTGTAAACTCATTATGGCGGGGAGGGCACCAAGCCGTTCATGAGGGATCTGCCCCCATGACCCAAACACCTCCTACCAGACCCCATCTGTAGATTGAGGATTACATTTCAACATGATATTTGGAGGAGAAACGTCATCTAAACTTTATCAGAGAGAAATGAATGTAAACTCCGCAGGTAGCATGTATTAGGCTATTATTGCATGCTATAAAGAAATACCTGAGACTGGGCATTTTGTAAAAAACAAAACAAAACAAAAGAAGGTTTAATTGACTTATGGTTCTGTAGGCTGTACAAGGAAGCATCGTGGCGTCTGCTTCTGGGGAGACTTCAGGAAGCTTCCAGTCATGTTGTAAGGCAAAGGAGGAGCAGGAACATCACATGTCAGAGTGGAAGCAAGAGAGAGAGAGAGTGGTGGAGAGTTGTCACACACTTTTAAACGATGAGATGGTGCAAAAGCTTACTATTGCAAAAACAGCATCAAGCCATGGAGGAATCCACTCCCATGACCCTGTATCTCCCACCAAGTCCCACCTTTAACATTGGGGATTATAAGTCAACATGAGATCTGAGCAGGGACAAACATCCATACTATATCCCAGCACACTCAGCATTAATCATTAGGTCAACTTGTCCCTGACCTGCTTCCTTATAGTTGTTTACTGCCTATTTTCTCAGAAGTATGTAGACTCTGCTACAAGATCATAGTTCACCTCAACTACTTTATAGATAACAACTTAAATATTAAGGAAACATTAAGTTTTCCCTTTGAAATATTGTTTCAGGTCCTGCATGCCAGTAAAACTACTCATGTCAGCTGTTCTGCAGGATCCCATGAGAAGGTGAGTCACCAGAAAATGCAGTTTCCACATCCTGATGATTTCATCTCCCTACCCCAACTGATCAATTTCTCCAATTTTCCAGCCTCTCACCCTCCACAATCCCCTTAAAAACTGTAGCCCAGAACTCTCTGGAATGATGAATTTGAAGGTTTGCTCCTGTCTCCTCACTCAGAAGCCTGTAATCATTAAACTCTTTCTCTGATGCAAACTCTGCTGTCTCAGTGTAATTGGTATGTAAGTGTGCAGCAGGCATATGAATCTGTTGGTCCTGTAACAGTTGGGATGCAGTGGCACAATTGTAGCTCACTGTAATCTCTACCTCCTACACCTAAGGGAACCTTACCACCTCAGCACTCGGAATAGCTAGGACTTTAGGTCTGTGTGCTACCACCCATGGCTAATTTATAAAATAATTTCTTTGTAGAGACAGGATCTTTCTATATAGCCTGGGCTGGTCTCAAACTCCTGGCCTCAAGGTATCCTCCCCACTCTGCATCACAAAGAGCTGTCATTACATGTGTGAGATACCATACCCTGCCCATGGTAGAATATTAACACATGGGTGTGAAATGTTGGCTTCAGTCTGGCATGTTATTACTTTATTAACAGTAAAGAATAATATCTGATCATGAAATTGTTTTTTTTTGTAAATAGAATATTTTCTATTTACATTGATGCTTTTGTAAATAGAATATTTGACTCTGATGAAGACATATTATAATTTCACTATGGATATGACCTGAAATGGAAAAAATTGACTTACAGAAAAAATACACCAAAGAAGTCACCATTTTATATTTGTTCTTATTACAATTATCTTTCAAGCCATAAAAAACAAAAATTAGTGATTTTATTACCAACTGAGAAGATTATTTTCTGCCAAGCAATCTCTAAACATTAACTTTTACTAGGAATGTATTCATGAAAGGGACTTTGTAAAATAGGAGCAAATTTGACCTCTTATTTAATCATTCAGAGATGAAATAAAATATAATACATTATTTGAAAAGATATCCAGGAAGCAGGAAGTACAGTCAGGGATCCCAGGAATGGGTGTGGTGATGTCTGTTGCACCAGGGCTTAGAGGGCAGGATCTTTCCTCTAGAAACTCTGTGTGTCAGGCATGCCTAGACAAAATACACTTATATTTGATGTTTTAGCATATCAAAGAGGTATTGCTTGGTTTAAAGATGAGGCTCAGTGAGTTTACACCACAGTCCAAGATCACAAAGGTAGTTCATGCTGGAGCTGGATTGAAGTCCCAGGTTATCAGGCATTCATATCAAGTAGGGAAATGAGTAAAGAAATAATTAGGTTGGGTTTTGAAAAAGAAGAATCCTATGCCTTACATAAAATTGTACCTTAAAAATTTTTTTGGCTGGGCGTGGTGGCTCTTGCCTGTAATCCCAGCACTTTGGGAGGCCGAGGCAGGCGGATTACAAGGTCAGGAGATCGAGACCATCCTGGCTAACACGGTGAAACCCCGTCTCTACTAAAAATACAAAAAATTATCCGGTGCGGTGGTGGGCGCCTGTAGTCCCAGCTACTCCGGAGGCTGAGGCAGGAGAATGGCGTGAACCCGGGAGGCGGAGTTTGCAGCGAGCGGAGATCGCGCCATTGCACTCCAGCCTGGGCGACAGACCGAGACTCCATCTCAAAAAACATAAAAATAAAAAAAAGGGCAAATATGTTGAGCTAATATGATGCTTTTTACAGTATTTTTTTTCAAGACCCTTATATGTTATGTGATTATATGCATTTTTTTAAGTTATTCTCCTTCCTCTGTTATTCCTACTTCCACTGCAATTCCTCTCATCAGTAACTACCAGTTTTAACATTACATTATCCAAAAAAGAGGTGGATGGAGTCTCGGCTGCATATGCTAATGTTGCACCTTGGACGAGTGATGTAATGCCTTTTGCCATTTTGCATTTCCAAATATATTCTCAAATGTATTCCTAACAGTGGTGTTTGCTACACAATGAAATAATAGAAATAAAATATAATACATTATTTGAAAAGATATCCAGGAATTATTTTAACATTTTTCCTTTAAATTAATTTCTGAATGGAAATGACAGTCATGAAACCATTCCTATAAACTTTATAAAGTTAATCAGGGAAAATGGGAGAAGGAGAATAAAAAATATATCAAGACTGCAGTACATTCAGCATTAATGATTAGGTCACCTTGCTCTCTGGCCTTCTTGCTCATAGTTCTTTGGTGCTTATTGCCCCAAACTATGAGAATAATTATGCAGAATAATTATACCCTGTCAGAATTATGCAGACCCAATCACAAGATTATAGTTTCCCTTAACTGCTCTGTAGAGAACACCTTTAACATTGTAAAATGTCAAGGTTTTCATTTGATATATTCTCTTATGTCCTGAAGACTGATAAAACTATTGATGCCAGCTAGTCTGAAAGACCCCATGAGGAGCTGGCTCACCGAAGAATGCAGTTTCTATATTTTGATGATTTCATCCCCTTTACCCCAAACAATCAATGACCCCAATTTTTCAGTTTCTTGCTCTCCACAATCTCCTTAAAAACTCCAGAGCTGGGCGGGGCACGGTGGCTCACTCCTGTAATCCCAGGACTTTGGGAGGCTGAGGTGGGCAGATCACCAGGTCAGGAGTACGAGACCACTGAAACCCCATCTCTACTAAAAATACAAAAATTAGTCGGGTGTGGTGGTGCACACATGTAATCCTAGCTATTCAGGAGGCTGAAGCAGGAGAAGGCTAAGGCAGGAGAATCGCCTGAACCCGGGAGGCAGAGGTTGCAGTGGGCTGAGATCACACCACTGCACTCCAGCCTGGGTGATGGAGCAAGATTCTGTTAAAAACAAAACAAAACAAAACAAAAACAAACACCTCCAGACCAGAATTTCTCAGGGAGGTGGATTTGAGGGTCCCTCCTGTTTCCTCACCTGGCTGCCCTGCTATCATTACATTCTTTTTCTGCTGTAAGCCCTGCTGTTTCAGTGTTTTGGTATATATTTATGTTACTGCACAGCAGATATCCAAACCTGTTGGTCCTGTAACGATCAGGCACATCTTTTGTATTGGTTTGTCTTGTGTTTTTTTTTTTTTTTTTTTTTTTCCAGATGGCCTAATTGGATTATTTCAGCAAGCTAAGTAATTTGAAGAGAGAGGCTAAGCCAATGTAGTACTAGAGCTACACTGGCCTTCTTTGGCTTAACATTTGTCTGGAATTATAATTTCCTCAATCTAAGAAACTAGTCATTGTAAGATGTGTCATTATTTCTTTTTTTATTTTTTATTTTCTTAGTATTTATTGATCATTCTTGGCTGTTTCTCAGAGAGGGGGATTTGGCAGGGTCATAGGACAATAGTGGAGGGAAGGTCAGCAGATAAACATGTGAACAAAGCTCTCTGGTTTTCCTAGGCAGAGCGCCCCGCCGCCGCCTTCCGCAGTGTTTGTGTCCCTGGGTACTTGAGATTAGGGAGTGGTGATGACTCTTAACGAGCATGCTGCCTTCAAGCATCTGTTTAACAAAGCACATCTTGCACCGCCCTTAATCCATTTAACCCTTAGTGGACACAGCACATGTTTCAGAGAGCACGGGGTTGGGGGTAAGGTTATAGATTAACAGCATCCCAAGGCAGAAGAATTTTTCTTAGTACAGAACACAATGGAGTCTCCTATGTCTAGTTCTTTCTACACAGACACAGTAACAATCTGATCTCTTTCTTTTTTTTTTTTTTTTTTTGTGTTTAAACAGCTTTATTTTTTTTTTTTAATTGATCATTCTTGGGTGTTTCTCGCAGAGGAGGATTTGGCAGGGTCATAGGACAATAGTGGAGGGAAGGTCAGCAGATAAACAAGTGAACAAAGGTCTGTGGTTTTCCTAGGCAGAGGACCCTGCGGCCTTCCGCAGTGTTTGTGTCCCTGGGTACTTGAGATTAGGGAGTGGTGATGACTCTTAACGAGCATGCTGCCTTCAAGCATCTGTTTAACAAAGCACATCTTGCACCGCCCTTAATCCATTTAACCCTTAGTGGACACAGCACATGTTTCAGAGAGCACGGGGTTGGGGGTAAGGTTATAGATTAACAGCATCCCAAGGCAGAAGAATTTTTCTTAGTACAGAACACAATGGAGTCTCCTATGTCTAGTTCTTTCTACACAGACACAGTAACAATCTGATCTCTTTCTTTTTTTTTTTTTTTTTTTGTGTTTAAACAGCTTTATTTTTTTTTTTTAATTGATCATTCTTGGGTGTTTCTCGCAGAGGAGGATTTGGCAGGGTCATAGGACAATAGTGGAGGGAAGGTCAGCAGATAAACAAGTGAACAAAGGTCTGTGGTTTTCCTAGGCAGAGGACCCTGCGGCCTTCCGCAGTGTTTGTGTCCCTGGGTACTTGAGATTAGGGAGTGGTGATGACTCTTAACGAGCATGCTGCCTTCAAGCATCTGTTTAACAAAGCACATCTTGCACCGCCCTTAATCCATTTAACCCTGAGTGGACACAGCACATGTTTCAGAGAGCACAGGGTTGGGGGTAAGGTCACAGATCAACAGGATCCCAAGGCAGAAGAATTTTTCTTAGTACAGAACAAAATGAAAAGTCTCCCATGTCTACTTCTTTCTACACAGACACGGCAACCATCCGATTTCTCAATCTTTTCCCCACCTTTCCCCCCTTTCTATTCCACAAAACCGCCACTGTCATCATGGCCCGTTCTCAATGAGCTGTTGGGTACACATCCCAGACGGGGTGGTGGCCGGGCAGAGGGGCTCCTCACTTCCCAGTAGGGGCGGCTGGGCAGAGGCGCCCCTCACCTCCCAGACGGGGCGGCTGGCCGGGCGGGGGGCTGACCCTCCCCACCTCCCTCTCGGACGGGGCGGCTGGCCGGGCGGGGCGCTGACCCCCCCACCTCCCTCCCGGACGGGGTGGCTGCCGGGCGGAGACGCTCCTCACTTCCCAGACGGGGTGGCTGCCGGGCGGAGGGGCTCCTCACTTCTCAGACGGGGCGGTTGCCAGGCGGGGGGTCTCCTCACTTCTCAGACGGGGCGGCTAGGCAGTGACGCTCCTCACCTCCCAGACGGGGTCGCGGCCGGGCAGAGGTGCTCCTCACATCCCAGATGAGGTGGCGGGGCAGAGGCGCTCCCCACATCTCAGACGATGGGTGGCCGGGCAGAGACGCTCCTCACTTCCTAGATGGGATGGCGGCCGGGAAGAGGCGCTCCTCACTTCCTAGATGGGATGGCGGCCGGGCAGAGACACTCCTCACTTTCCAGACTGGGCAGCCAGGCAGAGGGGCTCCTCACGTCCCAGACGATGGGCGGCCAGGCAGAGACGCTCCTCAATTCCCAGACGGGGTGTCGGCCTGGCAGAGGCTGCACTCTCAGCACTTTGGGAGGCCAAGGCAGGCGGCTGGGAGGTGGAGGTTGTAGCGAGCCGAGATCACGCCACTGCACTCCAGCCTGGGCACCATTGAGCACTGAGTGAACCAGACTCCGTCTGCAATCCCGGCACCGCGGGAGGCCGAGGCTGGCGGATCACTGGCGGTTAGGAGCTGGAGACCAGCCCGGCCAACACAGCGAAACCCCGTCTCCACCAAAAAAATACGAAAACCAGTCAGGCGTGGCGGCGCGCGCCTGCAATCGCAGGCACTCCGCAGGCTGAGGCAGGAGAATCAGGCAGGGAGGTTGCAGTGAGCCGAGATGGCAGCAGTACAGTCCAGCTTCGGCTCGGCATCAGAGGGAGACCGTGGAAAGAGAGGGAGAGGGAGACCATGGAGAGAGGGAGGGGGAGGGGGAGGGGTGATCTCTCTTTCTTTTCCCCACATTTCCCCCTTTTCTATTCCACAAAACCGCCATCGTTATCATGGCCCGTTCTCAATGAGCTCTTGGGTACACCTCCCAGACGGGGTGGCGGCTGGGCAGAGGGGCTCCTCACTTCCCAGACGGGGCGGCTGGGCAGAGGCGCCCCCCACCCCCAAGACAGGGCCGTGGCTGGGCTGGGGCTGCCCCCACCTCCCGGACGGGGCGGCTGGCCGGGCTGGGGCTGCCCCCACCTCCCGGACGGGGCGGCTGCCGGGCGAGATGCTCCTCACTTCCCGGACAGGGCGGCTGCCGGGCGGAGGGACTCCTCACTTCCCAGACAGGGCGGCTGCTGGGCGGAGGGGCTCCTCACTTCTCTGACGGGGCGGCCGGTCAGAGACGCTCCTCACCTCCCAGACGGCGTGGCGTTGGGGCAGAGACACTCCTCAGTTCCCAGACGGGGTCGCGGCCGGGCAGAGGCGCTCTTCACATCTCAGACGGGTGGCGGGGCAGAGTCGCTCCCCACATCCCAGACGATGGGCAGCCGGGCAGAGACGCTCCTCACTTCCTAGACGGGATGACGGCCGGGAAGAGGCGCTCCTCACTTCCCAGACTGGGCAGCCGGGCACAGGGGTTCCTCACATCCCAAACGATGGGTGGCCAGGCAGAGACGCTCCTCACTTCCTAGACGGGGTGGCGGCCGGGCAGAGGCTGCAATCTCGGCACTTTGGGAGGCCAAGGCATGCAGCTGGGAGGGAGAGGTTGTAGCAAGCCGAGATCACGCCACTGCACTCCAGCCTGGGCACCATTGAGCACTGAGTGAGCGAGACTCCGTCTGCAATCCCGGCACCTCCGGAGGCCGAGGCTGGCAGATTACTCGCGGTCAGGAGCTGGAGACCAGCCCGGCCAACACGGCGAAACCCCGTCTGCACCAAAAAATACAAAAACCAGTCAGGCGTGGTGGTGCGCGCCTGCAATCCCAGGCACTGGGCAGGCTGAGGCAGGAGAATCAGGCAGGGAGGTTGCAGTGAGCCAAGATGGCGACAGTACAGTCCAGCCTCGGCTGGGCATCAGAGGGAGACGGTGCAAAGAGGGAGAAGGGGAGGGGGAGGGGGAGGGGGAGGGGGAGGGAGAGGGATGTGTCGTTATTTCAATACTACTAAGAAAAATCTGCTAATTAAACTATGTCACAGTCCTGAAAGATCAGCAGATTTAAAATGTATACCTGTTTCAGAGATATGAAAATGGCAAACGACTTATCTTATGACTTACCTTAAAATTGATTAAATTCAGGTATTCAGTTCTTTATTTTTAATTCTTGGTGTCATTTTACTTTGTTTACTTCTTGTCAATAACAAGGAGCTTAGAGTTGTAATTTTTAAAATATATTAATATGATTGCATTTCTCTTTTTACAGAGTAGTTCAAAACATTGAAAAAAATTGTTTATGTGGGGAAATGATTTCCCCCCTCCAATTTCCATAAAGTAACTTCTTATAAGCAATTTTATATTCTTGCCCTATTTTTTAGTTCTCCCCCAAGATTGAGTAGTTCATATTGAATGGTAATTTGTGACAGGCCCTCTGCCAAGTGTAGTTTCTACTTTACCTTATTTACTTCTCAACTGGAAATCATGGCACAGAGAATTATCTAACGCAAATATTGTCTGATGTAGAGCTTGGGAGCAGACCTGGACTTAAAAAGTTTGGTCGCTCCAATTCTGTTCCCTTTCTTTTAGTCTGCTTTGCTTGGAAAATACACTTTGTTGTAGTTTTGTAGTGTGCATGCTTTTCCATTTTCTCTATTTTGTAGAGGCACAGCCTCACTCAGGGAGATTTTAGGTGGTGCAGTTTTGTCTGTGGATGGATGGGTAAATGTGATTTTGCCATTCAGTGTTAAGAAATTCATTTTTGGTGTAAATTTAAGGTCTATCTTTCAATTTAATTTTTTGTGGATATAATTTTTTGTATCCCTTCTCCCAACTCTCTAAATCAACATAACCAGGGCGAATTCTGAGTTCGTTATTCAATTGCTTATTTTTAATTTAGATTTATTTATCATTATGTATCTACATATTTTAATGGACATTTTAAAAATATTAACTTTATAAAATATAACCATGCTTTATGTAGTCTTATCAACCATTTTTTTTTTTTTTTACTGAACATTATATTGTTATGGTGCAACCAGACTTTTGAGTAATTTGATTTACTTATTTGGACTTTGTAAAATACTCCATTTTGAAAATATACCATAATAATTTTCATCCACTCTCCTAATAATGGAGTTTTGGATCCTCCCTTTCCATCAGGTTTTTGTTACTGTTAAAAGCGAAGATACCAACATTCTTTTACATATTTCCTGGTATGCATTTATGTGCAAGAACTTTTCTTGGGAGTGTGCTCTGAAATGGAATTGGTAGGTTTTGAGATATGTGACTTCCAGCTTCATAAGACAACAGATTCTTTTTCAAAGTGATGGTACCACACATGTTCCCACTTACAATACATAAGATACTCTAAAGTTTCATATACTCTCTAACACTTGGTATTGTCAGGTATTTTAACATTTAATCACTGAAAGGGTGAAAATAGCAGCGGCCCACAATTGTTGAGTCAGGCAACTTCACCCCATATGGATGTTGATCGCCAGAGGATCCCCTCCACAGATGCCCATTCCTGATTCACCATTTTGATTTATCAGATTCTGTTCATGATTACAATTGTTATGAGATAATACTGGCACTGTAACATCTTCCCAAACTGAGAAGAAGCTAAGGCCCATTTTCGTGCTCTTACCTTTTATAATACTGCTAATTCAAGGCTATTGGAGAGCTTGTTTTTTGTATGCCGTTCAGCCAGTTCTAGCTAAGAAGTAAACATTGGAAACGTATTTGAAACAAACAAACAAACAAAAAGGTTTAAGAAAGTTTTAAAAATAAAACTGCTTTGGAAACTGCTTTACCCAAAGTTTTTGTCCACAGCATTAATTGGATTACCTATCAGGGCAGATAAAGTTTAGCCATGAGGATAGGTCCCAATTTTGTCAGAAATAATTCGGATCCAGCTGTCTTCTGTAAAATAATGAGTTTCTGATGCCATGTCATGGCTAGAGTTTCACAGTAACATCCATTTGATCTTTGTGTGTATGGATACGTCTTTCTGTGTATGTTACATGTATTATCTGTTATGTCTACAATGGCACCACATTGGTTTATAAGTAAATGAGTGCTCATAAATTTAGTAAGAAAGCCCAAATGCTTTTCAAATTTATGTGAATTTAGTAATCTTTAATAATAAGCTTGCCTTAAAATTATTGACAAAATAAAAATAGAAATGTCTTCAGAATTGTAGGCATACATTTTTGTCTGGGTTTACTAATTAGATGAGTTTTATATTTGCCTTTGCTAGATATTTTAAAGAGCAAGGATTTGACATGAGTATTATAAGACCGTAAACTCAACCAAAAACAGAATCCTCTTTCTTTGAATGACTTTTTTGATAAATAAGACAAATTTAACATTGTTGGTTCCATAAGAACAGCTAATTTTTCTGAATTATCAGCAAAAATGCCTATGTGTTTAAGATTTTTGCTTAGGCAAACACCTGATATTCACAGGCTATGCAAATGGTTAATAAAAAAAAAAAAAACTTTGAGCGATGATTGTCTAATGTCTCAGTTCTAACAACTAATCTAGATAAACTGCTACAAATGAATAAATTGAGTAAATATAAATAAAATCAATGCTTGTAGGTTAATTTTTTTTTCTCTCTCTTTTTTGAGACGGAGTCTTGCTCTGTCGCCCAAGCTGGAGTGCAGTGGCGCGATCTCGGCTCACTGCAAGCTCTGCCTCCCGGGTTCACGCCATTCTCCTGCCTCAGCCTCTGGAGTAGCTGGGACTACAGGTGCGTGCTACCATGCCCGGCTAATCTTTTGTATTTTTTAGTGGAGACGGGGTTTCACCATGTTAGCCAGGATGGTCTCGATCTCCTGACCTCGTGATCCGCCCGCCTCGGCCTCCCAAAGTGCTGGGATTACAGGCGTGAGCCACCGCGCCCCGCCAGTGATCTTTTAATGTAACTTAAAATCTTAAAATTATTTCAGATACCATTGAATGTCTGAGTTATTTCCGAGTTAAAAAGAATTATGACATAGGGCATTGGTCACACTTTTAAACCAATTAATGTGAAATAAAGTCTATGCTACGAGTTAAGCATTAGTGAATCTCAGTGAGCTGAATAAGGTCCAGTCTGGAAGGTAATCAAGGAATAAACAGGGATGGACCCAATGGATGCCTGTATACTTGCCCCCATATAGGCGAGCAATGAATGTGAAACAATACCACCTGCCAGAGGGACACTCTGAAATAACCCAAATAATCCAGGGTGTTAGAGTGAGACACTATCTCAAAATTAATTAATCAATTATTTTATTACAATAAATTAAAATAAATTTATAAATAAATAATTTAGTGTCAACATCTAGTTTATGGGTGTTAAATTGGAACCCATAAACTAGATGTTAACATTAATTAATTTATTAATTAAGGTATTTGAGGGAAGAGGAGAGTTTAAAAGTCCCAAATGAATGTATTCTCTATGGCACATTTTTATATCACAGTCTTCTGAAATGCCTGCAGAAAGAAATGAGTCTTAGTTGCTGTAGGTCCTGAGATGGGCAGAGATTATGAGAGCGAGCATCACATAGACTTGGTGCTATGGACAGAATTGTGTTCCCCAAAATTCATGATAATTTCGTTTAGCTAATCCACAAGGTGATGGTATTTAGAGATGGGGCCTTTGGGAGACAATTGTGTTTAGATGAGGTTATGAGGGTTGGGCTTTCATAATGGGATTAGTGCCCTTATGAGAAGGGGAAGAGATATTATGTCTCTCTCATTCTCTACCCTTCTCCATCTCTCACTTTCTCCCCCTTTCTGTCTCTCCCTCTTTCTCTGTGCCATGTGAGAACACAGCTACAACATGGCGATCAGCAAGACAGGAAGACAGCCCTCACCAGGAGCTGAATCACTGGCGCTTTGATCTTGCACTTCCAGATCCTGGGCAAGACTCACCAGGGCAGACTTCTGTAGCTGCCTGGAATTGTCTGATCTGGAATTAATGCCCTGGAATGCTGTGGTTGTTAACTCAGAAGGCACAAAGCTAAGAATCTTCCTCTGGTCCTCTTTAATCTGCCCCCACTCCTTGTTATTTGTCTTATTTTGATTTTCAAGTAAGGAATTTATTTTCCCAGTTAACATAACCAACCAGCCCATGCCACAGTATATTAAACCAAGAAGTACAAATCCAAGAAAGGTAACGTCTTTATTGGGTTGCAAAACTTTGGGAAATCAATGTAGTACTTTTTATTACAATAAAAGCATATTTTTATTAGAGACATATATTATTCTAGTGATAATTTTCGCTCCAAATATATTTAAGTACTAAACCAAAACACTGGTTTTTAATAATGGTTTATAGCAGAGCAAGTTATTTTATACGAATTAAGGTCTTTGAAAACTACACAGTTTCTCCTTTTAAATTGAATTCCCTCATGCAAGCTGTTGAAGTTTACAGCAACAGGACAATTGAGTGTATATAAGAGATGGCTCTGCTTTGTTCTGGCATGGGACCAAAGCCAGGTAGGGGTGCAATGTGTGAAAAGTTTTAAAATTCTATCTTGATTCAACATCAATGCCACCTTCCAAGCACTTTAAAAAAATGTTAAAATGTTGTTTATACACCATTGGTGAGTGTAAATTATTTCAAACTTAGTGAAAAACAGTGTGGTAATTCCTCAAAGACCAAAAAACAGAAATATCATTTGACCCAGAAATCCCATTACTGGGTATTACCCAAAGGAATATAAATTGTCATATCATAAAGACACATGCATGTGTATGTTCATTGCAGCACTATTCACAATAGCAAAGACATGGAATCATCCAAAATGCTCATCAAAGGTAGACTGGATGAACAAAATATAGTACATATACACTATGGAATACAATGCAGCCATTAAAAAGAACAAGATCATGTCTTTTTCAGGAACATAGACAGAACTGGAGGCCATTATCCTTACCAAACTAATGCAGGAACAGAAAAGCAAATACCGTATGTCCTCACTTATAAGCTGGAGCTGAATAATGAGAACACATGGACACAAAGAGGGGAATACCAGACACTGGAGCCATTGAAGGTGGATGGTGAAAGGAGGGAGAGGATTGGGAAAAATAACTAATGGGCAGGAGACGTCATAATTGGGTGA
The DNA here is from genome assembly GCF_000001405.40 of Homo sapiens. NCBI lineage: Eukaryota > Metazoa > Chordata > Mammalia > Primates > Hominidae > Homo > Homo sapiens. The sequence continues at coordinate 42,973,544 of NC_000005.10, read as the reverse complement.
TAAAATAATGTGTACACAAACCCCTATGACAAAAGTTTATCTATTTAACAAAGCTGTACATGCACCCTGAAGTTAAAATGAACGTTAAAAAGGATTGCTTTCAAAAAATCGTTATATTTTCACATAAATACTGGAATCCTCAAAATCAGACAGTCATTTCAAACAACACGAATTTCAGGTGATCGCTTTTATTTAGAAGCCATGCATCTCTTTGTTTTGATGTAATGTCACATTCTTATATCAGCCTACTTTAAAAAATTCTACTTAAAAGATATTTATATTTTTAAAATAAATATATTGCCCGCTTGGAGAGACGTGGAGTACTTGACGTTGTCTTCACATTTTCATTATCAATTCTCTACAAATGCTGCCGCCGCCGCTGCCATCGAAGTTCTTATGCTTCCTCTTGGCGGAAGCTGTCAATTCTTCAGTCTTAACATGTAATTTATGTATGACCCATTTCAGTGCTTCTCGGCCTTTATTAGCATTTGAAGGTATAGTTCTTGCCATCAGTCCTTCAAGGTAACTGCTGAGGCTACCTCTCTTCAGTGATTATGGCTTCTTGAGTCAAAATAGTTTTTTGGGGGGTCCCGATGATGTGGTTTGTGTATAAATCTCTCATCTACTGAAATCATATTTGTAAGTGAAATATTAGTAGATTTAAGTTCCATTGTTTTCTCTACAGGATTAACTACAGAATATTCTAGTATATATGTTTTGCGTTTTGCTGCACCAGTAAGAGTTTTGCAGTTCCCACTGTGCGGAGAAGTCTGTGCAACTCTCTGGAGGGATCTATACGTCTGTTTAACACGTCAACCCACACCACGCTCGGGTTCACAGGGCTTGGATATTTCTGCATTGCAGCTGTTGTAACAGTTTCCCACGGGTGCTAAAAACGTGCTCTGAAGCCCATATCTTGATGCTGCAGACAGTCCGAGAAATGTCTGGGGACCGCAGGGGAAAATGAGGCAAAGAGGTTACATCTGCCCCACGCCATAAAGAGCACTGCAGCCAGCCTCGCAGTATGCGGGCACCATCGGCCTCACCCGAGGGACTTCCCAAACCCCTCTTTCACCCCTTATGACAAGGTAACCTTTAAACCATTTAAAGCAGGGATCCCCAACTCCCCAGGCAGCGAACCTTAGCGGTCGGTGGCTGTTAGGAAACCTGCGACACAGCAGGAGGTGACTGGCAGGCAAGCGAGTACTACCGCCTGAGCTCCGCTTATCTGACGTGACTTAGATTCTCATAAGAGCGCCAAACCTATCGTGAACTGCGCATGCGAGGGATCTACCTTGCGCACTTCTCCTGAGAATCTGACGCCTGATGATCTGAGGTAGGACAGCTTCATCGCCAAATCATCCCTGTCTCCCCAACCCCCCACCCATGGAAAAATTGCCTTCCCCAAAACCAGTCTCTGGTGTCACAAAGGTTAGGGGCCCCTGATGTAAAGAACACTGTTAATGTCTATTTCCTGGCTTCATCTGGAGGGCCACAGTCAGTTTTGAAGCAACTCCAGCAAGTGATCCAACCAGCTGTCCCCTCCCACTGTGTTAGTATCCACAGCTCCTTAAAGGCCCCCTGGAATTTAGACTAAAGCAAGATTGCGCCACTACACGGAAGCCTGGGCGACCCAGCCAGCAAGACACCATCAAAAAAAAAAAAAAAAAAAAAAAAAAAAAAAAGGCCTCTGAGCTGGGTCCCTGCCCCTTTTCTGTCTGCTTCAGGCCCATCTATACCAATCTTGATTTACCAGCTTGAAATCAATTCCACAGGTGGAGAATAGGGAAAGGCTTTATTCAATACATGTACAGTTTCAATGGAAGAGCCATAGCAATTTTGAGTACATCTACAAGAACAGTTCTTTAGCTCATTGCATAATATTCATTACATGAAGAGAGTTTCTCTAAATGAAAAATGTTTAGGACATTCAGGAGAGGAAGAACCAATTAAGGAATGATCTCCACAGCAGAGACCTCCAGGCTCTTGTGGGTGCAGGGCACAGTTCCAGTGTAAAAGTCCGCAGGGACAGAATGAGGGTCCCCACTGGTGTGCCTCAGGCTCCTTCCAGCACAGTGTTCCTTGAAGCGGGTAGTGTCGCAGGCTTGCAGAAAGGCTGGGGTTCCTCTCGTTTCCGGGTTCCTTCCTGATGGAACCCTGGGTTTTCAGCAGCTTCCGGGGGCGGCCTGAACTGCAGAGGGCGCCATGGGCTTGTGTCCTTCCACCTCCGCAGGCGCTGGCATCTCCAGGCTGCATCAGGCAGCTTTGGACTTCGCCGTCGGTAGCATTTGCGTCTTCTTGAGGTGACTGGAGCCCGTCTGTGGTTTCAGCCTTTGATTCCTCGACATGGGAGTCTCGAGGCCGTTTTTGGCCCCTCTCATCTCCGGGAAGGGCTCCGTGCCCGGTGGAGGCGCGGTGCAGCCGCCAGCTCCCAGCAGAGCTCCCGTAGAGCTGATGGCATTGGCAGGAGTGGCGGCTCAGCACAGGGAAGTTATCCAGTGCCCAGGCCCAGGCTTGCTCTCGGTTCAGGTCCCGTGGTATATGGGGCTCTGGACCTGCTTGCCTCCAAGACAGCTCTTCCAAGGTTGATGGATGGAACTCCATAGCTTCAGCCTTCCAAGACTTGACCAGGCCTAGCTAGTCTAGGAATAGAGCAAATGGCTCAATCCATCACTGACTGTGGGTTTTTATAGCATTCTGTCTTGTACAGGAAGTCGGACATAATCCAATCATGTGGGGATTAACACTTATTTGCCTTGCTCATTGCTTCAGACCGTGAAAGGATTATGGTGAAAATGTTATCATTCCGGAAGGTCCTATTGAAAGTCCTTGGGTTTTTATTGGATCAGGTGGTAACAGGGTGGGGGGGCGGGGGTGAGAAAATGGGTCCAGTTATTGGCAGTTTTTTTTCATTTCAATAAGAAATTGGCAGTTTTCAATATTTCACGATTAGATGAGATGTTAGGTGTACACCTCTTACAGATATGTTTTATCAGATTAAGGGAATTCTCTTTTTCAATTTGCTATGATGATTTTTATATTAATAATAAAACAGGGTTGAATTTTCAAATAGCTTTTTTTTGTATCTTCTGAGATTATCATATATTTTTTCTACTGCTAATGTGGACAATAACAAATTGATTTTCAAATGACAGACCCAAGTTGACTTCCTGATAAACTCCATTAGATTATGATGCATTTTTAAAAAGTATATTACTGGATTCAGAATGCTAACATATTATGATTTTGCCCTGTAATTTTGAGAAATATTCCCTGATGAAAAAACTGAGGAGGGGGCACTAGAGTGATGAATGAAATGTGCATATAAATACTTAAACTTGTTGATATTTAAAAAGGCCTTTCTATGTATGTGGTTGTCCCACTCAGCCAAAGACTTTTCAAATACAGGGGCCATGTTTCATTTGCAGCGTGTCAACAGTCAAGATTGGCCTCAGTCAATTCTATTTTTGAAGAGACTCTGAAACAAATTTTAATACAGAGTGAATTTTTGAGTATTCCAACAGCAGGGGAAAAGCACTGAGGTATATGAGGTGAGCAGAGAGACATATTTTATTTGCCTGGCTTTCCCCTCAAAATATTACTGAAATAAACACTTGTGTGAGATTGCTTTATTAAAGAGTGCTGTCCTTAGAAAGTGGGAGTGAGAAGAAAGAGGAGAGGGGCAGGGATGAGCATATTCAATGCTATGCTTCCTAGTTGCTCAATCTTGTATCAAGCATGACCAGAGGTGACTTTATTATCAAACTTATAAAGTTTAACTTTAAGGCAAACTTCCAAAGAGTTTGTAAAACTTTTGTCCTAAAGCATTTTTGTAATTCTCTCAAAGAAAATCCTCTACTACCTGTATGAATACTGATTCCACAAATTTGAATCCACTCTGAACACCACTGATTTTTCGATCTTATGAACCATCTTCTGAGAGGCCGTATGAATAACTGCTTCTCAGTACGGTCCACTTAGGAGGAATAAAAGGATGGAATATATCCACTGTTGGAGAGATAACACAATTCTCCCAACAAAAGACCCCAGTGTACCAAATAGAAGAGAGAGGGAATACTAGTATTGAGTTTGCATTTAACATGCATGTAAGGTAGCCTGAGAACTACAAAGTCATCTCATACATTTTCAGCAGAGCAGGGGGAAGCAGGATGAATTCCTTTCTTTCTTCAAATAGAGAACACCTTACAATAGCATCTTGCTATCTGCTGAAAGACCCTCAGCTCATTGTAGGGGTACTTTCAAGAAATGTCTACATATTATTTGTCGCATAACCTTGGATAAATTGCTACATTGTAAAAACTTGAGATTCAGCTTTACCTTTAGAAGGACTAATCTAAATTCCAATGGCTCAACTACGGATTAAGACTCACCATATTAAATGTGATGTTACTGTTGCATTTTTATATGGTGTGTAGGAAAAGAAACAAAACACTCTCAAATAGTATAAGCATAAAAAGATTTATTATGGGATAAAAGTCACTTAAAATCTGATAGAAAGGTGTAGACACAGATTTTAGGCTGAATGTCAGGGAATGATTTTCTGAGCCACATTACAAACTGGTTCCCTAAAAGAAGTTGCTGTCAGAAATTAGTAAACACTGTAATTAAACAATTCAATGAAAACTAAATCAAAACTTCCATCTTTATCTAATTACGTATCATGTTTGCCTAGAAGCCAGTAGGCCATCTTGTCAGAAGACTACAAGATTTTTTAGTCTAGATACCTCCCACTGAGGTCACTGATAGCCGTTATTTGCTTTCTCTCTGTCCATGGCTGTAATAAACTTTTTAAAAAATTATCATTATTATTATTTTTTATTACGCTTTAAGTTTTAGGGTACATGTGCACAACGTGCAGTTAGTTACATATGTATACATATGCCATGTTGGTGTGCTGTACCCATTAACTCGTCATTTAACATTAGGTGTATTTCCTAATGCTATCCCTCCCCCTTCCTCCCACCCCACAACAGGCCCCCGTGTGTGATGTTCCCCTTCCTGTGTCCATGTGTTCTCATTGTCCATTTCCCACCTATGAGTGAGAACATGCGGTGTTTGGTTTTTTGTCCTTGTGATAGTTTGCTGAGAATGATGGTTTCCAGCTTCATCCATGTCCCTACAAAGGACATGAACTCATCATTTTTTATGGCTGCATAATATTCCATGGTGTATATGTGCCACATTTTCTTAATCCAGTCTATCATTGTTGGACATTTGGGTTGGTTCCAAGTCTTTGCTATTGTGAATAGTGCTGCAATGAACATACGTGTGCATGTGTCTTTATAGCAGCATAATTTATCATCCTTTGGGTACATACCCAGTAATGGGATTGCTGGGTCAAATGGTATTTCTAGTTCTAGATCCTTGAGGAATTGCCACACCATCTTCCACAATGGTTGAACCAGTTTACAGTCCCACCAACAGTGTAAAAGTGTTCCTATTTCTCCACATCCTCTCCAGCACCTGTTGTTTCCTGACTTTTTAATGATCGCCATTCTAACTGGTGTGAGATGGTATCTCATTGTGGTTTTGATTTGCATTTGTCTGGTGGCCAGTGATGATGAGCATTTTTTCATGTGTCTTTTGTCTGCATAAACGTCTTCTTTTGAGAAGTGTCTGTTCATATCCTTTGCCCACTTTTTGATGGGGTTTTTTTTTCTTGTAAATTCGTTGGAGTTCATTGTAGATTCTGGATATTAGCCCTTTGTCAGATGAGTAGATTGCAAAAATTTTCTCCCATTCTGTAGGTTGCCTGTTCACTCTGATGGTAATAAACTTTTTTTTTTTTTTTTTTTTTTTTTTAATGGAGTCTTGCCTTGTCACCCAGGCTGGACTGCAATAGCTATCTCGGCTCACTGCAACCTCTGCCTTCAGGTTTCAAGCGATTCTCCTGCCTCAGCTTCCTAAGTAGCTGGGATTACAGGTGACTGCCACCATGCCTGGCTAATTTTTTGTATCTTTAGTAGAGACCGGGTTTCACCATGTTGGCCAGGCTGGTCTCAAACTCCTGACCTTGTGATCTGCCCGCCTTGGCCTCCCAAAGTGCTGGGATTACAGGTGTGAGCCACTGCGCCTGGCCAACTTTTTTTTTTTTTTTTTTTTTTTTTTAATTTTAGAGACTGGGCCTCTCACTCTGTAGCTCAGGCTACAATGCAGTGGTACCATAATAGCTCACTTCAGCCTCCAACTCCTGGGCTCAAGCAATCCTTTTGCCTCAGCGTCCTGAGTGGCTGGCATTACAGGTGGACACCACCACATCCAGGTAATTAAAAACTTTTTTTGCGTGTGTAGAGATGGGGTTTCACCATGTTTCTTGGGCTGGTTTTGGGATTCTAGCCTCAAGTGATCCTCCTGCCTTAGCTTCCCAAAGTGCTGGGATAACTGGTGTGAGCCACTATGCCCAGCCCATACTAAAGTTGTTCTAGTCTTAGAATCTTTGTAATTTATATTCTCTCATGATGGTAACTCCACCTTCAGATTTTTTTTTTTTTTTTTTTTTTTTTGAGACAGGGTCTTGCTCTCTTGCCCAGGCTGGAGTGCAGTGGTGTGATCTTGACTCTCTGCAACCTCCACTTCCCATATTCAAATGATTCTCCCACCTCAGCCATTGAGTAGCTGGGATTATAGGTGCGGGCCACCATGCCCAGCTGATTTATTTGTATTTTTAGTAGAGATGAATTTTCATCATGTTTGCCAGGCTGGTGTCAAACTCCTGGCCTCAATGATCTGCCCACCTTGGCCTCCCAAAGTGCTAGGATTATAGGTGAGCACTGCACCTGGCCCGGATTTTTTTTTTCTTTGCTTTGTTCGTTGCATTATTCCTATCAAAGTGGAAGTATCTCTGATAATTCTGTTTTTACTACACTAGCTAATATAGCATCCTCCTAGTTACCTTTCCATCTAACTTGCGTTAGGTTTCTTGATAGCATTTATCACATAAACACTGTCTTATTTATTTGTTGTCATGCTTCCTGCTTTATTTTTTTTCAGCCCCTGATTGTGTCAAACACTTTATGGCCAAGTCCATTTCTGCTTGTTGATCACTTATGTCTGGAACTTTGATCACTTTGTAGCACAATATAGACACTTACTATCTGTTAATGAAGAGACAATGTATTAAAAGGCCGGGTGTGGTGGCTCATGCCTGTAATCCCAGCACTTTGAGAGGCTGAGGTGGCAGGATTGCTTGAACTCAGGAGTTTGAAACCAGCCTGGGTAACATAGGGAGATTCCATCTCTGCAAAAATTTTAAAAATTAGCTGGGTGTGTGGTGTGCACCTGTAGTCTCAGCTACTTGGGAGGCTGAGGTGGGAGGATTGTTTGAGCCTAGGAGACTGAGGCTGAAGTGAACAGTGATGCCACCCCACTGCAGACCGGGTGACAGACCGAGAACCCATCTCATTAAAAATAAAAGTGAAAGAAAAAGAAAGAGTAGTCCTCAGAGCTCTATAACTGATTATAAACCACCTTAAGAAAGGATCAAAGTAAAACAATGATTGTGGATGACAAAAGAATTAGAACAGCCATGGTTAAAGACACAATTGACAAGGAAATTTGGTTGTATCTACGGCACATAACAATTTAATATAATAATCATAATTAGTTCTGATAACATATTCTAAGACATATCAGAATCACAAGAATCTCATACAATTTTGGAACACATACTAATAACACATTTATATAAATACAAGCCAAAAAAGTTTACACATCATTTCATATTTGATAACGAAGATTTTATTATACCAAGTAAGCCAAATATGTCTCTTTGGATTTCAGGGGATGTAATGTCAAAAAAATTAGTGAGACCAAAGCCCTGAATTTAGATTTAGATTTTGGAAAGTTTGTCAAACATCAAAGGTTGAAAACACAATATCACAAAATAGCATCACAGGTCATTGTAAAATAAGTCATTCATTTAGTCAAAGTGGTAACTCAAATATTTTAAAAACAAAAAGGCAAAAACTTTTACTCTTTGAGACTTACTTTCCCAAACAATAAAACCTAATAAAGACAGGATGAAGTCAATTAAATTTACAGACAAATCTATTAAATTTTAATAATCTTGAGTGTAAGATATAATTTTTGTAAACCTTCTCATAACCTTTCATAATTTTTAAGTAAGGAATGTGTTAATGCTCCAAGAAAACATTGTTAATCTGACACAGGGACCCACATGCTTGTCTTGCATCAGTGTTCCTTTGACATTAATGTTTAATTTATAGGCTGGCCACGGTGGCTCATAGCTGTAAAATCAGCACTTTGGAAGGCCTAGGCAGGCGGATATCTTGAGTTCAGGAGTTTGAGACCAGCTTGGGCAACATGGTGAAACCTTGTCTCTATAAAAATACAAAAATTAGCCAGGCATGGTGGTGCACCCCTGTAGTCCCTGCTACTTGGGAGGCTGAGGTGCCAGGAATCTTGCCAGGCAGAGGTTGCAGTGAGCCAGGATAATGCCACTGCACTCCAGCCCAGATGACATAGCTGGACTGTCTCAAAACAACAACAAATGCAACTGTTTAATTTATAGAGAAACTCTGAATTAATTTTATCTCTTAAAATGGATCCTTACAAGCTCACACACCCACTTCTTCTGCAATAGTCCCTGGGACTAGAGGGGTTGAATAGTTTTAATTTCTGGACCCATGTCTTATGACTGCAGCTTATTCTGATTTTCATCTTCTCCTAGGTCTGAAGATGAGGCTTCAATTGCTGTCAATGTTTAAGATTTAGCCAGAGTTGGTGACTTTTTTAGATCCAGGAGTCAAACCTGTGTGACTTAGTAGCACAAGGAGTTTAAAAGAAATACAGAAAGTTACATGGATATAATAACCTTAATTTTTACAAATCTTCCCAAAGAAGAAGTGTGGTGGGGAGGTTGGGGAGAAGAGGTTGAGGGAGGAAGCAGGTCACAGTTGAATTCTTGGCTGTTCCAGGATAGCTGGCACAAGTTTGGGGGCCACACAAGAAATAGAAAGTGAGAGGACAGGGCCTAGAATATACTGAGCTTAGGGCTTGCAGCGTCTGGGGCCTTGGGGCCTCTTCTGCAGAACCCTAGGCCTCTGGCACATGGGGAAGAAAGTGCTGCGCTATCGCTTGTGTCCAGGAAAACCAGGAACTCTTGGACTCAGGAGCCACGAGCTTTTGCAATTTTAGACTCTTCTGGCCCTGGGTGTTCCACATAGGTTAGGAACCTGGCTGGTGACATTAATCCTAGAAGCAGATTGCATATGAAAACAGAATTAATGACATTAACATCAAGTTCTATCATCTCATGTGAAAGCTATCCAGAGACAAATAGTTTGTCTCAGGGGATGAAAAGAAAAATTAGTACTGGGCCTATGAAGAGAAAGCTGTTCTGGGGGACCCTGGTTTATAGAAAGTTTATCATTTCCCCAAGTCAGATTGCTACTCCTGAGCAGAGACTGGAATTCTGTTCTGCTGGGAGAAAAACGCTTATGGGTGACTATCTGTAAATGAACATTTGGGATTTTAGTGAAGAGAATGCAAGAGCGGGTGCCCAGTTCTCTCTCTCTCTCTCTGTAAAATACACACAAAATTTACCATCTTAACCATTAAGTGTACAGTTCATAATGCTTTGCAACCATTGTCATCATCCATCTCCACAACTCTTTGTGTCTTCTAAAAGTGAAACTCTGTATCCTTTAAAGAATAACTCCCTACTTTCCTCTCCCCCATGCCAGGCAACCACCTTTCTGCATTGTGTCTATGATGTTGACTACCCTAAGTACCCCATGTAAGTGGAATCATACAGTATTTGTCTTCTTGTGCCTGGCTTATTTCATTTAGTATAATGTCCCTTAGGTTCATCTGTGATGTAGCATATTAGCATTTCCTTCTTTTTAAAGGCTGACTGTCTATATGTACCATGTCTTGCTTATCCTTTCATGTGTGAATGGACACTTGAGTTGCTTCCTCATCTTTGCTATTATGCGTAATGCTGCTATGAACTTGGGTGTACAAATATCTTCCTGAGACTCTGCTTTTAATTATTTTGAGTATATGTCCAGAAGTGAAATTGCTGGGTCATATGGTAATTCTATTTTTAATTTGTTGAGGAACTTTCTGTTTTCTACATTGGCTGTACCAATTTACATGCTTACAACAGTGCATACATAGGGGTTCCAAACTCCTTATATCCTTGCCAACTCTTATTATCTTTTTTTTTTTTGATAGTAGCCATCCTAGTGGATGTGCAGTGGTACCTGTATCTCACTGTAGTTTTGATTTGCATTTCCCTAAGAATTAGTGATGCTGGACATATTTTTTTCATGTGCTTATTGGCCATTTGTATGTCTTCTTTGGAGAAATGTCTATTTAAGTCCTCTGCCCATTTTTGAAATGGGTTGTTTGTTTTTTAATGATGAGTTTTAGAAAGTGTTAATTTATTCTGGATAGCAATCCTTCATCAGACATATGTTTAAAAACATTTTTTCCCATTGTAGAATTGTATTCAAACTCTATCAGTGGTTATTGGCAAGCAGTCTATTATCAGTGCATTCAGGGCTATTCATTCTTTCTCTACTCCCTCACCACACCCCATTGATCAGTTATTGTTTCAGAAACCAGAAAGTAAGAGGCAAGGGGAAAAGTACACAGGGGAATTTCTGGCAATTTTTCATCTTTAATGATTTTTCTCTTCCCCCCCCCACCATTTTTTTTAAACATGTGTTCCATTAGGGTCTTAACGCCTGCCAAAAAACATTTCTCTCTCTCTCTCTCTCTCTCTCAAGACGGAGTCTTGCTCTGTCACCAGGCTGGAGTGCAGTGGCACCATCTTGGCTCACTGCAACCTCCGCCTCCCTGGTTCAAGTGATTCTCCTGCCTTAGCCTCCAGAGTAGCTGGGATTACAGGTGTGCACCACCACGCCAAGCTAATTTTGTATTTGTATATGGTCTTGATCTCTTGACCTCGTGATCCACCCGCCTTGGCCTTCCAAAGTGCTGGGATTACAGGCATGAGCCACGGTGCCTGGCCGAACATTTCTGTCTTAAATGTATTTTTCTGACAACCCTCTTCCTGTCTGTTGTCCTATCTCTCAGACCTTAGAATGAGATCTTAGGTAAGGAGGTCTTACTAATTAACTGCACTGTTACTGTTCATTTTTTTTTGCTTTTGAAAACTAGGTCAGACGAAATTCAAGCTATTTAGAGAGAAGTACCACAGTTTCTCTCACCCCTACTTCACAAGTTGGTAACAATTATGAGACCACAAGTTGGTGACAACTATGAGAAAAATGATAAAACCAGAAAACCAGTGTAGTTAAATAAAAGCACATCAGTGCCTACAACATGCAACAAACTCATCAGTCCCTCAAGTGGTCCCTGTTTCATAAGCAAACACGAACTGGAGGTATCAGAATTGAGGATGAAATGGCAGAAGTATCATCCCGTGATTAAACATGTGAACACTAGCAATGCTCTTACAATTTACTATGAAATGACTGATGATTATTTTCTGGATATGATACAGCCTCAGAACAGTGAGGGAGGCACAGAGAATGTTGGTGACAGGAAAAGATGGAAAGGGTGAGGTGGATATCTTAGTTAATAAAGAGGTGGGGTGAAAGGAGTTTAGAAAGTAGCTTCCAGAGAAGAAAGTCTGAGCTTTCACGCACTACAGAACTAACACTGGGGAAAACTTAGCCCCCAGAATTGCTGGAAAGGAGTAATTAGAATAAAATCCTAGTTAATATTTATTATTTTAAATGGTGCTAGACTATGCTTAAGGAAGGATACCCATTAACCTCACTGATATAATGAGTACCGCAATTATATCTGGTTTTACTAACAATGGGAATGAAACACAAGGATTAAACTAACTTCTGAAAGTCAAAGAGGTGAGAAATTTGAACCACAGCAGGATCACGCCAGAATCCTAACATTTAAACCACCAGCCTACAACAGGCTAGGTATCTGATTTACCATGTCTGATTTCACCTTTGTCCCAGAACTCACTCCCATTCCAAGACTGGGATCCCCAGACCACAGAGGCACCTGTGACTTCCTTAGACTTCCAGGAGACACTGGATAGGAGGCTTAACCTTGTGTGTGGTTTTTCTGGAGTGGGAGGGAGGGGGTGGGAAAAGGAGGAGGGTTTCAGAAAACACTGGTGGTGATGACAGAACAATCTGAAGATGCTAGTAGAGACCCTTAACACACTCTAATAGAAAATGTCTTAGGCCTGCCAAAAGAACATTTTTCTCTTAAATGTATATTTCTGACGTCTTTCTTCCTGTCTGTTGTCCTATCTCCCAACCTTAGAATAAGATCTTAGGGAAGGAGGTCTTGCTAATTAACTGCCCTCTTATTGCTCATCTTTTTGGTTTTGAAAAGTAGGTCAGACAGGGCTGGGCGCCACGGCTAACACCTGTAATCCCAGCACTTTGGGGGGCTGAGGCGGGTGGATCACCTGAGGTCAGGAGTTCGAGACCAGCCTGACCAACATGGAGAAACCGTGTGTCTACTAAAAAATACAAAATTAGCCAGGCACGGTGGTACATGCCTGTAATCCCAGCTACTCAGGAGGCTGAGGCAGGAGAATCTCTTGAACTGGGGAGGTGGAGGTTGCAGTGAGCTGAGGTCATGCCATTGCACTCCAGCCTGGGCAACAAAGAAACACTGAAAAAAAAAAAAAAAGAAAAAAAAAGAAAACGAGGTCAGACAAAATTCGAGCTCTTTAGAGAGAAGAACCACAGTTTCTCTCACCCCTAGTACACAAATTGTGACAACTATGAGCCCACCCTGATTAAAGAAAAAGGTATAATTTGACAAGTCTGGAGAAACATAGATAACACTGGTTACTGCATAGAATCAGTAAATATGCTGACTCTAACTTGAAGCACTGTTTTGCACTATAAGTAGAACTAACTCTATAGAGGTTCAGTTTCTCCAGAGGATGATATGGTACTCTCAGCAATGATAACTTTACTTTAGCAATGATAACTAGGAACTTATGCTGCAGTGTAGGCTCTCTTTAAGTTGACTTACCTGGACATTTTCATAAGGAATCTCAAATTAGACTTTTAAAAGCGTCCAGATGCTAGGAAACCAAACCAGGATCTTGCTATCATACTTTGCCTGCAATACCTAGAGATTTGGATGAATTCTCCTTTTGTTAAGATTCTCCAAATATCCTGATGTTCCTGGTCCTGTCAGGAAGTGACAATTCTTACTCACCTGTAAGGAAAGGAACCCTTTTAAACCAGGACAATTTTTCATGTCTGAGTGTGTTTCTGTTCCTAAAAACCATGAAGAAAATAAAACAGTGATATTACATTCAACATGGTAACTCTAAATCCTTGTTCTACCAGTAGAAATATAATATCTCTAGGGATTAAGCCCAGTCTCCAGAATTTACCCAAGACCATAGGAAAATAACATCCAGATGTTTTTAAAAAGCACCCACAGGATGAGCTGAGGGTCTCTCAGTATACAGGAAACTGTCACAAAGTGTGCCTTCTTTTCTTTTGAAGCAGTAAAAGAAGTTCTCATAATTCCTGAGGCTCTGCTCAAAACACATGAGATATGGCCCAGCTTTATAGTTGTTGTCATGCTACCTTACATGCATGTAAATCTGTTAAGGCTAACTCAATTAGTGTTCTCTCTCTCCACTGGGTAGTCAGGGGCCTTTTCGTGGTCAGGATTGTTTTATTTCTCCCACAGTGGATATATTCTTCTCCTTTCTTTCCTTCTAAATGGATTATTCTTAGAAGCAGTCATAGTCAGGGCTTCCCAGAAGATGGTTCCATGTGATCAAGCAAACAGTTATGTTCAGGGTGGGTTCAGTTCGTAGAACCTAATGTTCACACAAGTAGTAGAGGATTCTCTTTTTAAAAAAGATGGTCGGGTGCCGTGGCTCACGCCAGTAATCCCAGCACTTTGGGAGGCCAAGGCAGGTGGATCTCCTGAGGTCAGGAGTTCAAAACCAGCCTGACCAATGTGGCAAAACTCTGTCTCTACTAAAAATACAAAAATTAGCCGGGCATGGTGGTAGGCATCTGTAATCCCAGCTACTGGGAGGCTGAGGCACAAGAATCACTTGAATCTGGGAGGTGGAGGTTGCAGTGAGCCGAGATCATGCCACTGCACTCCAGCCTGGGCGACAGAGTGAGACTCCAACTCAAAAAAAAAAAAAAGAATAAAAATTTACAGTACAAAATTACAGACCTGTTCGAAGGACTCCTAAAAGCTAAGCTTCCTTACCTGCATGGTTAATTTGCCTGTGGCCCTGCATGATACCCCACATGGGCCAATGAGGTAGCACAGCATTGAATTGCCCCTTACCCCTTCCTGTTCCACTTCCCTCTCTTAAATTCCACTTTCTTAAAAAAAAAAACTACTTTTGAATTAAAAAGTCTCACATAAGTTTTCACTTTAGCTAATGCTTCCTAGGGAAGCCAGACCAATAAAATATGCTGCTCTGCTTACCTTATATGCTTTGACTTTTTTCCTCTGCTGTCTGAATCCCCAATAATTCAATCTGTATTGAAAAGATAATGAGGATGCCTACAAATGTGGAATGATTCAGATTAATATTGACCTTTGAACAGCCTGAATGAGACCTCTTGCCAGAAATTAAAAAGTCTGCTTGAGTGGGGCAGAAAAATACATTAAAAGGCCTTTTTAAGTATCAAGCAAGTATGAATATTTGTAAGCCCATTTTGTTTATTACTCTTGTCAATTTCCCATTTTTGGTCAGCCAATGTCTCTCATGATCACAGATGTTAAAAATTATGAATAATGCATTAGCATACTGAATCCAGCAATATATATATTTTAAAAATACATCATGACCTAGTGGGATTTACTCCAGGAACTCGCATTTGAAAATCAATCAATATTATTCACCGCATTAACAGTAAAAAGAAATAAAACCACATGATAATATCAGTAGATGTAGAAAACCTTTTTAAAAGTTAACCTCTCTTCATTATTAAAACAAAAAATATCTTAACAAATTAGAAAAAGTGGATTCCCTTATTTATTTAAAAGTGTATCTATAAGAGACGTACGCTTAATATTCCACTTTGAAAGAAAGAAAAATGTTTTACCCCAAAATATATTTCTTTGACATATTTTGAGATGGCTGTCAGAGGCAGCAAAAGAAGTAGCCCTGCAATGCCATCGTGCATTGATATATACAGGCCTTCTCTTTTCCAGATGTAGGAAGGATTAATGAGAGTCTGACACCTTTAAAGGTCTTAAGGAAACAGTTCTCTGAGGGATGCTATCTGTGAGGTTTCATGTACATAACAAGACTACCATTGCTAGCAGACCTCATCTTCTCTCCCTCCTATAACCAGTTCTGCCATGATCCACTTCTTTCTGTAATCTCAAGATGATATATAAGCTCCTGCACCTCACTGGGGGTTTGGGCAATTATACATTTTGTATGTGTTTTCTCCTGTTAATCTTCTGTTTTTGCAAGTCGATTTTACAACAAACTTTCAGAGTGCTAAGAGAAAGATTTCCCTTGGCCCCTAGAAATTTGGTGTTGTAAGCAGGAACCCAAAGGTTGGCTCTTTTGGAAGCCCACAGTTAAGGAAAACCAGGAGCTAATCAGCCAGCCTAAGGATAAGAATTTCTTACCAGTCAGATTCCAGGCCCCTCTCTGTGGAATTTGGTCAAGTAGACAGTAAATATCACTCTGTTCATTTTTCCTGTCCAAAATTTTGACTGATGGGAGAAAAGGATTTGTGTGACCAGTGCTGGTGTATTGACTATGGTGTACTTTCTGGTACTTTGTGGTAAGAATCATATTGTTTCATCCATTTCCTCCTAGAGTAGTCTTTTCTTTGTCTTTCTCTTTCTGTGTTGTTCTGTCATAAAGAGGTGTACAGGTTGAGGTTTTTCTCTCATCTCGTTTTGTTTTGTTTGAGATGGAGTCTTGCTCTGTTGCCCAGCCTGGAGTGGTTTGGTGCGATCTTGGCTCACTGCAACCTCTGCCTCCTGGGTTTAAACAATTCTCCCACCTCAGCCTCTCAAGTAGCTGAGATTACAGCTGCGTGCCACCACGCCTGGCTCATTTTGGTATTTTTAGTAGAAACGGGGTTTCACCATGTTGGCCAGGCTGGTCTCAAACTCCTGACCTCAAGTGATCTGCCCACCTTGGCCTCTCAATGTGCTGGGATTACAGGCGTGAGTGTTTTGTTTTGTTTTTTAAGAGATAGCGTCTTACTCTGTCACCCAGGCTAGAATGCAGTGGTGCAATCAGAGTTCACTGCAACTTCAAACTCCTGGGCTCAAGCCATCCTCCTGCCTTAGCCTCCCCAGCAGCTAAGACTACAGGCACATGCCACCATGCCCAGCTAATCTTTTAAAAATATTTTTATAGAGATGGGTCTCCCTACATGCCCAGGCTGCTCATGAACTCCTGGCCTCTCAAAGCACTAGGATTACAGGTGTGAGCCACCATGCCTGGCCTGAAATAATCAATACGCCAGAGGTATATTGATATATTGGCATACTGGGGTGGTGTATTCTGGTGTCTTACAGTCGCATTTTGAGGGAGTGTGTCCAGAATAATCAACTCAGAATTTAGGTTGCTATCTTGAACTGGAGTGTTAGGGAGAAGGGACACAGTAAAATCACACGTACCCCTATGTTAGAAGATGGGCCTTAAATTTACACTAAAAGTTGATTTAACACTGAATGGTAAAATTACATTTATCTATTCAGCCACAGGCAGAGCTGTACAAACTCATACTTCCCTAAGTGAGGGTGTGTATCTACAAAATGGAAATGAGAAGCAAGCCCAGTACAAAGCATGTGCTTGCCGCAGTTTTCAGTTGAGAATGAAATCAGATAAAGCACAAAATACAGTTGGCACAGTGTCTGTCACAAATAATGATTTTTGTGCCATGAACCACTCAATATGTGAGGAGAAGTAAAAGATGAGGCAAGAAGTGGAAAGTATTTATGATAAATTGAACCTTATAAAAAACCAGAGGAGTGAGGAATATGATTTTGCCACTTGCCCAACCATTTCAATGTATTGAACTACATTGTGAAAAAACAAATACAATCATATAGAAGTCAGGAGTTCAAGACCAGACTGGACAAAATGGCGAGACCCCCTCTCTACTAAAAATACAAAAAAATTGCTGAGCATTGTGGCTGGTGCCTGTAATCCCCGCTACTTGGGAGGCTGAGGCTGTAGCGGGAAGTCAGGGACCCCAAAAGGAGGGACCGGCCGAAGCCATGGCAGAAGAACGTGGATTGTGAAGATTTCATGGACGTTTATTAGTTCCCCAAATTAATACTTTTATAATTTCTTATGCCTATCTTTACTGCAATCTCTAAACATAAATTGTGAAGATTTCAAGGACACTTATCTCTTCTCCAATCAATGCCCTTGTGATTTCCTATGCCTGTCTTTACTTTAATCTCTTAATCCTGTCATCTCGTAAGCCGAGGAGAATGTATGTCGCCTCAGGACCCTGTGATAATTGCATTAACTCCACAAATTGTAGAGCATGTGTGTTTAAACAGTATGAAATCTGGGCACCTTGAAAAAAGAACAGTATAACAGCAATGTTTAGGAAACAAGAGAGATAACCTTAAACTCTGACCGCTGGGAAAAAGCCAGGCGGAACAGAGCCATATTTCTCTTCTTTCAAAAGCAAATGGAAGAAATATTGCTGAATTCTTTTTCTCAGCAAGGAACATCCCTGGGAAAGAGAATACGCACCTGAGGGTGGGTCTATAGATGCCCCCCTTGGGTGTGGCCGTCTTCTATGGTCGAGACTGTAGGGATGAAATAAACCCCAGTCTCCCATAGTGCTCCCAGGCTTATCAGGAAGGGGAAATTCCCGCCTAATAAATTTTGGTCAGACCAGTTGCTCTCAAAACCCTGTCTCCTGATAAGATGTTATCAATGACAATGGTGCCCAAAACTTCATTAGCAATTTGAATTTCACCCCGGTCCTGTGGTCCTGTGATCTCGCCCTGCCTCCATTTGCCTTGTGATATTCTATTACCTTGTGAAGTATGTGATCTTTGTGACCCACACCCTATTCGTACACTCCCTCCCCTTTCGAAAGTCCCTAATAAAAACTTGCTGGTTTTACAGCTTGTGGGGCATCACAGAACCTACTGACATGTGAGGTCTCCCCTAGACACCCAGCTTTAGAATTTCTCTCTTTTGTACTCTGTCCCTTTATTTCTCAAACCGGCCGATGCTTAGGGAAAATAGAAAAGAACCTATGTGACTATTGGGGCAGGTTCCCAGATATGAGGCCTCAGAATAGCTTGAACCCGGGAGGCAGAGGCTGCAGTGAGCTGAGATCACACCACTGCACTCCAGCCTGGGCAACAGAGCCAGACTCTGTCTCTAAATAAATAAATAAATAAATATTAAAAAATTACAACTCCAATCTCCATGCTATTTCTAAGAGGTAAATAAACTAAAATGGCACTTAAGGTTTAAAATAAAGCAGTGGATATCTGAATTTAATCAATTCTAGAGTAAATTTTTTCTCACTTTAGTGTCTCTGAAACAGGTATATATTTTTAAATGGGTAGCCTCCTACCATTATGATACTTTAATTTGCAGCATTTTCTCCTGTTAATGGTATACTAATAATGTCTCAGGTGACCCCTTCTTAAAGAGTTCCTAATCTCGGCTGTATTTTTATTTCATTTTATTTTTTGAGACAAAGTCTCAGTCTGTCACCCAGGCTGGAGTGCAGTGGTGCCGTGAAGGATCATCGTTCACTGCAGCCTGGACCTCCTGGGCTCAAGAGATCCTCCCACGTCAGCCTCCTTGGTAGCTGGGACTACAGGCACCCGCGACTGCATCCCGCTAATTTTTTAAATTTTTTGTAGTGGCACGGTCTTGCTATGTGCTTCGGATGGTCCTGAACGCGTGGGTTAAAGTGATCCTCCCGCCTGGGCCTCCCAAAGTGCTGGGATTACAGGAGTGAACTCTGGCTCCCGCTCAGCTTTGTCACTAAAATGCTCTGCTGGGTGGAAATGAGGAGTGCGAAGCAGTGGGTGGGGCTTTTCTTTTACAAAGGCTCCGCCTGGGCTGTTCCTTCTGGTGAAGTGCTTGTAACTTTTTAGGTGGAAATGATGCCATTTTTCCTTTGTTCTCCCGTTCCTAAGACCAGGGATGAGCGTTCCCGCATCATCTCCCAACCTCACCCTGATGATACCATGCAACAAACTCCATCCTTTTCTGGTTGAACCTGGGCAGAGGACAGGTCCAGAGGAGCCTAGAAAAGGGCCTTCACAGGTCAGGAGATCCAATATGAAGTCGCAATTCTCACCCACTCCCAAGGCATTTGCCTTGATCTTCCCCTCCCACCATACTATGTCTGCTAGCTAGTTTCTCCCTGGTATTTGAGGATCCTCCAATTGCCTCGTGGTCTTAGGATCATCGTTAACTGCATCCTGGACCTCCTGGGCTCAAGAGATCCTCCCACCTCAGCCTCCCTGGTACCTGGGACTACAGGCACCCGCGACCGCATCCGGCTAATTTTTAAATTTTTTGTAGTGACAGGAACGCTCCCGGTAGGGTCTGTAGGTCTCTTGTGAGGATTTCATGCGGATGTGTAGATTTTTCGGGAAATGTGAAAGCTTAGGGAAAAGGGACGTTTTTCTTCCGGGCAGAGGCAGTTCCATATTTCCTATGGGGAAGGAGTTTTTAGCTCCACTCTGACTGAAAAGTAGGAAAAAGAGGGAATTCAAGCGCTTGAAAATTCGCCTGCTTTGCATTTCCCGAAAGACAGAAAACGTCAGTGATCCATTTCACAGATCAAGGGTACAGAAAAGTGTAGAGCAGTTTGAGATGTTTATTGGGCTTGGAGAGGTAGCGGACTTTTGCCATCATTCCCACCTTCTGAGCTGGAGTCTTGCCGTCCATTTTTCTCTCCTGCTCTCTTTCATCTACTATCCCCAAATATCAAGGATATCAGACAGTTAATCATCAGAATAAAGGAGCGGTTCCCACAGAGTTACATCCCGCAGAAGAGGTACGGGACCGAGAGAGTGGGGGGTCAGGCCTGAAGTCGAGGTCAAAAAACGCTGTGCCTTTCATTATCCTCGGAAACCTAGGCCGACTTTCCAGTTTGGAAGGGAAGAGTTGTCCGCCCCTTCTGTAGGATCCTGAGAGCTCTGGACGGGGAGGAGACTCTGGGACCGAGGGGTGGCCTGGGAGAGCCCCGCCACGGAGGTTGGAAGGGTGTTTCCTGCGTAGGCAGCTGTTGGCAATCAGAATGGTTTTTACTTTGTTCCTGCAACCAGCCCCATCCGCTTGGTTCTGGGCCCCTAAACTGCCTCCTCTTCTCATGCACTATGCACTGGGTTGAACGCAGCAACAATACAGACTTCCCTCCCAGCACGGTGGCTCATGCCTGTGATTCTAGCGCTTTGTGATATTAGTCCGCCCAGGCGGACGGACTGCTTGAGCTCAGGAGTTCGAGAACAGCCTAGGCAACAAAACGAGACCCTACAAAAACTACAAAAAATTAGTCGGGTGTGGTGTCGCGCACCTGTGGTCCCAGCTGCTCCACAGGCTGAGGCGGGAGGATAGCTGGAGCCCAAGAAGGCGAGGCTGCACTGAGCAGTGATCACGCCACTGCACCAGCCTGGGCAACAGAGCAAGATACTGTTAAAAAAAAAAATAAAGAAAAAAGAAATAAAGAGAAAAAGAAAAAAAGGAAAGAGAGAAAGAAAGGAAAGAAGAAAGAAAAAGAAAAAGAAAGAATGAAAGAAAGAAAAAGAAAGAAAGAAATAAAAGAAAGAAAAGAAAGAAGCAGAAATAAAAATATAACAGACTTCCCTAAGCCCGAAAAACAGCCTTGGGAATCGAGAGTGGGTAGAGGCCACAGCACTTTGGTAGCACGGAGCGCACCATGGGTCCATCGCTGCACGGCTCCTTTCCCGGCGCCAGCGGTTTCTTTCTTTTTTTTGAGACGGAGCTCACTCTGTCTCCCAGGCTGGAGTGCAGTGGCGCGATCTTGGCTCACTGCAACCTCTGCCTCCTGAGTTCAATCGATTCTTCTGCCTCAGCCTCCGGAGTAGCTGGGATTACAGGTGCCTGCCACCACAACCGGCTAATCTTTTGTATTTTAGTAGAGATGGGGTTTCACCTTGTTGGCCAGGCTAGTCTCCTGATCTCAAGTAATGCGCCCACCTCGGCCTCCCAAACTGCAAGGATCATAGGCGTGAGCCGCCGCGGTCGGCCGTGGCGCCGGCGGTTTCTCATTGCCATTGCTACTCCTTTGTCAGCGACAGCGGATGCTCTCTGGCCGCAACATTCTTTGCGCCAAAAGTTGTTTTTTTTGCAGCAGCGCAGGCATTTGCTGCGGGCAAGTGCTCGCCGGGTCCCATTGCCGCTGGTTCCCTTCCACACAACTTGTGAGTGTCCCCCCCACTCCCACAATCTAATCGGTTTAGGGAGCCAGAGGTTTCCCCGCGGCACTCTGCCTGTGGCGTCCGGCGAAGCCGGGGAATCCGCTGGAGGCAAGGCTGGTTTCACTGAGTCCGGCGTTTCTCCGTACCCGTACTGCTCTGCGCTCTGTGCTGGCCCAGGCGGGTCTCAGCACCGCTAGGTGCTGGGTAAAGGCATTGTCTGTTGTGGGTAGGATAGCCGTTAAGGGAGGACTAAAAGTTTCTAGCAGAGCCCAACTGGCGGTTTCTTGATCATATGAACACTAGCTCCGCGGAGCTGGATGTACTTCAGTGGCAGTGCATGTTTCTCTGTGGCATCCCCACAGCTGCCGTCCAAACTGCAGTGTTTCGCTGGCACCACTGCCACGTGGGTCACTTTCTTCAGTGGCTGCGCGGTTCCCTGCATCGAAGTCGCTTGTTTCTGATCCGCGCTTTCTCCCGGATGGCCGACCAGACGGTTTTCTGCTAGTTGTGCTACACATAGTTTCCTGGTCTCCGTGCGCCGCTTTCTCCATCCGAGACCCTCTAGTGCCGGTGTCACGGTCGCAGCACCTGGGGTTTCCATTGGCTGTTTTGCCTGTGGCGCGGAGTAGGCGGTTTTTCTGCCACAGCACTTGTCGTACGGAGTTTCTCGGTGGCCGAACCTCTCTTTTTTCTCAGAGTCGATGGTTTCTTGGTGACGGCGCCATTGGCTGCGTCAAAACGAATGTTGTCCTTGACAACCCCGCCGGCTGGCGTCACTCGCAGGCTCCCGGCACCACCATTTCGCCAGCCGAGGTCTCTCGGTCGCGGCACCGCTCGTTGGTCTGCGCCTCCATTTTCTCAGTGGCCGCAGCACCCAGGTTGCAGATGTGAGGGATTCGGTGTCGCAGCTGCCCCAGTTGCGCCCAGTTGCGCCTGGAGTTACCGGGCGGCGGCGGCGCTGGGCTGGGGGAGCCAGCCGCTCCTCGGGGCCGGTGGCAGGGGAGCTGCCGGGGCGCCTTCTCTTCCCAGCGCCGCCGCACGGACTGCGGCTCGGCCTCCAGAACCCAGTCCGGTGGCTGCGCTGCTGGGGTTTCTGTGACAGGACCCCACGGTTTCGGGCGTCGTTGGCTTCTTGGTCCTAGGAAGTTTCTATTTCGCGGTGCCTGCGATTTCTACCCCTTGTTCAAGTCGTGGAATAGTCACAATGTGATTTCTCAGCCCAATCAAGTTCCGACTTAGGACAAACACCGGTCTGGCCCTGGCTGCGATTTCTAGGTAGTAGGAAGTTACTGTTTCATCGTAACGAGGCTGAGTCACCCTGTGACTCACATCTCAGCAATTCCGGGTTTCCTGTAGCCTCGGAATTCTAATCCTAACAACCCCGGGTTAGCCCTGCCTCAAGTTCCTTAGTCATTGCAAGTTTCTTACTAGTAAGCTCTGCTTTAGCTGCTCAGGAGACGTTTAACTCCTGTAGAAATCTGGGTACCAGCGAATGCGGTTTTTTTTTTTTTTTTTGCTTAGCGATGACCAGTTTAGCAGGGCCTGGGAGCTCTTATACTAAGTTTGGTTTCACAATAGCGGGTCCCGCCTTAGCTAGGCCTGTGTTTTTTAAACTCCCCTGGAAGTCAGGAAATGCAGGCAAACGGGATTTTTCAGTTTTGCCAAGCCCCAGTTGACAATAGCAAGTCCCGCCGAAAGCGACTTTTTTTCCTACCATTTTATAGTCTAAGCTAAACAGGTTTAACCATGACTGTTATTTATTTATTTATTTAATTTGGTAGGAAATTTAGACTTAGGTGTAACATGTACTGGTTTAGATCGGATAGGGATATCCTAATCGTAGGATTGCATTACAAACATTTGTAATTTCTTCTTTGTAGGAATGGTTGTCAGCAATTTTTGCTTATTTTTTAATTGTCTTTTTGTGTCTTGCTCTGAGAACGACATTACCGATGTGCTTGCCTTTCATTTCTACTTGCATTTTAGGCTTCTATTATTTTTAAATTGTATTTCTATTTAAATGTTATGTATTTTTTTCTACTGATTTTAAATGTCTCAGCTTCGTGCTCCTTGACTTGCATGCTCAGGACGCGGGGAGCCGATCTCGGTCTCAGACTTGCTGCTGCCAGGTCCCGGGTTCTGTCTGGCGACTCCGCTTCTTATGCGGAGCTGTCGGTTTTGCGTCAGCACTTTTGCCAGTAGCGCCCACTGGGCGTTTTCTCAATTGGTGCACAATTCTTAGCGCCCAACAGGACGTTTCATGTTTTCGGGGCCCGTAAATTCTCTGTGCTGTCTCTTTCTGGGTCCTAGAAACGCTAATATCTCGTAGGAACTTCCTGAACCCCTTTTTACGGTGCAGACCGGTGACTGCACCCAGCCTCTGTGCTCTCTAGTAATTCCATAGCACCGTTAGCTGCGGCTTTTTCTCTCACAGCACATTACAACGGGTTAAAACACATTAAACGACTTAAAACACAATAAGATGCCACAACACATTTTTCTGTCACAACACATTTAAACACAGTCAGTTCATTTCTCCAGACAGGACTCCTATCTAAGAGCCCGCAGTTTCTTTCTAGCAGCACCATTTATGGCACCTAAATGGACATTTGTTTGGCAACACCAGGGCAATCCGCTGGGTGTCTGCTCTTGCTGAGTCCCAGCGCAGCCAGATTATTGTTAGCGAGGTCCTTAGTAGTGCCGAGCCCTAGCGGACAGTTTCCTGGTGGCAGCAATGCTCATTTCCCGGACACAGGTGGTTCTTGGCCTCTGAAGCTCTCTTTAATCCCTGCGTTCTGTAGGGCTACTTCTCTATACGGTCTGCTTAGTGTCAGTTTCATTTCGTTTTCTTTTCTCGCTGTTTTTCCGTCGGAATTACGGTTTGTTTTGGTTCTATGTACTTTCTAAAATTTTATCGTTTTTCATTTGTGTACTAATTTTAGTGCATTTATTACTATTGAGTTTCATATTTGGCTTGCCTCCGCCCACGAGCTCCGGAGACATAAATACCCAGGCTGATGCTGAAGTGTATTATAGTAAGGTTAAATTTCCTGCAATTGATAACTGTACTGTGCTACTGTGTAAGCTTATGTAAGACAATATCCCTGTTCTTAGGAAATGCACACTAAATATTAAAGTTTACTGGCCATAAGTTGTACAGTGTTTTTACAATTAAAAAAAATTTTTGCTCTGTCGCCCAGGCGGGTGCAGTGGTGTGATCTCGGCTCCCTGCAACCTCTGCCTCCTGAGTTCAAGCAATTCTTCTACCTCAGCCTCCCAAGTAGCTGGGATTACAGGTGCATGCCACCAAACCCGGCTAATTTTTGTATTTTTGGTAGAGATGGAGTTTCACTATGTTGATTATGCTGGTATCGAACTCCTGACCTCTGGTGGTCCACTCGCCTCGGCCTCCCAAAGGGCTGGGATTACAGGTGGGAGCCACCGTGGTGGCCCCAAATTCTTTAAAGAGAGGAGGGGAGGGAATATGGATAAAAGGTAGGCTGCAGCCGGGTGCGGTGGCTTGCGCCTGTAATCCCAGCACTTTGGGAGGCAGAGGCGGGAGGATCACCTGAGGTTGGGAGTTCGAGACCAGCCTGGCCAGCATGGTGAAACCCCATCTCTACTAAAAATACAAAACTTAGCTGGGCGTGGTGGCTCAAGCCTGCAGTCACAACTACTCACGAAGCTGAGGTAGGAGAATCACTTGAACCCGGGAGGTGGTGGTTGCAGTGAGCCGAGATTGCACCATTGCACTCCAGCGAGACTCTGTCTCAAAAAAAAAAAAAAAAAAAAAAAAGCTGGATTTCTGTGGTTCCTTCTTGCATTTTTTCTTGTAAATTTTAAATCATTTTAAATAAAAGGTTAAAAATGTAACATAAGGACTGTATATTTATTATCTCCAATTTTCACATCCCAGTGAATCCTGTATAATGAATCTTTCATTCCACAATTTCATTTTCCTATTCCCACAAATGTCAACCTCTCTTCAGCATTTTGTATAGCAAATGTATTTCTTCAGCTTCCATGACAAGTCACTGCCCTTTTCTTTTGCTTCAGCAGACACTCAATCTGTTTGCTCTGGCACATCAACTTTCTTTGTCCAAACTCTGAACTGCCCCAGGATGAAATATTTTGCTTTGCTAAATATTTTGGAATAATTTTATACTTGCCAGTGGAATCTGTATTATCAATGTTGGTGCATAAAATGAATGCACAAAAAGGGGTAGTTGAGAAGTGTTTAATAAAGTAACTGACTACTTACAATGAGCATTTGTGGACAGGTAAAAGGAAACAAACAAGAGGTAGGGAGCACTCCAGACTTTCACCAGAAGAAAGCATTACCATTCCTAGCTAAGTAGGGGCAAGAGAATGAGTGGTGTTAGAGAAAGCAAGCAAGTGCTGGAAGGGCCACTCCACAGTATTTTTGGCCTTTTTTTTCCCTTTTATTTTTCTGAGACCGGGTCTCACTCTGTCACCCAGGCTGGAGTGCAGTGGTACAACTATAGCTTATTGCAGCCTCCGCCATCTCAGCTCATGCAGTCCTCCTTCCTCAGCCTCCCAAGTAGCTGTGGCTACAGGTACATAGCACCATGCCTGGCTTATTTATTTATTTACTTATTTATTTATGTTTATTTATTTTTTTATGAGATGGAGTTTTGCTCTTGTTGCCCAGGCAATGGTGCAGTCTTGGCTCACTGCAACCTCCACCTCCCAGGTTCAAGTGATTCTCCTGCCTCAGTCTCTCGAGTAGCTGGGATTGCAGGTGTCCACCACCACACCCTGCTAATTTTTGTATTTTTTGGTAGAGACAGGGTTTCACCATGTTGGCCAGGCTGGTCTCGAACTCCTGACCTCAGGTGATCCAACCGCCTTGGCCTCCCAAAGTGCTGGGATTAAAGGTGTGAGCCACCGTGCCCAGCCTAATTTTTTTATTCTTTGTGGAGACGGGATCTAACTCTATTACCCAAGTTGGTTTTGAACTCCTGACCTCCAGGGATCCTCCTGCCTTGGCCTCCCAAAGTGCTGTGATTGCAAGCATGTGCCACCATAGCCAGACTATTTTTGACTTTACTTAAAATAATTCAATACCCTGAGCTCCAGGGGGAACAAAGCAAGGTAATAAATTACTACTCCATATCTCTGAACAGCTGGTGTCTTTCAGGGCCTAAACTCAAACAGAAGCCCAGAGGCAAAAGTAGCTCTCCAGTGCAGTCCATAACGGTTACTTCTTGCAAGATAGAGCTGGCTGAAGACTGGTAAACAGATCTAGTGAGGCAAACTGATGTTAGCTAGCAGTGTCTTTATATTGATCAATGTATTCACGATGATAACTTTTTTTTTTTTTTTTTGAAAAAATTCTTGCTCTGTCGCCCAGGTTGGCATGCAGTGGCCTGATCTTGGCTCACTGCAACCTCCACCTCCTGGGTTCAAGTGATTCTTGTGATTCAGCCTCCTGTGTAGCTGGGATTACAGGCGTGCACCACCACGCCTGGCTAATTTTTTGTATTTTTAGTAGAGATGGGGTTTTGCTATGTTGGCCAGGCTGGTCTTGAACTCCGGGCCTCAAGTGATTCACTCACCTTGGCCACCCAAAGTGCTGGGATTACAGGAGTGAGCCACCCCACCTGGCCCACAATGGTAACTTTTTTAAATGATCTAAAACCAACTCTATACTCATAAATTCAACAAGTTAGATAGAATGGATCAACCCTGCAAGATCCACAGTCATCGTTAATGATATTGAATTCATGGTCAAAAAATCTTCCAAAAAACAAACCTAGAGTTTCTTACAATTTCATTGACTATTTTTTACCAAATATTTAAAGAATAAATAAGATGAATTCTACATGACTTATTCTAGTAAATAAAAGAATATGGAATACTTCCCAATTTATTTTATGAGATCAGCACTTTCCTGGCACACACAGTACGCTAAGAGAAAGCTACTGACCAATATTGCACCTAAGCATAGATGCAGAAATCCTCACCAAAATACTAACAAATGGCAGTCAGAAATATATGTTAAAGAACAATACCATGCCTTGGGCCAGGCGCAGTGGTTCACGCCTGTAATCCCAGCACTTTGGGAGGCCGAGGCCGGCGGATCACGAGGTTAGGAGATCGAGACCATTTTGGCTAACACAGTGATACCCTGTCTCTACTAAAAAAAAAAAATACAAAAAATTAGCCGGGGGTGGTAGTGGGTGCCTGTAGTCCCAGCTACTTGGGAGGCTGAGGCAGGAGAATGGCGTCAACCCGGAAGGCGGAGCTTGCAGTGAGCCGAGACCGCACCACTGCACTCCAGCCTGGGCGACAGAGCGAGACTCCGTCTCAAAAAAAATAAAGAACAATACCACGCCCAAGTAAGATTATTCCAGATGGAGGGCTAGTTTAATGCTCGAAAGTCAAATAATATAATTTGCCTTATTGATAGCCTAGATGAGAAACACCGTATAATCCTATCAAATGATGCACAAAAAGCACTTAAAATCTATACCATTTATGATTTAAAATTTAAAAACCAACTCTCAGCATCATGGGAACAGAGGGAATTTCCTCAACCAAAAAAAATCTACAAAAACCTATAGCAAACGTGGTATGTAATAATGACAGACTCAACGTTTTTCCCATGGAATCAGGAACAAGGCACAAATATCCACTCTCACCATTTCTATTCAACAATGTACTGGAATTGTTTGCCAGTGCAATAAGGTGAGAAAATGTGTTAAAAATCATAAAAATTGGAAGCGAAACAATGAAAATATCCATACCTGCAGAATATGAGTCTATGTAGAAAATCTTAAGGAGTCTAAAAGAAAAGTTCCAGCACTCATGAGTGAGTTTAGCAAGCTCTCAAGATATAACAGTGCAAACCCTCAGAGGGAAAAGTTCCAGGGACTTGGAACAAGAGAATTTCCTGCACTAAGTTCTCAGGCCTGCTGCCTGTTAACCACATTTCCTGTAGGCCCAGCCTGTGAGTCACCTGCCATGCACAACTCCTGGCTGATCCTTCCCTCCAGTCTCTGGATAAGACACACTACTTCTGCCCTGCAATCAGCAAACCTAGGCGACCCAGAGTCCCGTGCCAGTCCTGGCACCAGCAACCAGCCGCCCCGCTCCTATGCCCCGTCCTTACCTTCATCAGCAGGAACCCAGGTAACAGAAATTTAACATTTGTGTCCTATTTTATTTTATTTTATATTTTTGAGACAGAGTTTTGCTCTTGTTGCCCAGGCTGGAGTGCAATGACACCATCTCGGCTCACTGCAACCTCTGCCTCAGGGTTCAAGCGATTCTCCTGCCTCAGCCTCCCGAGTAGTTGGGATTACAGGCATGCGTCACCATGCCTGGCTTATTTTGTATTTTTAGTAGCGACGGGGTTTCACCATGTTGGTCAGGCTGTTCTCGAACTTCTGACCTCAAGTGATCCACCCGACTGGGCCTCCCAAATTGCTGGGATTACCGGCGTAAGCCACCGCGCCCGGCCACATTTGTGTACAATTTTATTGAGAAGGGGAAAGAAAATGGCACAAACTGATTTGAAGGCAAAACTTCTTCCATCGCGTTTGAGAGAACTCAGGTGTTACTGTAACATCATCTGTTACAAGACGATCGTCAATGGAAGGATCTCAGAGAAAATCTCAGGGCTCAGGACATCAAAGGCGGCGGTGGACACCTTCTTAGGGCGTCTGCCCTCAAGCGCATGCAATCTGCAGCCAGCAGTCTTGGAACTTCGGTTGGTGGCTTCGGCGGGACAGTAGTAGGCTGACACTCTGAAAGGTCTCCTCGGACGGACGTCTCCGGCCCCAGTCGTCTGTCCACGAAGCAAGGGGCGAGTTGAGAGGGATGCTGCGGGGGCAGGCGTCCGTTGGGACCCTCTGCAGTCTCCAGCTCTCCAGAGGGCGCCTGCGGCTACTCCTATTTGCCGGTGCCGGATTCAGAGCGGGCGACTTTGAGCCCCTTCTCAAAGTGCGCTGCGGTCTGGGAAAGAGATCTTTTCGCCTGCAGTTTCAGCAAAGAAGCACTCAGGGAGCGGAAAGTAGGTCGCAGTGGAACCTAGAAAGCTGTCCCAAGAGAGCTCGCAGTGGTAAGGACAGGAAGGGAGCATTCAGGACACCGAATTTACTGAGCTCAGGGCTGGAGGCGGCTGGCCGCGCCTACTCCTTTGTGGAATCCCGGGCCTGCCAAACTCCGAGGGGAGACAGCAACTTCATCGCGTCCTTCTTTCACCAGCTGACACCGGGTATCTGGGATTCAGAAATCAACATCTTTTGCGTTTTTATACTCTTCTGGTCTCATGAGCGGTCCAAATTAGATTACAGGGAGGTGGGTGGGAACCTTAATCTTAGGAGCAAATTACATCAAGACATGGAATTAATGAGATTCACGTAAAGTCCTATCATCTGGGATGAAGTTATCTAGTTAAACACTTTGCTTTAGAAATTGAAAAGAAAAAGTACTGACTTCTTGTGCAAGGAAAGCTGTTTTGGGGGACCCTGGTTAGAACGTTCATTATTGCCTCCAAATGCATTGCTAGTACTGGAGCAGACTGGATTCGTTTCTGCCCCAGAGCAATGCTTGTCAGATGCCTAAAGATGGGGATGTTACTAAGGAGGAGGCCAGAGTAGTTGCCCATTTTTTAAATCAAAAGATCATTTTTGTGGTGTTTCATTATATTATTATTCTGTGATATGTTGACCTTTTTACATTTTAATTTTAGATTCAGAGGGACATGTGTAGGTTTGTAACAAAAATGTATTGCGTGATGCTGAGGCTTCTATTGACCCCATCACCTAGAGAGTGAACATAGTCCCCAGTGCGAAGTTTTTCAGTCTTTACCTCCCTATGTCCCTCCTTCCCTCCTTTTGGAGTCCCCAGTTGTCTATTCTCATCTTTATGTCCCCGTACACCAGGTTTAGCTCCCACTTATAAGTGAGACGAACATGCAATATTTGTTTCTGCATTAATTTGCTTAGGATAATTGTATCCTTACAGAATAGTTTGAAGTTGAAGTTAGGTAATGTGATGCCTCGGCTTTTTTTTTTTTTTAACCGGGTTTTTCTCTGTAGATCAGGTGGGAATGCAGTGGCATGCTCTTGACAGCCTCGAGCTGCAGGCTCCCCTCTCAGCCTCCAGAGTAGCTCCAAAGTAGCTGGGAAAACGAGCGTGTGCCCCCATGCCTGGCTAATTTCTGTTTGTAGTTTTTCTAAAGATGGGGTTTCTCCATGTTGCCCAGGGTGGTCGTTGCCCAATTTTTGTTTTCTTTTGTTTTTTTTTTGCCCAATTTTTATTTTCTTTTGTTTTTTTTTGAGACGGAATCTCGCTGTGTCTCCCAGGCTAAAGTGCAATGGTGCGATCTCCGCTCACTGCAACCTACACCTCCCGGGTTCAAGTGATTCTCCTGCCTCAGCCTCTGGAGTAGCTGGGACTACAGGCACGTGCCACCACACCTGGCTAATTTTTTTTTGTATTTTTTTTTTTTTTAGTAGAGACAGGGTTTCGCTGTGTTAGCCAAGATGGTCTTAGTCTCCTGACCTCGTGATCTGCCCGCCTCGGCCTCCCAAAGTGCTGGGATTACAGGTGTGAGGCACCGTGCCCGGCCCCCAGTTCTTACTGTGGTCTTTCACTCTCCCAGTTTTGTCATCTACTGTTGAATTGCTAAATTTAAAGTATTGCAGAATTTGGGTGTATGTGTGCAATAACATACAAGGGAGCAGACAAGGCACACAATGGCCTGGGCTCAGGGTTGGTAGCCTCTGGAGTCCTAGAGCCTGGTCTGTTGAATCCCAGGCCTGCTGCACCCCAGAAGGAAAGTGCTGCTTCATTGCATCCATCTCACAACTAGTGACAGAGTATCTGGAACTCAGAAATCACCAGTATTTGTGTTTTTATAGTCTTCTGCTCCCTTGAGTGGTTCTAGCCAGATAACAGAAACTGCGTGTGACTTTAGTCTTAGGAGAAAATTTCCTCAGAAAATGGAATTAATGATATTAACATAAAATCCTATCATCTGGGATGAAATTATCTAGATTAGTGACAGATGGGTTTAGCAGATGAAAGGAAAAAGTGGCTGTGCACAGTGGCCTATAATCCCAGCACTTTGGGAGGTGGAAGCAAGTGGATCACCTGAGGTCAGGAGTTCGATACCAGCCTGGCCAACAAGGTGAAACCCCATCTCTACTCAAAATACAAAATTAGCCGGGTGTGGTGGCACATGCCTATAATCCCAGCTACTTGGGAGCCTGAGGCAGGAGAATTGCTTGAACCTGGGAGGCACAGGTTGCAGTGAGCTGAGATCACGCCATTGCATTCCGGCCTGGGCAACAAGAGGGAAACTCTGTCTCAGAAATAAAGGAAAAAGTACAACTATGTCTGTGGAGGAAAAGCTGTTTTTATGGTGCCTGGCTTTCTTATAGAAAGTTCATTATTGCCAAAATCACATTGCTTGTCTTAAGAGCAGAGACTGAAACCTTGTCTACCAGCAGAGAAAAGCTTGGGGGGAATGTGCAAGGTATGATTTGGGATGTTATTGAGGAGCAGGGTAAGGATAGTTGCCCATTGTTGGTGTGGTCTTTCACTCTCCCAGTTTTGTCTTCTACTGAATTGTTATATTAAGAAGATTTCAGTCAGGTGCAGTGGCTCACACCTGTAATCTCAACACTTTGTGAGGCCAACACAGGCAGATCACTTGAGCCCAGGAGTTGGAGACCAGCCTGGACAACATGGCGAAAGCCTGTCTCTACAAAAAATGCAAAAATTATTCAGGTGTGGTGGCCTGTGCCTGTAGTCCCAGCTACTCAAAAGACTGAGGTGGGAAGACTGAGGCAGGAGAATTATCTGAGCCCAGAAAGTTGAGGATGCAGTTAGCTGAGATTGAGCCACTGTACTCCAGCCTGAGCAATGGAGTGAGACCCTGTCTCAAAAAAAAAACCAAAAAAAACAAAAAAGATTTCAGCATTTTTGTGTACAATAGCAAAAAGCTAAAGGCTCAGGACCCAGTGGCTAAGTTACAGACAGGTTATATGCCTTTCTAGATGAGTGACCCTCAACATGTTATCTAACCCTGTAGCCTTTATTAACCACCTCTGAAATGGAAGCCAAATGTGCTCTCATTTTACAAAGTAAATACCAGGAATACTTTTCATAACAAAAGTTAATGTTTAGACAGTATCTGGTTGAAAGTAATTTGCTCAGTTTTTAACAATATTATCATTGTGGATTTTATCATGGAATGAAAGATAACCTTAATCAGAACAAATGTAAAATGGATCATTCTTTGTTGTGTTCTTTTTGTGGATTATTTTTTTCCTTCTCATATCCATTGTGAAATAGAAATTCCTTTGATTCAAACATGCTATTTACAAAGCATCAATGGATAAGATTATATAATTACTTAATCAAATATTATTGTTTACTATTATAAAATCTGATTGATCCCAACATTTAGTAAGCATGTTTTGATACCCTACCATGTTCCAGGTGCTGTAAAGGGAGCCACAAATACAAAGATGAGACACTAGCTGCAGCTTTCACAACTCTAACTGATGAGTGAGTAAAGACGCTGTCAAGAGGCCATTCAGAACACAGCTAACTCAGTGTTTATTGCAGGAGCTGATTTGAAGACCAGAAAGACAAGGTCTGAATGTGATGCTTCCCTTCAAAGCCATGTTTTTTTTTTTTACTTGAAGTGAGGAAAATATACAACTATAGAAAACTAAAGGAAAAAATAATGAAGCAATAAGAATGACATAATAGATATAGAAGGCAGAAGATTGAAAGTTCTCGTTAGGTGAAAGGTTTATGGACTCTGGGTGTCTGGAGAGTGGATCTTGGGAGCAGGAGCAACCCCTACCTGCCAGTAATTACTGGAAAAGCACCAGTGGTGATCCCAGAAAACTAGCTTTATCATTTCTTTGAGCATGTAGCTTGGATACGTCTCTCTAGGAGTGAACAGTGAATGGAAACTTGCATTGTAGAGAGTCGGCAGTGCTCTGGATGGGTATAACACACATAGGGGTGACAGTTCCCAAAGGGGATCCATGTTACCCAGGCAAAGACCTGCTGTCCAGCCATTAATGCAGACCTGCCTCTCCCTCCAAACTGTGCAAAGGAATGTACTAGTTCTTTTCAGCTACCCTAGACAAAAACTGCTAAGGCTGGTGATGCTTTATTAAAGAATCTTGATTTACACATACTAGAATTATACTACTATACTTAAATCTAAGTTCTAGTGGCCTCCAGTAACAGTGAAAGAGACCTTTAATTAACTAACACATTTCCCATTTGCCCTGATAATACTCTCTGGCAGCACTTGCAGCTATATTTTTTACTCTGAGGTCAACTCAGAGGTTACAGTCTTAATGTTACCCTGAAATGCTTTTCAGAGAATTACATCAAAATAGGACTGATGCAGTTGGGACAGCTTGGTTGAACAGAAAGTCGAAAACAGATATCAAATGATCTGAAAAAAAAAAAAAATCCGCCCAGGTGCGGTGGCACACACCTGTAATCCCAGCACTTTGGGAGGATGAGGCAGATGGATCACCTGAGCTCAGGAGTTTGAGACCAACCTGGCCAATGTGGTGAAACCCCATCTCTAATAAAAATGCAAAAATTAGCTGGGTGTGGTGGTGTGCACCTGTAATCCCAGCTTCTCAGGAGTCTGAGATGGGAGAATTGCTTGAACTCAGAAGTCGGAGGTTGCAGTGAGCTGAGATGGCACCATTGCACTCCAGCATAGGTGACAATAGTGAAACTCCTCTAAAAAAAAAAAAAATGTAAAGAAAAAGAAGGAATCCATGAATGGTCTTGGTAAATGCTGTACCTGCATGCGCCACCTGCCAGTATTCTCAGGGCAAAGAAGAAATGGGTTAAATAATTGCCTAGAGTATTTTGCTTTTACACTTTATTTTCTGTTATATCCTGGAAGATTAGTGTGTCATAACCTAGAGGATAAAGAGGTCAGCTTATATAGGGGTCAACTAATCTGATATACATAGGGAGAAAATGTAGAACACACCATCAAGCATCATCAGTTACAGCTTCCTTAAAAATGCCTTGGCTATATCTTTGGCCAACCTCATAATTTATAGAGTCAATATCATGCATGTGGGCATTGTATCATCAGTAATTAAACAATTCAATCAAAACTAAATCAAAACTGTTTGCCTGGAGGCCAGCAGGCCATCTTGGGCAGAAGACTAGAAGATTGTTTTAGTCTAGATACCTCCCACTTGGGTCACTGAAAGCGACTATTTTTGTTTTAATCTCTGTTCATGGCTGTAATAATTTTTTTTTAAATTTAGACACAAGGTCTCACTCTATAGCTTAGACTAGAATGCAGTGGTACCATCATATCTCACTTCAGCCTCGAACTCCTGGGCTCAAGCAATCCTCTTGCTTCAGCCTCCTGAGTGGCTGGGACTACAGGCAGAAACCACCACACGCAGCTAATTAAAAGCTTTTTTTTTTTCTCTCTGCTAGAGATGGTGTTTCACTATGTTGCCTGGGCTGGTTTTGGGATTCTCACTGCAAGTGATCCTCCTGACTCAGCCTCCTAAAGTGCAGGGATTACAGGTGTCAGCCACCATGTCCAGCGCATAATAAAGTTGTTCTAGTCTTAGAATCTCGTCTCATGATGGTAACTCCACCTTCAATTTTTTTTTTTTTTTTTTTTTTTTTGAGACAGGGTCTTGCTGTGTTTCCCAAGCCGGAGTGCAGTGGCCCAATCTCAGCTCACTGCAACCTCTGCCTCCTGGGTTTAATTGATTCTCCCACCTTAGCCTCCCAAGTAGCTGGGATTACAGGGGTGTGCCACCACTCAGGGCTAATGTTTTTTGTAATTTTAGTAGAGACGGGATTTCACCATGTTAGCTGTTGTGGGATCTGGCCGGCAGTCCACAATGCAACGGGGCTCTTTCTTTGTTCGCAGGTGGATTGGCAGGTCGAGAAATAATAGACACACACAAAATAGTGAAAGCTGGGTCCAGGGGGGTCACCACCTCTGGTCCTGCGATGCCACCAATGCACTGGATATACCAGCATTTATTATTAAGTTTAGTGAGGGTGGGGGTAGGTTAGTGAGGGATTAGGGTCGTTTGATTATGAGGTGAGATGTTCACGTGGGGATAAAGTAATTCTTTAACATAACATCGGTATGCAGAAGTACAGTATACAGAGATAAGAATTTACAATATAGTGTGTGCATCACTAATTTCTAACAGAGCCTTAAAACAGAAACACAGTCTTTCCATAACCTATGATTAGCAAGATTTTTTTTATTATACTTTAAGTTTTAGGGTACATGTGAACAACGTGCAGATTAGTTACATACGTATACGTGTGCCATGTTGGTGTGCTGCACCCATCAACTCGTCATTTAACATTAGGTATATCTCCCAATGCTATCCCTCCCCCCTACCCCCACCCCATAACAGGCCCCCATGTGTGATGTTCCCCTTCCTGTGTCCATGTGTTCTCACTGTTCAGTTCTCACCTATAAGTGAGAACATGTGGTGTTTGGTTTTTTGTCCTTGCGATAGTTTGCTGAGAATGATGGTTTACAGCTTCATCCATGGCCCTACAAAGGACATGAACTCATCATTTTTTATGGCTGCATAATATTCCATGGTGTATATGTGCCATATTTTCTTAATCCAGTCTATCATTGTCGGACATTTGGCTTAGTTCCAAGTCTTTGCTATTGTGAATAGTGCCACAATGAACATACGTGTGCATGTGTCTTTATAGCAGCATGATTTATAACCCTTTGGGTATATACCCAGTAATGGGATTGCTGGGTCAAATGGTATTTCTAGCTCTAGATCCCTGAGGAATCACCACACTGACTTCCACAATGGTTGAACTAGTTTACAGTCCCACCAACAGTGTAAAAGTGTTCTTATCTCTCCACATCC
The DNA here is from genome assembly GCF_000001405.40 of Homo sapiens. Classification (NCBI taxonomy): domain Eukaryota; kingdom Metazoa; phylum Chordata; class Mammalia; order Primates; family Hominidae; genus Homo; species Homo sapiens. The sequence goes on along the minus strand of NC_000005.10, from coordinate 42,937,227 downwards.
TCTCCAGCACCTGTTGTTTCCTGACTTTTTAATGATTGCCATTCTAACTGGTGTGAGATGGTATCTCATTGTGGTTTTGATTTGCATTTGTCTGATGGCCAGTGATGATGAGCATTTTTTCACGTGTCTTTTGTCTGCATAAATGTCTTCTTTTGAGAAGTGTCTGTTCATAACTTTGCCCACTTTTTGATGGGGTTGTTTGTTTTTTTCTTGTAGACTTGTTTGAGTTCATTGTAGATTCTGGATATTAGCCCTTTGTCAGATGAGTAGATTGCAAAAATTTTCTCCCATTCTGTAGGTTGCCTGTTCACTCTGATGGTAGTTTCTTTTGCTGTGCAGAAGCTCTTTAGTTTAATTAGATCCCATTTGTCAATTTTGGCTTTTGTTGCCATTGCTTTTGGTGTTTTAGACATGAAGTCCTTGCCCATGCCTATGTCCTGAATGGTATTGCCTAGGTTTTCTTCTAAGGTTTTTATGGTTTTAGGTCTAACATTTAAGTCTTTAATCCACTTTGAATTAATTTTTGTATAAGGTGTAAGGAAGGGATCCAGTTTCAGCTTTCCACATATGGCTAGCCAGTTTTCCCAGCACCATTTATTAAATAGGGGATCCTTTCCCCATTTCTTGTTTTTGTCAGGTTTGTCAAAGATCAGATGGTTATAGATATGGGACATTATTTCTGAGGGCTCTGTTTTGTTCCATTGGTCTATATCTCTGTTTTGGTACCGGTACCATGCTGTTTTGGTTACTGTAGCCTTGTAGTATAGTTTGAAATCAGGTAGCATGATGCCTCCAGCTTTGTTCTTTTGGCTTAGGATTGACTTGGCAATGCGAGCTCTTTTTTGGTTCCATATGAACTTTAAAGTAGTTTTTTCCAATTCTGTGAAGAAAGTCATTGGTAGCCTGATGGAGATGGCATTGAATCTGTAAATTACCTTGGACAGTATGGCCATTTTCACGATATTGATTCTTCCCACCCATAAGCATGGAATGTTCTTCCATTTGTTTGTATTCTCTTTTATTTCATTGAGCAGTGGTTTGTAGTTCTCCTTGAAGAGGTACTTCATGTCCCTTGTAAGTTCTATTCCTAGGTATTTTATTCTCTTTGAAGCAATTGTGAATGGGAGTTCACTCATGATTTGGCTCTCTGTTTGTCTGTTATTGATGTATAAGAATGCTTGTGATTTCTGCACATTGATTTTGTATCCTGAGACTTTGCTGAAGTTGCCTATCAGCTTAAGGAGATTTTGGGCTGAGATGATGGGGTTTTCTAGATATACAATCACGTCATCTGCAAACAGGGACAATTTGATATCCTCTTTTCCTAACTGAATACCCTTTCTTTCCTTCTCCTGCCTGATTGCCCTGGCCAGAACTTCCAACACTATGTTGAATAGTAGTGGTGAGAGAGGGCATCCCTGTCTTGTGCCAGTTTTCAAAGGGAATGCTTCCAGTTTTTGCCCATTCAGTATGATATTGGCTGTGGGTTTGTCATAGATAGCTCTTATTATTTTGAGATATGTCCCATCAATACCTAATTTCTTGAGAGTTTTTTCAGTGAAGGTTGAATTTTGTCAAAGGCCTTTTCTGCATCTATTGAGATAATCATATGGTTTTTGTCATTTGTTCTGTTTATATGCTGGATTATGTTTATTGATTTTCATATGTTGAACCAGCCTTGCATCCCAGGGATGAAGCCCACTTGATCATGGTGGATAAGCTTCTTGATGTGCTGCTGGATTCAGTGTGGCAGTGTTTTATTGAGGATTTTTGCAGCAATGTTCATCAGGGATATTGGTCTAAAATTCTCTTTTTTGGTTATGTCTCTGCCACGCTTTGGTATCAGGATGATGCTGGCCTCATAAAATGAGTTAGGGAGGATTCCCTCTTTTTCTATTGATTGGAATAGTTTCAGAAGGAATGGTACCAGCTCCTCCTTGTACCTCTGGTAGAATTCGGCTGTGAATCCATCTGGTCCTGGACTTTTTTTGGTTGGTAAGCTATTAATTATTGCCTCAATTTCAGAGCCTGTTATTGGTCTATTCAGAGATTCAAATTCTTCCTGGTTTAGTCTTGGGAGGGTGTATGTGTTGAGGAATTTATCCATTTCTTCTAGATTTTCTAGTTTATTTGCGTAGAGGTGTTTATAGTATTCGCTGGTGGTAGTTTGTAATTCTGTGGGATCAGCAGTGATATCCCCTTTATCATTTTTTATTGCGTCTATTTGATTCTTCTCTCTTTTCTTCTTTATTAGTCTTGCTAGTGGTCTATCAATTTTGTTGATCTTTTCAAAAAACCAGCTCCTGGATCCATTGATTTTTTGAAGGGTTTTTTGTGTCTCTATTTCCTTCAGTTCTGCTCTGATCTTAGTTATTTCTTGCCTTCTGCTAGCTTTTGAATGTGTTTGCTCTTGCTTCTCTAGTTCTTTTAATTGTGATGTTAGGGTGTCAATTTTGGATCTTTCCTGCTTTCTCTTGTGGGCATTTAGTGCTATAAATTTCCCTCTACACATTGCTTTAAGTGTGTCCCAGAGATTCTGGTATGTTGCATCTTTGTTCTCATTGGTTTCAAAGAACATCTTTATTTCTGCCTTCATTTCGTTATGTACCCAGTAGTCATTCAGGAGCAGGTTGTTCAGTTTCCACGTAGTTGAGTGGTTTTGAGTGAGTTTCTGAATCCTGAGTTCTAGTTTGATTGCATTGTGGTCTGAGAGACAGTTTGTTATAATTTTTGTTCTTTTGCATTTGCTGAGGAGTGCTTTACTTCCAGCTATGAGGTCAATTTTGGAATAAGTGTGGTTTGGTGCTGAAAAGAATGTACATTCTGTTGATTTGGGGTGGAGAGTTCTGTAGATGTCTATTAGGTCCACTTGGTGCAGAGCTGAGTTCAAGTCCTGGATATTGTTGTTAACTTTCTGTCTCGTTGATCTGTCTAATGTTGACCGTGGGGTGTTAAAGTCTCCCATTATTATTGTGTGGGAGTCTAAGTCTCTTTATAAGTCTCTAAGGACATGCTTTATGAATCTGGGTGGTCCTGTATTGGGTGTATATATATTTAGGATAGTTAGTTCTTCTTGTTGAATTGATCCCTTTACCATTATGTAATGGCCTTCTTTGTCTCTTTTGATCTTTGTTGTTTTAAAGTCTGTTTTATCAGAGACTAGGATTGCAACCCCTGCCTTTTTTTGTTTTCCATTTGCTTGGTAGATCTTCCTCCATCCCTTTATTTTGAGCCTATTTGTGTCTCTGCATGTGAGATGGGTTTCCTGAATACAGCACACTGATGGGTCTTGACTCTTTATCCAATTTGCCAGTCTGTGTCTTTTAGCTGTAGCATTTAGCCCATTTACATTTAAGGGCAATATTGTTATTTGTGAATTTGAACCTGTCATTATGATGTTAGCTGGTTATTTTGCTCGTTAGTTAATGCAGTTTCTTCCTAGCCTTGATGGTCTTTATAATTTGGCATGTTTTTGCTGTGGCTGGCACCGGTTTTTCCTTTCCATGTTTAGTGCTTCCTTCAGGAGCTCTTTTAGGGCAGGCCTGGTGGTGACAAAATATCTCAGCATTTGCTTGTCTGTAAAGTATTTTATTTCTCCTTCACTTATGAAGCTTAGTTTGGCTGGATATGAGATTCTGGGTTGAAAATTCTTTTCTTTAGGAATGTTGAATATTGGCCCCCACTCTCTTCTGGCTTGTAGAGTTTCTGCCAAGAGATCAGCTGTTAGTCTGATGGGCTTCCCTTTTTGGGTAACCCGACCTTTCTCTCTGGCTGCCCTGAACATTTTTTCCTTCATTTCAACTTTGGTGAATCTGACAATTATGAGTCTTGGAGTTGCTCTTCTCGAGGAGTATCTTTGTGGCGTTCTCTGTATTTCCTGAATTTGAATGTTGACCTGCCTTGCTAGATTGGGGAAGTTCTCCTGGATAATATCCTGCAGAGTGTTTTCCAACTTGGTTCCATTCTCCCCGTACTTTCAGGTACACCAATCATAGGTAGATTTGGTGTTTTCACATAGTCCCATATTTCTTGGAGGCTTTGTTCGTTTCTTTTTATTCTTTTTTCTCTAAACTTTTCTTCTCACTTCATTTCATTCATTTGATCTTCCATCACTGATACCCTTTCTTCCAGTTGATCACATCGGCTGCTGAGGCTTCTGCATTCTTCACGTGGTTCTTGAGCCTTGGCTTTCAGCTCCATCAGGTCCTTTAAGGACTTCTCTGCATTGGTTTTTCTAGTTAGCCATTTGTCTAATTTTTTTTCAAGGTTTTTAACTTCTTTGCCATGGGTTTGAACTTCCTTGTTTAGCTCGGAGTAGTTTGATCATCTGAAGCCTTCTTCTCTCAACTCGTCAAAGTCATTCTCCCTCCAGCTTTGTTCCGTTGCTGGTGAGGAGCTGCGTTCCTTTGGAGGAGGAAAGGTGCTCTGATTTTAGAGTTTCCAGTTTTTCTGCTCTGTTTTTTCCTCATCTTTGTGGTTTTATCTACCTTTGGTCTTTGTTGATGGTGACGTACAGATGGGGTTTTGGTGTGGATGTCCTTTCTGTTTGTTAGTTTTCCTTCTAACTGTCAGGACCCTCAGCTGCAGGTCTGTTGGAGTTTTCTGGAGGTCCACTGCAGACCCTGTTTGCCTGGGTATCAGCAGCAGAGGCTGCAGAATAGCGGATATTGGTGAACAGGAGATGTTGGTGCCTGATCGTTCCTCTGTAAGTTTTCTCTCAGAGGAGTACCTGGCCGTATGAGGTGTCAGTCTGCCCCTACTGGGTGGTGCCTCCCACTTAGGCTACCCAGGGGTCAGCGACCCACTTGAGGAGGCAGTCTGTCTGTTCTCAGATGTCCAGCTGCATGCTGGGAGTACCACTACTGTCTTCAGTGCTGTCAGACAGGGACATTTAAGTCTGCAGAGGATTCTGCTGCCTTTTGTTTGGCTGTGCCCTGCCCCCAGAGGTGGAGTCTACAGAGGCAGGCAGGCCTCCTTGAGCTGCAGTGGGCTCCACCCTGTTTGAGCTTCCCGGCGGCTTTGTTTACCTACTCAAGCCTTGGTAATGGCAGGCGCCCCTCCCCCAGCCTCGCTGCCACCTTGCAGTTTGATCTCAGACTACTGTGCTAGCAATGAGCGAGGCTCCGTGGGCATAGGACCCTCTGAGCCAGATGCGGGGTATAATGTCCTGGTGTGCCGTTTGCTAAGACCATTGGAAAAGTTCAGTATTAGGGTGGGAGTGACCCGATTTTCCAAGTGCCGTTGGAAAAGCACGGTATTAGGGTGGGAGTGACCTGATTTTCCAGGTGCTGTCTGTCACCCCTTTCTTTGACTAGGAAAGGGAATTCCCTGACCCCTTGCACTTCCCGGTTGAGGTGATGCCTCACCCTCCTTCGGCTCACACTCGGTGCACTGCACCCACTGTCCTGCACCCACTTTCCGACACTCCCCAGTGAGATGAACCCGGTACCTCAGTTGGAAATGCAGAAGTCACCTGTCTTCTGCATTGCTCACGCTGCGAGCTGTAGATTGGAGCTGTTCCTATTCGGCCATCTTGGCTCCACCCCCTCGATTAGCAAGATATTAATCAGTAGTAACAGTTGCAGCAAAAGCTGGTTACAAACAATCAATAGAAACAGGATGTGAAGCTAGACAACCGGTTAGACCAGAAATTCTCAGAAGGGAGTATGCCTTAACCTAAAGAAGCCTGGAAGAACCATGGCAAGATGAGGGCATTTACAGCCCTATCTTATCCATATGAACAGGCGCCCCTCATGCATCTGTTTATAGGCTCTCCACAAGGGTCACATTCCATTCCCAGAACTATGAACATCTGCTTTTCTGGGATAGGAATCTTGGTGAAGTGAAACCTCCCTGACTGCACGTCCGTTCATAGGCTTTCTGCAGGGGGAAGCACATCACACACTGTTGGCTCATTCTGGCAGTCCAACCTGGCATTGCCTTTACACAATCCTGCATGCAATTTTGTATTTACAATAATCAGGAGCATTTCATCATTTATTCTGTAGCAATAGTTTCAGGGGGTCTCCCTACAGTTGGCAAGGCTGGCCTCAAGTGATCCTACTGTATCTGCCTCCCAATGTGCTAAGATTACAGGTGTGAGTCACTGTGTCTGGCTCAGATTTTTTTTCTTTGTTCATTGCATTATTCATATCAAAGTGAAAGTATCTCTGATAATTCTATCCTTACTACACTACCTAATATAGCATCCTCCTAGTTACCTTTCCAACTAACTTGCATTAAGTTTCTTAATAGCGTTTATCATATAAACAGTTTATTTATTTATTTATTTGTTGTCATGTTTACTATTTTTTTCAACCCATGAAGGTGTCAAACACTTTATGACCAAGTCCATGTCTGCTTGTTGATCACTTATCTCTGGGACCTTGATCACTATGTAGCACAATATAGACACTTAGTATTTGTTAATGAAGAGACAATAAATATATTAAAAGACTGGGTGTGGTGGCTCATGCCTGTAATCCCATCACTTTGGGAGGCTGAGGTGGGAGTTGAGGCTATGTTGCCAGAAGCTGTGCAACTAATGAATTAGGAGGCAGGAATCCATATTAATACTTTCCAGATACAGAGAAACTCTTGGTTTTAACAATCTGCTTCTTTGTCAGGTAATGACTCTTGATTTTAGGCTAAGAAAAAAATTTAACACTTATAACCAGTAAGTCTAGTAGAGTAGGTAAAAACAAAGACTATAGAGGAGGCTGGACAGAAAGTAAAAGGCAAAAATGCCCCAGGGTAAGTCACCTGGAATTAGAAAGTGAAGAATTATGCTTGGTGCCAAAGCAGGACTCCACTAGGTCACTAGGTTCACCTAAAAAAAAATGAACCATTTGCTGTTGGTCTCTGGGATTGAAAATTCCCCCTTCCTGTCTAGCCTCTGGTTTACATTCACTGTGTAGCTGAAAGTTTTCTTGTTTGTTTCTGTTTTTTTTTTTTTTTTTTTTTTGTAAAACATTGTCCACAAATGTTTGATAGATTTTAAAACCCAGGATACACTAGACCCTGCAGGGTACTGAGGAGCCGTGTGACTATCACTCCAATGCACCTCCACACGTGTTCTCTTTCCTGTTACTTTGCAGACTTTCTTCTTCCTGGTTCCATTTGCTTCTAGTAATTTAGGGCTGTATTCACTGACGCATTCCAAGAGCTCCTGATAAACTCTTGACTAACAATTACGTGTGTGTGTCTTTCCTGTGGGAAGAAATCAGTGGTGATTTGGGACATTATGAACTTAGGATTCTGAATGCAGAATTCTGATTTAACAGTGTAACAGAATTCATGAATGTCATGGTGCTAATTTGAACCAATAAGCAGCCTTGTGAGAGGAATATGCATTTCCTTAAAATCTGGGGAACACCAGGAGAATCTTTCTGGATGGACTTACCTGGAAACCTCTGCTGAGCAAAGTGAAAGGGAAGATGCAATTCTCCTGGGAAGGGGGGATGCTGATGTAGAGGGTGACAAGTTATATGACATGAAGTATTCACTCACCTGGATAGATTTAGGCTTAGGGTTATGATTAAGAAAGAAGGGAGGAAAAAAGGAAGAAGACGAAGAAAGGAAGCAAGAAAAAATAAAATTTATTCTAAGATAAAATTTCTGCATTGTACTAAACTATTTTTTCTGGCGGCCATTAACCAAGATAAGGAATGCTCAAGTTGAGTAAGACTGGATTTAGAATTGTCTGGGGGCTTCCAAAACAGGCGTAAAGAAATAACAAGGAATACAAGCCTGCGGCATCAGAGTCTGAGCTGGGGGTATAGATTTATGTGAATTTCGATGGGCATGGTGGCCCAGCCCGTAATCCCAGCAAGTTGTGAGGCTGAGGTGGAGAACTGCTTGAACTCAGGTGTTTGAGACCAGCCTGGAGAACATGGGGAGACTCCCTCTCTATGAAACATAAAGAATATTAACCCAAGATGGTGGCATGCACCTTGGTGCCAGCGCTGAGGAGGCTGAGGCGAGAGGACTGCTCAAGTCCAGGAGGTCGAGACTACAGTGAGCCGTGTTTGTGGCACTGCACTCAGGCCTGGGCCACAGAGTGAGACTCTGTCTCAAGTGGGGGAAAGAAAAGATAATTGTGAATTTAGTGATGCTTTGTATTTCAAAATAGGGAAGTGGATATGTGAATATATGGCATAAAAAGGTCAAGATGCTGGACCCCAGTGAACTCAAGTGTTTTGAAGTTCTGACTTTAACAATGCTGGACATCTGGAATGACTCAAATGTTTCTTTCTAGTGCAGCTAGAACTTTGCCTCCTTTAGAGTGAGCCTGTGGAGGACTTGAATATACTCAGAGTGCATCTGAGAGGTATCTGCTTGCAGAATGAATTAGAATATCTGGATTTGAACCATAATCAGATAGCTGTTAAGGGGTTACTCAAAGAGATATGATTCTTAAGTTTTACAGTATTGAATTCAGCTGCATATTATAAATATTTGTAAGTTGGATTATATTATGGAAGTACTTGGTACAAATGGCCATGCAGAGAAATAGGAATGAGACTGCATAGTCTGATATTTAAAAAATAAGTGGAACAACATTGGGAACCCCCTGTTCATATTTCAGATCTCTATTCTCTCATTAGAACTTAACTGCTATCCTCTGGTCCCTATTTTTGAAAAAAAAAAAGTATCTAAAAATCTGAAAAAACATTGATGAAGATATCCCAAGAGCCAGCCTCCTGGTTGCAAGACCCCAATCAGAGGACTAAGCTTAAATCTAATAAGATGTATAGGCTTGGAGCCAATGGGGTGAGAGGATATCCATGGAAGGTCCAATTGTCCAAGGCCTCAGACTCATGAAGAACCTCAAATTTAGATGTTAGATTTTCCCTCCAACTGAGATTGTACCTACAGTCACAGAGCTTCATGAATGGGAATGAAAACGGTCATGTCTCAATTTTTAAACTGTGATCAATCAGAGGACCTCATTGCCTATGGCACCGTGTCATCTAATAAAATGTTTGTGTTGTCTAATCTTGTAGTTAGTCCAGTGACAGTGCGTTGCATTTTTATGTTAAAAGAGTACACTTGTTAAATGTAGCTCTAAAAACACACCTGGTTTTTGTTTTACTGTGTTTATTCTTTGTGCTTAGGCACATTTAGGCCTTTCTGTCTTCTCTGTTGAATTGTGGGCCTGGACTCCTAAAACCTCCATTTCTAAATTTGCCTTGCCAACAGGGTCACAGTTAGTCTTTGTCAATGGTAGTCCGACTTGGTGAGACACGAGACAGTAAACAGGTCAACAGTCATTCTGGTTATGGCCTGGCAGTAAGGTGGCAGCACATTAGTTTGGCTCTCACAGTGTTGGCTGCTTTGGTTTCGGTTCCTGTGTGAACTCTGACAGGTAGAGTCCTTTTTTTTCCTTTCTTTTGTTTGAGACTGAATTTCACTTTTGTCACCCAGGCTGGAGTGCAATGGCACGATATCGGCTCACTGTCAGCCTCCGCCTCCCGGGTTGATGCGATTCTCCTGCCTCAACCTCCCGACTAGCTGGGATTATAGGCATGCACCACCATGCCCAGCTAATTTTGTATTTTCAGTAGAAACAGGGTTTTTCCATGTTGGTAGGCTGGTCTGGAACTCCTGACCTCAGGTGATCCACCCGCCTCAGCCTCCCAAAGTGCTGGGATTACAGACATGAGCCACTGGGCCCAGCCGGTAGAGTCCCTGTATCCAGGAATAGTTACGAAAACAATTTAAAAATGGGAACTGGGATTGGTTTTCAGACCAGGACATAAATATAAGCACAGTGGATGAGGGCTCAATCATTTGCTAAACTTGTATATGGTTAGTACTTCATTGTTACTGTAAAGCAAAAATAAAATGTGAAGACCCCACACAAACATCTGAATGGACCCCTTCTCTCAGCCAAGGGGATTTCAAAGTCAGCCTGAAAAAGCAGTTCCCGCCCCCCAGCCTCCCCACTGCATGGTGGCTCACGTCTGCAATCCAAGCACTTTGGGAGTCCAAAGGGGGCGGATCGCCTGAGCTGAGGAGTTCAAGACCAGCCTGACCAACATGGTAAAACCCCATCTCTACTAAAAATACAAAAATTAGCTGGGTGTGGTGGTGAGCACCTGTAATCCCAGCTACTAGGGAGGTTGAAGCAGGAGAATCGCTTGACCCAGGAGGCCAAGGTTGCAGTGAGCCAAAATCGTGCCACTCCACTCCAGCCTGGGTGACAGAGCAAGAGCTGGTCTCAGGCTGGGTGCGGTGGCTCACACCTGTAATCCCAGCACTTTGGGAGGCTGAGGCGGAAGGATCACGAGGTCAGGAGATCTAGACCATCCTAGCTAACACGGTGAAACCCCGTCTCTACTAAAAATACAAAAATATTAGCCAGGCGTGGTGGCAGGCGCCTGTAGTCCCAGCTACTTGAGGCAGGAGAATGGCGTGAACCCGGGAGGCGGAGCTTGCAGTGAGCTGAGATCACGCCACTGCACTCCAGCCTGGGCGAGAGAGCGAGACTCTGGAAAAATAAAAAAAGAGTTGGTCTCAAAAAAAAAGGAGTTTCAAGCCATGATGGAAAGGGAGATCCAGACATGCCCCATAATATTCTCCTCTCTTTTGGAATTAATGATAGAACAGACTCTTTCAGTCTGATGAGAAACATTTACTACCTAGCTCTCTGAAGACTGCTACCTGGAGGGCTTTATCTGCATGGTAAAACCTTGGTCTCCACAATACCTTAAGGTAACCCAGACACTCCTTTCTAGTGATAATAATTGTTTAACCAAATTGCCAATAAGAAAATCTTTGAATTTGCCTTGGACTTGGAAGATCCTGCTTCCGGTTATACTGTGTTTCTGGACTGAACCAATGTACGTCTTTCATGTATTGATCCCATGTCTTCCTAAAATATGTATAAACCAAGTTGTGCCCTGACCGCCTAAAGCAGATGTTTTCAGGATCTCCTGAGGGCTCTTTCATGGGCCATTGGACACTCATATTTGGCTCAGAATAAATGTCTTTTAGTATTTTACAGATTTTGACCCTGTGTCTGCTAGAACCTTAGAAAGCACAGCACCTGTGCTTATGCCTTTGCATTTCGAAGTTGGCAACAGTCAATGGGAAACTGGATTCCAAATTATGCCAGGGAATACTGGGCCAGGGGCTTTCAGCAGGACCCTTACCGTTTCTGGAATTTCAAGGGCTATTACAATGGTCTCGTCCAGGACTCATGAGATGCCTAACTGACATAGTTCGGGCAGTGATGTGGAAGTGAGGAAACTCAGGCAGTCATTGATTTCTTAACCCCACAGATGTTCTTCCTCTGTCTCTGGGTGAGAAAAGAAGACCTGGAAGAGCAGTGAGGGACTTCCAGGGTGGGGAATGACTGTCTCCATCACAGGTAGATAATCTAGGTCCTATCTGTGATAGGCTATCCTGATGGATCAACAGGTTACCCAAGCTGAAAAAAGCATTCAAGCACTTCCTTTGGAGTGTGAGGCAGAAACCAGGACAGCTACTGGTCCACCAGAGGACAAAAATCAACCCCATTTTACTACTTTGGCTCTTCAGTGTGGTGCGCATAGGGCAGTGAAGGTGGATGAGCAACAACATCCACCTTCAGCTATACACGGAGACAACAGAAGACTCCAGGCAGGACAGAGGAGGGCAACGACAACATGGGGGCAGTCCCAGGTGGATGTATCCGTGTGTGTGTGTGTGTGTGTGTGTGTGTGTGTGTGTGTGTGTGTGTGTGTATGTACTGTGACAGTGGTCAGGGGAAGGGAGGGGAGGGTTGAGATCTTCCCAGTAGAGAAGTGAAAAGCACAGAACTGAGTAAAGAGGTCCCAGAAAAGAAAGAGGAGCCTGCAAGCCACTACAGAAGTTTCTTGCCCAAAGGAATGGTCTTTTGCCCCACTAGGGGCTGTGTATGTTGTGAAGTCCATGGAGGTATCCAGGGTGTGGGCTTCCTGGCTCCAGTAGACTCAAGGTCCCTTTGAACTAGGGAGGAAAGGGGCCTGTAAGGTCTCCCCAGTTGGAATAAGCGTCGGAATAAAGCACATCCTGACAGGGCTGGGGGGCACTAATTAAACTCTATGGCTGGGAGTGGGAAGGGGGAGGTGGGGACAAAGGGCTGCTTTCTCTGTGTGCAGGCTTGAGATGCACAGGGGGTGTAAGGAGAGTCTGAGAAGGAGGGGGAGAAGGAAGAGAAGGAGGACGAGGAGAAGGAAGGTAAGTTTTCTGGGATGGACCTGGTGCTCCAGGTAGACAGGAAGCCTGGGCTGCGCAGTGTGTTTGGAGGAAGGTGGATGAAGGGGCAAGTCTGTTCCTTGGCGCGCCCTTTGGCCCGGGAGGCCCTGGCTACCTCCCTGCTCCCTGGCCGGGAAGCCTGAGAATGTCCCGCGTTGGCGTGGTTCGGGACAGCACAGGGACCCCCAATCAGAGCAGCCCTTGCATTGGTCCATCCATCCCCAAAAGCTAGGCCAGAAACACACGCGATGCAGACTTTTGCCTTGGCGTTGGATTTTATTCCGAGAACAGACTAAAGAGAATAATGTGTCCGAAGCGCTGCTCAGCCACAGCCTCCTGAGTGGCATGGGAACAGAGCAGAGGCATTACGGAAACCCAGTTCTTGGGCAGAGGATCAGGAACCCAAGGGCCTCGTTGGACATCTCCTGGCTTCTGAGCGCCCAGGGCGGCCGTCCCAGGCAGGCTGCGGTCTTCTTGGCGGACAGGCGGCCTATGCTGCACAAGGAAGCCTCCAGGCTGAGCCCGGTGGCCGCCAAGGCTCAGTAGCAGGGCGACGACACTCCGAGAGGTCCCCATCGTCAGACCTCTCTGGTTCCCGCGACCAGTCTTCGAAGAGGGCCGATCGCGGCGCGTGTGGCGGCCGCGGAGCGCAGTGACCGGGCTCCTCCGACGAGGCTGCGGCCGCCACTCCTGCCTGCGCCTGGGCCTCCTCCTGGGTGGCAGGCGTGGACTCTTCGTCCGAAGGTTGTGCACGCCGCACCAGGGGAATCCAAAGAACGCGCTCCTGTCCCGTGGGGAAGCCCCAGTACCGCTGATTCTGGTTCTCAGAGTGGTGGCCCAGCGGTGTTGGAAGGTAACGCGCCGTCCCGCGAATTCGATCTTCTGGGTCTCCGGATGGTTCCCACTGGGGCTCTCGGGCTGTCTCTCTGGAACCAAAAGCCCCCCTCACATGGCTTCGCCAGTGCATCGCTTCTTCCAGGGGAAGTTTACAGAGACAAGGGGATTCAGAAGATCAAGCTTGTGGAGCCCGCCTCCTTCTATGCTCCTCCTGCTTACGAGGCGGTCCAGCCCGGAGAGATCAAGGAGAACTGGGCGGTGAGCTAACTGAGAGCTAACTACATCAGAAGAGGAACCGCCCCAGTCGCCTTCAGTGTCCACATAGGCCCCTCCTGGAGCAAGTTGTGGGAAGTGAGTCTAGTGAAGACAGATGGGATTAGCAGTGAAAAATCCAAGAGACCTCCGGACGCCTAAGGAGGGAAGCTCTTTTGGGAGACGGGGAAGTGTAGATATCCGATTTCTGACCCCAAACGTTCTGGTAGTACTACAGGAGAGACCGAGAACCAGGGCTGTGGGAAAGAGGTATGTCTGTATCTTTGAGCTAGAGTGTGTGCGTTTGGTGGGATGGATACTGGGCTGAAGGCAGGGTGTGGGTGTGGTGTTTGCGATGAAGGGGAATGGGAGGGAAGCTCAAAGGATTATTTGGGAGGGAGCTTGGAGGTGGTTAGGGAAAATGGCCCAGTTCTAAAGATTAATTCCCAAAGTGTTGGGATTACAGGCGTGAGCCAGGTCAGGAGTCTGAGACCAGCCTGGCTAACATGGTGAAACCCTGTCTCTATTAAAAAATACAAAAAGTAGCCAGGTGTGGTGGTGCGCGTAGTCTCAGCTACTTGGGAGGCCGAGGCAGCAGAATCGCTTGAACCCGGGAGGCGGAGGTTGCAGTGAGTCGAGATCAGGCCACTGAACTCCAGCCTGGGTGACAGAGCAAGTCTCCGTCCCAAAAATAAAAAAATATATAAACTGAATGGTTGTATCTACCATATCCCGAGGTTCAAAAAGAGCAGTGATGTAAGACCAATGCCCAGTAATTTGTGAAAGATCAGAAAATTGTAAGTGTGAAGCAGGTTAACTGTGCACTGCTTACCAACTTCTTTGAATCAGCTGAGACATAAGATATTCATAAGCAAGCTATATGAAGCAAATTTGTACTTACAGACAGGCAGCAAGGGATAGCAAGACTAGGGTTCATTGTGTGTTGGTCCCTTGTAACTCAGAAAGCTGCCTACGGTAGATGGTGTCTTAACTGCACATGCTCTTCTTGCACCACAGCTGAGGGACCCCAATAAGCAGCTTACCTTGCACGCTGGGCTAAAGGGTTGAAGGACATCTTGTGCTAGATGGAGACAGGAATACAGCCCAGGCTGTTTCAGCCACTTCCTCCTTATTTTAGGATGTTGCACTCCCAGCACATTCTACAGTTATTCTTGAGGACTACAAGCAAGAAAATGGGGGAATTTAGTTGGTCCAAAGCCACCCAGCAAACTTTTCTGCAATCAGTTCAGTTATTGTATTGAAAAGACGTTTCTTAAAAGAAGACATACAGATAGCCAACATATATAAAAAATGCTCTTTTATTACTAATCATCAGGGAAATGGAAATTAAAACCTCAATGAGAACCTTTGGATCCTCCTTCCCCACCAGGTTTTTGTTACTGTTAACAGCACAGATATTAATATTCTTTTACATATTTCCTAGTGTATATGTATGTTCAACAATTTTTCTTGGACGTGTACTCTGAAATGGAATTGGTAGGTTTTGAGATATGTGACTTGCAGCTTCATAAGGCAACAGATTGTTTTTCAAAGTGATAGTACAAATACATGTTACCATTTACAATATATTAGATACTCTGAAGTTTAATATGCTCTCTAACACTTGGTATTGTCAGGTATTTTAACATTTAATCATTGAAAGGGTGAAAATAGCAGCAGCCCACGATTGTTGAACAGTCAGGCAATTTCACCCTATATGGACATTGTTGATTGCGGCATGATTCCCTCCACAGAGGCCCCTTCCTGATTTATCATTTTGGGCTCTCAGATTCTGTTCATGATTACCATTGTTATGAGATAATCCTGGCACTTTAACATTCTCCCAAACTGAAAAGGAGGTAAGGCCCATTTTTGTGTATGCACCGCTTAAGATAATGCAAATTGAAGCCTATTGGAAAGGTGTTATTTTTTTTTTTTCTTTTGAAACGGAGTCTCGCTCTGTCGCCCAGGCTGGAGTGCAGTGGCACGATCTCGGCTCACTGCAAGCTCCGCCTCCCGGGTTCACACCATTCTCCTGCCTCAGCCTCCCAGAGTAGCTGGGACTACAGGCGCCCACCACCACGCCCGGATAATGTTTTGTATTTTTTTAGTACAGACGGGGTTTCGCCATGTTAGCCAGGATGGTCTGGATCTCCTGACCTCGTGATCCGACCACCTCAGCCTCCCAAAGTGCTGGGATTACAGGCGTGAGCCACTGTGCCCGGCCTGGAAACTTTGTTTTTTGTATGCAGTTCAGCCAGTTCTAGCTAAGATGTAAACATTGGAAACTAATTTGGAACTGAAGGAAAAAATGGTTAAAAAAAGTTTTAGATATAAAACTACTATGGAAACTGCATTAGCCAAAGGTTTGGTCCACAGCATTAACTGGATTACCTATCAGGGCAGATAAAGTTTAGCCATGTGGACAGGTCCCAGTTTTGTCCTGTCCTGAAATAATTTGGATCCACTCCAGCTGCCTTTTGTAAAATAATGAGTTTATGATGCCATGTCATGGCTAGAGTTTCACGGTAACATCTATTTGATCTTTGTGTGTATGGATACGTGTTTCTATGTGTTTCTGTGCGTGTTACATGTATTATGTTGTATGTTATGTCCAAAATGGCACCATATTGGCTTATAAGTAAATGAGTGCTTACAAATTTAGCAAGAAAGTCCAAATGCTTTTCAAATTTGTGTGAATTTAGTAGTCTTTAATAATAAGCTTGCTTTAAAACTATTCACAAAATAAAAATAGAAATGTCTTTGGAATGGTAAACATACATTTTTTTCTGGGTTTACTAATTAGATGAGTTTTATATTTGCCTTTGCTAAATATTTGAACATGCTAGAATTTTACATGAAGGTTATAAGATCATAAACTCAACCAAAAACAGAATAATCTTTCTTTGAATGACTTTTTTGATAAATAAGACTAATTTAATATTGTTGGTTCCATAAGAATAATTAATTTTTCTGTATTATCAGAAAAAAATGCCCATGTGTTTAAGATTTTTGCATAGGTGAACACCTGATATTCACAGGCCATGCAAATTGTTAACAAAGAAATAACTTGGAGCGATAATTAGTGTTGTCTAATGTCTTAGTTCTAAGAACTAATCTAGATAAACTGCTATAGGTGAATAAATTGAATAAATGTAAATGGAATCAATGCTTGTAGGTGAACTTTTAATGTAACTTAAACTATTAAAATTATTTCAGATACCATTGAATGTCTGGGTCATTTCCAATTAAAAAAGAATTGTGACATTGGGCATTGGTCACACTTCTGAATCCATTAATGTGAAATAAAATCTATGCTATGAGTTAAGCATTAGAGCATTAGTGGACCTCAAATGAGCTGAATAAGAATAAGGTCTGAGTCTGGAAAGTAATCAAGCTACAAAAAGGGGATTGGCCCAATGGATGCCTGTGTACTTGCCCCCATACAGGCAAGCAATGAATGTGAAACAATATCACCTGCCAGAGGGGCACTGAAGTAACCCAAATAATCCAGGGTGCTGGAGTGAGATGCTGTCTCAGAATTAATTAATTAATTAATTAATCAATGCATTGTATTCTCTGCTGCACCTTTTTTTAAAAAAAATCTCTGTCTTCTGAAATGCCTGAAGAAAGAAAATAGTCTCAGTTGATGCAGGCCCTGAGATGGGCAGAGATTATGAGATCATCACATACACTTGGTGCTATGGACTGAATTGTCTTCCCCAAAATTCATGATGATTTTGATTAATCCACAAGGTGATGGTATTTAGAGATGGAGCCTTTGGGAGACAAGCACGTTAAGATGAAGTTACGAGGTTGGGGCTTTCATAATGGGATTGGCGGCCTTCCGAGAAAAGGAAGAGATACCATGTCCTTCTTGTTCTCTCCCCTTCTCCCTCTCTCCCTTTCTCCCCCTTTCTCTCTTTTTCTTTCCCTCTGTGCCATGTGAGAACACAGCAACAACATGGCCATTGGCACGACAGAAAGAGAATCCCCACCAAGAGCTGAATCTGGTGCTTTGATCTTGGACTTCCAGATCGTGGGTAAGACTCACCAGGGGAGAATTCTGTAGGTGCCTGGAATTGTCAGATCTAGAGTTAATGCCCTGGAACTCTGTGGTTGTCAACTCAGAAGGCACAAGGCTATAAATCTTCCTGTGGTCCTCTTTAATCTGCCTTCGCTTTTTGTTTTTTGTTTTGTTTGGATTTTCAAGTAACAAATTTATTTTTCCAGTTAACATAACCAGTCCATGGTACAGCATATTAAATCACAAACTACAAATCCAAGGACCTTTTGCAACCTTTACCAGGTTGCAAAACTTTGGCAAATCAATGTAGTACATTTTATTACAATGAAAGCATTTTTGTTAGAGTCATATATTATTTTAGTGATAATTTTCACTCCAAATATACTTAAGTAGTAAACCAAAACACTGGTTCATTTGTTTGTTTGTTTTGTTTTGTTTTGTTTTTGAGATGGAGTCTTGCACTGTAGCCCGGGCTGAAGTGAAATGGTGTGATCTGAGCTCACTGCAACCTCCGCCTCATAGGTTCAAACGATTCTCCTGCCTCAGCCTCCCAAGTAGCTGGGATTACAGGTGCCCACCACCACGCCTGGCTAATTTTTTTGTATTTTTAGTAGAGATGGGGTTTCACTATGTTGGCGAGGCTGGTCTCAAACTCCTGACCTCGTGATCTGCCCTCCTTGGCCTCCCAAAGCAGTGGGATTACAGGTGTGAACCACTGCACCCGGCAAACACTGGTTTTTAATGATGGTTTAAAATAACTTGCAGAGCAAGTTATTATTAATAAACATATTAATATGTTTGAAAGCTATACAAGTTCTCCTTTTAAATTGAATTTCCTCATGCAAGGTGTTGAAGTTTACAGCAGCAGGACAATTGTTTGTATGTAAGAGATGGCTCTGCTTTGTTCTGGGGTTGGACCAAAGCCAGGTGGTGTTCCAAAGTATGAAAAGCTTTAAAATTCTACCTTAAGTTGATTCAATGTCAATGCAAACTTCCAAGTACTTTTTAAAAAAATGTTAAAATTTTGCTTATACACAATTGGTGAGAGTGTAAATTAGTGTAAATATTTCCACCATTGTGGAAAACAGCATGGCAATTCCTCAAAGACCAAATAACAGAAATACCATTTGACCCAGCAATCCCATTACTGGGTATGTACCAAAGGAATATAAATTGTTCTACCATAAAGACCATACATGCATGTGCACTATTCACAATAGCAAAGACATGGAATCAACCTAAATGTCCTTTAATGGTGGACTGGATAAAGAAAATGTGGTATATATACACCATGGGATACTATGCAGCCATAAAAAAGAACAAGATCATGTCTTTTGCAGGAACATAGATGGAGCTGGAGGCTGTTTTTTCTTAGCAAACTAATGCAGGAATAGAAAAACAAATACCACATGTTCTCACTTACAAGCTGGAGATGACATGGACATGGACACAAAGAGGGGAACAACAGACACTGGAGCCTATTGAAGGTGGATGATGGAAGGAGGGAGAAGATCAGGAAAAATAGTAATGGGCACCAGGCTTCATACCTGGGTGATAAAATAATGTGTACAACAAACTCCCATGACACAAGTTTACCAAAATAACAAACCTGCATATGTACCCTGAATTTAAAATAAACATTAAGAAGAATAATTTCTTTCAATGTTAAATTTTTCATAAATACTGGAATCTCCAATATTAGACAGTCATTTCAAATAACACTAATTTCAGACGATCCGTTTTATTTAGACGCCATGCATCTCTTTGTTTTGATCTAAAGTCACTGTCTTATGTCAGCCTACTTTTTAAAAATTCTACTTAAAATATATTTATAGTTTTAAAATAAATATATTGCCGGCTTGGAGAGACGTGGGGTACTTGTCTACACACATTCATTATCAATTCACTACGAAGGCTGCTGCAGCCACCACCGGAGTTCTTATGCCTCCTCTTGTGAAAGCCATCAATTCTTCATTTTTTAACATGTAATTTATGTATGACCCATTCCAGTGCTTCCGTGCCTTTGATAGCATTTGAAGATATCCTACTTGCCATCAGTCCTTCAAGATAACTGCTGAGGCTGCCTCCTTTCACTGATTATGGCTTCTTGAGTCAAAATAATTTTTTTCTGGGTCCTGAGGATGTGGTTTGTATATAAGTCTCTCACCTAATGAAACCATATTTTAAGTGAAATATTAGTAGATTTAAGTTCCATTGTTTTCTCTATAGGATTAACTACAGAATATTCTAGCACATATGTTTTGGTTCTTTCTGTACCAATAAGAGACTTGTAGTTCCCACTCTGTGCAGAGAAGTCTGTGGCTGTGCAACTCTTCATTGGGATCTATATGTGTGTCCAACACATCAACCCACACCATGCCCTGGTTCATAGGGCTTTTGGGTATTTGTGCATTGCAACTGTTGTAACAATTTCCCACAGGTGATCAAAGACGTGCTCTGAAGTCCAGATCTTGATGATGCAGGCAGTCCAGGAGATGTCTGGGCAGTGCAGGGGAAAATGAGGCAAAGAGGCTACACCTGCCCCACTGCACCCCCAGCATGCCAATCAGCTTCGCAGTAGGCAGGCACCATCGGCCTCATGTGAAGGACATCCCAACCCCCTCTTCCAGCCCTTATTACAATGTAAACTTTAAACTATTTAAAAGAGGGGTCCCCAACTCCCCAGACAGCGTGCCTGTACTGGACCCTGGCCTGTTAGTGAGGCAGGAAAATAGGGTCTGGAGGCCGGGAACATAAGGCCCATTCACACTTCAGCTATAACAGGAAATATCCTCTCCATAGGGCATACACCCAGTAAATGACTTTGAAACTTTACTTCATCCTCTTCATTTACATAGGGCGTACCCCAAATAGAGGGTATTTAAACTCACAAAAACTCTGTAACTTTGAGCCCCTATGCGCAGGCCCACTACCACACTGTGGAGTGTACTTTTGTTTTCAATAAATCCCTTCATTCCGTCCTTGCTTTGCTTGCGCATTTTGTCCAATTCTTTCTTCAAGACGCCAAGAACCTGGACACCCTCTACCGTTAGCATTAAGAGCCCCGTGGCACAGCAGGATGGGAGTGGCCAGCAGCCCAGCGTTACCACCTGAGCTCCACTTCTTGTCAGATCAGCAGAGACATTAGATTGTCGTAGGTGCACGAAGCCTACTGTAAACTGCACATGCAAGGGATCTACCTTGTGCGCTCCTCCTGAGAATCTGATGCCTGATTATCTGAGGTAGAACAGCTTCATCTCCAAACTATCCCTGTCTACCAACCCCCCATCCATGGAAAAATTGTCTTCTATAAAACCAGTCCCTTGTGCCAAAAGGGTTGGGGACTGCTGATTTAAAGAACACTGTTAATGTCTGTTCCCTGCCTTCATCTGGAGGACCAGGGTCAGTTTTGAAGCAACTCCAGCAAGTGATCCACCCAGCTGTCCCCTTCCACCGTGCTAGTATCCACAGCTCCTCAAAGGCCCCCTGGAATTTAAACTAAAGCATGATCATGCCACTGCACACCAGCCTGGGCTACCCAGGAAGACTAGCGAGACCCCAGCTCAAAAAAAAAAAAAAAAAAAAAAAAAAAAGCTCTGAGCTGCGTCCCTGTCCCCTTTCTGTCTGCTTCAGGCCCATCTATACCAATCTTGATTTACCAGCTCAAAATCAATTTCACGGGTGGAGAATAGGGAAAGGATTTAATCAATGTGTACAGTTTCTATGGAAGAACCACAGCAATTTTGAATACATCTGAAAGAAGAGTTCCTTAGCACATTGCATATTATTCATTCCATGAAGAGAGTTGTTCTAAATGAAAAATGTTTAGGACGCTCAGGAGAGGAAAAACAAATTAAGGAAAGATCTCCACAACACAGACATCAAGGCTGTTATGAGTGCAGGCACAGTTCCAGTGCAAATGTCCACAGGGACAGCATGAGGGTCCCCATTGGAGTGCCTCGGACTCCTTCCAGGGCAGCAGTTGAAGCAGGTCGTGCTGCAGGCCTGCAGAAAGGCTGGGGTTCCTCTCCTTTCCGGGTTCCTTCCTGATGGAATCCTAGGTTTTCAGCAGCTGCCGGAGGCGGCCTGGGCTGCAGCGGGTGCCCTGGGCGTGTGTACTTCAACCTCCACAGGCGCTGGCATCTCCAGACAGCTTCAGGCCGCTTTGGATCTCACCGTCGGTAGCATCTGTGTCTTCTTGAGGGGACTGGAGCCCGTCTGTGGTTTCAGCCATTGACTCATCGACATGAGAGTCTCGAGGCTGTTTTTGGCCCCTCTCATCTCCGGGCAGGGCTGCGTGCCCGGTGGAATCGCAGTGCAGCAGCCAGCCCGGAGCAGAGCTCCCGTAGAGCTGATGGCATTGGCAGGAGTGGCGGCTCTGCACAGGGAAGTTATCCAGCGCCCAGGCCCAGGCTTGCTCTTGGTTCAGGTCCCATGGCGTGTGGGGCTCTGGACCTGCCTGCCTCCAAGACAGCTCTTCCAAGGTTGATGGTTGGAACTTCATAGCCTCTTCCTGGAAAGGCTTGACTAGGCCCAGCCATAGCTAGTCTAGGAAAAGAGCAAATGGCGCAGTCCATCGCTGACTGTGGGCTTTTATAGCATTCTGTCTTGTACAGGAAGTCGTATACCAAAATCCAATCATGTGGAGATTAACACTTATTCACCTTGCTAATTGCTTCAGACTGTGATAAGGTTATGGTAAAAATTTTATCATTCTGCAAGGCACTATTTAAAGTCCTTGGGTTTTTACTGGATCAAGCAGTAATAGGGTGGGGCAGGGGGGTGAGAGAATGAGTCCACTGATTGGCAGTTTCTTATTTCAATAAGAAATTGGCAGATTTTAATATTTCAATATTTCACAATTCAGTGAGATGTTAGGTGTGCATCTCTAATAGATAAGTTTTATCAAATTAAGGGAATTCACTGTTTCAAATTTGCTAATATGACTTTCATATTAATAATGAAGCAGGGTTGATTTTTAAAAAGATTTTTTTGTATCTACTGAAAAATCTTTTATTTTTTCTGATGTTAATGTGGAGATTAGAGATTGATTTTTCAAATTCCAAACCCATGTTGAGCTCCCAATAAACTCAATTAGATTATGATGCATTTTTTAAAAGTATATTACTGGATTCAGAATTCTAACATATTGTTTATAATTTTGCCCTGTGATTGGGAGAGATATTGGCTGATGGAAAAATTGAGGAGGGGGCGCTAGCGTGATGCATGAAATGGGCATTAAAAAACTTAACTTGTTGATATTTAAAAAGGCCTTTCTATCTATGTAGTTGTCCCACTCAGTCAAAGACTTTTCAAATATAGGGAACATGTCTCATGTGCCATTTCAAGAGTCAAGATTGGCTTGAATCATTCTATTTTTGAAGGTACTCTGAAATAAATGTTAATACAGAGTGAATTTTTGAGGATTCCAACAGCAGGGGAAAAACAGTGAGGTACATGAGGTGAGCAGAGAGGCATATTTTAATGGCCTGGCTTCCCCCAGAAACATCACTGAAATAAACACTCATGTGAGATTGCTTTATTCAAGAGTGCTGTCCTTAGAAAGTGGGAGTGAGAAGAAAGAGGAGAGGGTCAGGGATGAGCATATTCAATGCTGTGCTTCCTAGTAGCCCAAGCTTGGTATCAAGTATGACCAGAGGTGACTTTATTATTAAACCAATAAAGTTTAACTGTAAGGCAAACTTCCAAAGAGTTTGTAAAACTTTTGACCTAAAACATTTTTCTAATTTTCTCAAAGAGATTCCCCTACTAGCTGTATGAACATTGACTCCACAAATTTGAAGCTGCTCTGAACAACAATGGTTGTTTGATCTCATGAAACCATCTTCTGAGAGGCCTTATGAATAACTGCTTCTCGGCACAGTCCACTTAGGAGGAAGAAAAGAATGGAATATATCCACTGTTGGTGAAATAACACAATTCTCACAACAAAAGACTGCTGTGTACCAAATAGAAGAGAGAGGGCACACTAGTATTGAGTTGGCATTCGCATATTTACATGCCTGTAAGGTAGCCTGACAACTACAAAGTTAGGCCACATCTCATATATTTTCAGCAGAGCAGGGGGAAGCATGATGAATTCCTTTCTCTTTTCAAAGAAAGAGAGAACACCTTACAATAATATCTTGCTATCTTCTGAGAGAACCTCAGCTCATTCAGGAGGTACTTTTAAGAAACATGTACATATTTGTCCCATGACCTTGGATAAATTACTACATTGTATAAACTGGAGATTCAGCTTTATCTTTAGAGGGACTAATCTAAATTCCAATAGTTCAACTCCGGATTCAGAGTAACCATATTAAGTGTGATGTTACTGTTGTATTTCTTTTATGGCTTTTAGGAAAAGAAACAAAACACTCTCAAATAGTATAAGCATAAAAAGATTTATTATGGTATAAACATCATTAAAATCTAGGACAAACGCTGTGGCTCATGCTTGTAATCCCAGCACTTTGGGAGGCTGAGGCAGGTGGATCACAAGGTCAGGAGTTCGAGATCAGCCTGACCAACATGGTGAAACCACGTCTCTACTAAAAGTACAAAAATTAGCCAGGTGTGGTGGCACGTGCCTGTCATCCCAGCTACTCAGGAAGCTGAGGAAGGAGAATTGTTTGAACCCAGGAAGCAGCGATTGTAGTGAGCGGATATCGTGCCACGGCACTCCAGCCTGGGCAACAAGAGAGAGACTCTGTCTCAAAAAAAAAAAAAAAAAAAAAAATTCTGATAGAGGCCAGCTGTGGTGGCTCACGCCTGTAATCCGAGCACTTCGGGAGGCCGAGGCAGGCAGATTGCTTGAGGTCATGAGTTCGTGGCCAGGCTGGCCAATATGGTGAAACCTCGTCTCCACTTTCTTTTAATTTTTAAAAGAAAAAATTAGCTAGGTGTGGTGGCAGGCACCTGTAATCCCAGCTACTTGAGACGCTGAGGCAGGAGAAAAGCTTGAACGTAGGAAGGAAAGGTTAAAGTGAGCCAAGATTGTGCCACTGCACTCTAGCCTGGGCGACAGAGCAAGACTCTGTCTCAAAAAAAAAAAAAAAAATGAAAAGAAAAAAATGAAAAAAAAATCTGATAGAAAAGTGTAGACACAGATTTTAGACTGAGTGTCAGGGAATGATTTTTCTGAACCACATTGCAAATTGGCTCCCTAAAAGAAGATACTGTCAGAAATCAGTAAACACTGAATCAGACAGCTGCTAAACCACCGCAGGCTTCTCCCTTCAGAAACACGCAGCAAATATTAGATGGTTGGGTCAATCCAAGTATCCGTAGGGAATAAATGTATACAGTAATTCTCATGGACTATTTTTGGAGGACAAATGTTTCATTCATTTAAAGAACAATCTGGCAATACTCCATAAAATTAGGTTATGCATTTTCGATGAATAATTTTGCTGAAGGACGATGTATATCCTAAATAAATTCTCTCATGAGAATGAGACTAACATACGAAATATTGTTGATTAGGTGGCATCTGAGTGCCCCCTGTGGGACACTGGAGAGGGAAAGTCTGGCAGAGGCTCATTAGAAGCTGATATGTTGAAGTTGGAAGCAGCAAATGAAGTGTACCTATAAAAATCTTAGAAATATGCCAATAAGCGAAAAATAATAAATGAAATAAGATATACACCCAATACTTTTTGGAAGAATTAAAAATATATATACATAAAATTGTGTCGCATATAAGACTGATTGCTACAAAACACACAATAGAAATAAAAATAAAATAGCTAGAAGTAAAGTAGTTACTAATAAGAAGAATCTCAGTAGAAGTAGGAAAAGAGATAAAAACGAATAACTGACAGAATGCACCTAATTACATAAAATAGGATCAAGGCCTGCACAAAACACTGTTGAAAATGTTACATCAATTAAACTTATTTTCTCCTTAGGTATAAAAATCATCGCACCTTTGAGGTCTCCCTTTCATGTAGTTAGATGAGTGTAGACAAAAAAAGAAAATGTATGGATTTAAGAAAGTCCTGGGATGCTCCTTTTCACAACCTAGCCTATTTTATTCATTACTCTATGTGATTGGTATGCTGCAGGACCTGGACTCTGAATCCAGATTCTAGCAGAATTAGCTTTCTGATCTTGGACTATGATCTAACCTCATTGTGTCTCCTATCTACAACTGCTCAATGCCTCTAAAATATGCAAGAAGAATGAGACATAGTAGGTGTAATTGTCTAGGCTGCTCTGCAATAAGGACACACTTTGTGTAGTGAATAGACAGTAAGTAACTGGTTCGTGCCACCAGTGGGACATCTCCATTGCTCCCTTTCCTTGGCTGATTCAATCATAGCAACCCAGAAGCGTTTTCAGAGTATCTTCCAGAATGATACAATTTTCACCTTAATCCTATCAGGTTCTGAACCAATTTGCAAGGCAAATTAGTGTTAATCCCCTGCTTATTTGAATAGCTGGTTTCTGGCCTATATACAAGACAAAACATACTGTAAAAACAGACACTCAGTACTAGCCAGTGTTATTTACCTCTTTTCCTATCTCAACTATATTGCTGGCCTTGTCACAAGACTGAACCCATGGAGTTCTGTCCATTAAACCTGGAAGAACAGTCCTGGAGGTAAGCAGGTCCAGAGTGCATGTCATATGCCACCAGGTCAGGACCGTGAACAAACCTGAGGCTGGGCACTAGATCACTTGCTGTGTTGAGCCACCATGCCTGCCAATGCCCTTAGCTCTGTGAGGATGTAAAATCAGGTATGTGTGGGCTGCTGTGCTGGGTTTCCAGCAGGCACGGAGCTGTTCCCAGGCTCAAGAGGGGTCCAATGGCCATCAAAACCCACATGTCCAGGAGTCAGTGGCTGAAACCACAAAGGAGCTCCAGTCACCTTAAAGAAAGATGGATTCTACCAATGGCAGGGTTCAATGGTCCCAAACCAGCCAGGAGATGCCAACGCTTGTGGAGCTGAACAGACACATACTGAGGATGCCTTCATAAACTACTCACAATCAGGGCTTGAAATACAGAGCAACCCAGGAAGGGGAGGGGGGTACAAACCTTTTGTTGCTCCTGGCTCACAGTGAGATAGGAGTTTGGCAGGACTAGTTTTGCAAGACAAACAGGAGGCTAGGTCCCCAAGACACAGGTCACAATACCCTCTTGATAAGACATGATTCCTTTAAAAAAAAAAAAAAAAAAAAGCCCAAACCAGTTAGAAGGAAGATGGCTACATAAGCAACCTCTGGTTACCCTCGTTGCTCATTATATGCTCATTATTATGCATTGGGATGCTAAAAGACACTAACACCCGAGCAATCACTGTGACTGTTTACAAATGCCATTGCAATGCCCAAGAGTTACTCTGTATATTCTGTAAGGGGGAGAAACTCCTGGTTCCACAAGCTCCCACCCCTTTCCCAGATAACTAAAGAAATAATTGACCCCTTGTTTAGCATATAATCCAGAAATAGCCATAAAATAGCCAGCTAGCCACCCTGGCCCCATTGCTACCCTGACTATGGGGTAGCCTCCTTTTTGTTCCTTAGTTTCCTTAATAAACTTGCTTTCACATTACTCTGTTGGCTTGCTCTTGAATTCTTTCTGGCTCAAAGTCAAGTATCTACTTGGTCTCCCAGGCTAAACTCCAATTTTAGGGGTATCCTTGCATCAACAGCACCACTGCCTTCAGCCAATTCCCCGGAAGGAGCTCCTCACACCCCAGTGGAGACCCTCATTATGTTATTGTAAACTTCCTTGGGACTGTTCATCTAGGAACAAGAAGTCTCTATGATGGAGATAATTCCTTATATAGTTCTTCCTCTCCAAAGTGCCTTAAAGTTTTCTCAATTATACAACTTTGATTTATATGTAATCAAGAATATGCTAAGGGGCTTTACTTTTAGATCAACTCAGAATTCATAGTTCTTTGTACATGACAATTGAAGCCTGTTCCTTATTCTCCACCTGTGTGGAGTCAGGACTGCTCTCTGCGGTCCAGGCTGTCCCCGGAAGCTGCTGAAAACCGACGATTCCATCAAGAAGGAACCCGGAAAGGAGAGAAACCCCTGCCTTTCTGCAGGCCTGCAGTAGGACCTGCTTCAACTGCTGCCCTGGAAGGAGCCCGAGGCACCTCAGTGGGAACCCTCATGCTGTCTCTGGGGACTTTTGCACTGGAACTGTGCCCTGCACGCATAAGAGCCTTGAGGTCTTTGCTGTGGAGATCATTCCATAATTTGTTCTTCCTCTCCTGAATGTCCTAAACATTTTTATTTAGAAAAACTCTCTTCATGTAGTGAATAATATGCAATGTGCTAAGGAACTTTTCTTTTAGATCTACTCAAAATTGTGATGGTTCTTCCATCGAAACTGTACACATTGATTAAAGCCTTTCCCTTATTCTCCAACTGTGGAATCAAAACTAGTAAATCAAGGTTGGTATAGATGGGCCTGAAGCAGACAGAAAGGGGGCAGGGACCTAGCTCAGAGCTTTTTCTTTTTCTTTTGAGTCTTATTATTATTTAAGATGGGGGTCTCGCTGGGTCGCCTAGGCCGGTGTGCAGTGGCGTGATCAGGCTTTAGTCTAAATTCCAGGGGCCTTTGAGGAGCTGTGGATACTAACAGGGTGGGAGGGGACAGCTGGGTGGATCATATGCTGGAGTTGCTTTGAAACTGACTGTGGCCCTCCAAATAAAGGCAGAAAACAGGCATTAGCACTGTTCTTTAAATCAGGGGTCCCCAATCCCCCCCACCACGGACCGGTTAGGAACCCGGCCCCAAAGCAGGAGCTGAGCAGTGGGCAAGCGAGCATTACTGGCTGAGCTCCGCCTAGCGTCAGATCTGCTGCATTAAATTCTCACAGGAGTGCGAACCCTATTGTGAACTGCGCATGCGCAGGACCAAGACTAGCTTTTGCTCTCCTTTTGAGAATCTATTGCGTGCCTGATTATTTGATTTCTAACACCTTCATCCCGAAACCATCCCCACACCCCTCTCCATCCGTAGAAAAATTGTATTCCACTAAACTGGTCCCTGGTGCCAAAAACGTTGCGGATCTCTGCTTTAAATGGTTTAAATGTTACATTGTAACGAAGAGTGGAGGACCGCCTCACTTGGAGCCGACGGCACCTGCGCACAGCGAAGCTGGTTGAAGGGCCCCCGACGGGGTGGGACAGGTGTAGCCTCCTCACCTCATTTTCCCCTGCGCTTCACAGACATCTAGCAGACTGCCTGCACCATCAAGATCTGGACTGCAGAGCACGTCTTTCACCACCCGTGGGAAACTGTTACAACAGCTGCAATGCACAAATACCCAAGCCCTGCGAACCTGAGCAGGGTGTGGGTTGATGTGTTGGAAGGATATATAGATCCCTCTGGAAAGTTGCAAGGCCACAGACTTCTCTGCACAGAGTGGGAACTGCAAGTCCCTTACTGTTGCAGCAAGAGCCAAAACATAGTCTTCAGGACCCAGAAAAAAAACTATTTTGACTCAAGAAACCACAATCATTGTGAAAAGAATCAGCCTCAGCAGTTACCTTGAAGAACTGAAGACAAGTACAATATCTTCAAATGCTAATAAAGGCTGAGAAGCACTGGAATGGGTAATACTTAAACTACATGTTAAGATTGAGAAATTGCTGGCTTCAAAAAGAGGAAGCATAAGAACTCGGATAGTAGCAGCATCATTTACAGAGAAATGATAATGGATGTTGGAAGACATCAAGTACCCCAGGTGTCTCCAACCTTGCAATCTGTTATTTTAAAACCGTATCTTAGGTAGAATTTTTAAAAAATAGACTGATAGAAGACTTTGTGACATGGAATAAAAACAAAGAGGTTCAGGGTGTCTAAATAAAAGGGATCATCTAAAATAAGTGTTGTTTGAAATGATTGTCTAATTTTGAGAGTTCCAGTATTTATGTGAAAATTTAAAAATTTTTCAAAAAGTACTTGGCAGTTTGCATTGACATTGAATCATTTTGAGGTAGAATTTTAAAGCTTTTAACACCTGGGAACACTACCTGACTTTGGTGGAACTTCAGAACAAAGCAGAGCCACCTCTTATATACACACAATTGCCCTGCTGCCATAAACTTCAACAGCTTGCATAAGGAACTTCACTTTAAAAGGAGAAATTGCTCAGTTTTAAATGATATTAATGTGTATAAAATAACTTGCTCTGCTATAAACCACCATTAAAAACCAGTGTTTTGGTTTAGTACTTGAATATTTTTGGAGTAAAAATTATCCCTAAAGTAGTATATGACTCCCAGAAACATATGCTTTTATTATAATAAAAAGTAATATATTGATTTGTCAAAGTTTTATAACATAGTAAAGGTATTACCTTCCTTGGATTTGTACTTTATGCTTTAATATGCTGTACCATGAGCTGGCTACATTAATTGGAAAAATAAATTCATTACTTGAAAAACAAAAGAGAAAATGAAGAGTGGGGATAGACTAACGGGGACTGAAAGAAGATCCCTAGCCTTGTGCCTTCTGAGTTAACAACCACAGGGTTCCAGAGCATCAACTCCAGATCAGACAATTCCAGGCAGCTACAGATGTCTGCCTTGGTGAGTCTTGCCCAGGATCTGGAAGTCCAAGATGAAAGCGCCAGTGATTCAGCTCCTGGTGAGGGCTGTCTTCCTGTCATGCCAATGGCCATGTTGTAGCTGTGTTCTCACATGGCACAGAAGGAGAGAGAGAAGTGGGTAGAGGGGCAAGAGAAGAAAGGGAGAGAAGGAGAGGGACCTGGTATCTCTTCCTCTTCTCATAAGGGCACTAATCCCATTATGAAACCCCAACCCTCATGACCTCATCTAAACTTAATTGTCTCCCAAAGGCCCCATCTCCAAATACCATCACTTGGAGATTAGTTAATCAAAATTATCATGAATTTTGGGGGAACACAATTCAGTGCAGAACACCAAGTGTATGGGAGGCTCTCATAATCTCTGCCCATCTCAGGTCCTGCAGCAACTAAGACTCATTCCTTCTTGTGGGCATCCCAGGAGAAAGATTTATGTGTCTTCACAACTTTAGTGTAAAGATTTGGTGTAAAGGTTTCCAGCCTTTACACCAAAATCCTTGGGCAGAGATGAAAAACATGCAGTAGAGAATACACTTGGGACTTTTACACTTTTCTGTCCCCTCAAATGTTAGAAATCAAAACCCATAAACTAGATGACAGCATTAATCTAGTCTAGCTGTGATTACATCAATCTTTTCACATAGTGGCAGTTCTAAGTATCAGTATAGAGAAGCTTAGATGTTGCATCTTATTGGAACGTGGAACTAGAGCTGTGTTTGCTTTGCACTCATTATTAGACTAATTACATGTCAATTATCCATGTCATAAAAAATAAGCAGATGGTGAAAGATGAGTTAGAGTGTTTTTGTGGTTTGGATATGGAGGGGGCTTCCCATCTTATCATCCTCATTTTCTGTTCTGAAGTCTCAAAATCTACTTAAAAAAAAATAAAACCACAATCCCAATCCTCTGATAACCCATTATTCCATTAACCAATTAACCGTTAATCCATAAATGGATTAAGACATCAAACGGGCAGAGCCCTCAAGACCCAATCACTGCTTAAAGGCCCTACCTCTCAATATTGCTACATTGGGGATTAAGTTTCAACATGAGTTTCAGAAGGGACAAATATTCAAACCACAACATCCCTGAATGGCAATTAATTGTAAAGAGAAATTAATTGTTATCTTAGATGACATGATCGTGATTTCAATTTGAAACCTTTTGAAGGTCTAGGGGATAAAGGGACTATGAATGCAGCCCTGGCTTTGGCTCCCTCAGGGTGGCCTCTGTGTGCAACACCCAGGTTAGATTATCTGCTAAGATTTCCTCTGGGCTGGCCAATCTGAAAGCAATATGGAATTGTGTAATCCAAGGGCTCCTGAACACAAGGGAAAAGGTGTTTCATCCAGTCTCACAGCAGGAGACATCAGCTTTTGAGTTTTTACACTTTTCTGGCCAAGTGCCTGGTCCTAATCAGATCATAGGAAGCATAGTGGTGATATTAATTCTAGAAGCAAATTGTAACAGAAGATGGAATTACTGGTATTAACATAAAACCCTAACATCTTAGACGAAACTCAATCTGTGATAGGGTGGTTTAAGTGATAAAAAGAAAAGGTACTCCTTAACCTGTGGAGGGAAAGCTCTTTTGAGGAACCCTGGTTAATAGTTTATTATTGCCCCAAACCACATTGCTAGTCCTGGAGCAGAGACTGCAATCTTGTTCTCCAGGCAGAGAAAAGCTTGAGGAGAGGTGTGTCCTCAAAGACAACTTGGGATGTTAGTGAGAAGCAGGGCAGTGGTAGTCACTCAATTCTTTCATTTCCTTCTTGTCTTTTATTTTCTATTTATTTTTATTGTGGTAAAATACATATAACAAAATTTACCATCTACCATGAATTCTGAGTCTATCTAGAAGTAAAGTTCCTTAGCATATTCTTGATTACACAAAGATAGTTTTTATAATTTGGAAATCTTTGAGGTACTTTGGAGAAGAAGAACTAAATAAGGAATGATCTCCATCATAGACTTCTTGCTCCTAGTACTTTGGAGAGGAAGAACTAAACAAGGAATGATCTCCAACATAGAAACTTCTTGCTCCTGTTGCCTCTATCTAGAAGGCAGAGTCCCAAGCAAGTTTACAATAACATCATGAGGGTCCCCACTGGGGTGTGAGGAGCTCCTTCCAGGGCATTGGTTGAAGGCAGTGGTGCTGTTGATGCAAGGATACCCCCAGAATTGGCATTCAGCCAGGGAAGCCAAGTGGATACTTTGCTTGTACCAGAAAGAATTCAAGAGCAAGCCAAAAGAGTAATGTGAAAGCAAGTGTATTAAGGAAACAAAAAGAAGGCTACCCCCGTAGTCAGGGTAGCACCAAGGGACAGGGCAGCTAGCTGGCTATTTTATGGCTATTTCTTGATTATATGCTAAATGAGGGGTCGACTATTTCTTTAGTTATCTGGGAAAGAGGCAGGAGCTTGTGGACCGGGGGTTTATCTACCTTACAGAAGATACAGAGTAACTCTTGGGGATTGCCATGGCACTTATAAACAGTCATTGCTCTGGTGGTAGTCTTTTAGCATGCCAATGCATAATAATTAGCATATAACGAGCAATGAAGGTAACCAGAGGTAGCTTTTATGCCATTTTCCTTCTAGCTGGTTTGGGCTTTTTTAAAACAATTTTTAAATTTTTTTTAAGGAATCTTGTACCGGGTACTGTGACCTGTGTCTTGGGGACCTAGCATCCTGTTTGTCTTGAGAAACTAGTCCTGCCAAACTCCTATCTCACTGTGAGTAATGAGCAAGAAAAGTTTTTTTTCCCTTTCAGGGTTCTTCAGTATTTCAAGCCTTGATTGTGAGCAGTTTAAGGAGACGTCCTGGGTATGTGTCTGTTCAGCTCTGCAAGCGCTGGCATCTCCTGGCTGGTTTGGGACCCACTGAACCCTGCTATTGGCAGAATCCATCTTTTTTTTTTTTTCCGAGAGGGAGTTTCGCTCTTGTTGCCAGGTTGGAGGCCAATGGCGCGATCTCGGCTCACTGCAACCTCCGCCTCCCAGGTTCAAGTGAGTCTCCTGCCTTAGCCTCTCAAGTAGCTTGGATTACAGGCATGCACCACCATGCCTGGCTAATTTTGTATTTTTAGTAGAGACGGGGCTCACCATGTTGACCTGGCTGGTCTCGAACTCCTGACCTCAGGTGACCCATTTGCCTCAGCCTTCCAAAGTGCTGGGATTACAGGCGCGAGCCACCATGCCTGGCCTAATCCATCTTGTCTTAAAGCGACTGGAGCTACTTTGTGGTTTCAGCCACTGACTTCTGGACATGTGGGTTTTGATGGCGATTGGGTCCCTCTTGAGTCTGAGAACAGCTCTGAGCCTGCTGGAAACCCAAAACAGCAGCCCACACACACCTGATTTTACATCCTCACAGAGCAAAGGGCATTGGCAGGAGTGGTGTTCAGCACAGCAAGTGATCTAGTGCCCAGGCACAGGTTTGTTCTTGGTCCTGTCCTGGTGGCATGTGACAAGCACTCTGGACCTGCCTACCTCCAAGACTGTTCTTCCAGGGTTGGTGGACAGAACTCCATGGGTTCAGCCTTGTGATGAGGCCAGCCATGTAGCTGAACTAGGAAAAGAGGTAAATGACTCAGGCTAGTACTGAGTGTGTGTGTGTGTGTGTGTCTGTGGGTGGGTGTTTGAGATGGAGTCCTGCTCTGTCACTCAGGCTGGAGTGCGGTCGCATGATCTTGGCTCACTGCAACCTCTGCCTCTCGGGTTCAAGCGATTCTTCTGCCTCAGCCTCCCGAGTAGCTGAGACTCCAGGTGCGTGCCACCACCCCCGGCTAATTTTTGTATTTTTAGTAGAGATAGGGTTTCACCATGTTGGTCAGGCTGGTCTTGAACTCCTGACCTCGTCATCTGCCAGCCTTGGCCTCCCAAAGTGCTAGGATTACAGGCATGAGCCACCACGCCGGCCTGAGTGTGTTTTTATAATATGCTTTTTCTTGTATATAGGCCAGAAACCAGCTATTCAAATAAGCAGGAGATTAACACTAATTTGCCTTGCAAATCAGTTCAGAGTAGGATTAAGGTGAAAATTGTATCATTCTGGAAGATACTCTGAAAACGCTGCTGGGTTGCTATGATTGAATCAGCCAAGGAAAGAGAGCAATGGAGATGTTCCACTGCTGGCATGATCCAGTTACTCACTGTCCATTCACTATAGAAAGTGTATCCTTATTTCAGGGCACCCTAGACAATTACACCTACTATGTCTCATTCTTCTTGCATATTTTAGAGGCATTGACTGGTTGTAGATAGGAGACACAATGAGGTTAGATCATAGTCCAAGATCAGAAAGCTAATTCTGCTAGAATCTGGATTCAGAATCCAGGTCCTGCAGCATGTCAATCACATTGAGTAATGAATAAAATATTAGTCTAGGCTAGGTTGTGAAAAGAAGCATCTCATCTGTCTCTACTAAAAATACAAAAAAAAAAAAAAAAAAAAAAAAAAAAGCCGGGCGTGGTGGTGGCCGCCTGTAGTCCCAGCTACACAGGAGGCTGAGGCAGGAGAATGGCGAGAACCTGGGAGGCGGAGCTTGCAGTGAGCCGAGATCACGCCACAGCCCGGGCGACAGAGCAAGACTCTGCCTCAAAAAAAAAAAAAAAAAAAAAAAAAAAATGGAGCATCCCAGGACTTTTGTAAAGCCATACATTTTCTTCTTTCTTTCTTCCTTCCTTCTTTTTCTTTTCTTTTTTTTGTGTTTCACTTTTGTTGTCCAGGCTGGAGTTCAATGGCGCGATCTTGGCTCACCGCAACCTCCGCCTCGCAGGTTCAAGCGATTCTCCTGCTTCAGCCTCCCGAGTAGCTGGGATTACAGGCATGTGCCACCACGCCCAGCTAATTTTGTATTTTTAGTAGAGATGGTATCCATGTTGGCCAGGCTGGTCTAAAACTCCCGACCTCAGGTGATCCGCCCACCTTGGCCTCCCAAAATGTTGAGATTACATGCGTGAGCCACTGCGCCCGGCAGCCATATATTTTCTATTTGTGTCTACACTCATCTAACTATATGAAAGGGAGACCTCAAGGGTGCTATGATTTTTATACCTAAGGGTATAATAAGCTGAATTGACTTAACATTTTTAATAGTGCTTTGTGCAGGCCCCAATCCTATTTTATGTAATTAGGTGCATTTTATTACTTATTGTCTTTTATCTCCTTTCATACTTCTACTGAAATTCTTATTACTATTTTATTTCCAGCTATTTTATTTTTATTTCTATTGTGTGTTTTGTAGCAATCAGTCTTATATGTGACACATTTTTTGTGTAGATTTTCAATTATTACAAAAAGTATTGGAGTGTGTATCTTGTTTATTATTTTCCATTTATTGACAAGTTTCTAAGATTTTTATAGGAACATTTTACCTGCTGCTTCCAACTTCAGCATATCAGCTTCTGATGAGCCTCTGCCACACGTTCCCTCTCCAGTGTCCCACAGGGGAGACTCAGATGCAACCTAATCACCAATATCACATACATTAGTCTCATTCTCATGAGAATTTATTTAGGATATACATCATCCTCCAGCTGAACTGTGCATTGAAAATGCATAACCTAATTTTATGGAGTATTGCCAGATTGTTTTTAAAAATAGATTAAGTATTTGTCCTCCAAAAATAGATCATGATAATTACTGTATACATTTATTCCCTATAGACACTTGGATTGATCCAGTGTCTAATATTTGAGGCATGTTTCTGAAGAGAGAAGCCCAGGGTGGTTCAGCTGCTGTCTGATTTAGTGTTTACTGATTTCTGACAGCATCTTGTTTTAGGGAGCCAGTTTGCAATGTGGTTCAGAAAATCATTCCCTGACATTCAGTCTAAAATCTATGTCTACACATTTTTATCATATTTTAAGTGAATTTTATCCCATAATAGTTTTCTGCTTATACTATATGAGTGTTTTCTTTTCCTAAAACCCATAAAAGAAATTGACCAGTAATATCACATTTAATATGGTGAGTCTTAATCCATAGTTGAACCATTTGAATTTAGATTTGTCCATCTGAAGATAAAATTGAATCTCAAGTTTTTGCAATATATCAATATATCCATGGTCACAGGACAAATAATAATATGTAAATGTTTCTTAAAAGTACTTTCAGAATGAGCTGAGGGTCTCTTAGCAGATGACAAAATACTATTGTAAGGTGTTCTCTGTTTCTTTGAAGAGAGAAAGGAATTCATCCTGCTTCCCCCTGCTCTGCTGAAAATGTATGAGATGTGGCCTAACTTTGTAGTTGTCATGCTAACTTAAATGCATGAAAATCTGTGAATACCAACTGAATGCTAGTGTTCCCTGCCTCTTCTGTTTGGTACACTGGGGTTTTTGTTGTGAGAATTGTGTTATCTCCCAACAGTGGATATATTCTGTCCTTTTCTTCCTCCCAAGTGAACTGTGCTGAGAAGCAGTTATTCATAAGGCCTCTCAGAAGATGGTTTCATGAGATCAAACAACCATTAGTGTTCACAGCGGTTTCCAATTTGTGGAGTCAGTGTTCATACAAGTAGTAGGGGATTCTGTTTAAGAGAATTATAAAAATGTTTTAAGACAAATGTTTTACAAACTCTTTGGAAGTTTGCCTTACAGTTAAACTTTATTGGTTTAATAATAAAGTCACCTCTGGTCATACTTGATACTAAGCTTGAACAACTAGGAAGCACAGCATTGAATATGCTCATCCCTGACCCTCTCCTTTTTCTTCTCACTCCCACTTCCTAAGGACAGCACTCTTGAATAAAGCAATCTCACATGAGTGTTTATTTCAGTAATGTTTTTTGGGGGAAGCCAGGCCATTAAAACATACCTTTCTGCTCACCTTATGTACTTCACTGTTTTTCCCCTGCTGTTGGAATCCTCAAAAATTCACTCTGTATTAAAATTTGTTTCAGAGTACCTTCAAAAATAGAATGACTCAGGCCAATCTTGACTCTCGATATGCTGCAAATGAGACATGTTCCCTACATTTAAACAGTCTTTGACTGAGTGGTACAACTACATAGAAAGTCCTTTTTAAATACCAACAAGTTTAAGTATTTATACGACCTTTTCGTGCGTCATTCCAGTGCCCCCTCTTCAATTTTTTCATCATCCAATATCTTTCCCAAACCACAGGGCCAAATCAACTATATGTTAACATTCTGAATCCAGTAATATACTTTAAAAAAATGCATCATAATCTAATGGAGTTTATCAGGAACTCAACTTTGGTTTGGCGTTTGAAAATCAATCTCTATTATTCTCCACATTAACAGCAGAAAAAATATACGATAATCTCAGTAGATACAAAAAATCTTTTAAAAAATTCAACCCTGCTTCATTAATATAAAAGTCATCTTAGCAAATTAGAAATTGCAAATTCCCTTAATTTGATAAAGCATTTCTATATGAGATGTACATCTAACATCTCATCAAATTGTGAAATACTGAAAACTGCCAATTTCTTATTGAAATAAGAAAACTGCCAATAACTGGACCCATTCTCTCACACCCTGCCCCACCCTATTACAGCCTGATCCAATAGAAACCCAAGGAGTTTCAATAGTGCCTTCTGGAATGATAAACTTTCCACCACAACCCTATCATGGTTTAAAGCAATTAGCAAGGTAATAAGTGTTAATCCCCACATGATTGGATTCTGGTATCCGACTTCCTGTACAAGACAGAATGCTATAAAAACCCACAGTCAGGGATGAATTGAGCCATTTGCTCTTTTCCTAGACTAGCTACTTGGCCGGACCTGGTCAAGCTTTGGGAGGCTGAGGCTATGGAGTTCCATCCATCAACTCTGGAAGAGCTGTCTTGGAGGCAGGCAGGTCCAGAGCCCCACATGCCATGGGACCTGAACCGAGAGCAAGTCTGGGCCTGGGCACTGGATAACTTCCCTGTGCTGAGCCGCCACTCCTGTCAATGCCATCAGCTCTGTGGGAGCTCTGCTGCGAGCTGGCTGCTGCACTGAGCCTCCACCAGGCACGGAGCCCTTCCCGGAGATGAGAGGGGCCAAAAACGGCCTCCAGACTCCCATTTTGAGGAGTCAATGGCTGAAACCACAGACGGTCTTCAGTCCCCTCAAGAAGACGCAGATGCTACCGACGGTGAGTTCCAAAGCGGCCTGAAGCTGCCTGGAGATGCCAGCGCCTGCGGAGGTGGAAGTACACATGCCCAGGGCGCTCTCTGCAGTTCAGGACCCTCCCACCCCGCCCCGGAAGCTGCTGAAAACCCAGGGTTCCATCAGGAAGGAACCCGGAAAGGAGAGGAACCCCAGCCTTTCTGCAGGCCTGCGACACGACCTGCTTAACTGCTGCCCTGGAAGGAGCCCGAGGCACTCCAGTGGGTGCCCTCATGGCGTCGCTGCGGACTTTTACACTGGAACTGTTCCTTGCACGCATAAGAGCCTTGAGGCCTCTGCTGTGGAGATCATTCTTTAATTTGTTCTTCCTCTCCTGAACGTCCTGAACATTTTTCATTTAGAAAAACTCTCTTCATGGAATGAATAATATGCAGTGTGCTAAGGAACCCTTCTTTTAGATCTGCTTAAAATTGTGATGGTTCTTTTATTGAAATTATACACATTGTTTAAAGCCTTTTCCTTATTTTCCACCTGTGAAATCAAGACCGGTAAATCAAGATTGGTATAGATGGGCCCAAAGCTGACAGAAAGGGGGCAGGGATCCAACTCAGAGCTTTTTTTTCCTTCTTCTTTTTCCTTTTTTTTTTTTCTTTTGAGGTGGGGTCTCACTTTTTTGCCCAGGCTGGCATGCAATGGTACGATCATGCTTTAGTCTAAATCCCAGGGGGCCTTTCAGGAGCTGTGGATACTAACAAGGTGGGAGGGGACAGCTGGGTGGATCACTTGCTGGAGTTTCGAAGCTGACTGTGACCTCCCAGATGAAGGCAGGAAACAGACATTAATAATGTTCTTTAAATCGAGCTCCCCAACCTTTCTGGCACCAGGGATTTGTTGCGTGGAAGGCAATTTTTCCATGGATGGCTGGTAAGGGTTGGGGGGATGTTTTATGATGAAACTGTTCCACCTCAGATCTTCAGGCATTAGATTCTTATGAGGAGCATGCAAGGTAGATCCCTTGCAGTGCCAGTTCACATTAAGGTTGGTGCTCCTATGAGAATCTAATGCCATAGTTGATCTGACAGGAGGCAGAGCCCAGGCAGTAATGCTTTCTTGCCTGCTGCTCACCTCCTCCTGTGTGGCCTGGTTCCTATTAGTCCACAGGCTGGTATTAGTCTGTTTCTGGGGGATTGAGACCCCTGCTTTAAATTGTTTATAAGTTACATCGTATAATAATAAGTGGTGAAGGAGGAGGTTGGGATGCCCTTCACGTGGGGTTGATGGCACACAGTGAAGCTGGCTGGGATGCTGGGAGTCAGGTGGGGCAGGTGTAGCCTCTTTGTCTCATTTATCCTGCACTGCCCCGACATCTCTAAGGCTGCCTGCTCCATCATAATCTGGACTTCAGAGCATGACTTTGACCACTCATAGGAAACTGTTACAACAATTGGAATGCACAAATGCCCAAACCCTATGAACATGAGCATGGCTGGGGTTGGTGTACTGGACAGACATAGATCCCTCTGGAGAGTTGCACAACCACAGACTTCTCCACCAAGAGTAGGAACTGCCTTCCATTGTGAAGTCTCTTATTGGTACAGCAAGAACCAAAACATGTACTAGAATATTCTGTAGTTAATCCTATAGAGAAAACAATGGAACTTAAATCTACGAATATTTCATTTACAAATATGGTTTTAGTAGATGAGAGATATACACAAACCACATCATCAGGACACAGAAAAAAACTAGTTTGCCTCAAGAAGCTGTAAGTAGTGAAAGGAAGGAGCCTCAGCAGATACCTTGAAAAAACCGGTGGCAAGAACAGTATCTTCAAATGCTAATAAAGGCTGAGAAGCACTGGAATGGGTCATACATAAATTACATGTTAATATTGAAGAATTGACAGCTTCCAAAAGAGGAAGCCTAAGAATTCTGATGGTGGCTGCAGAATTTGTAAAGAATTGATAATGAATGTGTGTAGACAATATCAAGTACCTCGGGTCTCTCCAAGTTATATTTATTTTAAAAATGTAACTATATTTTAAGTACAATTATTAAAAAACAGGCAGATATAAGACTATGCAATTTTAGATAAAGAGAAATAGTTGCAAGACATCTAAATAAAAGGGATCATCTGAAATTAGTGTTGTTTGAAATGACTAATTTTGAACATTCTAGTATTTATGTGAAAATTTAACAATTTCTTTGAAAGAAATTCTTTGAAAGAATTTTCAATTACTTTGAAAGAAACTAGATGTTGGCATTAAGTCAGGGTACATGTGTGGGATCGTTGTTTAGGTGAACATGTGTCATGGGGGTTTGCTGTATGCAGTATTTCATCACTGTGTTAGGCCATTTTCATACTGCTAGGAGAAATACTGGGTCATTTATAAAGTAAAAGAGGCTTAATGGACTCACAGTTCCATATGGCTGGAGGGGCCTCACAATCATGGCAGAAGGGAAAGGAGGAGCAAAGGCACGTCTTACATAGCACCATGCAACAGAGCATGTGCAGGGGAACTGCCCTTTGTAAGACCATCAGATCTCATGAGACTTATTCACTATCATGAGAACGGCATGGGAAAAACGGCCCCATGGTTCTATTACTTCCCACTTGGTCCCTCCCAACACACAAGGGGATTATGGGAGCTACAATTCAAGATGAGATTTGGGTGGGGACACAGCCAAACCATATCAATCACTCAAGTACGGAGCCTAGTACCCATTAGTTATTTTTCCTGCCTCTCTCTCCATTTACCATCCACCCTCCGATAGGCTCCAGTGTCTGTTTTTCCCCTCTATATGTTCTTGTGTTCTCATCATCCAGCTCCCACTTATAAGTGGGAACAAAATTGACTTTTTTTTTTTATTGTGAACTTCCTTGAAACTGTGCCCTCTGTGATGGAGATCATTCTTTATTTAGTGCTTCCTCTCCAAAGTGCCTTAAAGTTTTCACAATTATAAAAACTATCTTTATGCAATCAAGAATATGCTAAGGAGCTTTACTTTTAGGTTAACTCAGAATTCATAGTTCTTTATACATGACAACTGAAGCCTATTCCTTATTCTCAACTTGTGGAATTGATTTGGATTGGGTGGAGTCAAGATTAGAAGTACATATAGGTGGGTAGGAGCATGAAAAAGTCTGTGATACAGGTCAGAATTGGAGGCTGAACTCCAGGGTGCCTTTGTATAGTTGTGGATGATACCAACAGAGTGGGAAGGGGCAGTGGACCACTGTGCTGGAGTTCTCTTGAAACTGACCATGACCTCCCTGGTGACAGAAAAGAACAGTCATCAATAAAATCTCCTTGAATGGTATGCAGTTTACATTAACAGGGTACAGGTGGAAATTAAATTTAGGGGGACATGAGGAAGACCCCTCAGCCCTGTGCCTTTTGAATTGATAGCCATGAGGTTCCAGGGTACCAGCTTCAGGTCAGACAATTCCAGGAAGCTGTAGACTCTTGCCAGTGTGAAGTTTGCCCACCTCAAGGATGCACATGAATTGTACTTTAAGATCCAGCAAAACTGAAGGCTCATGGGTATGGTCACTTGGCCCAGGGAGGCTATGCTCTCACAGTCTCCACCCATCTCAAGACCGGCAGCATCTGACACTCACTTCTTTCTGTAGGTGACTCAGGAGAAAGATTTATGCACCACCATAGCTTCAGCCTCTAGCCATGCACATCAAAATCTCTGGACTTAGATAAAAAGGCATACAGGAGAAATCACGCTTTGGGTTTTGAAATTTTACTGTCATGCAGATGTTAGAAATCAAGACCCAGAAACTAGGGGTTGGCATTAACTTTGTGTAGCTCTGAAGACATTTTTCTTTCCTATAGTGACAGTTCTAAATTTCAATGTAGAGAAGCTTAGGTGCCGCAATGTAATTCTGAAGTCTCACAGTCTGCTTTTCCTTCTCTCCCTCTCCTTACTGATTGTCTAACTATAAAGAAAGCCACAGAGTTTGCCTTCAAAATAAAAACGTGGAAAACAGTATGGTGTCCCCTCAAAAATTAAAAATAGAATATCACTCAATCTAGCAAATCTGTTTCTGGGTATACATCCCAAATGTTTGAAAGCGGTGATTCAAAAAGGTATTTATACACCCATGTTTGTGGCAGTATTATTATTATTATTATTATTATTTTTGAGACGGAGTCTCGCTCTGTCGCCCAGGCTGGAGTGCAGTGGCGCGATCTCGGATCACTGCAAGCTCCGCCTCCCGGGTTCACACCATTCTCCTGCCTCAGCCTCCCGAGTAGCTGGGACTATGGGCACCCGCCACCAAGCCCGGCTAATTTTTTGTATTTTTAGAGACGGGGTTTCACCGTGTTAGCCAGGAAGGTCTCGATCTCCTGACCTCGTGATCCTCCCGCCTCGGCCTCTCAAAGTACTGGGATTACAGGCATGAGCCACCGCGCCCAGCCCATCTATAGCAATCTTGATCTACCAGCTCAAAAATCAACTCCACAGGTGGAGGATAAGGGAAAGGCTTTAATCAGAGTGTATAGTTTCAATGGAGGGACCATAGCAATTTTGAGTAGATCTAAAAGAACAGTTCCTAAGCATATTACACATTATTCATTCCATGAAGAGAGTTTTTCTAAATGAAAAATGTTTAGGACGTTCAGGAGAGGAAGAACAAATTAAAGAATGATCTCCACAGCAGAGACCTCAAGGCTCTCATGTGTGCAGGGCACAGTTCCAGTGCAAATGTCCGCAGGGACGGCAAGAGGGTCCCCACTGGGGTGCCTCGGGCTCCTTCCAGAACAGCAGTTGAAGCGGGTCCTACTGCAGGCCTGCAGCAAGGCTGGGGTTCCTCTCCTTTCCGAGTTCCTTCCTGATGGAATCGTGGATTTTCAGCAGCTTCCGGGAGCGGCCTGAACTGCAGAGGGCGCCCTGGGCATGTGTACTTCCACCTCCGCAGGCGCTGGCATCTCCGGGCTGGTTCAGGCCGCTTTGGACCCCACCGTCGGTAGCATCTGCGTCTTCTTGAGGTGACTGGAGCCCCTTTGTGGTTTCACCATTGACTCCTGGACATGGGAATCTCGAGGGCGTTTTTGGCCCCTCTCATTTCCGGGAAGGGCTCTGTGCCCCGTGTGGGTGCCGTCCAGCAGCCAGCTCGCAGCAGAGCTCCCGCAGAGCTGATGGCATTGGCAGGAGTGGCGGCTCAGCACAGGGAAGTTATCCAGTGCCCAGGCCCAGGCTTGCTCTCGATTCAGGTCCCATGGCATGTGGGGCTCTGGACCTGCCTGCCTCCAAGACAGCTCTTCCAAGGTTGATGGATGGAACTCCATAGCCTCAGCCTCCCAAGGCCTGACCGGCTCAGTCACACAGCTAGCCTAGGAAAACAGCAAATGGCTCAGTTCTTCCCTGACTGTGGGTTTTTGTAGTATTCTGTCTTGTACAGGAAGTCGGATACCAAAATCCAATCATGTGGGGATTAACACTTATTTACCTTGCTAATTGCTTCAGGCGGTGATAGGATTATGGTGAAAATGTTATCATTCTGGAAGGCACTATTGAAACTCCTTGGATTTTTATCAGGTGAGGTGGTAAGAGCGTGGGGCAGGGGGTGAGAGAATGGGTCCAGTTATTGGGAGTTTTCCTATTTCAATAAGAAATTGTTAGTTTTCAATATTTTAATATTTTACAATTTGGTGAGATGTTATGTGTACATCTCTTATAGATATGATGTATCAAATTAAGGGAATTCACTGTTTCTAATTTGCTAAGATGATTTTTACATTAATAATATACAGGGTTGAATTAAAAAAATTTTTTGGTATCTACTGAGATTATCTTATATTTTTTCTGCTGTTAACGTGAGGAATAATATTGATTGATTTTCAAATGCCCAACCAATGTTGAGTTCCTGACAAACACTATTAGATTATAACACATTTTTAAAAAAGCACTGGATTCAGAATACTAACATGCCATTTATGATTTTGCTCTGTGATTGGGAGAGATATTGACTGATCAAAAAATTGAGGAGGGGCACTAGAGTGATGCATGAAAATGGGCTTATTAATACGTAAACTTGTCAATATTTAAAAGGTCTTTCCTGTGACTGTCCTACCCAGTCAGACTTTTCAGATACAGGGAACATGTCTCATTTGGAGCATTTCAAAAGGCAAGATTGGCCTAAGTCATTCTATTTTTGAAGGCACCCTGAAGCAAATTTTAACCCAGAATGAATTGTTGAGGATTCCTCCTGCAGGGGAAGAACACTGAGGCACATGAGGTAAGCAGAGAGGCATATTTA
This sequence comes from Homo sapiens, assembly GCF_000001405.40. Taxonomy (NCBI): domain Eukaryota; kingdom Metazoa; phylum Chordata; class Mammalia; order Primates; family Hominidae; genus Homo; species Homo sapiens. Next base: position 42,892,948 of record NC_000005.10, on the reverse strand, counting down.
ATGGCCTGGCTTCCCCAAGGAAACGTTACTGAAGTAGACACCCAGGTGAGATTGTTTTATTTAAAAGTGCATTTCAAGAGTGAAATGGGCTTTGCAGATGCCACCGCTGCCAGAAGCCCTGTACTATCAGCCATGGTCAACCCCACCATGTTCTTCGACACTGACATCTCTGTTGACGGTGAGCCCTTGGGCCGTGTCTCCTTTGAGCTGTTTGCAGACAAGTTTCCACAGATAGCAGAAAACTTTCGTGTTCCGAGCAGTGGAGAGAAATGATTTGGTTATAAGGGTTCCTGCTTTCACAGAATTATTCCAGGGTTTATGTATCAGGGTGGTGACTGCACACAGCATAATGGCACTGGTGGCAAGTCCATCTATGGGGAGAAATTTGATGATGAGAACTTCATACTAAAGCATACAGGTCCTGGCATCTTGTCCATGGAAAGTGCTGGACCCAACACAAATGGTTCCCAGTTTTTCATCTACACTGCCAAGACTGAGTGGTTGGATGGCAAGCATGTGCTCTTTGGCAAGGTGAAAGAAGGCAGGAATATTGTGGAGGCCATGGAGCACTTTGGATCTGGGAATGGCAAGACCAGCAAGAAGACCACCATTTCTGACTGTGGACAATTCTAATAAGTTTGACTTGTGTTTTATCTTAACCACCAGACCATTCCTTCTGTAGCTCAGGAGAGGACCTCTCCACCCCATTTGCTTGCAGTATCCTATAATCTTTGTGCTCTCGCTGCAGTTCCCTTTGGGTTCCATGTTTTCCTTGTTCCCTTCCATGCCTAGCTGGATTGCAGAGTTGTTTATGATTATGAAATAAAAACTAAATAACAAACAAAAGGGAGTGAAATGTCCAGTTCAACAACAGAAGACAAAACTGGTAAACTGAATAGAGGTGAAAAATTGAGTGACTTCTCCTTCCCAACCAGGCTGCCCCCAAAATCACCCTTTGGGTTTCCCTTCCACTCTCTTTTAATCCAAACACCACCCCCTCACTGTTACTTCCATAAATAAACATACCTCTGCCCCATAGGCCTGGGTTTAGTCTCTTCTCTAGTACTACTGTAAAAGTGAAACAGCAAAATAGCCAACAGCACTAACTGTACTTTTTTGTTTATGGGAACTTTACTCATTCTTGCATGCAGGCTAGGATAATTTCGGAGCACTGAAATAAAATGGTGAAACGCTGTCTCTACTAAAAATACAAAATAGTTGGGCATGGTGGTGCACACCTGTAATCCCAGCTATTTGGGAGGCTGAGGCAGGAGAATCACTTGAATCCAGGAGGTGGAGGTTGCAGTGAGCCAAGATCATGCCACTGTACTCCAGCCTGGGCGACAAAGTAAGACTCTGTCTCAAAAAAAAAAAAAAAAGAAAGAAAAAAACAAACAAACAAACAAAAAAATACAACAACAACAACAACAACAAAAAACTCATCCCACCATACCCACTGACCTCACTTTAAATGTATGGTCACCAGCTTCAAGTCCTCATCTTACCTTATTTGACCTCTCAGCAGCATTTGACCCAGTTGATTACTTTAACCTCCTTGACGTTTTCACTTGGTTGAAAATATGCATACCAGTTTTCTTCCACTTTTTAAAATTTGCCCTTCTCTGCTGCTTCCTCCATATAGCTGAAAATGATTGGAAACATATTAAATATGTGAAAATCCATAATGATACTACAAAATAACTCATTGTACACATGGAAAGTTTTTAGAACACAAAAGAATTATTGGGAAACTGGTAAATAAAAGAAAACATTAAATATTTATCCTGATTTTCTTGCACAACTATATTTCAGGATAAACAAATAGTTGATAAGAAAATGTCCTTCCTTTTATAAGAAGTCTATCTAATAAAGGAATGAGAAAATCATAATATCACCGTTTGTAATCCCCAATGAAGTAATGAATCTAGATAATGTCCTTCAATGGCTCCTGAAATCATCAGGTGATAATCTGATGGGGAACTTTATAATAAATGGATTGGGCTGACACTTTTAAAACCACTAAGTGGAGACAACCAGACAATAAAATGACACAATATGAGTCTCCGGCTCAATCTAAAAAGTATTATTGCCAAAAAAGCTCAGACTTCAATTTGATCTAGCTTCACTTGTAACTACCAGCCAAGAGAATTACACCCTGGGGATGTAATTAGTCAAACCTAGAGTGTCAAACTTACAACAGAATTTCTTTAACAAATACATTTTAAGGAAAAAGTGGAGGGGAGACTATTATAGATTTTTTAAAAAGAGAGAGAGAGAGATAGGCCGGGTGCATTGAATGCCTGTAATCATAACACTTTGGGAGGCTGAGGCAGGAGAATTTTTTTAAGGCTAGGAGTTTGAGACCACTCTAGGCAACAGAGCAAGTCCCTGTTTCTTTAAGAAATATATTAAAAAAAAATTAGCCAGGTGTGGTGGCGTGCCCCTGTAGTCTTAGCTACACAGGGGACTGATGCAGGAGGGTTGCTGGAACCCAGGAGTTCAAGGCTGCAGTGAACTATGATGGCACCACTACATTCCAGTTTGAGTGACAGAGCAAGACTCTGTCTAAATATATATCTATATCTATGTGTATACACATACATATGTATATATCTATAGATATAGATATGTGTGTATATATATATATAGAGAGAGAGTGTTTTAGGCAGGTTCTCTAGAAAGCAGAGGCTGAAGCTAGGATTAAGATGCCAGCGGCTCATTTGGGTTGTGCACACTCAGGTCAGTTATTGGAAAGGAGGGACGGAGGTGAGGGAAGGGAAGATACTAAGCAGTGTGATGTGATGGGTGCCATTGTGCTGCCTCTGCCTTCACAAGCCAAGAAGTCAGCAGGTGGCTACTTGGTGCAGGGCTTCTCCAGCTGGATTGTAAGGAAAAGCCATACCTTGGACGGCTTGCTGAAGAAAAAAAGAAGTCACTTATTTGCTTGGTCCTTGTTCTTCACTGGTCATATTTTACCCTTGGAGGAGCTAACTCCTGCCCTTCTGGATTGTCACATTCAGTCTCCTGACCTTTCTGGACATCAGCTCCCATACTTAGTGGGGAAATTTTCCACCCAAGACCAAAAGTAGCATTAAATCAAGAGGGAGAAAGAAAAGTTATTGAAAAGATGCATAAGTTTGCGTCTCAAAGCAGTTCACCCCCTTTCCCATGCAGATCCTCTCATATGCTACCTATATATCCAGCTCCCAAGTCACAATATGGGATTCCTTTTTATCCCTTTGGAATGAAAATGTTCTCACTCGTTTCCTGTGAGGAGAGGTTCAGGTCTAATTAATCACAGACTCTTCTTTAAGGCTGCTAATCATGATCTCCTAGAAGAGGAAGGCAAGACAGTAAAGCAAATACATCATTCCCAACCAACCTCTGTAGCTAGTCTCAAGGCAGTTAAATTGCTCCCCAATGGCGACACTAGGTGGAGCCATAGGACCAGGTGGGATTCCTTATCTTCTCAGTAAGGGTGGTGGATGCATAGCCAGAGGAAAACATGGGTTATGAGATAATTTGTATAGTAAAGCCTCAGAAAATATTTTCTTTCTTTCTTTTTTTTTTTTGTTAAAGTGTTATGTGTATGTGGGACAGGAGTAGGGGGTGCGGGAGGATGGGCTGACCATTTTTGACTCATCTTGAAACAGTTTTCTTTCCCCTGGAATTTTAGTTTATCTAGTTCTCTTTGATTCTACAGGTCTCCAAATCCCCTAAAAATATGATAGTTTTAAATTTCCAGCTTTTCCCATTCTTACAGTGAAATATTGGCTTACAGGATTTACTTCATTTTGCTTAGAAGAGTTCTCATATTAACTTGTCGGGTGCAGTGGCTCACACCTGCAATACCAGCATGTTGGGAGGCTGAGCAGGGGCAGATTGCTTGAGGCCAGGAGTTCAAGACCAGCCTGGCCAACAAGGCGAAATCCCCTCTCTACGTCGTAGTGCACACCTGTAATCCCAGCTACTCGGGAGGCGAGCCAGAGGTTGCAGTGAGCCAGGATTGCACCAATACACTCCAGCCTGGGCAACAGAGTAAGGCTCTGTCTCAAAAAAAAAAAAAAAAAAAAAAGAGTTCTTGTATTAACTTGTAACGTAGTCATATTTTCTCATTAAAACCATTACCCTAGACTGTATCATTCTTCAACTTTCCCATTTCTCCTGTATTTCATAACCATTATTATTACTATTATTTTTGCAGAGTTGTCTATATTTGCCCTTTTCTTTTTCGCTTTCCCAGTCACATTTCTACCCATTGCAGTCCGGCTTATGCCCCCACAATTCCTCAAAAGGTTCTCTTCTTCAAATCACCAACATCTCTTCCTAATCACTACATCTAATGCATACTTTCAATCATTATCTCACTTGACTTCTCAACAGCACTGAAATTACTGCACACTCTTTCCTTCCTGAAAGCTCTTCTTTCCTCTGCATCTGTGATGTCACATTCTTATGTTTTTCTTTCTATCCCACTCGCTATTCCTTGTCATTTGCTAGTCTCAGTTTCTGGGTCGAGTTCTTATATTCCAGGATTCTTCAGGATAATATCTTCAGTTCTTTTTATCCCTCACTGTTTGCAGGATAACATATCATTTTTTTCAGTAATTTTTTTGTTTGTTTTTACCCCATACATTTACTGCCATTTAATCTAGGACAGTACTATATAAAAGAACTTTGGAGGTAATAGAATTGTGGACTTAATGAGAATTGCAATCCCATAGGAGTCTTTCAAGGAGTTTCTGTCAGACTGCACCAAAGTAGTGTTTCAATCCACTGCTTATATACAGGTGGTGGCAGCTCAGTATGTGCTCAGAAGTTACATCAAATGTGCTCGGAATTACATTACGTGTGCTCAGAAGTTACAAGCAAACAAAATGTCATCAAAGTTTGGATGTGAGGGTACATCTGGTTATAGATTACAGAGGCATAATCATTAATCCCGTTGTACATTATTTTTTGTACAGAAAAAGGCAAGGACCAGAATCATTGAACTTATCTTTTCTAAAAAATGCACTGATTCAGGCAGGAGATATGGGAATCTGTGCTCTCCCCTTCTTATCGTTTTCAAGGCATTCTTTTGGAGGGCTGTGCTCAGTCACCAAGTCAGGGGCTCTGTGAAATTCTGCTGGCAAGGGATTATGTGAAATTCTGCTGGCAAGAATGAACAAACACAGCTTCTTACATTTACTATTTTGTCTCACAGAAACATTCTCTACTTGCATTGTGCAATATAGTAGTCCTTTACCACCAGGATAGTGAGCACTTGAAATGTGATACTGTGACTAGGAATTAAATTTTAAAATTTGTTTAATATTGATAAATTTACATTTAAATAGCCACATATGGCTAGGGGCTACTGTATCACACAGCCACACAGCCCACATTTAGACCTGGAGGTATTCATTGTTTTATGGAAAGATATTATATTAGAAAAATCAGAAAAAATGCTTTGTGACATTTCATGTGGGAAATCAGGACATTGAGGAAGTCATAACCAGAAGGAAGATCTGGGCTAGATATTACAGAAGAGGCTGGAGTTCCTGCAGGGAGAGGCAGGAGCATGACGAGGGAGAGAGGTCATCGAGGCTGGGGTGAGACATCTGACTTACCGTCAGGAGCCACGTCAGTGCCTCATAAAATCCAATCTCCATTCAGGTGAGCGCCACACCCTGTCTGTGCAAAGACACTATAACAACTGTCCTTTCTCTTGTGATTCTATTGACAGCAGCCAGCAACTCACCCGTGTCTATCCAGCAGCAGACACACCATTCTGTGCCCTCATATTTTGATATGTAACAATCTGACTTACCTTCATGTGGACAACATGAAACAGCATATGAAATGAATGCCGAAACTAAGCATCACTACTTAAAATATTTATACAAATTTAAAATTTTAAACACAGATTTAATTTGTTTTTATTTATTTCTCTGTTGATCTTTTTTTTTTTTCCCTCTCTCTGATATGTTGCTAATTTTCCTGTGTTCTGTTCTTCACTTTGTTAAATCCTAGGATAAACTCAGACTGGGATATGCATGGTTCCTTTCTCACGTGCCTTTTGCTACAGAGCTGTTCTGATGCTGGTCATCTGACTGTCTCTTCTACTTCCTGTTATTATCTGAAAATGGTAGTTAAAAGCTTGGCTTTCAGTAACTATTCAGACAGGTTTGAAGAACAGTCACTAGCAATCCCCAGGTGACATTTCAGTAATGGCTTCATATAGTCTGAAAATCAGAGAGAAGGTCAGTTTCTTTAAGCAGACTTGCTATCTGGGAGTTCACTTCTCTCTGGGATATACTTTCCAAGACCCTGCCTTTAACTGTTAGCCATCTTTCAGTCACCCATGCTCAATACACTCATTCACTTAGCAAATATTTATTGAGCTCATACTAAGTGCTTGGCTTAGTTCTAGATGTTGGGCATATAGAATTTAACAATGAACAATTTCCTTGTTTTCATGTAGGAGAGAGGAGAAAGAACAATAAACAAATACATATGTAATATACTGTTAGGAAAAGTACGAAGAAATGTAACATGTTAATAGGCTGGAGAGTAAGGAGATGGAGAGGGTGGTTATTTAAGATGAAGCAGTCAGGGAGGTCTCTCTGGGAAGGTGACAAGAGAGTGGACATTGGAAAGATGGGAGAGTGTGAGCCATATGAATGTCTAGGGAGAAGGGCATTCTGGACAGAGTGACAATCCAGCACAGAATGAGCTTGATCTGCTGTAGGAAAAGGAAGAAGGTCAATTTGGTCAAACTGGCAGAAGTGAGCCAGAAAATAAAAAGAGGTGAAACTGGAGAAATAGGCAAAAGCCAGTTATTTTAGACCTTATAGGACATGGTAAGGAGTTTGGGTTTCATTCAAAGTATTATGGGAAGCCTATTATGGTGGCTCACTCTTGTAAACACAAAACTTTGGGAGGTCAAGGCAGGAGTATTGCTTGGACCTAGGAGTTGGAGGACAGCCTCGGCAATGTAGTGAGACTCCCATGTCTACGAAAAATAAAAAATTAGCCTGGCTTGACGTTGCACACTTGTAGTCCCAGCTACTCAGGTTGCTGAGGCAGGAGGACTGCTTGAGCCAGGAGGTCGAGGCTGCAGTAAGCTGTGATTATGCTACTGTACTCCATCCTGTGTGACAGAGCAAGACCCTATCTCAAAAAACAAAACAAAAACAACAACCAAAATCCAAAGTGTTATGTAGGACTTTGAGGCAGGGGTGAGGCATTATCTGATTTATGTTTTAGGCAGATCATTCTAGTTGCTATCTGGAGACCTGACCACTTAAGAGTATAAAAGGAATCAGGGAGTCCAGGTGCAAGCCTACCGCAGGGATTTAGGTGAACAAAGATGGTTTCTTTGGTATAGATAGCAGCAGTGAAAGTGGTAAACAGTGGTGAAGTTTGAAATAAATTTTGAAGGTGGAATAAATGGAAGTTTCTGATGAGTTGGAGGTGTGGTGTAAAGAAAAGAGTAAAAATATCTCCTATGCCTTGAGTCTGAAAAACTAGGTGAATATTGGGGCCATTTATTGAAACAAGGAAGTGTGGAGAGGCTGACTAGGGTTCACCAAGCATAGATGTCAAGTAGGCAGCTGGAGATTTAAGCCAATGTAAAGATGTAGGTTTGAGATTCAATATCTAAATGTATTTAAAGCCATGGAACTGAGTGAGACCACTCAAGGAGAGGGGAGTAGATAGACAAGAGTGTTGAAGACTGAGGTAAAATGTTGGAAGAAGTAAAGGAGTCATCAATAGAGGCAGAATGGAGATGTCCAGTGAGATCTGAAGAATTTTCAAGGGGAAGGAGGTGATAACCTGCTACAATGATGGTTACAGGTAAATTAAGATGGAGATCACTGGTGTCTGGAGAAGGCCAAGTTCAGGGGAGTGAGAGGGGTGAACACTCAATCAGTGTGTGCTGAAACCACAATGAGAGCCAAGGAAGTGAAGACAGTAAGAACAGACAACTCTATTTAGAGGTTTTTCTCTAAAGGGTTGCTGAGGAACAAAGCAGTAGTTGGAGGTGAATTAAGGGAGTCTAAGGAGGGATCTTTACTTGCTTATGAGAGATATTACAGAAATATTATATGGTTCCCTTCAGAGAGCTGAGTTTTAAGGGCAAAGATACAGAACTTGGAGGGCAGAGTTTGCTCTCTGCTCCCTGCAGAAACACTCCAAGAGACTTTTGCCTGAGAACTTAGCTTGCATAGAAGGAATGGAGTCCAGCAGCTGGGGTCAGCATAGCCAACATTATTGGGCATTTTGGGATGATCTTCAGATCTGCATTTTGTCCTGAAGTTTCACAGTGAAGTTCTAATTGGGTAGCCCAATCATGTAGCCTTTGTAACCCCACATGTGCTATTTTCCCCTGGTAACTGGTGAAAGTGAATGTAAATAGTGGATTAGTGTGGTTTGAGGTCTATGGAGTGTAATAGGCCAGTGTGGTTGTGTTCTAGGTGAGAGTGCAAGATCAAAGGGCAAATCCATGTGCCCCCTTCTCAAGATGGGGATAACAAGGGAGAACGTATTGATGCTAGTCTGTCTTTTTTTGTCTGCTGTTACCTTTTCTTCCTTGTTTTTGAGAAGTTCTCAGGCTCTCTTCAACACCATCCCACCAGGAAAGTAAGTTAACATGAACTGACCTATCCTGATGTAAACAAAAAGAGTGAAACTCTGAAATATTTGAGATTTATTTTGATTCAAACATGAGTGATCAGTGGCCTGCGACACAGCCCTCAGGAGATACTGAGGACATGTGCCCAAGGTGGTCAAAGCACAGCCTAGTTGTATACATTTTGGGAAACATGAGACATCAATTAACCACATTTAAGATGTAAATTAGTTTGGTCCAGAAAGGCAGGACAATTTGAAGCAGGGGACCGTGAGGGGGAGAGGGGTTTCAGGTTATAGGTAGATTTAAAATTTTTCTGATTGGCAATTGATTGAAATAGTTATTATCAATAAAAAGAAATGTCTGGGTTATGATAAAGTGTTGTGGAGACCAAAGTTTTATCTTGCAGATGAAGCCTCCAGGTAGCAGGCTTCAGAGATAACAGATTATAAACGTTTCTCATCACACTTAAGATCTGTGTTGATATTAAACGCTGGCTGGGTTTTCCTGAATTCTAAAAGGGAAGAGGGTATAATGAGCCATGTCTGACCCCACTTCCCACCATGGCCTAAATCAGCTTTTCAGGTTAACTTTGGAGTGCCCTGGCCTAGAGGAGGGGCCCATTCAGATGGTTGGCGGTGGGGTGCGGTGGGGGCTTAGAGTTTTAATTTTGGTGTACAGGTTTTATACTTCTTCTCTTCTTTTCCCATTTTAAAAGAGGTGGCTGAAATTTACCTCATGAATAAAAACTGGGAAATTGTGACATCAAATATTATAAATGTAGGGAGAGGTGGAGTAGAAGTGTAGAGTTTTTTTAATGCTATCAAAGTCAAGTTATCAGCTTATCACCATTATAAGATTTTTTTGTAAGCCTCATGGTGCTCATGGTAACCACAAAGCAAAAACCTATAGTAAGTAAAAAAGGATTTTTTTAAAAAAGAAATCAAAACATATAAGCATAACACTGGAGGAAATTTCTTAATCACAAAGAAAGACCAACAAGAGAAGAAAAAAACAAAGGTTCTACAAAACAATCAGAAAACTATTTAAAAAATGGCAATAGCAAATCCTTATCTATCAATAATTATCTTGAGTTTAAAAGAATTAAATTCTTCCATCAAAAGTCATAGAGTGGCTGAATGAATAAAAAAAAACACCCAATCATAACCTGCCTACAAGAGACTCACTTCATCTGTAAGAATACAACACATAGAATGAAAGTGATATAAATGGAAACCAAGAGAAAGCAGGAATAGCTATACTTAGAACAGGTAAAATAAATTTTAAGTCAAAAAGTGTAAAATGAAACAAAGAAGGTCATTATGTAATGATAAGAGGTTAATTTAGCCAAAGGACATAACGAATGTAAATATATACATGCCCACACAAAAGTACCTAAATATATACAGCAAATAGTAATAGATCTGAAGGAAGAGATTAGACTATAACACAATAACAGTAAGAGATTGCTATACTTAACTTTTAGCAATGGACAGATCATCCACATAGAAAAATCAATAAGGAAACACTAGCCTTAGACTATACCTTAGACCAAATGGACCTAACAGACATACACAGGACATTCCTTGCAATAGCTGCAGAATACACATTCTTCTTAAGCACAAAAGGAACATTCTCCAGGACAGATAATATGTAATCATATATGCCACAAAATATGTCTTAACAAATTTAAGAAGATTGAAATCATATCAAATATCTTTTTTGAACAGAATGATATAAAACTAGAAATCAAGAGAAATTTTGGAAAACTCACAAACACATAGAAATATTCAATAAAAGATCTAGTCTGTAATCCAGAACTACTGAGTCAAAGCTTCCAACTGTGAGGGCTAAGAAGTTTTGTTTTAAAAATTTCTGATATGGCAAGTTCAATAATATGAAATCTAGCTAGAACTAGTGATAACGTTTGGTAGATTTACCCCAAATTATTCTTTGTGAATAATTTTATTTATTCATTTTATATACAATTATGGGATGATATTGTATATTGTATTTGTATTCAGGCAGAACCCCAAGCCCAATTAGCTTAAGCAAACAGAGTTTATTGGCTTATGACTGAGAAGTCTAAAGCTGGTTCTGACTTTAATAACTACTCAACCTAGGGTGTCTGATATCTTCACCATCTTTATTTGGGAGTTAAGGCCTTTCTTTTCCTTAACCAAGTTCTAGGAAGAAAAGGTCCAGGACTTGTTTTCATTAGCCTGTCTTTCATGATGTACCAAGGAAATGAGTTACCTTAATTTAATCTAATTAACGTTTTTGACCTATGTGGGTTGGAGTCAAAGCACCACTTGAAACACGTGAGATGTTTTTCCCATAGGAAAGGGAAGTTCTATTAGCAGAAGAAGGAGGGGAAAGACATCTGCTGATCAGAAGAAAATAACAGATGTGATTAACACGCACTACATAGTTCTGCTTCCTGCTGTTTTCACTTAATGTTGTATACTCATCACTTTTTCATATCCTCAAAAATTCTTTGAAAATCTGATATTTTATTACCACACAATATTCTACTTTATATGGACAGTCTATTGGTTATCAATTGCTGCAAAATAAATTACCCTCAACAGCGTAAAACAACAAAAAATCTATTATATCCTATAGTTTCTCAGTGTCAGGAATACCTGAGTGGCTTAGCTGGGTAGTTTTGGCCACATTCTGTCATGAGTTTGCAGTCAAGCTGTCCGCTAGAGGGAAGATGTTGGTCAAAGGGCACACAATTTCAGTTATATAAGATAAATAAGTCCTAGAGACCTACTGTACAGCATAGCACCTGTAGTTAAAGATACTGTATTGAATACCTAATTTTCTAAGAGCATAGATCCTAAATGCTCTTATCACAAAATAAAATATAAAATAAAAGAGGCTCCTGCTTTTTGTCTTTCCACATTCTGCCCCAGGCCATCTCCCAGGCCCTGGGAACATCTTTGGCTTGTGCAAGAGCAGATCAGAAGTGCCAGGGGTTAAAGCCCTTGAGACCAACCCTTGGGAGAATGGTGTTGGAGTATTTGCTCCGCCTTCCATCTTTCAGGTGAACCATTCAGAGAAAGTCTGTACACCACTCAGAAGTCCCAGCAGAATTGAATCTCCATTGCTGATGGCAGGGACCTCAGTAATGCATCCTTACATGAGCTCTCCCTGCTTCCTCATGTCCCTCTCCAAGCTCCCTTGACCTGGTTCCCTAGTAGATCTTTTTAAATAAACTGCTTGCACCTAGTCCTTGTCTCAGGGTTTGAGTTCAAGGAAATACAAAACAAATCACCCTTTAAAACTATTTTTAAAAATTATATGGCATCAATATTTCAAACAGTTATGTAGCAACCATCTTGTTGAGCTAAACTCAAAGTCCCAGAAAAGGGAACAAGGATTCTTTACTGTCATACTAAGTAAATGTAATATTGTGTACATACCCTGTCTTACTGTGTTTTTGAATTAGTTAAAAGCCATCTCCATATTTTCTTAAGTAAACACATTATAGCCAATTGCACAATAGATGCTAACAGAAAACATTACTTTTCAGATATGGAATGTTCTAAGCAATATATTTCAAAGATTGTAAGAGATTTTCCTCCAAGAAAATGAGAGTAATTAAAATCCTCCGTATTTGGCATCCTCTTTCCTGGGATGATTAAGGCCTCCAGCTCTTGGCAGGTCAAGCCATTAAGGAAATCTGTGTGGCCATTTGAACAGGAAGGATTATACACTGACTACAGTTATCACTGGTCCAGAGGTAGAACATGCCAAAACTACTATTCAGGATAATTTTGAACTTGCTGATATGTCAATTTCAGTAAACAGAGTAACAAAGGACAGCCTGAAGTTTCCTGGGCTGGTGATGTGTGAACCCCCACGATTCTATGCAAGTCCAATTGCTAGAGAAGTGGCTTCAAATCAACTCTAAATTACTTTGGGCATATAGGAGGAGGGGAAGGAAGATGGCTACTCCATTAGTCCTCTTTATCCTTAATTTTTACAAATTGTGTGTATACTTTACGCAGTAGAAATTTACACTACAAATTCTGAATAAATCAACATGCTATCATTGTTTACCATCACTATAAAATGGTGGAAGAGTAAGTCCATTTATTCATGCAGAGATGAAACAGTTTTAAATTTATATTTTAACCTCATTAAAATTCTCAACTTACAAAAAGAACTACTAGCCAATCTCTTAGCCCAAGTGTCTGTTAAAACACTTGTTTGTTTGGGAACTTAACTGAAAACACAATTCTCAAGGAAATTGGCAGAATTATAACTATAAGCTTATAGTGACTCAATATATATTAAAAAGTTAAGGTAAAAAATATAAGAAAATGCTAATATGTAAACACTGCAAATATTTTAGTGAAGTAGAAAATACTTCTATCATATAAGGAACCAGTCTAATTTATGCTTAGATTTTTCACATATTGAATTTTGTGGTCAATGACTAATTACTCTTGTTTCTAAAATGAATGACATAATTTTAGCTAAAAGCATAGAAACTTGGGGATCTAGCAAGCATTTGCAGCATTATAGTGAGCAAATGAAGATATGCTTTTTAGAAAACACTATCTTAAAGAAACTTCTCAGACTTTTATTGTTACTTTCAAGGACACCTTGAGTGTCTGAAGACTCTAGATTAAGATCCACTGGTTTGGCTTGCAGATTCTTTCTCTTGGAAATCTGCCTGGGTCATATGGTGCAAATCAAGGCTAGGGCCCTGGTAACCTAAAATGATCACCCTCCCAATGCCTGACTATCATAAAGATCATAAAACAGCCTCAGAGACGAGTTCATAGCAAAGTCCACTCTAGAGGCAATTCTCTTACAAGTGGATCCTGCAGGGCGATATGTTTGATTAGCATTTATAGACTGAAGTTTCCCTTTGTGAGGTCAGAGCTGGACTGTCTGCTGTTCCTGCCTGTGCTGAGGCCTGATCATCAGCTTGGCAGTAGGTCACCAGGAAGCTTTACTTTAAGTTCCAAGACAGAGAATTTTAGATTTTCTGCTTTCCAGACTACCCACCATCCCCATGGAAATGGAAATCCACTCCAAATCCCACCTAAACACACACACACACACACACACACACACGCACACACACACACACACATGCATGAGCAGAAAATAGACTTATTGATACACTTTCCTGAGCACAGGCCTACAAAATGCTTTTTCGTTTTTGACATCTAATGATTTAAGATGTGGCCTATACCTAGAGAAGAGCTAAATATCAGGACAAACATTCTCTTCTTTTTCCTAGTCTTTTCTTCTTTTTCATTGAAAAAGCTAAATGCTGAATTCACAATTTTTATAGTGAAGCCAGCTTATCTTTTTCAGATCCTAACACTCAGACTCTTAAGTAGCTGGCTTTAGTTCTTAAAATAAAATTGGTAACTTTTTTCTCCTAACTCACCTTTTTAAAAAAACACCCCAAAGGGAGTTCTTTTTGCATTTTGGGCAATTCACTTTAGGATTACAATAATTCAAAAAATGTGTGAATATGTATCTTGGTCAACAGAATAGCATCTGGAATTCCAGCATGCAACCTGTCAGTGTAGCAGAGACATCTGGTTTCTGTGTAACCGTAGTGTTTGTTTAGTTTTCTTAACTCTACGGTGGACAAAAGGTCTGTTGCTATAATTTGATACTGAAAAATTTTCAGGGTTAGCTTTCTTGCTCGTCCCTTCCTTTTTTTGTCTCTATTTTATTTTTTTAAGTTTAGAGTCATAGTACGAGGATTTTCAGGGATATTACTGATATGACTGCCCCAGCAAGAACACTACCATCACAGAGATTCTGCTTTCATCCCAAGGACAACTCTGATGCCTTTCACTTTCTGTGCTCTTCCTACTGGCTTTGAGTCCTCAATGGTTAGAAGGTCACTTGCTTTAAAGAGAACTTGATAAAACAGCCAAGAGGGACTCAAAGGTTTGAGCTCTCTGTTTCCCTCTGGTCTTTGTCCCAGACCCCTCCATATGCTCTTGAGTTTAGCAGGCCTCTGAATTACCAAATACACAAAGCTAACCAATCTCCACTTTCTCCTCCTCAGAAGGCTCTTCTTTCTCAAGCCTTCTGGACACTTTAGCCCTTTGCAGCAGTCTGAAGTTCAGTGACTGATCACAGCTTAATTAATGACAATATTAAGCAACATTGAGCACCTGTGGTGTTGGAGGCACACACTATGTTGCATGCTATCTCTTTTCATCCTCAAGGTAACTGATGTAGAGTATTATTTTAATTGGTGAACCATGAAGCTGAGGTTCTGTAAAGTTCAGTTGCTTGCCCAAGATCATTCAGCTATTAGAGCCTGGATTTGAGCCCAGGCATGTTCAATTTCAGTCTTGAAAGTTAGTTCACTTTAAGAATGACCACTTTACCCAGGGATTGTAGTATAAGTACCCACATGCAGCATAATAAAGTAGAATAAAATTCTGTATTCAGGTCTGGACTGTGCCATCGCTTAGGTGTGTAATGGGGGCAAGTCTCCTAACCTTTTAGAGTACCAGTGACTGCTTTACAAGGTGAAGGTCAGTCACATCTAAGGCCCCTCACCACACCGAGGTCCTGGTATTTCCTGATTCTAGACAAAGGGAAGAAGGAGGAATTAAACCTGGGTTAGGGAAAGATTAAATCATGGAGAGAAGGGAGATCAGGATTTCCTGTAAACTTGGAGGTTGAGCCTGGACACTGCATATGTAGATGAATATGTGTCTGAGGCAGAGCGTGGACAAGTCTGACTACATTGCCTAGGATGATTACCTTTTTGACTTTAGTTGGTGGAGTGAGAGCTGCCTCTTTTTTCTGTAGTTGAGCCCCTGTTCTGAGCTCTTGTTACAAATGTCTCCAAAGCACTCATTACCCATTTCCTTCTTCTTCTATCCTCTAATGCACCTGGCCTTTACCTGAGGTCCCTACAGGCTCTGTACCCCTGAAATGGGAGGCACAGATGCTTAGGGTGTAGGTTGGGGAGGAAGGAGGGTATGGCGCTCTGGACTTCACCCCGATGGATTCTTCTAGCCATTGAGAGCCAGATCCTTCCATTATTTGGAGTTTCATAAACCTGTGCTGAAGGAGTCCTCTTTTCTCACTTTTCCCAGCACTCCTGGCCTTGTCACCTGAACTTCCCCGGGACAGTGCAGGGGGCTTACCTGCCTGTAAGCCTTTCTGCATGCATGTATACAACTCACCTCAGTAAAACTCTTTCCTAAAGATGGTGTCACATGCTTATGGGTTGCTCTCTGAATGCTCAGATAATAAAAACTATCATTTGTTGAAGGTCTATTAAAGTCTCAGACATTTTAGTAGCAGCCTTAGACAAGTTATCTAACTTTTTTTTTTAATTCCTCACCACCCTCTTAGTCAGCTGTCATTATCCCATTTGCTTATAAGGAAATTGTTGCTCAGAGATTTTAAATGAGCTTCACAAAGTTATTCAGCTAGTAACAAGCAGAGTAAATGGTTTTCCTGCTTGAAATAAAAGCATTGCCCTTCCAAGGCTATTTATCATGAACTTGCTTTCTTAGCTGAAAATGAAAGCACATGCGTTGATCAGATTCAGTGCACGTATGGTGTCCACTAACAGAACACTTGAAGTCCTGATTATCCTGGATGAACTGGGAGACACATTTACTGAACCACTATTTCACAATGGCCTCTTTTCTTATCTCATTCATGATCCCTATATGTAGTAGGTCTCAGCTCGCTGCTAGAAAGGAAGCAATATGACATTATGACAAACGACATAATGCTGACCAGGCTGCTTTATCTGACTGTCTGGTTTTGTGTTTGTTGTGCTTTCTTTTCCTCTATGGTGTAAACAGTAAAAGACCTCAAATTATGGAGGGCTTCAAGAATTTTCCTGTTCTCTTTATCATTGTTTTTATGTTAAATTTGAGCACATGAGATTGCCAATTGGACAAACACTCTTTTCTTTTCCTTTTTTCTTGAGCAAAACAAAAAAAGTTCTGATTTTCCTATTTGCCTTACCTCATAGGTTGAAAGCCTACTTTTTGCTAATGTAATGCCATGTAATTGTTTATTTATTTCTCCCTTTTAATAATAGATTTTTTAAAGGAAAGTCACCAACCCCAAAAGAACTTGTAATTGGTGGGGCTTCAGGCTGGGAAAGTTTTAGGATTCCTCTGAAATCACACACCAAGTGGGCATCCATGTGCTTTAGGAGTGAGTAGTCTTCCAATTACCTTCTGTATTACAGAGGAGACAGGTGGCTCAGGCCTCCACAGGAATGACTTTTAAGCTTGCTAGTCTGGTCACCAAGGTTGCTTTCCCTGAACCAACTCCTGGTTTTTGACCCCTCTGCAGACTGAGTCCTCTGCTTAATCAATTTCCTGTTTTTAGCTTGGGGTCAAGCTCTAACCCCAGGGCTCTGCTTCCTCCTTCTTCTCTGTGGCCCCCGGAAGAGGAAGGCTGACTCCTCAGAGGAAACAGAAACTGTTCAAGTCCAAGGGCACAGGTAGTTGGCTCAGCTCTCCTCACTGGGGACACTCACTGAATCTTGAATGTTTGGGAATCTGGGGGCAGAGGAAAGGGTATGGGAGGAAATAAATCCATTAGACCAAAGGGTCTGGTAAAAGAGGCCATAGCATCATACTTAGGGCTGGAAAACCTGTGTTCCAGACCCAGTGAAGGAGGGGAAGGGAATGACAACTGTCCTGACATACTGGTCTATGAGAGTACCCTCAGGTCTAACGAGGAATTTTATATGAATTTTCCACAAAGTTAACTTCAGATTTGTTGATTGTCCAAAGCATGAAGCTCTCAAATTTTCCAAGTCATTTCTCCTATTTATTTATTTATGGGCACCTTTTAACACAGGTGGGAAGAAGGGATGTGAACACATCCCAGCCCCATGCCCAGGCATATGTTCTTCCAATATACCACTGCTACTTAACTCAGATCAGTGCAAGTGACCTGTGTGAGCTTGGACAAGTGTCTGAAACTGAGTTTTCTCCTGTGTAAGTATGGGAGAAAATACCTGCTTTGTCTTCCTTATAAGGTTGTCATGAGGATTAAACTGGTTAATATATTTTCTTTTTTTTTCAAGTTATTTATGAAAGGATTGAATTTTGCTCATTGTTCTGCAGCCTTTGGGGTCTCTCAGTGAACAAGATAGACAAGGACCCTGCCATCAAGGACATTTATATTTCAAAGTGCATCAGTATTTTTCATTTTTTAAAGAATGAGGTGACTCTTTGTTCAGTTGTAATCTTACCTAGAAATCCAACGTGTAAAATAAATAAAAAGGAAATGAGAGGCAGGGGCTAAAGTTCTGCTTGCTTATCCCAGCCCCAGCTTCCTGGTGGACTTTGGAAGCACAGTTTGGAAACTACAAGACATTTCTTCACACATGCAAGAGACAAAAATTAAGAACTTGATGACTCCCAAATTTGCAAATACTCTGCATAGTAGATGCTGTGGGTGCCCACTCAGAACCCCTTTGCTGGCTGGAGCCGTCACTGCACCCCCTCCCTCATCCTACTGCCCTCAGTGTTGGCTACTAGCAGGTCATAACTGTCCCTTTATCCAGAGCTTTGTCCAGACATGAAAATAAAGAAGCACAAGGCTGTTGGAAAATCCAAGGGAAAACTGTAAATTGGGGCATGTTACCAATTTCCAGGATGCTGTTCTAATCATCCACACTCACTGTTAAATTCCAACACCAAGATTCCCCAGCATTTGTTAATATTCTATAAACTGTAAAGTGCCAGGCAAATGCAAACCCAGTTTTTGTAGCCATGAGAAACAGGATCAGAAATAGAGTAACTGCCTTTGGGCACTGATTGCTCTTCCTCTCCTTTCACTAAAGTTCAAGTAACTTGACGGGCAAATGTACTCATTTCAGGATACTCTCTGAGCTGCCCTGATCTGAGTGTGCAGTGACATAGAGACTACATCACTTTATCCTCTCATAAAGAGACAGAGTGAAATCCTGATAGGATTGAACAATAGATGAGTTGCAAAATATTAGAAAGATTTACCGTTAAAAAAAAATTTGTCCAGCTACTTGAAATTGTGTGGATACAGTTATATTTTTGTTCCATGAAACAAGACAGAAACTTATAAAACACAATAATTTAAAGTTTCATAACTTACGTATTTTGAAATAATTTCAATGAAGACAGCACCTGGGTGGGATTATTGTCTGAAGTAAATATTATTTGTATTGCAGCAGGAAACGTGGTGGTGCGCTACGCTTTCTCAACCCTTGAGGCTGGGGAAGATCATGAGTGTAAGCAGGGGTGTGTTTGAGTGTAACAGTTAGCTGAGGCTGTAAATCCCTCTTGATTGTGTCTTCCTGAGACATCTTGGAGGAAAAGTGTGAAAGTGTGTATGAGTGAATATATGTGAATGTGTATATGTGTTTACGTGTGTGAGTGTATGTAAGAGGGGATATATGTATGAATATGTGTATGTGTGTGTGTGTGTGTGTGTGTAAAAATGGGAACTACCAGAATCCAGGACTGACTGTAGAGTCTTCTAGCCTCAAGGAGTTTCTCTAATACTGCAGGGTGAGTGACTAGTATTGTTTGCTTGGCCAAGAGTAACCATCTGGGATGGGGTTAGGGGACTCATGGATGCCTTATCCTACAAGCTATCACAAGCTAGCAAATTGCAGAGCTGGGATTCAAGGTGAAGTCTCCTTTTCAAGAGTCATGGTCCTGAAAAGACTTTGACAGCTTTCATCTCTGAGTTGTCACTTAGGTGTTTTCCTGAATTATATCATGTTGAAGAAAATTCTATGCATTGTCATAAACCTTTACCAGCATCCTCATTGATAAGGGTCCTATCATAAAACACATGAAAAAGCATTTGTTTAAAGGGGTGAATGAACAGAGTTGAATGGAGAGTATCTATAAAAGCAGGGCATGATGAAAAGACATTGACAAAGGATGAAGAGGCATACAGAGAGAAGGAGTCTTTATACCCTAGGCCTGAGGGGAAAGGAAAGATACAATTCCCAGGGAGGCTGAGTGAGAGCTTCAGGTGAAGGAGAGGCTGCTTGCTGATCATTGTGGCCTTCAGCAGGGGAGTGTGGCCACTGCCAAACCAAAACCTGGCAGAAAGTGGCCCTGATCTCTCCTTCCTCGGTCCCTTCAATCTCCTGCTGGTACTTTCCACTGGCAAAATCAAATCAGAAGCTGAAGAAAAGGACACCCTCATGATGCGGAGCAGGGTGCAAAGGGTGGAGAAGGGTGGAGAGCAGATTTGGAGGGCAAACAGAGAACATCTGTCTCAGCCATGCTGGGCTCTCTCTAGGCTGCTGCAAGCATGAGATAAGCGAGCCACAGTCCCTCTCTGGCTTTCTGGAAGAGCACAGTTAGTAACTGGGAAAGTGAGGTAAGGACTAGGGCTCTGCTTATAATCATCACCCAGGTAGTTACTGTCTTTTATGATGAAGAGCAAATGACAGTTTAAAAACAGTCTAGAAATTGAAATCTTTATACATAATATACATTTAATGTAACAGTAGCCTCTGCACCAAAACCCTAGCATTGATAGGCAATACCATTCTTGTCTCTTTCTCTGACAGGCTCTTGTAAGGGAAATGAAGACCCTGACCTTTATGCTATTCAGAAATGTGGTCTCTTCGTAGGTATAAACCATTTCACTAACAGCATTAAAAGGTGTTTATATTAATGTAGCAGTGAGGAAGAGGCATCCTTCCACACTCCATGCCCAACCCATGTGCCACACCAAATTAGTGTCCTGTCGTCTCAGAAGGGGGAAAACAATTGGCAACTCTACAAAACATGGTTAACCATGAAATGCGATAGTATCCAACATCAGCTGCTTAAATATGAAACCTGAGTCACAGCTCTATGTGTTTGGCAACAGAGTAAACATCACATATGTGTGGGTATTTGTGTGTGTGATTTTATTTTATTTTTTTCCTGAGATGGAGTCTCGCTCTGTTGCCCAGGCTGGAGTGCAGTGGCGAGATCTCTGCTCACTGCAACCTCCGCCTCCCAGGTTCACGCCATTCTCCTGCCTCAGCCTCCTGAGTAGCTGGAAGTACAGGCACGTGCCACCATGCCAGGCTAATTTTTTGTATTCTTAGTAGAGACGGGGTTTCACCGTGTTAGCCAGGATGGTCTCAATCTCCTAACCTTGTGATCCACCGGCCTCGGCTTCCCAAAGTGCTGGGATTACAGGCGTGAGCCACTGCGCCTGGCCTGTGTGTGTGATTTTAAACACTGAAAACAAAGATAAATGATGACGGCTCTATGGATCCACTCCTGCATTAGATTATCCCCTTCTCATCTCAGTAAGTCCCTATTGTGATGGGAGTAGATGCGGAGTGGGCGCACAACCTAAGCTGGGGATGGTAGGGCTCTCATCACCTTAGTGTCCATAGCCCCTGTTCTGTAGAGGCTGACGACCTCAGAGTGCAGGTCCCAGGAAATCTAGGGGTTTGTCTGACTTGCTGGTTCTCTGACTCCCTGTGAGATTGGCTGCCCAGTGAAAGTGGGTAAGGAATTTCATCTTTAATTCTGCAGCTCAGTCTCAACTTAAAACTCTACTCGGAGAATGAGGAAGAATTCAAATAATTTCTTACTAAAATAGAACTGTGAAAGGAATTGTTTTGGCCAGAAAAGATCTATTGATTTTTAAAAAATCAGCCAAAGGCAAGAAATATGATGAAACATCTTGCATAGACTGTAGGAGCCCATGATTCTGGCTTGATTTTTCTAAGAATTTGAAACTAAATTATTTCATTGTAGAAGAAAGAAAATGGTTTATTGACCCTCTATGAGAATCAGTCTTTCAAGGTAAAGGGTTTGTCTAAAGAAGGAGCCAAAGCTTGTTTTGGCAGTATTGCTCCCATGTGGGAGTCCCTGGGAAAGTGGGTAGGTGTTAAGGAACCTTCCTTTGCAAAGCAAAACTGGACAGAAATGGCATTTACAAGCTCCTCCAAAGCAGGCAAGTAAGAGGAGATAGCAGAAGATGACAGATAGGAGGCAGGACTAGCTTGCAGCTGCTGCTCAGATAGACAGGGCAGCATGTGGAGACTCACATCAAGAACTTTTCCTCCAGGAACTACTGCAGGAACATACCAGGAATGCCGAGAGAATCTAAAGAACTGGATCACTGCTGCAGGCTTCCTGAGATACCGAAAAACTATGAGTAGGCTTGCTTTCTCAGCAGGGAAGCTTATGGTCTGGGGCAAATTCTGAGCCCTGGGCATCGGCTGCCTGGAAATAAACTCGTTGCTACTGTAGAAGCACAGTGGGAATGAGACCAGCCTTTAGGATTGTTGGCTGCATGGGAGCAGGGTGAGGCCTGTGATGCTGGCCTTCCCCTACTTCCCTGGCAACCTGTATGACTCAGCAGAGGCAGCCATAATTCCCTGAGAATCTAACTCCATTGGCCTAGGAATCACACCCCCATCCCCCACAACAGCCACAGCAAGCCCTGCCCAAGGAAAGTCTGAGCTCAGACAAGCCTATCCCTGCCCTTACCTGATGGTCTTTCTCTACCCACCCTGGCAGCGGAAGACAAAGGTCATAATCTCTTGGGAGTTCTATGGTCCTGCCCACCACCTGAGAAACCTGAATACAAATAGGTGGCCCTAGGGCAAGTCTACATCCTCCCTATATTACCATAGCTGATGTGCTCTTGAAAGCACCACCTCCTGGCTGGAGGCCAACCAACACAAAACCAGTGCACTAAACAAAAATACAACCCAGGACCCTCACAGAGTCCACTTCATTCCCCTGCTACCTGCACCAGAACAGGTGCTGGTATCCACGGCTGAAAGACCTGAAGACAGATCACATCACAGGACTCTTTGCAGACACTCCCCAGTACCAGCCGGGAGCTTGGTAGCTCCACTGGGTGGCTAGACCCAGAAGAGGAAAAACGATTACTACAGCTTGGCTCTCAGGAACCCCCATTCCTAGGGGAAGAGGGAGAACACCACATCAAGGGAGCACCCTGTGGGACAAAAGAATCTGAACAGCAGCCCTTGAGTCCTGGATCTTCCCTCTGACATAGTCTTCCCAGATGAGAAGGAACCAGAAAAACAGCTCTGGTAATATGAAAAAACAAGGTTCTTTAACACCCCCAAAAGATCACACCAGCTCATGAGCAATGGGTCTAAATCAAGACAAAATTTGAATTGCCAGAAAAAGAATTCAGAAGGTCAATTGTTAAGCTAATCAAGGAGGCACCAGAGAAAGGTGAAATCCAACCTAAAAAAATAAAAAAAACATGATACAGGACATGAAAGGAAAGATCTTCGGTGAAATAGACAGCATAAATAAAAAATAATCACAACTTCTGGAAATCAAGGACACATTTAGAGAAATGCAAATGCACTGGAAAGTCTCAGCTGTAGAATCAGACAAGCAGATGAAAGAACTTCAGAGCTCGAAGACAAAACTTTTGAATTAACCCAACCCGTCAAAGACAGAGAAAAAAGAATGAAATGAAGAAAGAAGCCTCCAAGAAGTTTGGGACTATGTTAAATATCCAAACCTAAGAATAATTGGTGTTCCTGAGGAAGAAGAGAAATCTAAAAGTTTGGAAAACATATTTGAGGGAATAATCAAGGAAAACATCCCCAGCCTTGCTAGAGATCTAGACATCTAAATAGAAGAAGCTCAAAGAGCACCTGGGAAATTCATTACAAGAAGATCATCACCTAGGCACATAGTCATCAGGTTATCTAATGTCAAGATGAAGGTAGGAATCTTAAGAGATGTGAAGCAAAAGCATCAGGTAACCTATGAAGGAAAGCCTATCAGATTAACAACAGATTTCTCAGCAGAAATCCTACAAGCTAGAAGGGATTGGGACCCCCACTTTTAGCCCCCTTAAACAAAACAATTATCAGCCAAGAATTTTGTAACTAGTGAGACTAAGCTTCATAAGTGAAGGAAAGATACAGTCTTTTCCAGACAAACAAATGCTGAGAGAATTTGCCACCAGCAAGCAAGCACTACAAGAACTGCTAAAAGGAGCTCTAAATCCTGAAACAAATCCTCAAAATACACCAAAACAGAACCTCCTTAAAGCATAAATCTCACAGGACCTACATAACAATAATACAATGGAAAAAAAAACCCAAAAACAAAAAACAAGGTACTCAGGCAACAAATAGCGTGATGAATAGAATAGTACCTGACATCTCAATATTAATATTGAATATAAATGGCCTAAATACACCACTTAAAAAATACAGAATGGCAGAATGGACAAGAATTAACCAAGCAAGTTTCTGCTGTCTTCAGGAGATTCACCTAACACTTAAGGACTCATGTAAACTTAAGGTAAAGAGGTGGAAAAAGATATCCTATGCAAATGAACACCAAAGGGGAGCAGGAGTAGCTATTCTTGTTTTTTTTTTTTTTTTTTTTTTATACTTTAAGTTCTAGGGTATATGTGCACAACGTGCAGGTTTGTTACATATGTATACACGTGCCATGTTGGTGTGCTGCACCCATTAACTCGTCCTTTACATTAGGTATTTCTCCGAATGTTATCCCTCCCCCATCTCCCAACCCCATGACAGGTCCTGGTGTGTGATATTCCCCACCCTGTGTCCAAGTGTTCTCATTGTTCAATTCCCACCGATGAGTGAGAACATGTGGTGTTTGGTTTTCTGTCCTTGCGAGAGTTTGCTCAGAATGATGGTTTCCAGCTTCATCCATGTCCCTACAAAGGACATGAACTCATCCTTTTTTATGGCTGCATAGTATTCCATAGTGTATATGTGCCACATTTTCTTAATCCAGTCTATTATTGATGGACATTTGGACTGGTTCCAAGTCTTTGCTATTGTGAATAGTGCCGCAATAAACAAACGTGTGCATGTGTCTTTATAGCAGCATGATTTATAATCCTTTGGGTGTATACCCAGTAACGGGATGGCTGGGTCAAATAGTATTTCTAGTTCTAGATCCCTGAGGAATTGCCACACTGTCTTCTACAATGGTTTAACTAGTTTACAGTCCCACCAACAGTGTAAAAGCATTCCTCTTTCTCCACATCGTCTCCAGCACCTGTTGTTTCCTGACTTTTTAATGATCGCCATTCTAACTGGTGTGAGATGGTATCTCATTGTGATTTTGATTTGCATTTCTCTGATGACCAGTGGTGATGAGCATTTTTTCATGTGTCAGTTGGCTGCATAAATGTCTTCTTTTGAGAAGTGTCTGTTCATATCCTTCGCCCACTTTTTGATGAGGTTGTTTGATTTTTTCTTGTAAACTTGTTTAAGTTCTTTGTAGATTCTGGATATTAGCCCTTTGTCAGATGGGTACATTGCAAAAATTTTCTCCCATTCTGTAGGTTGCCTGTGCACTCTGATGATAGTTTCTTTTGCTGTGCAGAAGCTCTTTAGTTTAATTAGATCCCATTTGTCAATTTTGGCTTTTGTTGCCATTGCTTTTGGTGTTTTAGACATGAAGTCCTTGCCCATGCCTATGTCCTGAAGAATTGCCTAGGTTTTCTTCTAGGGTTTTTATGGTTTTAGGTCTAACATGTAAGTATTTAAACCATCTTGAGTTAATTTTTGTATAAGGTGTAAAGAAGGGATCCAGTTTCAGCTTTCTACATATGGCTAGCCAGTTTTCCCAGCACCATTTATTAAACAGGGACTCCTTTCCCCATTTCTTGTTTTTGTCAGGTTTGTCAAAGACCAGATGGTTGTAGATGTGTGGTATTATTTCTGAGGGCTCTGTTCTGTTCCATTGGGCTATATCTCTGTTTTGGTATCGGTACCATGCTGTTTTGGTTACTGTAGCCTTGTAGTGTAGTTTGAAGTCAGGTAGTGTGATGCCTCCAGCTTTGTTCTTTTGGCTTACGATTGTCTTGGCAATGCGGGCTCTTTTTTGGTTCCATATGAACTTTAAAGTAGTTTTTTTCCAATTCTGTGAAGAAAGTCATTGGTAGCTTGATGGGGATGGCACTGAATCTATAAATTACCTTGGGCAGTATGGCCATTTTCATGATATGGATTCTTCCTATCCATGAGCATGGAATGTTCTTCCATTTGTTTGTGTCCTCTTTTTTATTTCTTTGAGCAGTGGTTTGTAGTTCTCCTTGAAAAGATCCTTCACATCCTTTGTAAGTTGCATTCCTAGGTATTTTGTTCTCTTTGTAGTAATTGTGAATGGGAGTTCACTCATGATTTGGCTCTCTGTTTGTTATTGGTGTAGAGGAATACTTGTGATTTTTGCACATTGATTTTGTATCCTGAGACTTTGCTGAAGTTGTTTATCAGCTTAGGGAGATTTTGGGCTGAGAAGACGGGGTTTTCTAAATATACAATCATGACAACTGCAAACAGGGACAATTTGACTTCCTCTTTTCCTAATTGAATACCCTTTATTTCTTTCTCCTGCCTGATTGCCCTGGCCAGAACTTCCAACACTGTGTTGAATAGGAGTGGTGAGAGAGGGCATCCCTGTCTTGTGCCAGTTTTCAAAGGGAACACTTCCAGTTTTTGCCCATTCAGTATGATATTGGCTGTGGGTTTGTCATAAATAGCTCTTATTATTTTGAGATACGTCCCATTAATACCTAGTTTATTGAGAGTTTTTAGCATGAAGTGCTGTTGACTTCTCTCAAAGGCCTTTTCTGTATCTCTTGAGAATCATATGGTTTTTGTCTTTGGTTCTGTTTATATGATGGATTATGTTTATTGATTTGTGTATGTTGAACCAGCCTTGCATCCCAGGGATGAAGCCAACTTGATTGTGGTGGATAAGCTTTGTGATGTGCTGCTGGATTCAGTTTGCCAGTATGTTATTGAGGATTTTTGCATCGATGTTCATCAGGGATATTGGTCTAAAATTCTCTTTTTTTGTTGTGTCTCTGCCCAGCTTTGGTATCAGGATGATGATGTCCTCATAAAATGAGTTAGGGAGGATTCCATCTTTTTCTACTGATTGGAATAATTTCAGAAGGAATGGTACCAGCTCCTCTTTGTACTGCTGACAGAATTTGGCTGTGAATCTGTCTGGTCCTGGACTTTTTTTGGTTGGTAGGCTATTAATTATTGCCTCAATTTCGGAGCCTGTTATTGGTCTATTCAGGGATTCAACTTCTTCCTGGTTTAGTCTTGGGAGGGTGGATGTGTCCAGGAATTTATCCATTTCTTCTAGGTTTTCTAGTTTATTTGTGTAGAGGTGTTTATAGTATTCTCTGATGGTAGTTTGTATTTCCGTGGGTTTGGTGGTGATATCCCCTTTATCATTTTTTATTGTGTCTATTTGATTCTTCTCTCTTTTCTTCTTTATTAGTCTTTCTAGTGGTCTATCAATTTTGTTGATCTTTTCCAAAAACCAGCTCCTGGATTCCATTGATTTTTTGAAGGGTTTTTTGTGTCTCTACCTCCTTTAGTTCTGCTCTGATCTTAGTTATTTCTTGCCTTCTGCTAGCTTTTGAATGTGTTTGCTGTTGCTTCTCTAGTTCTTTTAATTGTGATGTCAGGTTGTCAGTTTTAGATCTTTCCTGCTTTCTCTTGTGGGCATTTAGTGCTATAAATTTCCCTCTACATACTGCTTTAAATGTGTCCCAGAGATTCTGGTATGTTGTGTCTGTTCTCATTGGTTTCAAAGAACATCTTTATTTCTGCCTTCATTTCATTATGTACCCAGTAGTCATTCAGGAGCAGGTTATTCAATTTCCATGTAGTTTTGTGGTTTTGAGTGAGTTTCTTAATCCTGAGTTCTAATTTGATTGCACTATGGTCTGAGAGACAGCTTGTTATAATTTCTGTTCTTTTACATTTGCTGAGGAGTGCTTTACTTCCAACTATGTGGTCAATTTTGGAATAAGTGTGATGTGGTGCTGAGAAGAATGTATATTCTGTTGATTTGGGGTGGAGAGTTCTGTAGATGTCTATTAGGTCCACTTGGTGCAGAGCTGAGTTCAAGTCCTGGATATCCTTTTTAACTTTCTGTCTTATTGATCTGTCTAATGTTGACAGTGGAGTGTTAAAGTCTCCCATTATTATTGTGTGGGAGTCTAAGTCTCTTTGTAGGTCTCTAAGGGCTTGCTTTATGAATCTGGGTGCTCCTGTATTGGGTGCCTATATATTTAGTTTAGTTAGCTCTTCTTGTTGAATTGATCCTTTTACCATTATGTAATGGCCTTCTTCGTCTCTTTTATCTCTTTTGATCTTTGTTGGTTTAAAGTCTGTTTTATCAGAGACTAGGATTGCAACCCCTGCTTTTTTTTGTTTTCCATTTGCTTGGTAGATCTTCCTCCATCCCTTTATTTTGAGCCTATGTGTGTCTCTGCACGTGAGATGGTTCTCCTGAATGCAGCACACTGATGGGTCTCGACTCTATCCAATTATCCAGTCTGTGTCTTTTAATTGGAGGATTTAGCCCATTTACATTTAAGGTTAATATTGTTATGTGTGAATTTGATCCTGTCATTATGATGTTAGTTGGTTATTTTGCTCATTAGTTGATGCAGTTTCTTCCTAGCGTCAATGGTCTTTACAATTTGGCATGTTTT
The DNA here is from genome assembly GCF_000001405.40 of Homo sapiens. Classification (NCBI taxonomy): domain Eukaryota; kingdom Metazoa; phylum Chordata; class Mammalia; order Primates; family Hominidae; genus Homo; species Homo sapiens. The sequence continues at coordinate 42,864,831 of NC_000005.10, read as the reverse complement.
TGCAGTGGCTGATACCAGTTGCTCCTAGTGCTTCCTTCAAGAGCTTTTGTAAGGCAGACCTGATGGTGACAAAATCTCTCAGCATTTGCTTGTTTGTAAAGGATTTTATTTCTCCTTCACTTATGAAGCTTAGTTAGGCTGGATATGAAATTCTGGGTTGAAAATTCTTTTCTCTAAGAATGTTGAATATTGGCCCCCACTCTCTTCTGGCTTGTAGAGTTTCTGCTGAGAGATCCGCTGTTAGTCCGATGGGCTTCCCTTTGTGGGTAACCCGACCTTTCTCTCTGGCTGCCCTTAACATTTTTTCCTTCATTTCAACTTTGGTGTATATGACAATTATGTGTCTTGTAGTTGCTCTTCTCGAGGAGTATCTTTGTGGCATTTTGTGTATTTCCTGAATTTGAATGTTGGCCTGCCTTGCTATGGTGGGGAAGTTCTCCTGGATAATATCCTGAGGAGTGTTTTCCAACTTGGTTCTGTCACTTTCGGGTACACCAATCAGACATAGATTTGGTCTTTTCAAATAGTCCCATATTTCTTGGAGGCTTTGTTCATTTCTTTTTACTTGCTTTTCTCTAAATTTCTCTTCCTGCTTCATTTTATTCATTTGATCTTCAATCACTGATACTCTTTCTTCCACTTGATCGAATTGGCTACTGAAGCTTGTTCATGTGTCACGTAGTTTTTGTGCCATGGTTTTCAGCTCCATCAGGTCATTTAAGGTCTTCTCTATGCTGTTTATTCTAGTTAGCCATCCATCTAATCTTTTTTCAAGGTTTTTAGCTTCTTTGTGATGGGTTTGAACATCCTCCTTTAGCTGGGAGAAGTTTGTTATTACTGATCTTCTGAGGCCTACTTCTTTCAACTCGTCAAAGTCATTCTTCATCCAGCTTTGTCCCATTGCTGGTGAGGAGCTGCATTCCTTTGGAGGAGAAGAGGCACTCTGAGTTTTGAAATTTTCAGCTTTTCTGCTCCGGTTTCTCCCCATCTTTGTGGTTTTATCTACCTTTGGTCTTTGATTGTGGTGACCTAGAGATGGGGTTGTTGTGTGGATGTCCTTTATGTTTGTTAGTTTTCCTTCTAACAGTCAGGACCCTCAGCTGCAGGTCTTTTGGAGTTTCCTGGAGGTGCACTCCAGACCCTGTTTGCCTGGGTATCACCAGTGAAGGCTGCAGAACAGCAAATATTGCAGAACAGCAAATGCTGCCTGATCCTTCCTCTGGAATCTTCATCTCAGAGGGGCACCCAGCTGTATGAGGTGTCAGTCGGCCCCTACTGGGAGGTGTCTCCCAGTTAGGTTACTCGGGGGTCAAAGACCCACTTGAGGAGGCAGTCTGTCTGTTCTCAGATCTCAAACTCCATGCTGGGAGAACCACTACTCTCTTCAAAGCTGTCAGACAGAGACGTTTAAGTCTGCAGATGTCTCTGCTACCTTTGTTCAGCTATGCTGTGCCCCCAGAGGTGGAGCCTACAGAGTCTGGCAGGCCTCCTTGAGCTACAGTGGGTTCCACTGAATTTGAGCTTCCAGGCTGCTTTGTTTACCTACTCAAGCCTCAGTAATGGCGGACGCCCCTCCCCCAGCCTTGCTGCCGCCTTGCAGTTTGATCTCGGACTGCTGTGCTAGCAGTGAGCAAGGCTCCATGGGTATGGGACCCTCCGAGCCATGCATGGGATATAATGTCCTGGTGTGCCGTTTGCTAAGACAGTTGGAAAAGTGCAGTATTAGGGTGGGAGTGTCCCAATTTTCCAGGTGCTGCCCCAGTGAGATGAACCCAGTACCTCAGTTGGAAATGCAGAAATCACCCATCTTCTGCATTGCTCACACTGGGAGCTACAGACTGGAGCTGTTCCTATTCGACCATCTTGGAACCAGATCCCAGGAGTAGCTATTCTTATATCAGACTAAACAAACTTTAAAGCAGCAGCAGTTAAAAAAGATAAAGAGGGACATTATATAGTTATAAAAGGACTAGTTCAACAGGATAATAATCACAATTCTAAATATATATGAACCTAACACTGGAGATCCCAAATTTATAAAACAATTACTACTCAACCTAAGAAATGAGATAGATGACAACACAATAATAGTGGGGGACTTTAATACTCCAGTGACAGCACTAGACAGGTCATCAAGACAGAAAGTCAACAACAACAAAAAATGGACTTAAACTATACCTTAGAGAAAATGGGCTTAACAGATATTTATAGAAGATTCTATCCAACAACTGCAGAATATACATTCTATTCATCAGCACATGGAACATTCTCCAAGATAGACCACAAAACAAGTCTCAATAAATTTAAGAAAATCAAAATTGTATCAAGTAGTCTGTCAGACCACAGTAGAATAAATTGGATATCAACTCCAAAAGGAGCCCCCAAAACCATTCAAATAGATGGAAATTAAATAACCTGCCCCTGATTGATCATTGGGTCAACAAAGAAATCAAGATAAAAATTTAAAAAATGTTTGAACTGAACCATAATAGTGACACAACCTATAAAACCTCTGGGATACAGCAAAAATGGTGCTAAGAGGAAAGTTCATAGCATTAAATGCCTACATCAAAAAGTCCAAAAGAGCACAAATAGACAATCTAAGGTCACACCTCACAGAACTGGAGAAACAAGAACAATCCAAACCCAAACTCAGCAGAAGAAAAGAAATAACCAAGATCAGAGCGGAACTAAATGAAATTGAAACAACAAAAACAATACAAAAGATAAATGAAACAAAAAACTGTTTCTTTGAAAGATAAATAAAATTGATAGATTATTAGCAAGATTAACCAATAAAAGAAGAGAGAAGGTCCAAATAAGCTCAATTAGAAACAAAACGGGAGATATTAGAACTGATACCACAGAAAAACAAAAGTTTATGCAAGGCTACCATGAACACCTTTACATGCATAAACTGGAAAACCTAAAGGAGATGGATAAATTCCTGGAAATATACAGCCCTCCTCGATTAAAACGGGAAGACATAGAAACTCTGAGCAGACCAATAACAATCAGCGACATTGAAATGGTAATAAAAAAATTGCTAACAAAAAAAATCCATGGTCAGACGGATTCACAGCTGAATTCTATCAGACATTCAAAGAAGAATTGGCTCCAATCCTGTTGACACTATTCCAAAAGTTAGAGAAAGAGGGAACCCTCCCTAAATCATTCTATGAAGCCAGTTAACATCCTAATACCAAAACCAGAAAAGGACATAACAAAAAAAGAAATCTACAGACCAATATCCCTGATGAACATAGATACAAAAACACTCAACAAAATAATAGCTAACTGAATCCAACAGCATATCAAAAAGATAATTTAGCATGATTAAGTGGGTTTCATATCCAGGATGCAGAGATGGTTTAACATCCAGAAGTCAATAATGTAATATACCACATAAACAGAATTAAAAACAAAAATCACATGATTATCTCAATGGACACAGAAAAAAACATTTGACAAAATCCAGCATCCCTGTATAATTAAAACTCTCAGCAAAATCGGCATAGAAGGGACTCACCTTAAGGAAATAAAAGCCATCTATGACTAACCCACAGCCAACATAATACCGAATGGAGAAAAGTTGAAAGCATTTCCCCTGAGAACTGGAACAAGACAAGGATGCTCACTCTCACCACTTCTATTCAACATAGTACTGGAAGTCCTAGCCAGAGCAATCAGACAAGAGAAAGAAATAAAGGGCATCCAAATTGGTAAAGAGGAAGTCAAACTGTCACTGTTTGCTGATGATACGATCATATACCTAGAAAAATCTAAAGATTCCCCCAAAACTCCCAGAACTGATAAATAAATTCAGCAAAGTTTCAAGATACAAAATTAATGTACACAAATTAGTAGCTCTGCTATATGCCAACAGCGACCAAACTGATAATCAAATCAAGAACTCAACCCATTTTACAATAGTTGCAAAAAAATTACTTAGGAATATATCTAACCAAGGACATGAAAGACCTCCACAAGGAAAACTCAAAACACTGCTGAAGGAAATCATAGATGACACAATCAAATGGAAACACATCCCATGCTCATGGATGAGTACAACCAATATTGTGAAAATGACCATACTGCCAAAAACAATCTACAAATTCAATGCAATTATCATCAAAATACCACCATCATTCTTCGCAGAAAGAAAAAAACAGTCCTAAAATTCATATGGAACCAAAACAGAGCCTGCATAACCAAATCAAGACTAAGCAAAAATAAGCAAATCTGGAGGTATTGCATTACCAGACTTCAAACTATACTACAAGTCCATAGTCACCAAAACATCATGGTACTGGTATAAAAATAGGCACACAGACCAATGGAACAGAATAGAGAACTCAGAAGTAAACCCAAATATTACAGCCAACTGATCTTTGACTAAGCAAGCAAAAACATAAAGTGGGGAAAGGACACCCTATTCAGCAAATGGTGCTGGGATAATTGGCAAGCCACGTGTAGAAGAGTAAAACTGGATCCTCATCTCTCACCTTTTACAAAAATCAACTCAAGATGGATCAGAGACTTAAATGTAGGACCTGAACCCATAAAAACTCTAGAAGATAACATCGGAAAAACCCTCCTTGACGTTGGCTTAGGCAAAGAATTCGTGACCAAGAACCCAAAAGCAAATGCAACAAAACAAAGATAAATTGACGGAATTTAACTAAACTAAAAAGCTTCTGCACAGCAAAAGAAATAATCGGCAAAGTTGGCAGAGTTCACAGACAACCCACAGAGTGGGAGAAAATCTTCACAATCTACACATCCAACAAAGGACTAATATCCAGAATCTACAAGGAACTCAAACAAATCAGCAAGAAAAAGACAAACAATCCCATCAAAAAGTGGGCTAAGGACATGATTGGACAATTCTCAAAGGAAGGTATACAAATGGCCAACAAGCATATGGAAAAATGCTCAATATCACTAATTATCAGAAAACTGCAAATCAAAACCACAATGCAATGCCACCTCCCTCCTGCAAGAATGGCCATTACAAAAAAATCCAAAAATAATAGATGTTGTCATATACGCGGTGAAAAGGGAATACTTTTACACCATTGGTGGAAATGTAAACTAGTACAAACACTATGGGAAACAGTGTGGAGTTTCCTTAAAGAGCTAAAAGTACATCTACCGTTTGATCCAGCAATCCCACTACTAAGTATCTACCCCAGGAAAAGAAATCATTTTACGAAAAAATACTTGCACATGCATGTTTATAGCAGCACAATTTGCAATTTCAAAAATATGGAACCAGCACAAATGACCATCAACCAACAAGTGGATAAAGAAAATGTTATATATATACACCATGGCATACTACTCAGCCATCAGAAGGAAGGAAATAATGGCATTTGTAGCAACCTGGATGGAATTGGAGACTATTATTCTAAGTGAAGTAACTCAGGAATGGAAAGCCAATCATTGAACGTTCTCACTCATATGTGGGAGATAAGCTATGAGGACACAAAGGCAAAAGAATGATATATTGGACTTTGGGGACTTTGGGGAAAGGGCAGGAGGTGGGTGAGGGATAAAAGACTACACGTTGGGTACAGTGCTTGGGTGATGGGTGCACCACAATCTCAGAAATCACCCCTAAATAACTTATTCATGTAACCAAACACCACCTGCTCTCTCAAAACCCACTGAAATTAAAAATAAATTAAAAAAAACAGACAAGTAAGACAAAAAGATCAAAAACTCTATGTTTTGAACACAGACTGTTCCAGCCTGACTTTGCTTTTAGAAATTGCCTTGTTTCTCTTCAACAGACCGTACTTTTTAGTGTGCACAATAAACAAGTGCTCAGGCCGAGATGCAAGGGAAAGGGATCCTAAGAGTTGGCAAACAATACATGGACAGGCACGTTGTTAAAAAAAACAAGGAAGCTGAGCCTGTGCTCACGGACCCAGGAATACCAAGCAGTGACTGTGCCGAGTTCCACAGGCAGACAATGGGGCTTCTTAGCTTTCATTCCTGGCAGTTCCACTTGGGGAGAGGGATGTAGCTCCTCCTGGCAGTCAGGATGTGACAAGAATAATGTGCCCCACGTTCTTGAGGAAATATTTTAAGAACGTGTCTGTAGTTTGTCTTTTGGGGTTTCTTAGCAAGTAATCAGAAAGTCAGCATGCTGATAGTTTAAGGCTAGTTGATTTTTTTTTTCATGACTGTGTAAATGGTACAATTTTTTTAAAAAATGTGGAGGTTTAAAGTACCAGTTTTATTTAATGGAAAAGCTGGATGGAAGAAAGATGTGTGGATTAAATGCCAAAACACAGCTTCCTTGTCTTTTCTTCTACAAATTGAGTTAATTCATTTAGCCACTCAGAGTTTAAAAATAGCCAGTGGAAACTTAGCTGGGCCTGCTTGAGAGGGAGGAAGGCAGGGAGCCACTGCCACTGGTCAAGGGCAGGTAGGGAAGTTTGCAGGAGGTCATAGACTACCTTGGCTTTGAGTGTCTCTAAATGGAGAATGGGATGGGAGTCAAGCCCCTAAACACATACATTAAGGAAGTACATGATTTGTAGCTGTGGTGAAACAGATAATTGAATTGGGCAGAGTTTCCAGCTGCCTTGTAAGCTCGGTCTGGCCTGACCATGTGACCCTGATGAATAATACATTGGCAGAACAATGAGATCTATTGACATATCCAAGCTAGTTTTGAGTTCTGCTAAAAGCAAAATCAAACTATTTCTATTGTAGTACTGATTTACAGAAGAAATGCAAATATATTTAAAACAGGTTTTACAAAACTATTTAACATACAGACCTCTTTTAAGGGAAATAGTTTATGGATTTCCACCACTGAGTTAAATTTCTTTTACTATAATGATAGTCTCTCTTTTATTTTTTTTTCTTGTACTTATTGAGTAATGAGCCCTCAATTGAGGAGATTCTTGGATCTTGAGTTTCTAGAATTCGGAAAAGTGTTACCCATTATTGCTTCAAATATTTTTCTGCCCCCATCCCACCCTGGTTAATCTAGTAACACATATAATTAGCTTGCTTGAAGTTGTTCCATGGCTCACTGATACTCTGTTTCTTTTTATTTTTGAGTTTTTTCTCTTTTTTAGGTATCATTGTCCTGCACAGTCTGATGTCCTATGTGTCTTATATTTTTTCCTGCTTTCCAGTTACCTCCAACAGGTGGATAAAATTGGTCCCTGTTAATTCATCCTAGCTGGAAGTGGAACCAACAACAGCCACTTCCAAAACCTCTCTCAAAAGATTAAGGAAGCTTTCTTATTCCAAAAACCCTCTGGAAATGTCTTCTTCAGGTTCATTGACGATTTAAGGTCATGCATTTACCCTAAATCTATAATTCTTGCAAGATGGGACTGTGATTTTTAAGCAGGCTTGAACTACCTGTGCCACTGCTAGAGTTAGAGGTAGAGTTAGCTGTTCTCTAAGTCGGCTTCTCACCTTGAGCAATAGTGACATTGTGGGCTGGATAAATCTTTGGTGTGAGGGGCCGTCCTGTGCACTGTAGTATATTTAGCAGCATTCCTGTCCTCTATTTATGAGTTGCCAGAAGTTGCCTTTCCATATTGTGACAACTAAAAATGTCTCCAGACATTGCCAAACATCCTGGGTGTAGGGGCAAAATAGCTCGCAGGGGAGACCCCCTGTTCTAAGTATGTAGGCTTCATGAAGAGGTGTGAATACCAAATAAATATGGAGTTGTTACCAAGAGAAGGGGAGGCAACCACAGTATCCATTGCAATATACAAGCATCATATTTTATGGCAAAAGACATTTATAAATTATTTTGGTATATATTTGGAGTAACGTATAATCCTTAGGTACTAATAACAAGCAAGTTACGGATAGCTAAGAGAATCAAATTAGGTACATATACAAAGGCACAATGTGAAGTATAAAACCTTAAACACTTAGAGGTACAAAAAGTGAAAACCCTAAACACATACTATGTATGTGTACCTAAGTTGATCTAATTTGTACACCGTTACATGTTTCATGTTATGATTAGGGTAGATGGTAGTGAAGAGAACACCTGATAAATTTAGGACCTAAAGAACATTTAGGGGAACTTCATCATTTTGTAATAAGCATCACCCTGTGTTTAAACAGCATACGAGCATTCTTCCAGGTGTAGCTACAGGTACCTGGAAGGAATATTGGGAACAGATAAACAGTGACCATTTTGCCTGAGACCCTGAGAAGACTGCCCATCTGATCTCTCTCTGATATTAGACTCACTAGGGATAGATAAAGAATGAAATACTGGCTGTTTTCTAAAATGCAATTGCTGAAGCCTTTAAAATTCAATGGGGGTATCATTAGGATTTATCTATTCTTTTAAAACTATTACCTTTTAATGAAACTATTACATGTAGAGCACTTAGTTTACAAAAGGATTTTCAAATCATTATCCTGTTTAACGTGCAAAGTCCTTGTGACTTGGTTAATATTAATATTATTTTCCTTTTAGACTTGTGGAAATTGAGTGTCAAAGGCTTTAAGAAACTTACCCAAGGTCACACAGAAGGTAAATGAAAGAGCTGGAGTTTGATACCAGATCTGAACCCTGTCATTCCAGGTTGCATTTTTTCCCTCTTCAATCTACTTTTTTAAGCTGATAGACCACGATGCATTCTTTCTAAATTAAGAAGTGGGGAAATTTGCTGTTTGCAAAATTACTAGCTCTGAGTCTATAGATGCTCCAATGCAACCTTCAGGGTCAAGCACTTTGGCAGTGCCAAATAGTTTGTTTCTGACTAGTGTAGACAAGCATTTAGACAGCACATAACTAGCTTTGTGAGCGTTGCTTACACAAAACACCTGCCACCAACCCTCTCTGGCCATCAGTGTCCTGTCTCAGAGAAGCACAACTTCTTTGTCATAGACCCTGGGCAATTTTTAACCACAGGAAAAAGCTTTGCTACTTCAAGGCTGGTCCTAAGACTAGCAGTGTTGATATCACCTTTGTTAGAAATGAAGAATTTCAGGCCATAGCACAAACCTACTTAATCAGAATCTCCATTAACAAGCTCCCTGTGTGATTCATATACACATTAATGTTTGAGAAACACTGTGTTAGATACAGGTACCCTAGGTGACTTCTCAAAGTCCTCTCCAGTCTAGTGGTTCTTTGACCCAATGGCAAATGATCTGGGCAATTTTGATAATTCTGATGGGGTGTGCCTAATCACATTAGTGATGTTATGGCTTTTGCTAAGGCTGTTATAGATGATATCAACACACAAGATCTGCCTTAACACACCATGAAATCATGCAAGGTATTTGTCTCTGAAGATCCCAGGGGCATAAGTGCATTAGACAGGCACAGGCTGGACATGAATACCACCCAGGAGCATGGCTCCTAGTGCCAGATGCATTATGCTTATGCTATCCACAGTGATTAAATCAGGTGGCTATAAATTGTGATGTCTTAATGAGTGATACTTTCAGATCTTCACAGATAACTTGTTTTATTCTGTAACCTCTAAGGAACGTAGATATTATCTCATAGACTGATGATAATGATGGGTCCAAAATTTGATTTTCAACTTTGTCACCTACTAGTTACTAAGTACAAAAAAATCTGATTTTTCTAGGCCTCATTTTCTGTAAATTGAAAAGATTAGACTGATAATCTAATCTAATCTTGTTGTAATCCATTAAAACAAACACACCTGTGGCCAGACAGAGTTAGAGTGATAATCTATTTTTACAACAGCTATAAAGCATGATCGCATGTACACTGTGTATCATTTTATGATAATTAACCAATTAGACCATAAAAATGGTGAACCTAAACTGACAGGGACTTGGAAAGGAATTTGAAAGATTGCTAAGAATACTCTTCCAGGATAATTTAAGTGATAACCACAAACTGAAAGATGGAGGCCACCATGACCTGCTGAGACAGCTTGTGACTGAAAACTGTTGTTTGAGCTTGACTCATGTGCTCAAAGTTCAGATCCTTAAAGGGACACTTCCCCTAAAGAAACAGAAAACAACATAACATTTAATTTTGCTTCTGGAGGAGGCCAGGGCCTACCTAGACAAAACTGAGCTTTGCTAGTTCAGCTTCTTTATTTAATGAAGGTTCAGTAATTATGGCATGTATTATCAAGCAAAATCTTTCTATTGAAAGCACCAGAACTTATTCTTTCAAAACAATATTTAATTGTGGAATATATAAAAAAATACAGAAAGTAATAACTAGATACCCATATCTATTAAATTAATAAATACTAACATTTTGTGATATTTCCTTTAGATTCTTCATTTTTTCTCTATAGAAATTAATTATACCTACAGTTGAAGTCACACTCATTCTTACATCCACCCCAAAACTATGATTTTGAAGTAGTTTGTATTATTCCCTTGAATATTTTTGACACTTTTACACATATTTATGTATCTTAAATAATGCATACAATCATTTTGTTTTAATTTTTCAAGGATGCAATTTGTAGCAGATGCTAAATTCCCTCAAGCCACTGGATTTTAGGGAACCTGTAGGGGACAGTTGCATGAATGCTGCCAGGTCCCCTTCAAGCAATTTTCAGTGAATCTCTGCTCTTCTACATCAGGGTTTTCCCTGAAGACCTGGAAGTTCCTTGGCTGCACAGGCACAGACTACAACTGTGGAGGAGTAATACCAGGAGCAACCCTGAACTAATGAGCAGCAGAGTCAAGGGATAAATTTTCCAGGCTCTTGTTCTCTTCATGAAAAGTTATGAGGCACAGTCCATACTATTCCTTGGAGATCCCAAAGCAGGATAGTATCACAGTTGCTCAAAGAGGTAACAAACACAATAAAACATCCTGTATTTGCCTTGCTTCCTTCCTTGCCTCACTCTGTTTGCCCCTTTGCTCTGTTTCCTGGGATAACTTCCCAAATAAACCACCAAGTCCATATCTCATTACTGAATTCTCTAATTAGTTCAAATACTTTGGTTACAAATCATTGAATTTTACTGCAGTGTGTCCAAAAATGTGGTATGATTGTTACTGATGCTTTCTGTTTATTGAGACTGGTTTTGTGACCTAGCACATGACTAACTTTTGCTAAATGTTTCATGTTTGTTTGAGAAGGAGTATTCTCTAATTATTGAGTGCAGACTTCTATATATGTCTACAAATCAAGTTTGTTAAATTTTTTGGTTAAAATCTTCTATTAGGTTTTTGTCTTCTTGATACATTTCTGAAAGAAATGTGTAGTTGTAGATTTATCATTGTTTCCTTTTCAGTCTGTCAGTTTTGATTTTTATATTTTGAGGCTATGTTGTTAAGTTCATACAGCTTCAGGGTGGGTATATCTTTGTCTCAAACAATACATTTTCTCCTAATGTATTTTGTCTTCTACTAATATAGTTTACTCAGTACTTTTTCTGTTCTAACTTTTCTCATCCACTTTCTCTCAAACTTTCTGGTGTAGTTATGATTTAATGTGTCTCTTGTGATTGTCAATCCAGAAAAATGATGAGACAAGTCTCAAGCATTTTAGCAGGTTTGTTTGCCAAAGTTAGGGATGCATGCCTGGGAGACAGGTCTATATGCCTTTCTCTGAAGAAAGGGGAAAGGCCGTGATATTGAGAAGTACACAATTTTTATGTAAGAGGAGGTAGGGAAAAATAGTTATTCATGCCTTTGGCTCAATGAATCTTCATTTTTTTTTTTTTTACATAAAATGACATGAACAAATGGGGCAGAGGAAAAATGCAGGGATAACATAGACAAAATGGGGCAGGAGAACAATCAGATATGCATTTGTGTCTGGTGGACTAGGAGTGACTGCACCTATAAAGATAAGCTATCAATTTACATTGCCATGGTGGAATTTTAACAGAAACACCTTAAAAGATCTTGCAGCTCACTAGGAATTTCCTTGTGGACAAAATATGGGGAGGTGTGTAGATTTTCATCTTGTAGTCATCTTATTTAGGAACCAAAATGGTGAGGCAGGTTTTCGTGACCCAGTTCCTAGCTTGACTTTTCCCTTTGGCTAAATGAGTTTGGGGTCTCAAAATTTAATTTCCTTTCACATGATCAACACACAGTTGGATTTTTTTTGTCAGTTTTATGAATTACTGTATGTTTCACTAGGAATTTTGATGAATTTATATTTATTACAGTTATATTTCTATTGCTTACATTCTGTTGTGTTTCTATTTGGCAGGCATTTTTTCCTCTCTGTGTCTTTTTTTCTCCTTAATATTATAGGGGTCAGCAAACTATTTTATATAAATAAAGTTTTTATTTTTCTCCTTAATATTATAGGGGTTGTCACCAAACTATTTTATATAAATAAAGTTTTGTTGGAACATAGCCACACTCATTCAATTATATATAGCACATAGCTGCTTTCATACTACAATGCTAGAGCTGTATATTTGCAACAGAAATTATATGGTCTGTAGTGACTAAAATATTTACTATTAGGACATTTCAGAAAAAAATTGTCAACTCCTGTTGTACTGGATTCAAGCATTTCTTGTCTCTTTTCCTTTGAAATTAAGAGATTGTAATTTTATTCCTATAATAGTTACCTTTACATTAAAAAAAGAAATCAGGATCTTTTTATCCAAAAACAATTTGTCTTGATGGAGGGCATCTGGCTGTTTTGGGGATACTATTCCTGACCTTCTTTTGACTAAAAAAGCTTCCTGCCTGCCATACCAGCAAAAAATCACCACGTACTCCCCGTCTCTACTAAAAGCACAAAAATTAGCCAGGCATGGTGACATGTGCCTGTAATCCCAGCTACTCAGGAGGCTGAGGCAGGAGAATTGCTTGAACCCGGGAGGTGGAGGTTGCAGTGAGCCACGATCACACCACTGCACTCCAGTCTGGGTGACAGAGCAAGACTCTGTCTCAAAAAAAAAAAAAGAAAAAATCACCATGTACCAATCTGTCCAAGCTTATCCATGGATGGGACTACCGGGAAAACAGGAGTTCTGATGCTTGTCTTGCTCTGAATGTCTGCTTGTCACCTGCTTAAGGTTATCGACTGTGATTCCGTGAATCATTGTTGTACATGACCCCTGTGACTCTGTAGTTTCTCTACTGGATTAACAATGATAGCCATAGGGGTTTTGTTTTGTTTTGTTTTTTCCTTACTGGAGTGACAGCCCTGTATAAAGTTACAAAGTTACAGTCGATGAGAACTTGCAGAAAACCACAAGACCAAGACTAGGAGTGATTTGAAGGAGTGGAAGTCCCCGAGGCACTATAGAACCTTCCATGACTCAGTTACTAATCGCAAGCACCTCGCTGTAGCTGTACATTGAACCTTGATATCTTCAGGTCTTTGGAACTTTTAAGTCTCCTGAGGATTTTTTTTTTAATACAAATAAAATCTGGCTTAAAAAAAAAAAGAAAAGGAAACAGGCCAGGTGTAGTGTCTCATGCCTATATTCCCAGCACTTTTGGAGGCCAAGGTAGGAGGATCACTTGAGGCCAGGAATTTGAGACCAGCCTATGCAACATAGCAAGACTCCACCTCTACAAAAAAAAAAAAAGTAAAAAAGCATACCCGTAAAAAGCCAAAAGTTAATATATCTACATTTTTGTGAACAAAACAATGAACTTTAGAACTCTTTAGTTCTAATCACCTTCTCCACTTTCCATTTTTGTTTAATATTTTAGTTTCATCTCATTAAAATTCTTCTATCTAGTAGTCATTATTATTATTGTTTTTCAATAGCCAATTTTTATTTACTCAAATATTTACCACATTATTTGATACATACTGCTTTTTTATACCCAACTCTTTTCTTTTCAGTTGAATTTCCTCTTTCTAAAGTACTTCCTTTATATAATAGTTCTTTCAAGAACCATTTGAAAATCCTTACTGCTCATTGCATATGGCATACACATTCAGATTTATTTTATTTTATTTTATCTCACCCTTGAATGATAATTTAGCTGATATTTTTCCTCAATACTCTGGAGATATTATTATATTATTTTGGGATCTCTATTTTTTTTCTATTGAGAAGTCAGCTTTAGTCTAACAGTCACTTTGTAAGTAATCTATATTTTCATTCTAACTGCTGTTAAGTTTTTTTCATTATTTACGGTGTTTTACAGTTTTATTCTGATGTGTCTAGGTGTGAATTAATTTTTGTTTAGCTTAGTGGTCAATGCTGCCAGGTCCCCTTCAAGCAATTTTCAGTGAATCTCTGCTCTTCTACATGAAATTCTTATATTTGAGAATTAAGAAATGAAATTCTTATATTTGAGAATTAAATTCTTTCACTGATTCTGAAAAATTCTCATCAAATATTACCTCTTCCCCAATTAATCTATTTCTTCCTTTGTAACTTTTCTAGATATATATTGTCTGATATCCTCTATCTCAATAGTTAATTTCATAGGATTCATGGACATTAATTCTATCCAACACAAACTCCCACAAATTTCTTCCTCAGCATCCTGCAAATGTTTCAATATATGCAACTCTACTTATTTCTTTTCTTTTTTAAATTAAAATAAAAATTTGTAGAGACAGAGTCTCACTCTGTTGCCTCAGCTGGACTGAAACTTCTAGGCTCAAGGGATTCTCCTGCCTCAGCCTCCTAAGTAGTTTGGGACTACAGGCACATACCACATCTCTTCTTATTTCTTTACTTCGGTTTCACATAGGCATTAAGACACAGGTTTTGGTATGACACTTATGTTTACATTTGTGTTTTATTTGTACTATATATTCCCAACCTCAGTTTTAGATTCAACAGATGCTAAATGGAGAAAAAAAAGAGTATATACCACTTAAGGTTGCTGTGAGGACAAAATAAGATAACATACATAACACTTAGTTGGGTGTGTGGCATAGTAAGCACTCAATATAATGGAATAATGAAAACAGTTATTATCATCTACTCAAGATAAATTTTCACACCTATGTTCACTGTCCATCTCCTCTGTAATTTTCAATGTTTACTTTTTCCTCTAGTATTTTCAGCTTCTTTCCCTCTACTGGATCCTACCTCATAGGCTATAAAAATATTCTCTTTGTCCAAAATAAAAATTTCTGTCTCTACCCTGAGGTTTCCCTTCAGTTTCCACACTTTAAAAAAAAATCTTCCTCCATGGCTCACACCTGTAATCCCAGCACTTTGGGAGGCCGAGGAGGGTGGATCATGAGGTCAAGAGATCGAGACCATCCTGGCCAACATGGTGAAACCCCATCTCTACTAAAAATACAAAAAATTAGCTGGGCGTGGCGGCGCGTGCCTGTAGTCTCAGCTACTCGGGCGGCTGAGGCAGGAGAATCGCTTGAACCCAGGAGGCAGAGGCCGCAGTGCAGTGGCGCACTGCAACTTGGTGATAAAGCGAGACTCTGTCTCAAAAAAAAAAAAAAAAAATCTCCCTTTCTCAGCCATATTCTTTTATTGTAGTAAAATAAAATAAAATTTACCATGTAACCAATTTTAAGTGTACAGTTCAGTAGTATTAAACAAATTCATAATGCTGTTTATCCATCATCTCCATCCATCTCCATAACTTTTTTCATCTTGTAAAACAGAAACTCTATACCTATTAAACAGTAACTCTTCATTCCCCTTCCCACTAGCTCATGGTAACCACTATGCTACTTTCTGTCTCTGTGAATTTGACTACTCTAAGTGCCTCAGGTAAGTGGAATCATACAGTATTTGTTTTTATATGACTGGCTTATTTCATTTAGCATAATATTCTTAAGATTCATTCATGTTGTAGTATATGTCAGAATTCCTATCTTTTTAAGCCTAACGATATTCCATTGTATATGTATACTACACTTTGCTTATCTACCCACCCACCGATGAACATTTGGGTTGGATCCATGTTTTAGCTATTGTGAATAATCCTGCTATGACCATGAGTGTACAAATACCTCACTGAGACTTTGCTTTCAATTATTTTGGGCATATACACAGAAGTGAAATTGCAAGATCATATGGTAATTCTATTTTTAACTTTTTGAGCACCAACCATACTGTTTTCTACAGGCAGCTGCAACATCTTACATTACATTTTACAGTGCACAGGGGTTCCAACTTCTCCACATCCTTGCCAACACTTGTTATTTTCTGTTTTGTTTTGTTTATGATGGCCATCCTAGTGGATGTGAGGTAGTTCAACATAAGTTTTTATTTCGCTTGGGTAAATACCTAGGAGTGGGATTGCCGGACTATATGGTACATCTATATTTAAATTTATATTAAATTGTTGAGCCATTTTTCAAAATGAATGTACCTTTTTACATTCTGTCTAGTGATATTGAGAGTTTTAGTTGCTCTATAGCTTTGTTAGCACTAGACATCCTCCTACAAAATTTTAGCCATTCTAGTAAGAAAATGGTAGTATCTTATTGTGGTTTTAATTTTTACTTTCCTAATAACGAATGATTTTGAACTTCTTTTCATGTGCTTATATGCCATTTGTATTTGTATCTCTTCTCAGTCACATGTTCAAATCTTTTGCCCATTTAAAATTCGGTTGTTTTTACTATTTTTTGATTTCTTAATATTTAGATACAAGTCCTTTATCAGATATCTTTTTTTGCATTTTCTTTTGGTAGTTTGTCACTTTGTCTTTTAATTCTCTTTATAGCGATTTTTGAAGAGCAAAAATTTTTGTGGATTTCATGTCTAAAAGTCTTTGTCTAAGCCAAGGTCACAAAGATTTTCTCCTGTGTTTTATTCCAGAAGTGTAATAGTTTTAGATCCATGATCCATCTTGAGTTGATTTTTGTGTATGCTGTGAAATAAAGTTGAGGCTTTTTTGTTTTTGTTTTTTGCATATAGATGTCCAGTTTTTCTAGCACATAGGATGTGTTCAATAACATTAATACAATATTCATTATACAGTAGTATGATATTCATTGTACAAAGAGAAGAAATAGAAGAATCAGCTGGACCCCAAAGCTGTCTTGGCTTTCTAATATGCCTCAGGGGCAAAAATGTTCTAGTTTAACTACTTTCAAGCACAAATGCCTAGTTAGAAAATATTAATTGGACTAGCTCTATCTCTGCTGATCTCTCTCATGCTTGAGTTTTTATGACATTGAAAGATTTATTATACGATCTAGTGCTTATTGTTTTAAATATTTTCCTGTATATTATTATTTCTGCATTTCACTTTCTGTTTTCCTGTGCATTATTAATATATTTCTACATTTCATTAAATGCTCTGAGAGCTTCTTGATTTGTGACTCTAATAATGGTTAGCTAAGTTCCTCTCCATTGGTTACTGATAGATTAACTGACGCCTGACTTCTGAGTAAAGCAGTTGCTGTACAGGTAACATTTACTTTCTTCTATTTATTTATTTTTTTTTGAGACAGAGTCTCACTCTGTCGCCCAGGCTGGAGTGCAGTGGCGTGATCTCTGCTCACTGCAAGCTCCGCCCCCTGGGTTCACGCCATTCTCCTGCCTCAGCCTCCCGAGAAGCTGGGACTACAGGCGCCCACCACTATGCCCGGCTAAATTTTTTTTTTTTTTTTTTTTTTTTTTGTATATTTAGTGGAGACGGGGTTTCACCGTGTTAGCTAGGATGGTCTTGATCTCCTGACCTCGCGATCCACCCGCCTCGGCCTCCCAAAGTGCTGGGATTACAGGCATGAGCCACCGCGCCCGGCAACATTTACCTTCTTTGAGTTGAACACTGTCATGTGATACAGTTTTAAAAGTAAACCAGTGAGTGAAGGTTATATTCTCTTTTAGATATAACTATGACAAACAACACATCGTGCTGACTTGTTCTTAGACTGAAAAGTACAAATTTTGAGCACAGCTTCCTGTTCTTTAGAAACATGTAATTTTAGTCAGCAAACATTAGCAAATTGGAGAGTTTTGAATTATTTATTTATTGCACAATCACAAATTTACAGCCTTGTGAATGTTAATATTTTCTGGGAATGAGAACAGACAAAAAGATAAAAAGCTTTAGAGATAGTCCTTAGTTACCCATAGTTTTGAAGCCTAAATTCAATTGCACAGGAAAAACAAAAAAACAAAAAAAACAAAACAAGATAAAGAACTAGAGTAGTAATTAGCCTGAAAGTCAGAAGATCAGAGTTCTTTAGTTCTGGCTCTGGTTCTAGTCAACTGTGAGATTTTTGAGTAAGTCTAAAATCTTGCTGGGTCTCCAAATCCTCATATTTAAAACCAGAGCCTTGAATTTTTTTTTTTTTTTTTGAGACACAGTTTCACTTATAGCCCAGGCTGGAGTGCAATGGGGCGATCTGGGCTCACTGCAACCTCCACCTTCAGGGCTCAAGCGATTCTCCTGCCTCAGCCTCCAGAGTAGCCGGGATTATAGGCGCCTGCCACCACGCTTGGCTAATTTTTGTATTTTTAGTAGAGACAGGGTTTCACTATGTTGGCCAGGTTGGTCTTGAACTCCTTACCTCAGGTGATCCGCCTGCCTTGGCCTCCCAAAGTGCTGGGATTACAGGGGTGAGCCACCATGCCTGGCCTCAGAGGCTTGAATTCTGATGATTGGTAATGCCTCTTCCTGTTTTCAGATTCTACTATTTATTTAAATCAACAACAACTGTGGTAGAAAGAATATGTAATGATAATGGAAAGTGTTAGCAGTAGAAAAATGAGCTGTAGAATGGAGAGGAATAAAGGAATGATTTTTTTTTTTTCGGGAAGGAGAATTTCTCCCTGAATGAATGATCTTTTGATAGAGGAAGGCTTAATGCTTTAACCTGAAAGCTGGCATTTCACATAATCTGAACTGAATAGTTTTGTGATCATTTCACTGTTTAAAAAGATGTTGAAGTTCATAGATATGTCCATCTAAACATTGAGTGAGACCAAGATATAAATGGATGAGTTACATAGAACTAAGATTTTTTTTTAAATAGAAATAGGATATCATGAAGAACATTCTATGCTCATGGGTAGGAAGAATCAATATTGTGAAAATGGCCATACTGCCCAAGGTAATTTATAGATTCAATGCCATCCCCATCAAGCTACCAATGACTTTCTTCACAGAATTGGAAAAAACTACTTTAAAGTACATATGGAATGAAAAAAGAGCTTGCATTGCCAAGTCAATCCTAAGCCAAAAGAACAAAGCTGGAGGCATCACACTACCTGACTTCAAACTATACTACAAGCCTACAGCAACCAAAACAGCATGGTACTGGTACCAAAACAGAGATATAGACCAATGGAACAGAACAGAGCCCTCAGAAATAATGCCGCATATCTACAACTATCTGATCTTTGACAAACCTGACAAAAACAAGAAATGGGGAAAGGATTCCCTGTTTAATAAATGGTGCTGGGAAAATTGGCTAGCCATATGTAGAAAGCTAAAACTGGATCCCTTCCTTACACGTTATACAAAAATTAATTCAAGATGGATTAAAGACTTAAATGTTAGACCTAAAACTGTAAAAACCCTAGAAGAAAACCTAGGCATTACCATTCAGGACATAGGCATGGGCAAGGACTTCATGTCTAAAACACCAAAAGCAATGGCAACAAAAGCCAAAATTAACAAATGGGATCTAATTAAACTAAAGAGCTTCTGCACAGCAAAAGAAACTACCCTCAGAGTGAACAGGCAACCTACAGAATGGGAGAAAATTTTTGCAATGTACCCATCTGACAAAGGGCTAATATCCAGAATCTACAAAGAACTTAAACAAGTTTACAAGAAAAAATCAAACAACCCCATCAAAAAGTGGGCGAAGTATATGAACAGACACTTCTCAAAAGAAGACATTTATGCAGCCAAAAAACACATGAAGAAATGCTCATCATCACTGGCCATCAGAGAAATGCAAATCAAAACCACAATGAGATACCATCTCACACCAGTTAGAATGGCAATCAGTAAAAAGTCAGGAAACAACAGGTGCTGGAGAGGTTGTGGAGAAATAGGAACACTTTTACACTGTTGGTGGGACTGTAAACTAGTTCAACCATTGTGGAAGTCAGTGTGGCGATTCCTCAGTGATCTAGAACTAGAAATACTATTTGACCCAGCCATCCCATTACTGGATATATACCCAAAGGATTATAAAACATGCTGCTATAAAAACACATGCACATGTATGTTTACTGTGGCACTATTCATAATAGCAAAGACTTGGAACCAAGCCAAATGTCCAACAATGATAGACTGGATTAAGAAAATGTGGCACATATACACCATGGAATACTATGCAGCCATAAAAAAGGATGAGTTCATGTCCTTTGTAGGGACATGGATGAAGCTGGAAACCATCATTCTGAGCAAACTCTCGCAAGGACAGAAAACCAAACACCGCATGTTCTCACTCATCGGTGGGAATTGAACAATGAGATCACATGGACACAGGAAGGGGAACATCACATACTGGGGCCTGTTGTTGGGTGGAGGGAGGGGGGAAGGACAGCATTAGGAGATATACCTAATGTTAAATGACGATAATGGGTGCAGCACACCAACATGGCACATGTATACATATGTAACAAACCTGCACTTTGTGCACATGTACCCTAAAACTTAAAGTAGAATAATAAAAAAAGAATAAAATTTACGTCTTTTATATTAAAAAAAAAGAAATAGGATTTCACTTTGTTGCCCAGACTGGTCTCAAACTCGTGGCCCTCAAGTGATTCTCCTGCCTCAGTCCTCCAAAGTGTTAGGGTTACAAATGTGAAGCACTGTGCCTGGTGTAAAACTAGAAATTCTTGCACCATTCTCAATTATTTGCCTTTTATTCTGGATCCACAGGGACTAAATCTCTATGATCTCCATGACCAAAACTTGTCAATAATTTCTGCAAAGTTATTAATTAACCAATTCAGCTAAAAGTCCAATTAGTGTGGAAGACAGCATGTTGCTAAAAATGATGGTTGTGGCTTTGTGAAGCCCATTCTGGGTGGCAAGCTCATATTCCTTTTTCTCTTCTTTGAGGGTGACAGTGGTTGCTCTGTCCCAGCCTGTGTCATGGGTGGTCCTGGCTCACTATCAGGTGATGAGTGGATATGTTAGCGCTTTCCATTCGAAGGGTTAAAAACTCACTCTGGCTGAGTAATTGAGGTTTGTAGAAAGGAGAAAATTATTGAGATTTATAGAGAGGACAGAAGTGGCTCTAAGAAACAGAAAATTCATGGAGAACAAGGAGTAAGTGGGGTGATAGGTTTCAGGGAATAAAGAGAAACAGTATTTGGGACACAAGAATGACAGAGCTCAAAAAACTAAGTTATCTTATTGAATTCTCACCACTGGAATTTGTTCTCTTCACTAGAGCAGTGTCATCAATGCGACTCAACCATTCTCTCAATTTTTGCTTCTCTCCTCTGTGTCTGGTCACTTATTTCAAAATCAACTGCCTGAGGCTCTTTGTGTTTTTCAAGTCAAATTCCCGAGAGAGAATTTATTAGTCTAGCTGATATTCATTATCTCTGTTTTGGGCCATGGGCAGAATGTCAACATAGCAGGCCTAAGGCTGCTATTTTTAGTAGGGTCTGCTTGCAAGGTTGGCCCTTAGCACAATAATTTCCACAGATAATTATTTGGAATAAATTCCAAATGATAAAGAAGTTTCACTGTGCCTAGATTGTTTGTGAAAATGTGATTTATGCTGAACACCTGCTTTCCTTCTGCCAGTCTGGAATTTTGGCATGTGTTATGCAGAGAGTAGATGTGATGAGCCCCCAATAAAAATGTTGAACGCTGAGTCTCTAGTGGGATTTCCTGGGCAGAAACATTGCATACATGATACAGCATTTTTAATTGCTGAAGGAAGTAAGTCACTCACATCATGTCTCCCTTTACAGAAGGAGAGAGCATAGGAAGCCCGTGCATGGATTTCTGTAAATTCTGTGTCTTTTCCCATTATGATCTCACTGTGTATTCTTGTTATTTCATCTGTGTAATAAATCCTAGCTATGTGGTGATTTCCTGAGTCCCATGAGTCCTTCTAGCAAATCTCTGAATATGGGGATGATCTTGAAGATCCTGACACAGGCCATTTCAATTAATTAACAAGATTAATTGCATATAGTGGAGAGCAGCTAGAGACCCCAGCTTATGGAATGATCTAGAGCAGTGGCTCTCAACTCTGGCTGCAAAGCAGAATCTTCTATAATGCCTTTATAAATTGAACCCCCTCCAAGATTAATTAGAATCCTGGAATTAGAATCTGCGGGTAGGTTCTGGACATGACAAGTTGTTTTTTTTTTTTTTTTTTTTTTGAGACAGAGTCTCGCTCTGTCACCCAGGCTGGAGTGCAGTGGTGTGATCTCAGCTCACTGCAACCTCCGCCTCCCAGGTTCAAGCAATTCTCCTGCCTCAGCCTCCAGAGTAGCTGGGACTACAGGTGTGTGCCACCATGACCAGCTAATTTTTTTTCTGTATTTTTAGTAGCGATGGGGTTTGACCATGTTAGCCAGGATGGCCTCAATCTCCTGACCTCATGATCCGCCTGTCTCGGCCTCCCAACATGCTGGCATTACAGGTGTGAGCCATCACGCCTGGCCTGGACAGTTACAAGTTTTTAAAATTCTCCAGTGATTCTTATGTGCAGTCATAATTAGGACCAATGGTCTGCTGCAATTCTCCTCCACAGGGTTCTAGCTGGCAGTTTTCTTTAGAAAACTGTAGGCTAGGGAGGCTTGGGAGGCATCATTATCTATCTGGCAGTACAATGTTCATTTTTCAGACAAAGAAATGAAGAACCCATGTTTTCAGGCATACTGACAAAAAATGAGTGAAACTGTTTAGTTGTAAACAATAGTCTGGGAATTGTGTTATTTTAGGGGTCCTACTGCAGCCATCTTTATAGCATAAAGTTTATGCTGACAATGTTCCATGCTTTCAAACTCTGGTAGAAAAACCAGCAGAAAAGAATAATATTCTTTGCCCACTTTTTGATGCGGTTGTTTGTTTGGAACATCACACACCGGGGACTGTTGTGGGGTGGGGGAGGGGGGAGGGATAGCATTAGGAGATATACCTAATGCTAAATGACGAGTTAATGGGTGCAGCACACCAACATGGCACATGTATACATATGTAACAAGCCTGCACGTTGTGCACATGTACCTTAAAACTTAAAGTATAATAATAATAATAAAATTTAAAAAGTTACATCTTCTTGAGTAAAAATATAAAATTAAAAAAAGAATATTAAAATAAATACAACCAACTGCAGCAATATTTTGCCATTGACCCACCTTCTTGAACATATTGTTCCATGAAATATATCTGTTATGAAATAAAGTCACATCTGACTCTTAGGGTTATTCAAAGATCCATGTTAAATTCTTCTCATCGGAGACAATCTAATTTTGTCTTTTTTGAAAAAGCTAGCTGGCAGGAAAGCCCTACTGGCTCAGCCTGTGGTATCACTTGCTCCTTTTTCAATGTAGACATATGTGGCAATTGACCATTTGGGTATGAGATGTGGCTCTCTCCTCCAGTCTTCCTATCACTGGCTTCCTCACAGCCTTCCAGGCCAAAGTCCTCTGATACAGCTGCTGCAAAAAAGAGCTGCCACCTTCTCAGAGCAGCCTCCATTTGGCAGAGCTACCTTCATGCCAGGTCTTGCCCATCCTGGACACCTGACAAAGATACGTTGATTTGATTTGATGTGATAATGGAAGCACTGGAAGAAAGAACTACTGTTGACAGGCAGGAGCTCACCACACTTCCTGTCTTGTGTCTTTCTATAGGGCCCAAGGCTGCTCCATAAAGTGCCTCTGGATAAAAGCAGGTGTTTTTTTATATGGAGACAGCCTTATCCTGCATGTACAAAAGTGATATCTTGATGCCCTGCTAGGATGCAGTTTTTCCTCATGATAGCCACACGGTGTTTGTAAGCGACATTGACTATCTATCACAACACCCCTTCCCCTGCACAGCTTCGACTGGCCCTTGCACAGTTGGAGGTAAACCAAGACTTAACTGAGCTGGCTTAAAGCTTCAGCCTCCAGCTTTCCTTTTATTTGTTTCACCCTTTGGAGCTGGTGTCTCTCTTACACACATGGGCTGAGTGTTCTCTCAAGCTGTTTCCTTCCCCCCCATGACACCCACTTTGAAAAAGAACTAGAAACTCATTCATCCTAAAAAATTCAGGTTGAAATTCTCTTGTGAGTTTATGCCTTTTAGGAAAGCTCAATGAACAAAACTTCAGGTGGAGGAGGTTGCTTTTTGGTGGCAGTGGTGGTGTAGGAGGCATGGAAGAGGTGGCTTCCTGGTACACTTGGTACCCTGACTGCAGTTACCTCTTATCAGCGCATTCCACCCCATGGCAGCCTGCCACTGGCTCAGACCCGTGGGCTTGGCATATAGATGACCCTTAGAACGGTTACTAAAAGTACCAGAGGGATAAACTTCAATTCTGCCCCCACCATTTTGTGGTCTCCAAAGCATTTCATTTCGCAATTCCATTTTGTTTCCCTTTCCACAAGTTAACCAACGCATCTGGCAGCTGTGATGCAGAGTCAGCAAGAACTGTTGTTTTTCCTTTACTGCCTGGCAATGTCTCAAATTTGAGTGAGTTCTCAACCCCAATTATGCTTTTAGAAATTTTCCTAAACGAAAGGAGATTGCTAACAGAACAAGAATCTTAAAACTGCATGAAATTCTACACTGAGAGTCTTGAAGAAAGGCTGTTCAAACAAAAACTCCATGAGACCAGGAGAGGACATTCTTATGTGTAGGTAACTTTTATACCCAGAAAGATAATGTAACAAATAACTAGTAATAGCTATATAAAATATGAAAAAAAGCAGATTGCAAAAATAACATGCAGAAAGACCCTCTTTTGGTAAAATGCAGGACATACAAATAATACAGACCACTTATTGTTTGCTTACTAGGTGCCAGGCACTTTATTAAGTGCCTTGTATATAGCACTTTAATATAAATCATTAACAAAAACCTGAACGGTTCATATTATCCTCATTTTACTGATGACAAAACTGAGGTGTACGGAAGTTAACAATATGCCCAAAGTCACATTGACAATATGTAAAAAATATCCATGATGCGTTAGGATATTTTGAACCATTAGTGTATGTGTTTGTAAAGAAAAACCACTGGCAATAAACTGTAATATTAACCGATTAAGGATAATGACTTTTTAATTTTTAAATTTAGATTATGTATATTTCAAAATGCATCTCCAATGAATGTCTTTTTTTAACAGAAGTTTTTTTTAAGTGAGAAAATTATGTGAAACTGTTTATAGATGAGTTAAATACATTTACTGTTGGATGGTAACAAGTTTCAGTGAATTATTTTTTTTCTATTTATTCTGTTTGTGAAACTATAAGGACTGCTGAATTAGTCTGCTGGAGCTGCCATAAAAAATATCACAGATTGGGTAATTTAAACAACAGCAATTTATTTTCTCACAGGTCTGAAAGCTAGAAGTTCAACATCAAGTTGTTTGCAGGGTTGGTTTCTAATGAGGGTCGTTCAACTTGGTGTGTAGATGACCATCTTCTCTCTTTATTCACATGATCCTCTGTGCGTGTTTGTCTCCTAGTCTCCTTATAAGGAGACCACTTACATTGGATAAATGCCCACTCATATAATCTCATTTTATCTTAATTACTTCGTTCAAGTCCCTATTTCCAAATACCATTACATTATGAGTATTAGGGGATAAAATATCAACATATGAATTTTAGAGGGGACACAATTCAGCCTCCATAACAATGTTCATCATTGAAATGTCTAAGTTAAATAACTCAAGACATTAAAAATTGATGCCAGTGATAAAAACAACATTAACAGACGCTTGAGAGGATCCTATATCTTCTCTTCAAATGCTTCACTTCTGAAATAAAGAATATTTTCAGAGTAAAGTTTATAAGATTTTTTCCAAACACTCCAGAAAGAGCCATGGAAAGGTCTAATGCTAATAACATAGATGTGCACTTGTTGTATATCTGGAATTCAAAACTCTATGATAATCATCATTCTGTCATCTTTTCCAATGGTGTTTTGCATTTGTGGCTTAAAAATTTCTCTCTTCCCACATTTCATGACACACATACAACATTTTAGCTAAATTTCTAGAGTCTAGCTGATAAGATATAAATCCTCAAGAAGTTGCATCTGAGCATTTTTTTTTGCTTTGTTTCTCCCTCATTTTTAGTGATAAATGGTTCATTCAAGCTTAGGAACAATGTAGTAGTATAACAATGGTCTCATCAGAAATGGTACAATAAACCAAATGAAGAAATTATGTCCTCTGCATTCCCATCTTTGACAGAATTAACAAGTTGTATGTACAATATTAGGGTCGGCAGAGGATGACTTTTTTTCCACAGAGTCCCTGATGCTGGTGGTGATTGGCCAGCAAGGAAAGTTTAAATGAGTCTTGCTTTTTTCTTCTGTGTTTTTTCCCCTCATACTTTTCACTAACCTGTAGAGTCTCAGATTCTAAACCTGTTTCCTGTCTGCCACCATCCTTTCACTTCTCCACTTGTTTTGTCCCCATCCTGCCTGCCTGTTGAATACTATCTATCCAACGAGTTCTGGCCAAGAACTCAGTTTACCTTCTCTGGAATGCCTTCCCTGACTGGGCCTTCAATACTTCTGCCCTTTCTAGATGTTCGTGGACTTCTATAAAATGAAACTTTTAGAAGACAGAGGAATCTTCTTGTCCTTGGGATGGTTTTATCTCACCAATGCTCAAAAAATAAGTGTTAAGTGAACAAATAAATGAATGAGTTAATGGGGCCCTTACTTTTGGCATAGTTTCTGTATTAATTATCTATTACTGTCTAATAGATGATCCCAGGACTTAACCACTTAAAACAATAAACATTTATTATCTTACAGTTTCTGGATCAGGAATCTGGGAGCAGCTTAGCTGAAATCTCTCTCTCTCAAAGCCTCTCAAAAGGCTGCAGTCAAAATGGCAGCCAGGGCTGCACTCTCATTTGAAGGTTCAATGGAGACAGGTTCTTGTTCCAAGCTCGTTCATGTTGTTGTTGACATAATTCATTTCTTTGCTGGCTATTGCATTGAAGCCTTCCCTCAGTTCTTTGTCACATGTACTTCTCCATAGGAAAGCTCACAGCCTAGCAGCTGGCTTTGCTCAGAGCCAGGGAGGAAATGGAAGAGGGAAGAAGGATGGAAATTAGAGTCTGAGAAGTGACAGCTCATTATTTTGCTATATTTTATTTCTTACAAATGAGTCACTATGTCCACCTAGCTCAAGGAGAAGTTGTGTCCGAAATTGGTGGGTTCTTGGTCTCGCTGACTTTAAGAATGAAGCCACGGACCCTCTCGGTGAGTGTTACAGTTCTTAAAGATGGTGTGTCCAGAGTTTGTTCCTTCTGATGTTTGGATGTGTGTTTGGAGTTTCTTTCTTCTGGTGGGTTCTTGATCTCACTGGCTTCAAGAGTGAAGCTGCACACCTTAGCGGTGTGTTACAGCTCTTAAAGTGGCACATCTGGAGTTGTTCATTCCTCCCATCTGAAGTTTGTTCATCCCAGCCAGAGTTGTTCATTCCTCCTGGTGGGTTCATGGTCTCACTGGCCTCAGGAGTGAAGCTGCAGACCTTCGTGGTGAGTTTTACAGCTCATAAAGGCAGTGTGGACCCAAAGAGTGGGCAGCAGCAAGATTTATTGCAAACAGCAAAAGAACAAAGCTACCACAGTGTGGAAGGGGACCCCAGTGGGTTGCCGCTGTTGGCTTGGGCAGCCTGCTTTTATTCCCTTATCTGACCCCACCCACATCCTGCTGATTGGTCCATTTTACAGAGAGCTGACTGGTCCGTTTTACAGAGAGCTGATTGGTCCCTTTTGACAGGGTGCTGATTGGTGCGTTTACAAACCTTGAGCTAGACACAGAGTGCTGATTGGCGCATTTACAATCCTTTAGCTAGACACAAAAGTTCTCCAAGTCCCCACTAGATTAGCTAGACACAGAGCACTGATTAGTGTGTTTACAAATCTTTAGCTAGACACATAGTGCTGATTGGTTCATTTACAATCCTCTAGCTAGCCATAAAAGTTCTCCCAGTCTCCACCCCACTCAGGAGCCCAGCTGGCTTTGCCTAGGAGATCCTGTGCCAGGGCCGCAGGCAGAGCTGCCTGCCAGTACTGCGCTGTGCACCCGCACTCCTCATCTCTTGGGTGGTCGATGGGACTGGGTGCCGTGGAGCAGGGGGCAGCGCCCAAGGGGGAGGCTCGGGCCGCATGGGAGCCCACAGGGCTGGGGGGGTGCTTGGGCATGGTGGGCTGCAGGTCCCGAGCCCTGCCCCAATGAGAGGTGGCTGAGGCCTGGCAAGAATTCGAGCATGGCGCCAGCAGGCCGGCACTGCTGGGGAACCCGGCGCACCCTCTGCAGCTGCTGACCCAGGTGCTAAGCCCCTCACTGCCCAGGGTGGCTGGCACCGGCCGGCCACTAGGAGTGCGGGGCCTGCTGAGCCCGCGCCCACCAGGAACTCGTGCTGGCCCGTGAGTGCCGCAGGCAGCCCTGGTTCCCGCCTGCGCCATCTCCCTCCACACCTCCCCACAAGCAGAGGGAGCCAGCTGTGGCCTCTGCCAGCCCAGAGAAGGGCTCCCATAGTGCAGTGGCAGACTGAAGGACTCCTCAAGCATGGCCAGAGTGGATGCCGAGGCTGAGGAGGTGCTGAGAGCGAGTGAGGGCTACTAGCATGTTGTCACCTCTCAAAGTGATTACACAAGGATATGGATATCAGGAGGAAGGAATCATTGGGTGTATTCTTAGAACCAGGCTTCCACAGTCCCACTTTCAATCTGCTTTTTTTTCTTGCTGCACTTAGTATTATTTTTTTTTCCCAGGAAGTCAGCTATAATCCCCTGGAACATGGTTCCTGGGGCCTCAACTCTGGGCTGGATATAAACCCAAAAGTTGATTGTGTAACTATTACTTTAATTTTAAAAGGTCTCAGAAAGATTCAAACCCTTGCTCCTGCTGCTCTTTTATTTTCATTCCGTTGATTGGGCTTCCTTTTTTTTTTTTAGAAAAACTTGTATTTTAGGTTCAGAGTACACATACAGGTTTGTTATATAGGTAAACTTGTGTCACAGAGGTTTGTTGTACAAATTATTTCATCACTCAGGTACTAAGCCTAGTACCCAATAGTTATTTTTTTTCTGATCCTCTTCCTCCCCCCACCCTCTGGTAGGCTCCAATGTCTGCTGTTCTTTTCTATATGTTTATGTGTTCTCTTCCACTTACAAGTGACAATATACAGTATTTTGTTTTCTTTTCCTGCATTAGTTTGCCAAGGATAATGGCCTCCAGCTCCATCCATGTTCCCGCAAAAGACAATCTTGTTCTTTTTTATGGCTACATAGTATTCCATGGTGTATATGTACTACATTCTCTTTATCCAATCTGTCATTGATGGGCATTTAGGTTGGTTTCATGTCTTTGCTATTGTGAATAGTGCTGCAATGAACATTCATGTGCATGTGTCTTTATGATAGAATGATTTATATTTCTGTGGGTATATACCTAGTAATAAAATGTCTGGGTCCAGTGACAGTTCTGTTTTTAGTTCTTTGAGGAATCACTATACGTCTTTCCACAGTAGTTGAATTAATTTATGCACCCACTGACAGTGTATAAGGGTTCCCTTCTCTTTGCAACCTTGCTGGCATCTGTTATTTTTTGACATTTTAATAATAGATATTCTGACTGGTGTGAAATGGTAACTCATTGTGGTTTTGATTTGTATTTCTCTAACGATCAATTGTAGGGAGACCCCCTGAAACTATTGCTATGGAGTAAAAGATGAAATGCTCCTGATTATTGTACGTACAAAATTGCATGCAGGATTGTGTAAAGACAATGCCAGGTTGGGCTGCCAGAATGAGCCAACAGCGCGTAATGTGCTTCCCCGTGCAGAGAGCCTATAAACGGACGTGCAGTCAGGGAGGTTTCACATAACCAGGATTCCTATCCCAGAAAAGCAGATGTTCATAGCTCTGGGAATGGAATGTGATTCTTGTGGAGAGCCTATAAGCAGATGCATGAGGGGCGCCTGTTCATATGGATAAGATAGGGCTATAAACGTCCTTATTTTGCCACAGCTCTTCTAGGCCTCTTTAAGGTTAAGGCATACTCCCTTCTGAGAATTTCTGGTCTAACTGGTTGTCTAGCTTCACATCCTGTTTCTATTGATTGTTTGCAACCAGCTTTTGCTGCAACTGTTACTGCTGATTAATATCTTGCTAATCATAGGTTATGGAGAGACTGTGTTTCTGTTTTAAGGCTCTGTTAGAAATTGTTGATGCACACACTATATTGTAAATTCTTATCTCTGTATACTGTACTTCTGCATACCAATGTTACGTTAAAGACTTACTTCATCCCCATGTGACCATCTCACCTCATAATCAAACGACCCTAAAACCCTCACTAACCTACCCCTGCCCTCACTAAACTTAATAATAAATGCTGGTATATCCAGTGCATTGGCGGCATCACAGGACCAGAAGGCGGTGACCCCCCTGGACCCAGCTTTCACTATCTTGTGTGTGTCTTTTATTTCTTGACCTGTTGATCTGCCTGGGAACAAAGAAAGAGCCCCGTTGCATTGCAGGCTGCTGGCCAGATCCTGCAATAATCAATGATATTGAGCTTTTTTTGTATGCGTTTTGGCTGCATGTATGTCTTCTTTTGAAAAGTGTCTGTTCGTGTCATTTGCCCACTTTTTTTGTTTTTTTTTCTTGTAAATTTGTTTAAGTTCCTTACAGAGGCTAGATATTCAACCTTTGTCAGATGCATAATTTGCAAATATTTTCTCCCGTTCTGTAGGTTGTAAACGCTTTGTTGATAGTTTCTTTTGCTGTGCAAAAGCTCTTAGGTTTAATTAGATCCCATTCATCAATTTTTATTTTTGTTGCAATTGCTTTTGGTGTCTTTCTCATGGACTCTTTGCCCATTTCTATTTCCAGAATGATATTGCCTAGTTCTCATCCAAGGTTTTTATAGTTTTGGGTTTTACACTTAAGTATTTCACCCATCTTAAGTTGATTTTTTTATATGGTGTAAGGAAGAGGTCCAGTTTCAATCTTTTGCATATGGCCAGCCAGTTATCCCAGCACATTTATTGAATAGGTAGTCCTTTCCTCATTGCTTTTGTCAGCTTTGTTGAAGATCAGATGGTTGTAGGTGTGCAGTCTTATTTCTGGGCTCTCTATTCTGTTCCATTGGTCTATGTGTCTGTTTTTGTATTAGTACCATGATGTTTTGGTTACGGTTTGGATTCTTCTATTATTATTTTGAGTGATTGCCCTGGAATTTTAGCTTTCTTTACTCTGTAGACCAAACTATAATTCTGGGTTTCTTATTGACCCATTATCCTCAAATAGGATTCCTCCCACTATGTCACTATAAAGACCATCTGGTTTGAGACTGGCTAACTCTTATTAAAGTCTCTTCAGAAACCATAATGGGAAAACTTCGATTTTGTAGAATACTACTGCATGAACTTAATTTAGGTTGAAGTAATTTTTAGGGTTAATGAAAGAAAAGCTTATTCTTGAAACATCAAATTACTGAAATATCAATTCTAGTTGTTAATTCAAAACTGACAAGAATATGCCTAATTAAGCATGTGCTAGTCCATTAATATAGGTAGTTAGCAACTCTTACTCAAGGATCGGATGTATTAGAACTGGATATTGAAGATCTGGCTCTGATACTTGCTGTGGCAATAATATGTAAATGAGTGTAGGCCTTTAGGCAAAAAAAAAAAAAAAAGTAAATTTGGAGGAGTATAGTTAGGCTGTCATTATGCCTTTTTAATTTTCTCTAATATTAATAGCTAACATATATTAAACACTTAGGTAAATCTGAAAGCTTTATAAGCATTATCTAATTCTTATGTCAACCTTCTGAGGTAGTTACTACCTCCATTTTCAAGATGTAGAAATGGAGACTTAACAAGGTTAGGTCATTTTGCCAAAGATCACATAATATGATGTGGTAGAGATGAGATTCAAACATAGATTTGGCCCCAAAATATGTGGTTTTAATAAATTTGCCATATTGCCTTCTCTAACAATACAATTTAGTAACATTCATTCAAAAATATTTTTTGAATGTCTGCTATGTGCCAGGCACTTTCTTATATATGGAGAATACAGAATAAATAAGATGGCCATGATTCCTGATTTTACTGGAAGAGACATGTAATAAACAAACACATAAATAAGAACCCAGAAAATCCAGTTATGGTCTGAGCTGTGCCATGGATTGAAGTAAGATGAGGTGACAGAATAACTGGATGACAAATTTATTTATTTATTTATTTAAGATGGAGTCTCACCCTGTTGCCCAGGCTGGAGGGCAATGGCACAATCTCGGCTCACTGCAACCTCCCCCTCTTGGGTTCAAGTGATTCTCCTGCCTCAGCCTCCTGAGTTGCTGGGACTACAGGCGTGTACCATCATGCCCGGCTAAGTTTTGTATTTTTCGTACAGACGAGGTTTCACCTTGTTGGCTAGTCTGGTTTCAAACTCCTGACTTCAGGTGATCCACCCACCTCAGCCTCCCAAAGTGCTGGGATTTTAGGCATGTGCCACCATGCCTGGCCTGGATGACAAATTTAGAGGTGAGTAAAGGAAAGTCTCTTTGAGGAGATGACGTAAGCTGAAGTCTGCCTTACAGTACCATGCAGTGGTTAAGAGCTGGGACTTTGGAGCTACTTGCTACTTCTCTCATTTACTAGCCATATGACCTCAGCCATATTATTTAAACCCTGTTCCTTAGTTTCTGGCAGTGTAACTGCTTGTGGGATTGCATGTACAAGTTAGTATGTGTATAGTGCTCAGAAAATTGGGATTCTTGGCATCTTGTAAACAGTATATAAATGTGAATTATTATTATAAGTAGGAATAATCATTTGAGGAGTAAAGAGAAAAAAATTCCAGACAAAGGATGCAACTGACACAAAGACCTTAGGGAAGAATGGGCTGGGTATGTTCGAAAACAGGAAAATCAATGTGGCTGAATCAAAATGTAAAGAGGAGAATAGTAAAAGATGAAGTTGGAAACACAAGCAGGGACAGGCCGGATTACTAGTACTTTGTAAAACAATATAAAGAGTTGCTCCAAGTGCAAGGAGAAGTCAGGGAATGAGATTTTGAGCATTTCTCCAACTTGGCACTATTGACATTCTGAGCCAGATAATTCTTTGTTGTGGGACACTGTCCTGTGCAGCATCCCTGGTCTCTACCCAGTGGCATCTATTTCTCTGAGTTGTAATAACCAAAAATGTGTCAAGACCTTTCCAAATGTCCCTTTGGGGGCAAAATTATCTCAATTAATAACCATTTATTTTTTTAAAAATCCACTTGGACTCTCATGTGAAGAATAGATTGTAGTGGAGCAAGAATGAAGAAGGAGACCAGTTCAGAGGCTACAGCAGTT
Source organism: Homo sapiens (assembly GCF_000001405.40). NCBI lineage: Eukaryota > Metazoa > Chordata > Mammalia > Primates > Hominidae > Homo > Homo sapiens. Next base: position 42,831,459 of record NC_000005.10, on the reverse strand, counting down.
TCCTCGAAGACAGAATATTAGTGTTTGGACTGGAGTAGTAGACATGAGAAGAAATAAATGTCTTTGTGATATGTTTTGGAGATAGAGTCTATAGAACTTGCTGAAAGATTGACCATGAAGTGAGACAAAAGGAGAAATCAAAGCTAACTCCTAGGTTTGAGACCTGTGCAATTGGGTGGATATAGTACCAAGATGGGGGAACACTGGGAGAAAATCAGGTTTTGAGTGACCACAAGGAAGTCATAACTCCTGATCTAGATATGTTATGTTTGAGATGCCTCCGGACATCCATCTGGAGATGGTGAGTCAGCAGAAGTGAGGTAGTACTAGAGATATAAACTTGCTATCACTAATACATCGATGGTGTTAGGTCATAAATATGAATAAAGCCATGTAGACAGCATGTGTAGATAGAGATAAGAACCCAAGACAGATCCCTGGGACAATCCAAAATGCAGATGTCAAACAAAAGAAGAAGAGCTAACAAGGGAGACTGAGAAGGAACAATGAGAGAAGAGAAAATAAAACCATTCAAGTATAGTGTCCCAGAAGCCGAATGAAGACACTGGTTAAGAAAAACTAAAGAGTTTATTGAGTCAGATACTGATAAGTAATCATAAGAAGATAGAAAACTGATCGTTGGAGTTAGTAACATAAAAGCCATTGGCAACTTATACAAAGGAAGACGTAGAAAGGAGTCATGAAGACAGAAACTTGAGACACTTTGCTGCAAAAGGAGTAAATGAGCTGAAGCTAGAAGGAGATGTGCTCTTAAGGAATACAAAAAAGACCAAAGACACACAGGGCAAGGTCTCCCTCCAAGCTATCATCCAGATTCTCTTCTCCAAATACCACCACAGCTTCAGTTTTTCCTATTGTCATAGCGATATGATATGAGGGAGACAGGCAGTTAGGTAGGTAGGGAGGGAAGTAGGTCGGCAGACACAAACACATGTACATTTTTAATGGGGTTTAGAGCCTCTGGTACTTGGGTAGCTGGCACTAGGTCCATTAATGGGACTCTGTAGGCACGTAAACTCACAGCAAGGCTTCTGGGACAAATGTAGCCTGCATCTTGAGAGCTGATTCCAGGAGCTCAGATAGCAAGTCAGAAAGTAGCACTGTTACTGAAAAACCAGGGGTTCAGGCTAGGTCCTGCTGCTTGCCACACAGAAAGCCAACCACTGAGATGACGATTATTGCCTAGAAAGAAGGCTTTAACTGAGTGCTGTAGCTGAGGAGATGAAAGCTCAGCCTCAAATTCATCTCCCTAACTGACTAAAACTAGGGGTTTATATAGCAAGAGAGAAATGTAACAATGTGTAAGAAAACAGAAACTACTACTTTTTTTTTTTTTGAGAGGCCTGAGGGTCCTTTCCTGAGGAAGGAACTCAGATAAAACAAATACAAGTTTCAAGCTTTAACAGCAGAAGGGGCTGGGCACAGTGGCTCACGCCTGTAATCCCAGCACTTTGGGAGGCCAAGGCAGGTGGATCACCTGAGGTCGGGAGTTTGAGACTAGCCTGACCAACATGGAGAAACCCTGTCTCTACTAAAAATACAAAATTAGCCAAATGTGGTGGCACATGCCTGTAATCCCAGCTACTCAGGAGGCTGAGGCAGGAGAATCACTTGAACCCGTGAGGCGGAGGTTGCGGTTAGCCGAGATTGCGCCATTGCACTCCAGCATCGGCAACAAGAGTGAAACTCCATCTCAAAAACAAACAAACAAACAAAACCCAACAACAATTAAAAAAAAAACAGAAGAAGGGTCAATTTCTATGTTTACCCAAAAACAACTGTCTATGAGAATATTGGGCCCATTTCAGCAGTAGAGGTCAGATATACCCATGCCCTAGGCATTACCAGGATGGGGACACTGTCTGGACCCCAGGAAGACCTATTTCTCCAAAATACTGTGAGAACTCAGTCTAAGCCAAGTCTAACCTGATGGCTTGAACTAAGGTCTGCACTGTGGCCTTCATTTTCGGTGATCTAGATCTCTGAGCTCACAAGATATTTATCCTGGTGCCACCCTAGTGAAATCAATGACACTGTAATTCCCATTACCTAGCACAGTGTGGCTGCTTAATCAATGCTCATTTATTTAGAAATAAATGAATAAATAAATGAAGGAATATAGCCAGTTTTGTTGCTTAGCATCTTTTACTATCTTATATAGATTCAGCTTTCCTGGTGTCAGTATTGTACTAAGTAATATTCTTTGTGTGAGTACGAAATAGCCAATGTGCATCCTGCAAGGGCTCAGGTATGCCAAAGCAATTGATTACAAGGCTGCTTCCTGTAGCTTTCTCCAGCCAAAAAAATAAAAATAGCCGTATAGGAACATACTGCTTTCCCTTTCTATAGGCCTCCAACCGCTAGGCATAAATTTCTTTTCAAACTTTCCAGAAAACCTTACCCTTGGACTAAGATCAAGAAAAGAAACTGCAGGCTTTTCTCAGAGAAAATGCAAAGAAGATTTGACTGAAGTCTTATGGTTACCTGGCCCCAGGCCTGAGGGGCTGTGTCTTGGCACTGACAGTGGAAGCCGAGGAAGATGGGAGCCTGCTGAAAATTGCTTCTGACAGAAAGACAATCATGAAGCTGTTTTCCCGCAGGCTGTCATGCCAACTCACAAATTCCTTAACTTAAACATACACAAACATAATCCTCATAAGACTCTTGACTCTTTTCTCATATCAGTCACTTCTTACTGTTTGTAGAGACTCTAAATTGCATTACTTTAAGGGAAAAAAATTGGCTTCCTTTTCTCAGGACACAAAACCAAGCATAATATACAATTGTGGTCACCAAGATGGTAAGACATGAATTTTGAGTCTTCCTAAATATTGAATCTGGCAACAACTTTAGAGCAACACTTTAAAATTGAGTCCGACCCCAAACTATTCTGACTCAGTGCAAAAATGGCCCCACTAGGCTTCTTTTATAAAGACATAAAATCAGCCTAAATGCCCATCGATGATAGACTGGATAAAGAAAATGTGGTGCATATACACCATGGAATACTATACTGCCATAAAAAACAATGAGATCATGTCCTTTGCAGGAACATGGATGGAGCTGGAGGCTGTTATTTTTAGCAAACTAACACAGCAACAGAAAACCATATACTTCATGTTCCCACTTATAAGTGGGAGCTAAATGATGAGAACACACGGACACATAGAGGGGAACAACAGACACTGAGGCTTATTGGAGGGTGGAGGGTGGAAGGAAGGAGAGGATCAGGAAAAATAACTAATGGACTAGGCTTAATACATGGGTGATGAAATAGTCTCTACAACAAACCCCCATGACACAAGTTTACCTGTGTAACAAACGTGCTCTTGTACCCCTGAACTTAAAAGTTAAAAAAAAGTATCTGTACTGGGTATCTGTAAGAAGAAAGCTGATGGTTGAAAAGGCAGAAGTTGGCCTTTTGAGGTTTTCTGGACTACCCATGATACACATGGCTGCTTTGCTGCCTTTCAATGCATCCCTCACTGTGCACCAAAGGAATCTTTTAAAATACAAATCTGATCATGTTACACACAAACTCCCACAAAGTCTACATGGCCTGGCATGGTGTAGCCTCTGTACATGTTTCCTATTTCATTGCTTACCTTTGGCTCCAGCTACATAGGCTTTGCTCATTTCCTTCAATCTGTCCTCCTCCCTCCTACCATGTCCTTGCACGTGCTCTTTCATCTGCCTCCAATTCCACCTGGTTAAGTTTTACACTTCTTTATAATTGCTGCTAATTTTTACCTCCCCAGGGAAGCTTTTGCCAAATTCTATGAACTGGGTGACTTCTCTATTTTTCTATTCTTTGCTATTTAACACTTACTGACATTCATTCTAGCATTGAACTATAAGCTCTATAAGGATAGCGATGTATTTTCAAGTGTTTAGAACGATATCAGCACTTAGATATTCCAGAACTACTTGTTCAGTTAAGAAAAACACACCCTAAGGACAGTGACCAAGACACTACAAACAACATGTCTTCTGTTGCTGGGATTCCCGAGGATTTTTGCCATACATCTTTTTATGTGACTTCTGGGAAACAGGAGGAAGCAAATATCATTTGGGAGAGCAGATCTATTAAAAAAGGAGCTTTTCACATAGCCATCAAATGGAGATAGAAAACAGGTCTCTAACTCTTTGAAACATTTTTTCCCTTGACTATGATGCAAATAAATTTCCAGTTCTTGTTCCTGGCCAATTTCAGCTCAACTTAGTTTAGTGAAACATAATAAATGTTTTCTGAGGACCTTTTTTTGTGGCAAGTATTATGATGGTAGCTGTAGAGTATACAAAACTGAGTAAAACACACTCTTGGCCCTTAGAAGTTCATAGCCTGGAAGTATAATTTTAAAAATACACAAATAGTAGAGGAATATGTTAAAACAATGCTCTGAAGGATCCAGGGAGGGAAGGATTTCCTGGACCACCCTATTCCTGCATCTTCGCAGGGTGGGACAAGGGGGAGGGACCTGTTGTTTTTCAGAGGCCATGTAGTACAAGTTATGCAAGTGAAGAAGTCACTACAGACAGTTTATTTTCTCTTGCAGCTTTAGGTCTATTTATAGTCCAGTTCCTGGGGTAAAAGTAGCTTATTAAAGCATTGTATTATTTGATGCATAATAAAGTTTGTATATATAGCTAATACTTCTATTAAAATGTATGTTGAATTAATAGCTTTTCAAAATCTACCATTTGATAATGTATCAATTCTATAGTAATCAAAAGCTAAGAAAAGGAAATAGAAGTTCATTACCTAGATATTTCCATTAAAAACAATCAGCTGTTTAATTCAGCTAGAGAATTTATTAGTTTTAAAGACTCTTGCCATAAAGTAAAACAAGAAATGTGAGAATACAACCTTTCAAATGTTTCCAAAGCAGTTTCAAAGTTCCTGAATACATATTTTATTTAGTGAGTAGCACCTATATGCATAGAATTCAGATAAGCATTATGGGAAAACTTAGGAAATACAAGTTTAACAGCAATACAAAAACCACATAGCAGTAGGAGAGAATTGGACTTAAGATATGTGCCCAATGAATAGTGCAAATTTTAAGTGCCATATTAAGGAGGGAGATCTCACAAAAGGGGCTTTGAGGTTTGAAATAACAATGCCAGCTAACAACCTTTATATATATATGTGTGTGTGTGTGTATATATGTATGTGTGTGTGTGTGTGTGTGTGTGTATACACATTTTAGAGATGGGGGTTTGTCATATTGACCCAGCCTGTTCTTGAACTCCTGAGCTCAAGCAATCTGCCCATCTTGGGCTACCAAAGTGCTGGGATTATGGGCCTGAGCCACCATGCCCAGTCTCTAGCTAACACTCTTATAAGCACTTATTCAGGCATTCTGCTAGTCATTGATGTGTGTTTTCTTATTCAACCCTCACAGTCACATACACACTGTTAGGTAACAGAAACCTGACTGAAATGGGAGAGTTCTCTGACCCTCTTATGGGACTTGCAACAGGGGTGTGGCTTGTTTGCTTGGCCACTGCACATTCAAACCCCTTAAGGGAGGGGGAGCACACAGACAGGCAGGTGCAGGAGACGGGGTGAGCGCTTTTGGGCTCTAGCCCCATGGCAGCATCTAGGGGTGTGTTACAATTAATGCTCTTTTAGCAGTTGCTGTTCGCGGATGGCTAAGTGTTAAACCAGCTCAGTGGAGAGTCAGGGTGGCAGCCTTTTACGCCCTGTCCTCTTGGTACCCGGGTCTTTGTCTAGCATCCAGGAAGAATCAGGTCCTACAGACTTGAAGGATGGTGAATACAGAGATTTTATTGAATGATGGAGGAGGCTTTCAGCAGGATGGATGGGGAGCTGGAAAGCGGATGGAGTGAGAAGATAATCTTCCCCTGGGGTTTGGCCATCCCATGGCTGATCTCTCTGACAGTCCCCAGCCGAACTCCTCTCGATGTTCAGACACTCTTTCTCCTCTCTCCTCTGCCACACTGCTCTGCTGCTCTTCTGCTCATGGAGCCTGAGGTTTGGAGTTTTTATGGGTACAGGATGGGGGTGTGGTGGGCCAGGGTGGTCCTGGAAAAGGCAACATTTGGCACGAAAACAGGAATGCCTGTTCCTATTTAGGGCTGCAGGTTTCCAGGCTTGAGGATGGGGCCTTTGCCAGGGAACCGCTCTCTTTTAACCAGTATTTCCCTGCCTCTTGTCCATATCATAATCACAGTGGCATAATGAAGTAAAGACTCATCCTTCGTCACATAATAACGTTCAGGAGTAGGCAGTCTGGGGCTGATACAAATGCGTGAGAAACCATCAAGTTTCTAGCTTCTTCTAACCTTCAGCTGCATCATGCTCAGTGTGTGTTTTTTAGCCCCATGGTTATAAAATGACTGGTCCACTTAAGGCATCGCACTGGCATCCCAGTAGAAAGACAACAAAAGCAACAAGTGCAAATAAATGGAAAACTTTCCTAAGATTTTCTAGCAGACTTCAGATTTCCACTCCATCTCGTTGGTTAGAACGATATCACATGGACACCCAGTGGCATAACTGGTTGAGAAATGAAGGCTTTTTGTTTTTCTTTCATCTGACAACATAGCTGCCTAAAAAGCTATGGAGTTGGATATTGGTGAAGAAGGAAGGAAATTGACATCAAATAGACATTTAGCAGTGCCACCACAGATGAGTACTACTATTATTCTCGTTTTGCCTGAGGAAACCTAGACATTGAGAGTTAAGTAACCTGCCCAAGGTCATCTAGTTAATATGTAGAAAAGCCGGATACAAACACAGGCAATCTGATTTCCAGAGCCTGAACTTTTAACTCTGTGCTAGGATTTGAATCTGAGAGTAGAAGGAAAGGCAATTTGTGACAGGAAGATAGTGTTAACAAAGGTGCAGTGCGTGTGTGCATGTGTACGTGTGTGCATGTGTACGTGTGCACATGTGTATGTGTGTACATGTGCATGCATGTACATTGGAACCCTAGATGCTGATCATGTGTGAGAGAGGCCCTGAGGCTGGAATAAAGGAGCCATGCTGAGGAGTGGAGGGAAGTCAGGTGGGAAGGAGATCTGGATTTATACCATCTGCCTGGGTAAGCCTTCAGGAACATGAACTGCGTCGGTCCTGAAATTGAAATAATGACAATATATATGCAAATATTGTCAAGAAGGCATGAGGAGATGCCAAATATGAGCAGAGCCAGAACCCAGGGTGTGGTAAATCAAAAGTTGAAGCTGGAACATCCTAAGAAGCAGTAGCCAAGGTTTGGTCCAGGATGTTCTGCAGTCAGATGTGTCCAGCAGTCAAAGATATATGAGCTGGAGGCCAGGGTCTGATGGTTTGGAGTTAGAGTTGGGGAATTAGAATCCTGGAATATTACATACCTAGGTTCTTGTTTGTTTTATGGCAGTACATCCCAGCACTTTAGGAATATTATTGGCCCATTACTTAGCACTAGTTTTTAACTCTTATAGTTAAACGCTGTAACATTTAAGAGGATAAGATGACCCCAGACTATGAGAGCACAAAAGAAACAGTTGTTTTCCATGGAAACATGTTACTTTTAAATATTAGCTTTACCTTTGTTATCTCACAGGGTAAGTGGAGTGGGAACATACAAAAATAGGTAGAATTAAAAAGGAAGGAGCTGTGCAAAGTGATGAACCACATCAGCTTTGGATTATATATTTTTCAGTGTCTTTGTTGAGTACAGAGCTTGCACCAAGAGATGTCAGATTAGTGTAAGGAGACCATTACTTAGAATATGTGAGGCTCAGCAAGAGAACATGGCCCCACTCTGAGTGGTGGGCTTTCTGACCTGGTAGTGTTCAAACAGAGGCTAGAAGATTGTTGAGGAGAGAGATTTCAAAATTGCTTTCTGGATAAAGTTTGACTAAAAGGATTTCAAATCTGCATTTCATAATTGTACAGTATGCCCATCTGAAATCGATCAGAATTGTAATCTCCAAAAAGCAATCTGAATCTGCAAAGCCTTTCCTATTGCTTGCAGACTCAGCAGCCCTGAGTCTGCTGCTAGTCAAGTAGTAGGAAAAGTTGTGCAAAGCCTTTGTCCTCCTCACTCTAGTTTCTTCTTTGTCCAGTTGAAAAAGACTAGCAAATGAGGTCTTTTGAAGAATAGTTATAATGACTATTCTCCAGCAACCACGAGAATGGAATTCAACTTAAGGTGTTATGCATTTATTTAAATGTACCAAGCCTCAGCATGCATGTGTCTAGCCTTTATATACATGCATATATAAATGTGTGTCTGTGTGTATATATATATATATATATTTGTATGTACATACACACTTATCCACATTTATGATGAAAAATAAATTCATGTTTATTGTTGCAGTTAAACTCTGGAGCTCTGAAACCATTGGGTTTGAATCCCAGCTCCTCTATCTTTTAGCTGTGAATATAGGTCAAGTTACTTAACATCTTCGTACCTATTTTCTCACAGGGTAAAGACTATTGTGATGATTAAATGTGTTATTTATTACCTATAAAAGACAGAATATGACTGGAATATAGTAAACATCCAATAAATGATAGCTATTATTATTCTAGACTTTCTAGAAAATACATAAAAATAAAAAGAAGAACTAAAAATCATGTTTATTCTGAAGGGGAACCACTGTTAATTCTGAGCATATCTTCCCAGTCTTTGTTCATGTGCTTGTCTTCTGTTTACTCTCACTCTGGAGTCATGCTCCAGGGCCTAGGTTTCCAATGCACATGCATGCACACATACACATGCACATACACAGAAATATACGTGCACACATGATTTTATGCTTCTTGTAAAAGTTAGAATATGTACCTTAAAGATTAGTATAGGGGAAAAGGGAAAACTTCCCCTTTGCCTTCCGAAGATTTGCAGAAAATCACTGATAAGATGCATATTAATAGGAGAAAAGGCATACATATTTATTAATGTGTACATGGGAGCCTTTAAAATTAAGACCCAAAGATACAGGGGAAATTGTCCATTTTTATGTTTAGGTTTAACAAAGTATGGGCAGCAAGTAGAAACATGATTGGACAAAAAATATGATCTAATGTTAATAGACTGAGTGGGGAAACTCAGAAAGGTCTGTCTGTCTAGATTTTTCTTCGCCTCTCTGAGCATGTATTCCTTTTTTTGGATATGGCACAGGGCCCTCTCTGGAATGGGGGTCTTATGACCTATAATCAAACAAGATAAGTCTAGTTATCTAATTTTTTAGTGGCCAGTTTTTGTGCAGTTATAGTGGAGGGAAAGTTAGAGTAAAATTTTTAGATTTTATGGCTGGCTTTGGGTAAAGGGGTTCTAGTTTCTATGACCCACCTTGAGTAAGACAGATTCTAGTTTTTATGGCTAGCCTTGAGAGAGAATGGGATTGAGAGATAGTAGGGTAGGAGAAGGTCAGAGAAAAATTTCTGTTTTGAGGCTGCTTCTGCGGCCTTCATTTTGGGTATGTTTTTCTGAGTCCCAACATTAGACAATCCTACACAAATATGTATTCAGGACTAAGGTCATGGCTTGTTTTAATAGTTATAACTCTTAAATGACAATTGAGTCATTTTTCAAAGAGAATAAATATTTTGCCATTTTTTCATTAATTCTCGGATCAGCGAAAGTATATATTCTAAATTTGATTGCTTTATTTAAATATTTATATTTTTCAGTTACATAAACATGGAAAACTGTAAAATAAAAATGAATGTCTTATTTACAAAATCTTTGCTTCAGTTAGAAAGGGAAAATGAGTATACACATTACAGACCATTCATAGAATAAAATAATGTGCATTTTAAAAAGAATGAGGTAACTCTATACACACTGACACAGAAGAATGTCTATGACGGGGAAAGATTTCCATGATGCTTAAATTAAAAGCATTGTGGAATAATAAATAGAGAATGACCGTCTTTATACATAGTGTTTTAAAATTTTTTTTAGCTCATCAGCTATTGTTAGTGTTAGCGTATTTTATGTGTGGCTCAAGACAATTATTTCAATCTGGCCTAGGGAAGCCAAAAGATTGGACACCCCTGGTCTAGGCAGTGCTGTGGTCAGGTTTGCTGAGTATTCTGTAGGTGGAATGTAAAATCCAAGATAATGCCTGTTGAACTTGCTGGAAAGTGCACCAACCTGATACTGATCCTATCTCCAGGCTGGGTTCAATGCTCCTGTCTTCATTTCCAAGTTTCCAACAGAATCTTGTGCTTACAGTCATCCTAGAGGGGATCAAGCTTTATACTTTGTTTTTTCTGCTTACTTGTCTGTCTACCCTATCAGATTTTGAGGTCCCTGAGAACAAGAAATACCATTTTTTGTTTTTATTTTTAAATCTCTGTAGTCCCAACATTTAGCATTGTGCCTAGCATAAGCAACCAACAAATGTTCCTTTGATTTGTTTGATTTAATGTAATTTTGTATAATACCGAGTTGGTGTTTGTTTGGAAATTCTGCTTTCTTGAAAATGCTGACTGGTGCCAGGTTGCCCAGCACAGAAGAGACTGTTAGGAATGGATCAATTTCTTTCTTTCTTTTCTTTTTTTGAGATGGAGTTTCTCTTGGCATCCAGGCTGGAGTGCAAGGGCATGATCTCTGCTCATTGCAACCTCTGCTTCCAGTTTCAAGCCATTCTCCTGCCTCAGCCTCCCGAGTAGCTGGGATTACAGGCACCCGCCACCACGCCTGGCTAATTTTTGTATTTTTTGTAGAGACGGGGTTTCACCATGTTGGCCAGGCTGATCTTGAACTCCTGACCTCAGGTGATCCACCCACCTTGGGCTCCCAAAGTGCTGCAATTACAGGTGTTAGGCACCACTCCCAGCCCATTTTATTATTATTATTATTTTCTTTTTTTAGAGGTGTGGTCTTGCTCTTTCACCCAGGCTGAAGTTCAGTGGTGCAATTGATAGAGACAGGAGACAGCCAAATGCTGCCCAGGTCATTGTGTACAGGAGGGTTGCCTAAAGATGCCCACAACCGACTAGGGGTCCCCTTGTGCACTGGGAGAATGGGGTGGAGCCACTGGGAATTCTCACCTTATGGAGTGGGGAGGAGCCCTGTCTCTTCAGCTCTTGTGTGGCGGGCTGGTATTCAATCTGTGAGGTGGAAGCCTGTTGGCAGGAACCCCCCATTTTAATTTTTTAATTTTTTTTTTGCTGAGAGCTTTCTTTTAATAAATTCCACTCTCCCTGCCTTCCAATGTGTCTGCATGCCTAATTTTTTCTGGTTGTGAGACAAGAACCTAGATTTTAGCTGAGCTAAGAAGCAAAAAATCCTGCATCACAATCATAGCTCATTGTATCCTCGAACTCCTGGGTGCAAGTGATCCCATCTCAACCTCCTGAGTAGCTGAGATTATAGGCATGAGACACCATGCCCTCTAAGAATAAATTCCTTTCAAACATTACAAGCTCCTCATCTTTTCCTTTTGTCACCTGAGGTTTTAGACATACACTGGCCTCAATACACATAATCCTTGGCACTTTCTTTTGAAACAACTTTCAAAACTACTTTAAGTTGATAACAATCAACTTGAACACTTGGATGAAATTCTTTTGGGTCAGGAGGTTCCTGCTAAGCTCACATGTAAAGAAAAGAGGACATAGTGAAACACCTGCTTTCTGATTGCAGATAGACCAATAATGTAGCAGGATGAGCCGCAGACAAAAGCTCTCAGACACCGAGTTATAGTAGGAAGGGCTTTATTCAGCAGGGAGGATCGGCAAGCTACTGCCTTAAATTCTGAGCTCCCTGAGTACACAATTTCTGTCCCTTTTAAAGGCTCACAATACTAAAGATTTCACAAGAAAGGGTCATGATTGATTTGATCAAGCAAGGGGTACGTGACAGGAGCTGCATGCACTGGTGGTCAGAGAGAAATAGAACAGGGCAGGGAGTTTCAGAATGTTCTTCTATACAATGTCTGGAATCTATGAATAACATCGGTTTCTAAGTTATGAATTGATTTTTAACTACTGGGTTTAGGCCAGGCAGGCCCAGGCCTGGTTTTGGGCCTGGCGCCGGGCTGCCTGTCTTTGATTTCACTTTCTTTTTTTTTTTTTTTCCTTAAAACAGGTACTGAGTATAAAACAATATAGAACAATATGAGAGGGTCGCTCTCTTTCCTCATTTTCCCCCTTTGAGACTCTCACTTTTTATTAGTGGGAGTTCTCACTCTTATTTTTGCTACTTATGTCTTTTTGTGCAATAGATTGATAGTGATTCATATAGTACACTTGTGCTGAAGCATTTTGGTGAACTAAGGTAGCAATGAAGCTTTTTATCATTTGAAGAAGTAAAAGTAGTAAACAAGGGAGCAGTAAGCAGGTTTTTATTACTATTATAACTCCTATTATAAGAGTTTTAAATCTTCCTATTGCTGGGAACTAATTTTTAAACATGGATCCTGGATTGAGTCCGTGCCACACTTGTATGGGTACATGTGCCAGTTTTGTTATATCTTTAACTATATTTTTAACTACTTGCCCTTGATCACCTGTGTGTAGAAAACAATTAGTAAAGTTAAATTTTTCACAAACTTCTCTTTCAGCTGCTAGCAAGTAGTCAAGAGCTAGTCTATTTTGATAGATAGCATTTCTCATCAGAGTCTCCTGCTGGGCAAGAACAGTCAAGGCTTGACCGGTTGTATTAGTAATAATTTCGAAAACAGCTTGTAACCGTATGATTCCGTTGAGCATGTAGATGGGGGTCCGATATCCCCAAGAGCCATCTTGTGCCCAAGTGGTGGGTCCATAGTATTGTATGATTCTTTCAGGGGGCCATTTATCATCTTTCCAATCACCTATGGCTATGCTTTGTTTTTTGCGGGAAGCATAGACTGGGAAGCCCAGAAGTTCCCCTGCTTTTATGGGCAGTAAGAAGAAAGATGGTTTAATGGTGTCAATTACACAGCTACCTGTCCACTGATCAGGCAGCTTAGCATAAGCTCTGTGTCCACATATCCAGTATAACCTGGTGGGGGCCGTCCAGTCCCGGTGGAATTCTGGGTGGGCCCAAGCAGTCTGCAACTTTGGAAATTGACTGAATGGATCTCTTTCTGTGTAATTGGAACTCCACCATGTAACTGTATTTGTGGTACCATTATACAGCTTTTGCCTAAGACAACTAAGCCGCCTTATAGGATGAGTGAATCCTTTTCCTTCTCTAGCTATGCAACACTGTCTAATAATTCAGACTTTTAGGACCTAAAAATTGTCAGGGTGGTTCTTTTGGGCTGGGAATTCATCAGGAACTGGGTCTGTAGGAACTAATTCTCGGGCTTCTTATGGAAGTTCTTCTTATGGAAACTCTTACTACAGTTTTTCCACAAACATAACATGAATTGACATTTAAAGACTGGACTACATGCTCGGCTAATTGCAAAAACAAATTTCTGGTTTTTCCTGGAGTCTCTGGTACTGGCACATTTAGTTTATCATAGGAAGTCTGAAATACTGGTTCTGGAGAGCATCTTTGAACCCCTCCTTTTATTAGGATGCTTACACTAGGATCTAGTCCTCTTCCATCAATGCCTAATGTTACATATTTTCCTTCATTTCACTTTGGTTCTGAGGGGTTTGTGATTATCAGTTCTAAAGGGTTGCAGCTCCCACTCATGCAGGAGGGGGCTGATTTTTCCTTTTTGGAGCCAAACAGGATTTTTTTTATCTTTTTTCCAAGTAGCCTAAATGACACGAGACCAGTATTGACACATCTCATAAAAATATGATTTTTGACAGATATACTTATTTTTTTACTGTGTAACTTTTTTTCCAATTTAGAGAACTGCATCTTATTCCATGCTGCTTACTATCAATAGCAGCACAAGCGTCAAATTTTAAGGTTAGATTTTTGGGGACCCCTCTTTCTTCTGTTCTAGCTATTACCTTACTTGTGTCACCTAGAAAAGGACAAGTCCTTAATTTTATTTTAAAAACTGTGATCATGGGAGGCTTAAAATGGGTCATAACACACATCAGGTTGGTTATTTCCTGGGCTACATACCTTGGATAGAATAGCATTATACAAACAAATTTCTTTTAGAGTCCTGGTACACTTATAATAACCATAAAATAATAGGACTGTAGCAATCTTTTGTCCTACCTCAGTGACTTGATGTATATACTGGGAACAGTTCTCAGTCTGAGGAAGGTCAGTTGAAGTCCTTACTGTACAAGTCCAAATTTTAAGGAAAATGAGTCCCACGATGAGTTTCCTCATGCTTCGGCCATGCGTGAACCAGTCAGCTTCCGTGTGTGACTGGAGCAGGGCTTGTGGTCTTCTTCAGAGTCACTTTGCAGCGGTTGGCGAAGCTGCTCCCATCCACGTACAGCTCCCAGTCTACTGATGTTTAAGGGTGGTCTCAGAGGTTGGGCCTACTAGAATAAACTGAGTCCAACACCTCTACATAGTTTAAGTTTAACTGGGCTCTCTAATATCAGGAGTAATGTGGCGGGGTTAGGATGTTGCAAACTTCAATGGTTATGCGGGGATTTTCACAGAGCAAGCTTTGGTCTCTTGTTAGTCTAGCATTCATTAGCTAATGGTGTCCTTTGGTATTTATTAAAATCACCACAACATTGGGGGGACTTTATGTTTAGGTTTTGCCTAAGAGTTAGCTTATCTGCTTCTTGTGCTAACAGGGCCGTTGCTGCCAGGGTCCTTGGACATGGGGGCCAGCCTTTGGAAACCCCATTCAGTTGTTTTGAGAGATAGGCCACTGGCCTTGGCCAGGGCCCTACAGTCTGGGTTAAAACTCCAACTGCCAATTTTTTTCTTTCTGACACATAGAGTGTACAGAGTTTTGTCAGGCCAGGTAGCCTCAGGGCTGGGGCCGACATGAGTTTTTCTTTTTAACTCATGAAAAGCTCATTGCTGTTGGTTGTAATAGATGTAGTTCATCTAATCTACATTTTTATTGACTGTCATCTACTAAAATATTGACTTAAATCCTGTAACTATTTGATTTCAAGCTTTAAATTAATCTGGTATTCCTTGCGGGGCTCCAATTGCATCTAAATAGATGTGAGAGTTGAAAGACCTATAAGGGGCTTCTCTTGCTTTATGATGTCTTATTATTATTTTTTTTCCTCTGGTTGATGAAATGCCAGGGTGAAAGGGATAGCCAAATGGACTAAAGGACAAGTGCCACTCTAGTTATTCGGCAGAGTGCCCAGTAAAGGTCCACCACAATACCACCACACATCTGCTCAGGGATGAACAAGGGAAGACAGATTGATAAGCTCTTGAAAATTCTTAAGCTCACTGCATCCCTTCAGGTCTACAAGGAATGCTAAGTCTCCTCCCTGCTGTGAGAGACAAGAAGTGAACTTAGTGTTGGGAGACGGAAGCTGGATGGCCCTCGGGGGCTGACTGGCAGGGACTTCGGGATATAGCAGAGAGAGCTTGGCATGACTTATTACTCCTGGCTGCAGAATCCTGGAAAAGAGCTACATGCAGCCCACACCTGGTCAACTGAAGGACCACCTTAGTGGAAGGGGGACAATCAGGGCCTCTGGCCTGCCATGTGCACAAGCATAACAATTGCTTTTGTTTAATGTGCAGATGGAATATTTGATCCATTCCAACCAGGCATTTGCATCTTGGTATGCTGTCTTAATTGCCAAAGTTTGTTTTAAGTCTTCAACTTCTATGATCCTCTAGTAAAATGAATGTTTCCTTCAGCACCAATTTTTATTAGTTTTTAAATCAAAGAAAGCTAAACACCATTTTATATTTAATAATGCTTCTTGTATGATTTCTATACCAGATGAGTTAAGTTTTACCTTTTTATTAGTGTGTTATTAATGTTAAACTTAATTTTAATAAAACCTTGTAGACATATTTATCCAATTTTTTATGTTTGACCATAAGGTAAGATTTTATAGACTCTTTTTAATCTTTTATAATTTTTGTTAAAGAGCAAGTTGATGCTTTAAGAAAAACCTGTTGCATTTTTACTTTAATGTCCAGTTCACAGAAAAACTGGATGATACCTTTTTAACTTTAGCTAATATGTTTACCCACAGAATTTTCTTTAAAATTAATATTTTAAAACTTGCTTAAACTGTTAAAACAATAATTTTTTTAACCTTTTAATGTAGGTAAAAATTAATTCTTATGCCTCCTTATAATTTTTTTTACCAAAGTTATATTTTACTTTTCTTATACACCTTGTACATAAACAGTTTCTTTAATAGTACTCAGGAGGCCTTATTACTTTTAAATTATACAACATTTTTTGCATAAAAATTTTTTTATAACATTTTCTTTTACGACTTTCGCAGACAATTTTTTAACATGTCTCAACTTTCTGACTTATTACAAACAGTGTTTTTTTTTTAACAACCAGTTAATTTATTTTAGGAGAAGAATTTACCTTATAACACTCTTTTTACATAAATTCTGCCTCCCCCCCTTTTTTTTTTCCTGTTTTTTTTTTAAGATAACCATTCCTTTTTTTTTTTTTTAAAGCGAACTTTCTTTATGTCTTTGGACTAGACAGTCTAAGGCCACAAGATTAGAAGTTACCATAATACATGTTACACTGTTAACTTTTAGCAAACTTCACTTTTGTTGAAAACCTTGTAAGTTTGGGATTTCAATTATCCTTTGCTATTAATAAGACCTTGTTTAGTCTAAATTAACTTAGAATTGGTATAGATGGCCTCTTTTTCTCTCTGCTGGTCTTTCCTTGCCTCTGCCAGCCGCTTATGCTGCTGTTCTCTTAACTACTGTAGCGGGGAAGGGGGTCTAAAAGCAGCTGTAATTGTCTATGTACTGAAACTGGTCTGGGTGCCTTGGCTTACAGGTTACCTTGTGTCATACCTTTGAAACAAAGGACCTGTCCAGGCTTCCTTCTGATGGCCAACCCACCTCTAATGCTGGCCAGTCTATTTCACACAAAGTTCTAAGTTTTCCTGGTGTCACAGTAACACCGTAATCTCCCTTAAATTCTTTCTTGAAAATTTTCTTTTAACATAGTTCCTAGTGGGGTGGGCTTATTTGTGCCTGACCCATGTTTTTTTTCCGAGACAAAATACCACGCTCACACCACACACACTCACCACAAGAAAAAGAACGGGTAAAGAGGCTGCACACACACTTTTACCGTTTATACCAAACCAAAATCACGAAATTCAAAATCCGAGTACCAAAAAATTCAAGCCAAGTCAAAATCAAAACCAAAGTATCCAGCAATTCAAGTCAAGTCAAAACCAGAACAAAAGTGCCAATGCAGGCACGCTGTGGGTGATCAGGCCACACTTCCACTCAGATGGAGTGGGGCAAGTTCCAAAGACTAGTCTTACCAAGTCAAGCCAAGTCAAAACCAGAACAAAAGTGCCAATGCAGGCACGCTGTGGGTGATCAGGCCACACTTCCACTCAGATGGAGTGGGGCAAGTTCCAAAGACTAGTCTTACCAAGTCAAGCCAAGTCAAAACCAGAACAAAAGTGCCAATACAGGCACGCCGTGGGTGATCAGGCCACACTTCCACTCAGATGGAGTGGGGCAAGTTCCAAAGACTAGTCTTACCAAGTTTCAGATGTCGCGACTCCAAGTGCCAGTTCTTTCCGGTGTTCAGCCACCGTGTTAATCCTCTGCAGGGGCCTGCTATGCGCTGCTCTGGCAAGGCATTCCACCGGGGCAATTTCCTACCCGGGAGCGTTCTTTGGATCGCGTCACTCAGGCTGACTGGAGTCCCCTGCAGGGACGCTCCACAGGACAGGCCTAAGCCGCCTAACGGGTTAGCTCTGCCGTCTATGTCTATCAGTTACCTCGTTTCCTGGTCAGGGAACCAAGAAATGTAGCAGGACGAGCTGCAGACAAAACCTTTCAGACACTGAGTTGTAGAAAGAAGGGCTTTATTCAGCTGGGAGCGTGGGCAAGCCACTGCCTTAAAATCCGAGCTCCCCGAGTGCACAATTTCTGTCCCTTTTAAAGGCTCACAATACTAAAGATTTCACATGTAAGGGTTGTGATTGATTGGAGCAAGCAAGGGGTACATGACAAGGGCTGCGTGCACCGGTGGTCAGAGAGAAACAGAACAGGGCAGGGAGTTTCACAGTGTTCTTCTGTACAATGTCTGGAATCTATGAATAACATCGGTTTCGAAGTTATGAATTGATTTTTAACTACTGGGTTTAGGCCAGGCAGGCCCAGGCCTGGTTTGGGCCTGGCACCGGGCTGCCTGTCTTTGATTTCACATCCTTGTTTTTTTTTTTCCTTAAAACAGGTACTGAGTATAAAACAATATGAGAGGGTCTCTCTCTTTCCTCAATATGACTACTTAAATTGGTCAAGGAAATGAACTACAGGGAGGAATATCTGCTTTGTACAAAGATTTTTTTAATGACACTCTTTAAAAAAATGATTATGTATATGTGCATTTTAACTGGATTCTCAAAGAGATATGGGACCCCAAAAGGCAAGTAACAACTGCTCAGGGCAAGTAAAGAGAACTTGGATTTCAAATGGTAACCTCCTAATTTGATAGGAAGTTTCTTGAAAGGAAGGATAACATCTGAGTCTCTTTGTAGTTCCTGCACCTTGTACAACAGTATTCAGCATACAGCAATCAGTGGGGGATTATTTGGAAAAAAATTAATTGATGAAAAAAGCAAGGCCTACTCGAAAACCATTGCTATCTAGGAATGACATCATTTGACATTGCTCCTTACCTCACCTACAGTGAGCATGCCAACTTACAAGCGTTACCAGAAAGAAAATACCCTCTTCTGAAATAGTAGGAATTAGCTATTTCATTTGTACATCTTGAAATTTCCACACTCTTTCCATGTCCAACTACTACCTTTAATTTTTATTTTTATGGTATTCACATTTGTAAAGATTTTATATTCGATCCTCAAAAAATTCTGGGGATGCATAGGTCTTCCAGGAAGTACGACTTCAGTGACAATAAAAATGAGGTCTGATTTCCCTCAGATAGGAAGTCTATTTTTCTATTTCCTTAAATTAACAAGAAAAGAGCAGTGGTCCTGTGAAATCCCATATGAATTCAAGTTATAAACATAGAACACAATCGACGTGTAAGTCTGTAACAACAGGAGACCAGAGTAACTTGTAACAGCAGGTGACTTTTCTAACAAAGGTCACACTGTGTGGGCTAAGCTAGCACCTCATCACTGCAAGAAGCAAAACAAAAGGAAAAAAAAGCTTCTCTCTCTCTTTTTTTTTTTTTTTTAAAGCAGCAGCATAATTCGCTGGCTCAGCAAATGTTTTTCCCTGTTATAGTTTGGGAAAGAAGGCAACTTGGAGGCCTTGTTTACCCTTAGCCCTTCCTCCCGCCCCCGACTGTACCATTAAATCCTAGATTCTAGGGTGACTGAAAAGGATAGGGAATAAATTAGTAATTGTCAAAATGTTTTCCCCATATTATGCATGGCAGCACTTGCTACTTTCTTTTAAGTTGATAACAATCAGCTCAGGGGTTTGCTCTGCTTGCAAGGTCACTGCAAGAATGAACATTGAACTTTGGACTATACCTGAGGGGTGAGGTAAACAACAGGACTATAAATATCAGAGTGTGCTGCTGTGGCTTTGTGGAGCTGCCAGAGTAAAGCAAAGAGAAAGGAAGCAGGCCCGTTGGAAGTGGTTGTGTAAGTAGGAACTTCGTGTTTTCTGATACTTTATTCTTTTAAAGTTTGGTAAATATTTTTTGAGTCTGATAAATTGTTTTTTTCCATAGAATAGATTCAGAAAACTGGTGGATAGAGGAAATAAAAATAATAAAAGAGAAAAAGAATAAGAAGAGTCTGAACTTAGGTGTGGTAGGTGAAGTTCCCAGTGCGCACATTTGTCAGTTCTTGATTTCTGCCCTGTCTTCTGCACAGCTGAGAGCAGAGGAAGCTGGAGAAATCCAAACCTTTTATTCTATAATCTGTTGTGATGTTACATAGGCAGTATTATATGTTCAAATTTAAATATTTTCCACTGAAGGGCAGAGTAAGAACAAACAGGGAAAAAACCCAGCCATTTGGATTTGAAGAGCAGACACTGAAATATGCTCATTCTAGTGTTGTAGAAATGTCCAGGGATATTGTGAGCAGTTTCAGAAGAAAAAGTGGTGGAATGGGGTACAGTAGGTTCAGTCCACAGTGCAGAAGTGGTCACCCTTAAAGAAGCTAAAACCCATGTCAACAATTAGGTGGTCTGTGATTAAATGCAAACTTTTGTATTTTAAATGGTGAATGAGAGCATTCAGGTGAATTAGGGGCTTTCAGATGCTGGCCTAAAGTTCAGAGGTGGAGGACAGAGAAAGTTTGTACATATCCTGCTTTTTAATGAGTAATTTTAAATAAATGTAGGTCTGAATGTGGCCATGAAATTTAAGTTTCGCAATTGAAAAGTGGTGACATAGTGAAATTTACAACTACTTTTCAATTCTTATTGGATCAGCTTCCAGGAAACCCAATTTTGTTATTTATCTTCATTATTTTTATATAGCTGTCTGACAACTATAATTATCAAAGGTTTACGGTGTAAGAAATAATTTTAAGAAAACAAAATTGAGCAGCCTGTTGATTATAATGACAGAAGAAATCCGAAAGTGTGAACTCTTAAGCTACAACTCTCTGCCAATGGGTTATTTTTTCATCATAAACCTAAATGAGGGAAATGAGTGAAACAGTCTTTTCATTTGTATTCACCATTCAGCTACTTGCAATATGTGCTCTGGGCTGGACGCGGTGGCTCACGCTTGTAATCCCAGCACTTTGGGAGGCCAAGGCAGGCGGATCACGAGGTGAGGAGTGTAAGACCAGCCTGGCCAACATGGTGAAACCCCGTCTCTACTAAAAATAAAAAAATTAGCAGGACGTGGTGGCGAGAGCCTGTAATCCCAGCTACTTGGGAGGGTGAGGTAGGAGAATTGCTTGAACCCGGGAGGCGAAGTTTGCAGTGAGCTGAGATTGCGCCATTGCACTCCAGCCTGGGTAACAGAGCAAGACTCCGTCTCAAAAAATAAATAAATAAATAAATAGATAAATAAATATGTGCTCTGTGGCAAAGTGAAAAAACCAAGTGCTGATTTTTTGCCAAGGTTCTGTAACTACTGAATTTGTGGTCTAGGAAACAGAGAAAACCTAGCCTTTCTATTAAGAAATAAAACAGCTTGAATTATTTTTATGTTTTCTTTGGCATCTTAGTGCATAAACAAAAATAGTTGGCGGCTATAGTTATTACAAGGTGATCTATCTAAAAACTCTCAATATATTGCAGTAGCTAAGATGTAGCTTAGGATTTGACAGAACTAGTTTTAATCCAGTCTCTTTTGTGACTGACTTTCTCTCTGTGTGATCATAGACAAGTTACCTAAACTCTTAGCCATGGTTTTTCTCAACTGCAAAAGGGGATAATGGTCACATAATTGTTTTAAGGATTAACTGACATGATATATAAAAGTGCTTAGTGCCACCTGAATATATTTGTATAAAAGTTAAATAAACATTAGCTATAATAAGGATAATTGTATTATCATTGTAAATACCATTCTAGAGGAATTTTCTAGAAACAGTCCAAATATATCTTCTTCTTCTTCTTAAAATATTAGAATATTTTAAATATTAAAATAAGTAGTTGGAGTGGCCTTAAATAAGTAAGTTAATTTGTCCTCTCTCTCTACCTCTCTCACCTCACTCTCTCTAGTTAAGTTCTTATCAAGATATCATATATAGGTAAGAGTTTTGATGTGTTAAATAATGTGAAAGACAATCAGGGTTAAAAATTCTATCTATATCTACCAGTGCATTAAAGCCCAGATCAATCTGATTTTAACTTTTCTATTCTTCTCTTAATTCTGGGCTCACTCTAAGTAATTTACCATTAGCTCCCCACCTCCAAAGAAATGCATCTGCTTTTAAAAATTTCAAATCAGTGCTTGAAAATATATTGATTTCCCAGTTTTCAAATTTTGTCCTGATCTCTCCCCACAGATTCTTACATCAAAATGAGCCTGAATTACTTGTGAGGATTTTTCTTTGCTCCTCTCTGCTGAATGTGTTCCTTTTTCTTTATCACCTGTCTACAGTTCACCTGTTTTTGAACATTTCTGTTTAGAGAGCTAGCCCTAGTTTTGAGGATATTTCTAGTCAGGTATTTAAAAGCATTTTAATTTCGTTGCTCAGAGGAAGCATCTTTTTACCAAAGAAAGTGCTGTCTAGTCATAGGAATTTTCTAGTCATAGGAACTTTCCAATAAATAGGCTAATTGAGTGTGGATTTCAAAGAGTCTTAAATGGTAGAGGGGGCAGATGTGTGATATTTCTACTTGGTTAGATACATACAGCCAGACTTCAAGGAATAAGAGAAACAAAAGGGAGCCATACCCAAGAGATAAATATAGAATGTTTGAACTTGAAGAGCTAAGGGCCCGACATGAGCCACATTCATGTTGGTATACTGTCTTTTCTGCCATCATCTTTTTTCCTTGGTTCTCTTTTTTTGCTGGCTCTTTTCATTTCTGTGCAGAATGCTCTATTTATCCCTTTCTTCTTCTTCTTTTGTTTTTTTTTTTTTGAGACAGAGTCTCGTTCTGTCGCCCAGGCTGGAGTGCAGGGGCGCGATCTCAGCTCACTGCAAGCTCCACCGCCCGGGTTCACACCATTCTCCTGCCTCAGCCTCCTGAGTAGCTGGGACTACAGGTGTCTGCCACCAAGCCTGGCTAATTTTTTTTTTTTTTTTGTATAATTTTAGTAGAGAAGGGGTTTCACCGTGTTAGCCAGGATGGTCTCGATCTCCTGACATCGTGATCTGCCAGCCTCGGCCTCCCAAAGTGCTGGGATTACAGGCGTGAGCCACCACACCCGGCCTATCCCTTTCTTCTTGGAGGATAGAAAGAACAGTCAGAACTTGGTGTGTCTCAAACAAAAGTTAGGTTGTGTTTGCAGAATGTTACATAAGTCACAGACTTATTTTTATAAGCCACAGTCTGAACATAACTTTCTGGAGACAGAATTCATGGGCTAGGTATTTTTAGGAAGTGGAATTATGTCTGCAGGATTTATAGAAATTCATAGTTAGGACTGTGAAGTTAACTATGAAGAAGAGTGACAGGTTTTCTCTTTTACAGGACAACCCCAGCAATGTGGAGAAGCCTGGGGCTTGCCCTGGCTCTCTGTCTCCTCCCATCGGGAGGAACAGAGAGCCAGGACCAAAGCTCCTTATGTAAGCAACCCCCAGCCTGGAGCATAAGAGATCAAGATCCAATGCTAAACTCCAATGGTTCAGTGACTGTGGTTGCTCTTCTTCAAGCCAGCTGATACCTGTGCATACTGCAGGCATCTAAGTAAGACAGTCTTTCTGTGGCTTAAAATACCTTAAGGGGAAGGCTATTAAATACACACACGCATATAGACATAAAATAAAAGTGTAAATAATGTATTAAGTCACACTTTTAGAAAAACTATGTGTTTGCATAGAACATATTAGAAGAGAGAAACTAGGATGATACACACCAAAATGTTTACAGTGGGTTTCCTAGGGTTATGGAAATTTTTTCTTCTTTTTGTGCACCTATATTTTATAACTTCCTACTAAATATGTATTACTTGTGTAATGAAAATGCTCTAAAATGTACTTCTGCAAATAGAACAGTTACTTCAATACAAGAGGCAGAGAAGACTGTTTTGTCAGAGTAGAAAGAACACTAGGCTTGCTATCAAAGTCTTGGGTTATTTAACAAATAAATATAAAAAATATTTGTTGAGTTATTCACCAGATATTCACTGGGTGGAATTCTCCTTACAGTCATCCAGTGGTATCTGTGCAGGATTGGTTCCAGGATCCCCCTCATACACCAAAATCCATGGAGCTCAAATCCTTTATATAAAATGGCATGTATAACCTATGCATATACTTTCATATGCTTTAATCATCTCTAGATTACTTATAATACCTAACACAATGTAAATGCTATGTAAGGAATTTTTATACTGTATTTAGTGAATAATGAATGACAAGAAAAAAAGTCTACATGTTCACTACTATAGATGCAGCCATCTTTTTTTTTCCAACCATTTTTTATCTGTGGTTGGTTGAATCCATTCTACCTATAAGATACATTCAAAATATATACACTTCATCGTGCTAATTTGAGAACTAAACCAATGTTTGTTTAAGCATAAGGTTTTAATTAAGCACAAGTTTTAAGTAATTCTAAAAATGAAAGTTTTAAAATCTTTTACAGCAATATAAAGAATAGGTGCAGTATGGGTTAGTTAAAAATAAGAAGGAGAGTTTCACATAGAAAATTAAGGAAGAGGGAGAAAAACCACTAATCAAATCAAATGAGATTATTCATTTTATGTATTTCTTCCCAAATATTTTAGATTAGAAGACCTGCGAGTAAAACTGAAGAAAGAAGGATATTCTAATATTTCTTATATTGTTGTTAATCATCAAGGAATCTCTTCTCGATTAAAATACACACATCTTAAGAATAAGGTTTCAGAGCATATTCCTGTTTATCAACAAGAAGAAAACCAAACAGATGTCTGGACTCTTTTAAATGGAAGCAAAGATGACTTCCTCATATATGATAGGTTTGTACATACACACAAACACATCCCAAATTTAAAAATAACTGTTTCGTATCTATTTATTTACTTCCCATCACACATAACAATCTTCTTTACTGTTAAATACAATGCCATATTTCAGTCTTCATCTCATATAATCTCTCTTTAACATTTAGAAGTAAAAATCACTCCTTATTTTTGAAATACTCTCATTTTAAAAAATTTCTATGACACTATACCCTGCTGGTTTTCCTCATATCCTTCCTCTTCTTTCTCCTCCTCCACACTTCCTCCTCTTCCACCTCCTGATTTTTCTTCCTCCCACATTCTTCCTTGGTTTATTCTGTATGTGTTTGTGTTATTCAGGGCTATACAGCTTTCTGCCTATTCACACTCTGCACATTTTACCTGAGCAATCTCATCTATCCCTTGATTACAATTAAAACACATATTAGGATGATCCCATATATACAAAGCTGAAACACAATGACTGAACTCCAGACGAGTCTACTTCCTAGACATATTCACAAACATCTTAAATTTAATTATTCAAATCTGTATTGATTATCTTCTCCTAAAACATGCTTATACTTTCACTTTTGTGTGATTTTTATATACAACCTATTGGAGGCAGATGCAGCCAACCACTAGGGCATATAATCCTATAATTTTCAGACCCTGCACTCCCAGTCATCATCCACTATTTTGCAGGACATCACAAAAACCATCAGGTATGGCAGCCTTGCTGCCATCCACCCCTTCACAAAACTGTGTGACAGGAATGTATTACTTACTCCTTCCACCACACTTCCCACCTCAGTCAGTAATCAAATTCTATGGGTTCTTAATCCTGAGTATATTTATCTCATATCCGTAATTATTATCTCAAGTTACTTCCTGGTGACCACTCCTCTAGATTTTTCCACTAATCTCTTCACTTGATTTCTTCTTGTTTTGTATTTAATAGTAAGTGATTTAAAATAATATATTTGCTTTTGATTATTGCCAAATAGTTTATAAACTCTTTATTCACATTTATTTTTTTGAAATGACTTTGATTTTTGAAATGACTTTTTAAAAAGTAAGGCATGTAAAAGAGTTCACCATTCCAAGAGGAAAATACAGAAAATTGATTATCCCCATAAATTGGCATTTCGGTTAAATAAAAAGAATGACCAATTTGTATATCCTGTACAATTCTAACCTAATTCTTTTGCAAATGAATAACCATATCTTCTAATTAATTTTAATCTAAATAATAATTTTAAGGCTACATACCTGAATTTCTGAACTGTAAAGTGAGTTAATCATTTAAGCATGATCTGCACAAATCTACTTTTGATTCTATGAACAAATAAAACATTTATATTTTGAGGGAATCTCAATTCATGCATTATGCCATTATAAACATTCTTAGTTGGTGCTTTGTTTTTTTTGACTCTCCGGAGTCTGGTGAGCCCTACTTGGTCTTACACTAAATTTTTAAAAATTCACATTTCATTCTTTTAGGCCTTTAAACTTCTAATTTTTAGGATAACCTAAAAGTATAACCCTTTGATAGTCACATAAAACCATATATACTAGGTAAAATGTAGGCAAGAAGAACATTTTAACCCCACCATTTCTGACAATGCCACATGTTCTAATACTTTCATTGTGCTGAAATTTTCATTGCATTAGATACATTTTTAAATAAATGGGCTACTGGCCAAGGCTTGGAGATGTTTTTGTTATGTGATGATTTCTTGTTGTGTCAAATTTGTGCTGCCTTAGCAGTTATGACAAGCTCAAGTGATTTTCAGAGCCTAATTTATAAGTTAGCGGTTTGGGCACTGGTAGAATTTATAAGTCAGTCACAAAATTGTATTTTACCAAGTCACAGTGATGACATTTTTGATATTATATAGTGACATATCTATAACATTTCAAAATACTAGTATTAGACTAATTATAGTGTTGCTATGACCTGACCTGGTGTGCAGTACCTGGGAGCTCATTTGTAGCTCTCATCCAAAGAAATTTAGTAAAGGCGTGAAAGGGTCTTAGTTATGACCATTAAACCTATAATACCTATCCCAGACTGTATTTGAGTAGGATCGTGATACAGAAAATATTATAGTGACATTGTATTTGTCCTTTTTCTTAGATGTGGCCGTCTTGTATATCATCTTGGTTTGCCTTTTTCCTTCCTAACTTTCCCATATGTAGAAGAAGCCATTAAGATTGCTTACTGTGAAAAGAAATGTGGAAACTGCTCTCTCACGGTATTTTTCTGAATTATTTTTCTGGGGAGAAAAGAGGAAATCTTTTAAGAGTTTATCATGAAACACTTATTTAGAAAACTCAATGCTTTTGCAGGTGTACTAAAAATAAATAACAATAATTTTTACAATTAAACAAACATCCTGTCATCTAACCTCTACTTTATTTATTTATTTATTACTATTACTATTATTTTTGAGACGGAGTCTGTCTCTGTCGCCGAGGCTGGAGTGCAGTGGCGCGATCTCGGCTCACTGCAAGCTCCGCCTCCCGGGTTCACGCCATTCTCCTGCCTCAGTCTCCCGAGTAGCTAGGACTACAGGCGTCCGCCACTACTCCCAGCTAATTTTTTGTATTTTTAGTAGAGACGGGGTTTCACTGTGTTAGCCAGGATGGTCTCGATCTCCAGCCCTTGTGATACGCCCGCCTCGGCCTCCCAAAGTGCTGGGATTACAGGCGTGAGCCACCGCGCCCGGCCTAACCTCTAGTTTAAAACATCTTTTGAAGATCGATGTTGCTGCCTTTATCTAGAAGAGCTTTAGAAATTAAAAATCAATGTATCGTATTTCAGTTACCACCAAATGACGTTGCATGGGCATAAGTGCTCAAAAAATTTAGTCAACACAAAAAAGCAATGTTATTGTAGTAACCTGAACATGTTAGCACAAGAACATAAAAATAGCAAAGCTTACCCACAGCATTACTTGGAATGGAACTGGGGCCAGAAACTACTTAATTTATTGAAGATGCAAGGCTATCAGATTTTTCCTGAAGCCCTTCCACTGCCTGCCCATCTGCAGTCTGAGTTTACTTCAAAATGGAGTAAGTTTTCTACTCATTACTGGTATTTATTTCCTAACAACCATGAAAATATTTCTTCTTTGTTATGAGAAGAACTATATTTAAATCTTTTTTAAATAAAAAAGGCACTCAAAGAATTTAATTTGTATTAACTAGACTTGTTTTCCTTCATAACAAAAAGGAAAATAATTCTAAACAATGTTCCATTGAGAAGTCAGATTGGGAAAATTTGAACTTAGGTTTAAAAACAATTCACAATTTTATCTGTAAGTTGTATTTCCTTCAGATTTTCCCCAGGTCTAAAGAAAGCCGCCTCAAATTTTTAACGAATTTAATTAATTAATTTAGTTGTTAAGGAGTATAAGTTACTTACTCTAGTTATGTAATTTTCACATTTTAATCTTTATAATGATCTTTTGAGGGTTATTTTACTATTTTTAAAGATGAGGAGACTGAGGTAATGGAAGAAAATACTAAGAGTAATGAAAGAAAAGTACTAACTCAACCTATACTAAGCATTTAATAAATACTAATTATAATGATTCCTCATATTTTGGGATTATTTCTGCATTTCTCATTTGTGCAAATGCTTGCTAGTTATAAATATACCCAGTTATATTGAAAAAGGCAGTTAATAGTTACCACAATATGCTTAAAATGTGTGAATCATCTGTAAATACAAATTACAGATCAGACACTATTAGTATCTGATATGCCAAATCCGATTGGAGTTTTTCTATTTCATTGTCTCCTAGATACCACTGATTATTTGACATATTATCTTATGTAGTATTTAGGAAAAAAAAATGCTGCTAATTAAAGTAGGATACAGTGAGAAACCACCACCAACAGTATGGTACATTCTAATTTTAGAGATATTAAAATCTAAAGAAATATGCATCACATAATCAGTAAAATATAGTAATTCGTTTCTGAAATTAGACTACTGGCAGGGTGCGGTGGCCCACGCCTGTAATCCCAGCACTTTGGGAGGCCGAGGTGGATGAATCACGAGGTCAATAGATCGAGACCATCCTGGCCAACATGGTGAAACCCCATCTCTACTAAAAATACAAAAATTAGCTGGGCGTGGTGGCACGTGTCTGCAATCCCAGCTGCTTGGGAGGCTGGGGCAGGAGAATCACTTGAACCTAGGAGGCGGAAGTTGCAGTGAGTCGAGGTCGTGCCACTGCACTCCAGCCTGGCGAAAGAGTGAGACTCCGTCACTAAATAAATAAATAAATGAAAGAAATTAGACTACTACCATAGGTATTTGTGTTTGTTTAAACCTTGAACACTTTGAACATTACACAGTATATTTTAAACATGTATCAAATTCTTTATAAGTTTGTAAGCAAACATTATTAGCTTCTAATGTAGAAGTAATTCAGAAATAACCAAATAAAGTACCACTTAGTAGTTGTATGCTAAAATTTAATGGAATTTATAACCTTTTAAAACCTTCAAAACATCAAAAGCATATCACTTAGTGAGTCTTTGGGTTCTAAGTTGATTTTGTAATTTTATTTGCAAATTAGCCTTAGGTTGAGATTTACTGTTACATTTCTGTATCTATAGGCTTTGAGTCTCTGATTAGTAGGTACCACAAAACAGTAAAGACTTCCAGTAAATTAAAGAACTAGGATCATGCGGAATGGATATTATGGTCAATGGGAGTCGGGCAGTAATTTGCTATTTTCAGCTGACAGCCTTATGGTAGGGAGACATTAGCAAAGCTTTGGTGAAGTTCAAAACATTTCCTGGCATAGGATGAAGTATGAAAAACTAACACATTTGAGCAGAGTTTATTAGCATTTTTGAATTATCAGAGATAATATTAGATTACAGTATCATATAGTATTAGATAAGATGCACCGTTGACACAGGTACAGAAGTTTCCATATAGTTCAACTGATTTTTTATTTATTTTTTATTTTTTTGAGATAGGGTCTGACTCTGTCACCCAGGCTGGAGTGCAGTGGCACCATCTGAGCTCACTGCAACCTCCATCTTGCAGGCTCAAACGATCCTCCCACCTCAGCCTCACAAGTAGCTGGGACTACAGGCATCTGACACCACACCCAGCTAATTTTTGTATATTTTGCAGAGACAGGATCTCGCCATGTTGCCCAGGCTGGTCTCCGACTCCTGAGCCCAAGTAATCTGCCCCCCTCGGCCACCCAAAGTGGTGGGATTACAGGCATGAGCCACCATGCTCGGCCCAGATCAACTGAATTTAGGATTTGATATTACTTTGACTTTCCTGCAATCCAAGTTCCTTTTGCCAGTTTACTTCATTTGCTTCTGCAAATATAAGTACAGTGGTTTGGCTTTCTTTTTAAGCCTTTAATAAAATGTCTAGGTGTTGAGACTAACATCAGACTCTTTCTCATTAATATAATACAAAGCCAGCTCGATTCTAATTAACTAGTTGGAATTTCACATGTTAGCTCTACAAATCATTTTTCACGCATTAT
The DNA here is from genome assembly GCF_000001405.40 of Homo sapiens. NCBI lineage: Eukaryota > Metazoa > Chordata > Mammalia > Primates > Hominidae > Homo > Homo sapiens. Next base: position 42,801,379 of record NC_000005.10, on the reverse strand, counting down.
TCCTATCTCTATAAGCTTGTTAAAAAGTGATTTATAAATTTGTTCCAGACTCTCAAAGATGAAGACTTTTGTAAACGTGTATCTTTGGCTACTGTGGATAAAACAGTTGAAACTCCATCGCCTCATTACCATCATGAGCATCATCACAATCATGGACATCAGCACCTTGGCAGCAGTGAGCTTTCAGAGAATCAGCAACCAGGAGCACCAAATGCTCCTACTCATCCTGCTCCTCCAGGCCTTCATCACCACCATAAGCACAAGGGTCAGCATAGGCAGGGTCACCCAGAGAACCGAGATATGCCAGCAAGTGAAGATTTACAAGATTTACAAAAGAAGCTCTGTCGAAAGAGATGTATAAATCAATTACTCTGTAAATTGCCCACAGATTCAGAGTTGGCTCCTAGGAGCTGATGCTGCCATTGTCGACATCTGATATTTGAAAAAACAGGGTCTGCAATCACCTGACAGTGTAAAGAAAACCTCCCATCTTTATGTAGCTGACAGGGACTTCGGGCAGAGGAGAACATAACTGAATCTTGTCAGTGACGTTTGCCTCCAGCTGCCTGACAAATAAGTCAGCAGCTTATACCCACAGAAGCCAGTGCCAGTTGACGCTGAAAGAATCAGGCAAAAAAGTGAGAATGACCTTCAAACTAAATATTTAAAATAGGACATACTCCCCAATTTAGTCTAGACACAATTTCATTTCCAGCATTTTTATAAACTACCAAATTAGTGAACCAAAAATAGAAATTAGATTTGTGCAAACATGGAGAAATCTACTGAATTGGCTTCCAGATTTTAAATTTTATGTCATAGAAATATTGACTCAAACCATATTTTTTATGATGGAGCAACTGAAAGGTGATTGCAGCTTTTGGTTAATATGTCTTTTTTTTTCTTTTTCCAGTGTTCTATTTGCTTTAATGAGAATAGAAACGTAAACTATGACCTAGGGGTTTCTGTTGGATAATTAGCAGTTTAGAATGGAGGAAGAACAACAAAGACATGCTTTCCATTTTTTTCTTTACTTATCTCTCAAAACAATATTACTTTGTCTTTTCAATCTTCTACTTTTAACTAATAAAATAAGTGGATTTTGTATTTTAAGATCCAGAAATACTTAACACGTGAATATTTTGCTAAAAAAGCATATATAACTATTTTAAATATCCATTTATCTTTTGTATATCTAAGACTCATCCTGATTTTTACTATCACACATGAATAAAGCCTTTGTATCTTTCTTTCTCTAATGTTGTATCATACTCTTCTAAAACTTGAGTGGCTGTCTTAAAAGATATAAGGGGAAAGATAATATTGTCTGTCTCTATATTGCTTAGTAAGTATTTCCATAGTCAATGATGGTTTAATAGGTAAACCAAACCCTATAAACCTGACCTCCTTTATGGTTAATACTATTAAGCAAGAATGCAGTACAGAATTGGATACAGTACGGATTTGTCCAAATAAATTCAATAAAAACCTTAAAGCTGACTTCGTTTGTTATGTAGGCTGTATGCATATATTGAAAACAGAAGTGAAACTTTCGATTGCTTTTAAATAAATACCAACTAATGAATTTACTGCTAAGCTCAAAACCGTCTACGCTTAAGGTGAGAATCTTTGCCAACAGAAAGGCGTTGCTCTAAATCGCGAATGGTATTACGAAGAATTGCAATCTCCTTGTTTTTTTCTTCTTGAAAATGCTGAAGTTTCTAAACGAAACAAAAAATTTGTTATTAGAATTCAGAAATAAAATTTAGTACAAGGAACAACAAAATAACAAAGAAATGCACTTCTGCTATTGGTATTTTAAAAAATACCTTATATTGTTAATAAGAATTAGATGATTTTTATAGAAACATGCTTAGAAAGTTTTCTTAAGCAACAAATACTGAGAGGAAAACTCACATACCCTTCTGTAGATACTTTGTGGCAAAACAGTAGAATCCTGATATGATTTTGATTTAGTCTGAACTCTTGCTAGTTTGGCATCAAACTGAATCAAATTGAAAAGAAAGTTATTGAAACTCTAGACAATTAGAAACAATTGTTTCTATAATTATAATCCATGTTATCCTTTGACATGTAATCTGTAATTCAGGTGTAAATTACAGTATAGACAATAGAAAAATCTTTCTTTAAGAAATAATTTTTCAGAAAGAGCAAAGAACAGAAAAACAAGATTAACCCTGATTGCACGGCAAAATTACCTGGAGAGGTTTTTTTTTTCTTTGTTTCTAAAGTACCAAATGCCTGGGCACTACTTTAGAGATTCTGGTGTGCAGCTAGCGTCATCTTTTTCTCAAAACATCACGTGATTCTATAGTGCAGACAGGGTTTAGAATCTAGTTTAACTTAAATATAGGTAAAAATATTTTTACGTTAAAATGAGTGTATTATAAAGAAAATGTAATAAACAGTCAAGGAAGAAAACCTCACCTAGCTTTCTGCAGGAACTTTGAGGCTGAACAGTAGAATTTGAATACGATCTTGTCGATATAGTTTGAACCCTTGCTGGTTTCAATTAAACTGAATCAGGTTAAAAAAGTTCTCATAGGCCATTCTTAACAGGCCAATTTTTTTTTGTTTTTGCACAATATTCCATTATATAACTCTTCTCTTCAGATTTAGTTAACATAGCCTCTCTGAGGACTAAGAATAAACTCTGAGATTATGCTCTGGTTTGAGGAGAGAAATGGTTAGGTACAATGAAAACAAATAAGGAGCTGTGTATACCAGTCAAATAATAGACCAGTGATAAGGCCCAAATGGCAAACAAAATGCAAATTTCCAAACAGAGGAGGATTAGAAGTTGGTAGTAGATCTTGAAACATGGCCTATTAATTTCAGTTGGCCATTCAGCCTTTCCTGTGGTTTGTGGTACACTTGGTCAGATGGCAGCAGCAGCAGCAGCACCAGCAGCAAAGGGTATCTAAAGTCAACATCAGTCCTCTTTCTGCCCAGTGATTACTCAAGGTAACTCACCAAGTACCCTGGGGATTCCAAAGTTTCAGGAATATGAGTAGTATGTGATTTTAATTAAGACTTGTGAATTCTTACAAGGTAAAATGAAAGTTGGGGTGGGGGGAAGCAACGGAAGAATGATGGAAGGGTAGATTGATAGAGTCTAGAAAACATTTAAAGGACAAATATTTTGTCAAAGTACATTTGAGATTGTGATATCCGGTTAAATGAACTACTCAAGACTGTTTGTTTATTTATTTATTTTTTTCGTTCTGTTGCCCAGGCTGGAGTGCAGTGGCACAATCTCGGCTCACTGCTAAGTCTGCCTCCCGGGTTCAAGTGATTCTCCTGCCTCAGCCTCCTGAGTAGCTGGATAACAGGCATCTGCCATCACGCCCAGTTAATTTTTGTAATTTTTTTTTAGTACAGGCGGGTTTCACCACGTTGGCCTGGTTGGTCTCGAACTCCTGACCTTAGGTGATCCGCTCGCCTCGGCCTGCCAAAGTGCTGGGATTATAGGTGTGAGCCACCACACCCGGCCTACTCAAGACTTTTGAGCAAAGAGTTAGAGCCTCAGCCTTTGAGATGCCCTATTAGAAGTCCCTTAAAAAAAAAATTGTAGGAATTTGGTTTGTTTGCCCCCAGGATATATATTCTTCCAGAAAGTTATTAGGAAGAAATTTGTTTTTTTAATGAGAAATAAAGCAAAATAAATTTCTAGTTGGTTACTGGGTTTTGACAAATTTCGGCTGGGATGAGAATAAATGTGAAGCGTTAGAAACATTCTTCCCATGCTGGAATGGTAGAAATTATGAAACCTACATAGAATTTACCATAAAATGCAGATAATCCTTGAGTTTTCTGTCAGGGAAATGTGAGTGCTAAAAATACAATAGCTAAAATAAAGTTTCACTGTATTGGTTTAATAGCCAATTAGATACACTAAAGATAGAATTAGTAAGTTGGAGAATAGGTTAGAAGAAAATATCTACCCTGAGACAGGGAAAAACAAGAAAATGACATATACAGAAAAGAGCATATGAGACACAGGAACTGGTAGTAAAGTCTATGAAAGGCTGTTGTCTCTCACCTAGTGTTGGGCCTAAAGTTGCTGCAGTCAGAAAGGCCTGCAGTTAAAAGGAAAAGTTGGATGTCAAGTGGGAAATACTGAGAAGAAAAGTTCTCAGAGGAAGCAATATCCTCCCTAAAAACCAGGAACTTTCGAACAACTCAAGGGTCCACTTTCAGGTCAAGTGCTGAAAGGCAATGCAGATGACAGTTGTATGGTATGTGATTACTGCAATCATTTGGTGGAGAATGAGCATGTGTGAAGCCCTCTCACAGAATTGCTTCTAATCCTAAAATGTATCTCACTGTGATGAAAAACAATCAAAGTACAGTTTAGACTAAGGGATGTGTCCTCAAGTTTAGCAGACTCTTAAACACTTACTTCTAGTTGTAGCTTGATTATTTCATTTTGTTTTTCTTTTTCTTGACTTCTTAGCTTTGCATTTAACTCTGAAATTTCCATCTCCTTTTTCTCTATTAGTTCTTTGTGCTTTTCTTCATTTAATTCAACTGAATAAAATGAAATAAATAAAATTCATTTGTTAAAAATTTCAAAATTATTATAAGTTTGTATTTCTTTAGTGTTTTAAATCATTCCTAAAAAAGTAAATTTTATTAATGAAACATATTTTAGAAATGGTGTAGGTATAGAATAGCTTTTCTATGTTTTTTACAAGACCCTGAATAATGTTTGAGACACAGAAGTCACTTGCCAAATATTTTTGAATGAATAAGGTAATTTAAACTATTAAACATCAAAGGCCTGGAAAATAAATGGGAGATACAGTGGTTGAAGAGGGACACAAAGCCTGAGTTTCTAGGTATGAAGGGCTCAAACTACTGGATGACTCTAGAGCTACATGAAGCCCCTGCTATACTATTCCATATGATCAGGCCATTCTCATGTTCACATCATATCTTTATGCTTTATCAAATTTCTTCTTCTCCCAACTTTCTTATTCCTGTTAATGACACCATGACATCTAGGATGAGAGGCTCAAGAAAATCTTTTATTTTTAACGAGAAAGGAGACAATCTACAAGCCCCACAATGAAGGGCTTCCTAGCTTTCTTTTTTTTTTTTTTAATTTTATTATTATTATACTTTAAGTTTTAGGGTACATGTGCACCATGTGCAGGTTAGTTACATATGTATACATGTGCCATGCTGGTGTGCTGCACCCATTAACTCGTCATTTAGCATTAGGTATATCTGCTAATGCTATCCCTCCCCCATCTCCCCCACCCCACAACAGTCCCCAGAGTGTGATGTTCCCCTTCCTGTGTCCATGTGTTCTCATTGTTCAATTCCCACCTATGAGTGAGAACATGTGGTGTTTGGTTTTTTGTCCTTGCGATAGTTTACTGAGAATGATGATTTCCAATTTCATCCATGTCCCTACAAAGGACATGAACTCATCATTTTTTATGGCTGCATAGTATTCCATGGTGTATATGTGCCACATTTTCTTAATCCAGTCTATCATTGTTGGACATTTGGGTTGGTTCCAAGTCTTTGCTATTGTGAATAGTGCCGCAATAAACATACGCGTGCATGTGTCTTTATAGCAGCATGATTTATAGTCCTTTGGGTATATACCCAGTAATGGGATGGCTGGGTCAAATGGTATTCTGATATAGATATTTAGATAATAAATTTGTAGATCCTACTCTGTATGATTTAAACCTTTGAAATAGGTTGAAATTTACTTTTTCATTTATGATATGGTCAACTTTCTTAAATGTTCCATGCATACTTGAAAATAATACGTATTCCGCATTTATTGGGTATATCATTTATGTCAATTAGTATCAGTTGTTTATTTTGTTGCTTAAATTTTCTATATCATTACTAATTTTGCATATTTGTATGTACTTTTCTACCACTAAAAGGTGAATTAAAGTCTCTCATTATGATTGTGGATTTGTCTGTCACCTACTAGTTCTGCGAATTTTACTTGGTACATATACATTTAGAATTGTTGTTTTATTTCCCTGGTAAATCAAACACTTTACATCACAAAATATCCATCTTTTGCTCTAGAACTGCTTCTTGCTTTAAAGTATACTTTGTCCAATATTAGTATAGCTATGCCAGCTTCATGTTGGCTACTATTTGCATGTTATATTCTTTTCCATCTTTTATTTTAAATCTTTCTATAGTTTTGTATTTTAGGTATATTGAAAGCAGGATAGTAGCAGATTTTAATACTTATTCAATCTGGCAATCTTTTTTAATTGGAAATTCATTCAAGTTTAACTTAATGCATTTAGTAATATATTTGGGTTTAAATCAACTAGCTTATTATTTGTTGGCTTTTACATTTTATGTTCATTTCTCTCTTTTTTCTCATCTTCATTTAGACAGAATAACTATTTTTACTTCCCTTTTTTCCTCCTCTATTAGATTGATAATCATTAGCTTGATAAATATTCTTTTATTCTTCCTTTAGTGGTTATCTTAGAGTTTATGGCATGCCTACTTGACTTATTAGAATTTAATAAAATTAGTACTTTTATCACTTTATGGACATGATACAAACCTTAAAAACATTTTAACTCCATTTATTCCCCCTTTTGTCTTTGGTGTTTTTGTACTATGTTAACTTAGCTAAATTAGAACTATGTTTTCCAGAATTCCCTTGTCTATATGTTCTAAGGTAGAGTTAGCCGTAAGAGAAATCTCCACAAGGTTTGGAAGATGGAAGTATAGCAAGAACTAATTTTCTCTGATGTTTAGTATAGGATGCTGGGCAGTGTTTCAGTTCACACATGGTGTTGCTGGCCTTCTGGCTCACCAAATCAGCAGCTATTATTTTTTGAAGGTCAATGTAGAGCCCCAGGGAACAGTGCAATTTATACAAGTTGTCACTTATCAAAGGATCATCTCAGTAATAAGGAAAAACGTTTGGTTCCACAGCTTCTTAAGCTCCCAACAGATTTCTTTTTTTAGCTGCTAGAAGTCTCAGGCCAGGTGTCCTTGAAGCTCAATGGCGTAGGGCACCATCTTTTCCTGCAGGTCGTCATGTCATTAAGGTCGAAGGAGGTATAAGAAAGATGCAAATTCCAGTTTGTTCTCAGTATTTCCACTTGACATCCAACTTTTCTTTTTACCTGTAGGCCTTTCTGACTGCAGCAACTTTAGGCCCAACACTAGATGAGAGACAACAGCCTTTCATAGACTTTACTACCAGTTCCTATATCTCACATGTTCTTTTCTGTATATGCCATTTTCTTGCTTCTCCCTGTCTCAGAGTAGATATTTTCTTCTAACCTGTTCTCCAGCTTACTAATTCTATCTCCAGTGTATCTAATTGGCTATTAAACCAATACAGTGAAACTTTATTTTTACCTACTGTGTTTTTAGCACTTACATTTCCATCTACTTCTCTAGTATAATTTCCAGTTCTCCATAAAAATTCCCCAAGTCCAGCTGAGCTTGGTGGCTCACACCTGTAATCCCAGCACTTTGGGAGGCCAAGGCAGGTGGCTCACCTGAGGTCAGGAGTTCAAGACCAGTCTGACCAACATGGTGAAACCCTGTCTCTACTAAAAATACAAAAATTAGCCAGGGATGGTGACACGTGCCTGTGGGCCCAGCTACTCAGGAAGCTGACGCAGAAGAATTGCTTGAACCTGGGAGGTGGAGGTTGCAGTGAGCCGAGATGGCAACACTGCACTCCAGCCTGGGTGACAGAGTGAGACTGTGTCTCCAAAAAAACAAAAAGAAAATTCCCCAAGTTCTTTATTTCTTTGATTATATTAATCAGAGTCATTGTAAATTATATATCTGATAATGCCATTATCTGGATCATAAATGAATTTATATTTATTTCCTTTTAAAAATGTTTATAATTGAGCTTGCTTAGGTTTTTTTGTATTTTTAAAGTCAGATTTACTGCAGCGTAATTTATATATAGCAAAATCTCTTTTGAGGCGTATAGTTTGAGGAGTTTCGAGGACCATATACAAGAATCTAACCATCACCACGATCAGGTAAAATTTTTCTATCACTTCAAAAGGAGCCCTTGTGCCCCTTTATAATCTATCCTTTTGCTCAAATACTGGCAAACATTGATCTGATTTTCGTCACCATAATTTTCATTTTCAAGAATGTTGTATAAACAGAATTATATAGTATGTGGACTTTTGTGTCTGGCTTCTTTGATTTAGCATATTGCTTCTGAAGTGATTGTATTGTTGAATGTATCAGCAGTTTGTTGCTTTTTATTGCTGAGTAATTTCCATTACATGGATGTACCATGATTTGTTTATTTATGTTAATGGATTTGCTAGAGTCCAGGTTTGGGCCATGATGAATAAGGTTGCTGTAAACATTCACAAACAGGTCTTTGGGTAGACATATGCTTTCATTCCTCTTGGGTAAATACCCAGGAGTGCGAATGCTGGGTCAGATGGTGTGTTATGTGGCGCCATGACAATGAGCCTCTCAGATCTCAGGAATCCTAACTGATCACTTGCCCCAGCTCCTGCACTCTAAAATCCATTACTGCATTTAAGCTGAGGCCATGCTTCTATGGTTGCAACTAGTCAATGACAGGGTATGGAAGGAATACTACTGTGGGCCAATTCTGGGAGATGTCTAATCCTATCTTGGTGTTTCCTCCTTTAAGGACCTGAACTAGCACAAGGAAACAGGTATAATGGGGTTCTAAGATGGGCTCACTTACCACTTTCTGGGCAATGAAGAAGCCATCCTTAGTGGTATGTGGAGCACTGGTAGCTCCTAGTATACAATGGTGTTAATAATTACTACAGATTTCACCAGAAGTAATCTGGAAAAATGTCCTGGTGGTGGGGAATGCCTTGCAAGACATTAGTTATCATTAAGACATTTGAAATATGGATGGAAATAATGCCCACAAATGCAGTAGAGTTATCTGGTTACTGCTAAATTAAATTGACATTATACTAAAGGATAATGAGAAATTGAGGGCTGTTAGCAAAAAGTTACAGAATTAAAGAATAAATGTGAGAGTGAGAGATCTCTTTGGTAGCTTACAAACATGTTCTTACCTCTGGTAATGGAACATCAAACACAGCTAAGCAACAGAAAATATAATAGATTTGAAGAACTCCAGAGATGTTTAAATGCTTAGCCAAAGCAGTTCTACTATGATAAAATTTGGACCCCGGTTGGAAAGACCTGAGATCCTGAAAAATAGAATGGAAACATGTGGATGGATGCCTCTGAGGATGCTAGCTCTAAAGATTTCCCTAAGCCCTTGGAGTCTGAAGAGGTGGCCCACTCTTTCCTAGTAAAAGCTAGCAATTCCCCTGTGGTGAAGGATGCAGAGGCTGCTCTCAGAAGCTGCCTCGATCTCCTCTTTTGGCTGTTAGGTCAATAACTAGGGTCAAGATGCACCATAACTTGGCTGGGAGATAAGGGAGAAAAGTGATTATATCTAAAAGTATCTGCAAGAATTATCTAGGTTGTACTGGGAAGAGCTATGTGAGTATCCCTGAGAACAGATTTTGAGGCTGCTGGATCAAAGAAGATAGAAAGTAAGACTAGGTAAGCAAGAATTCATTGACTCAGCATTACTCTTCAGGGACCACAGATGTAATATCCTAGCAAGGGCCCTAGGAGATGGGGCAAATGCTCTGCTAGAGTGGCCTTAAACCTCTAAAGAAAGCAATGACCAAAGCTGAGTGAAGTGAAAATATCTGAGCTGCCTGACAGATAGTAAAGAAAGAAATAAGGAGGCTGTAGAAAGTTGGCATGCTAGTAGGAATATATTACATGAGGTAAGACAACCTACAAAAGGATTATGTTCTTCAGGAGGGCCCAGAAGACACATTATTAGCCAAGGCCACCAGAAATGTGCTGGTGAGGGGTAAAAAAGTATCACAAAAAATTCAGTGATCAGTCTCCTTTGCAAGCCAGGGTTGACAGTAAAATAGGTTGCCATAGAGCTAGGTTTATTAATACCCATGGGGATGGCAGGCCTCTCCACCACAAAGTAATAAAAGCCAGATGATAGTGCTTAACTGCCAAAAGGCAGGAGGCCACAATTACCAAATTACCAGGAAGGCTGGAGAGCAGCCAAAAAGACTTGATGTGCAGGTAGTTGTAGAGATAGTTAATAGATGGATAGCCAATTCTGCTTAACAGGTACTACAATTTAAAAAAATAAAAAATGGAAGAACACAAGGCTTAGGGTACATGCCTCAATTAAAAAATTATCATCCTTTTCTCAGTCTCCAGACCTGAACCAATTATGGGATCTGGAACCCATTGGCTAAATATATGGTCAGGTCACTAGGAAGAACACTTAAATAATACTTCTAGTATCCCTTTAGGAAGAGAGGCCAACAAGAACCACAGAAGAGTTGCTACATGAACTCATGTAGAGAAGTAACTCTGTGTAGTACAGTAGGTGGAGTGTTGTAGCCATGAAAATGCACCTATTAGATCTCCAATTTCGGAGAGCATAATTGACTCCCTGTTTTCATGACCATGTTTATGCTGAGGTCATACTTCTCAAGAGCTACTCCCAGTCAATGACTGAGCTTGATAGGGCTACGAAGGCAAGCTTATTCCTGCAAGTTGCAGAACTTATTTAATGGGCAAATTTGGCTCAATTTTGTTGAAACTTTCTTAGAAAATGTTACAATCTAACACTTTCCCTACCCAAGATTCCTTCTTTTCTTCTCTTCTTCACAGAGGTTAAACCTGTATTACAGACTGACAACTTACCCAGTCTCTCCTGGTTCCCTTCCCATTTACCCTCACAAATGTTTTCCCCAATAAACTTCTCAAATGTCTAATCCTGTCTTGGCATCTGTTTCGCAGAGGACCCAAATTAACTCATTGCATTTTTAAAAAACTGCCAAACTATTTTTAAAGTGACTGTACCATTTTATAGTCCCAGTAATAATGTTTCAGAGTTCCAGTTGCTCCATTTGGCATTATCAACATGGCATTGATAATTTTTAAGATTTTACCTGTTCTAAAAGGTGTGAGGTTTTAATTTGCATTTCCCTACCTACTAATTATGTTGAGTATCTTTTCATGGCTTATTTTTCATCTGTATGTGCCTGAACTCGAACTCCCAACCTCAGGTAATCCGCCCGCCTTGGCCTCCCAAAGTGCTGGGATTTACAGGTGTGAGCCACCGTGCCTGGCCCTTCATCTGTATGTCTCTGGGATAGTAACTGTCCAAATATTTTTGCCATTTCCTTGTTGAGTTGTTTGACTTCTTCTTATTGAATTCTTAGTGTTCTTTATATATTTTTGGATATAAACCCTTTATCAAATATCCATTTCCAAGTCTATGGATTGCCTTTTCATTTTCTTAACAGTATTAAAGAACATAAATTAATAACTTTGACGAAGTCCAATTTAGAACTTTTGCCTTTATTGTTGGTGCTTTTTGTTGCTTTCCAAGAAGTTGTGCCTAACTCAAGATCACAAAGATAATCTCTTATGCTTTCTTCTGGTAATTTTACAGATGTAGGTTTTATATGTAACTTATTACCCATTTTAAGTTAATTGCTGCATATGATGTGCATAAAGATAGGCTCATTAAGGAAGGTTTTCAACAACCATATAAAACCGATTAACCCTCAACATAGGCTTATGAGATCTGCTTTACTGAAGGAGGAAAATTTCATTAGTGAAATTATATTCAATATGCTTTACATATACATAAAAATTATTAATTATACATTTAATACTAATTTTAATTTTATAAGAATACAAACTGTTTCACATTAGATAACATTAAGTGTAAATACTAGGAACCAAATTTAGAAATGTTGTATTTACATACATAAATATATAGGAAGGTACAAAACCCAAATTAAAATGCATCAAGGGGCTAGGTGCAGTGGCTCATGCCTGTAGTCTCAGCACTTTGGGAGGCCAAGGCAGGTGGATTACTTGAGGTTGGGAATTCGAGACCACCCTGGCCAACATGGCTGTCTAGGAATGTTGGATGCTAGTTCTTCTCAAAGAGATCAAAGTTACTTGTGAATGGACATGTTCTGAAAGGAAAACTGAGGGAAGAGAGCCAGGACCTGTCAGAGAGCCCACAGGAAGAAGCCAAAGTGCAGAAAATGAAGGCAGCAAGACTCTAGCAGAGATCAACACCAAAGGAACTCAGAGCCCTGCAGAAAGGGTAAGTGAGGGTGCTTCTTGTCTTTCCTCACTCCTGCAACAATCTGCTGACTGCCAAACTACTAAGGAGGTCGTCTGCCCTTGTGACACTGGGCAATACTGTTGGTGGTCATTTAGGAACTTCCTGAGGAAAGAAAACCAGGTGGCTAGCTCATGCAGGCATGCCTGCGTATGCCTCAGGCCTGAACTGAGATGGTGGGTGCTGTACTGGCTGTGTACCTGTCGTGGGCCACTGCTGCTGCCCAAGGGATCTCTGTCTTTGCATTACCATACCACCAAATCCCCTGCAAATATACCCCACAAGCTGCTCTGAGTTTGGCAAGTACGGGGAACCTGCAGGTCCATGGGAAGCTACAGGACCATGTAGGCACAACTTCTTGGAAAGCAACAAAAAGCACAAACAATAAAGGCAAAAGTTATAAATTGGACTTCATCAAAGTTATTAATTTATATTCTTTAATACTGTTAAGAAAATGAAAAGACAATCCATAGACTTGCAGATGGATATTTGATAAAGGATTTATATCCAAAAATATATAAAGAACACTAAGAATTCAGTAAGAAGAAGTCAAACAATTCAACAAGCAAATGGCAAAAATATTTGGACAGTTACTATCCCAGAGACATACAGATGAAGGACCAGGCACGGTGGCTCATGCCTGTAATCCCAGCACTTTGGGAGGCCAAGGCAGGCAGTTTACCTGAGGTTGTGAGTTTGAGTTCAGAAGGCTAAAAAGAGGACCTCAGTCTCTTCTGGTTTGTAAGGCTTCTGTAAGAAGTCTACTATGTTAGCCTGATTGGATTTCATTTATAGGTAATTTGGCTATTTTCTCTAGCTGCCTTTGAGGGTTTTTTGTTTTTTTTTTGGCATTGACCTTAAATAGTCTAATGATTATATGGCAGACTTCTTACAGAAGCCTTACAAGCCAGAAGAAACTGAGGTCCTCTTTTTAGCTTTCTTAAAGAAAAAAAAAAATGCCATCCAAGAATTTTATATCCACCAAACAAGGAAGGAGAAATAAAGTTTTTTTCCAAATAAGTAAGTGCTAAAGGTATTCATCATCACCAGACCAGACCTACAAGAAATGCTCAAAGGAGTTTTAAACATGGAAACAAAAGGACAATACTTGCTATCATAAAAGCACGCAGAAGTACAAAGTTCACAGATCCTATAAAACAAACAACTGAGACTATAAAGCTCACTAACAACACTCTAAAGGGAACAAAATGCCACATATAAATATTAATCATAAACAGCCTAAATGTTCCACTTAAAATACACAGATTGGCAAATTGGGTTAACAAAGCAAGACTCAACCATCTATTGACTTCAAGAGACCCATCCTATGTGTAATGACACCATAGGTTCAAAGTAAAGGGGTGACGAAAGATCTACCATGCAAATAGAAAATGAAAAAGAACAGGGGTTGATATTCTTGTATCAATTAAAACAGACTTTAAACCAACAACAGTAAAAAAGACAAAGAAGGGCATTATATAATGATAAAGGCTTCAATTCAGCAATTACCTAACTACTATATAATTACCTAACTACTATTATATAATGATAAAGTCTTCAATTCAACAAAAAGACTTAACAAGTGATTTAACTGTGCCCAACACTGGAACACCCAGATTTATAAAACAAATATTATTAAACCTAAGAAAATAGATAGACAGCTGTACAATAGTAGTGGGGTTGTCAATGCCCCATTGACAGATAAAGAATTCAAAATATGGATTGCAAGGCAACTCAAAGAGATCAAGAGAAAGTTGAAAACCAACACAGAGAAACCAAGAAAATGATTCAGGATATAAAAGAGGAGGTAGCTACATTTTAAAAAGCAAAACAAAACAAAAACTTCTGGAATTAAAAAATTCACTAAAGGAATTTTAAAATATAGTTGAGAGTTTTAGCAACAGACTAGACCAAGCAGAAGGAATAATTTAAAAGCTTGGAGACCAGTCTACTGGATCATGGAGGCTGAAAAATAATAAAGAAACTCTGGACTTTAATTGGACTTTTGACCAAATGAACCTAATAGACATCTACAGAACATTCCACTCAACAACTGCAGAATATACATTTTTTCTCATCTGTGCATAGAACATTGTCTAAAATTGACCATATGCCTGATCATAAAACAAGTCTCAATAATTTTTTAAATAAAATTATATCAAACGTATATGTGGACCATAATGGAATAAAATCAGAAATACATACCAAAAGGAACTTGCAAAACCACACAAATACATAGAAACCAAACAACTTGCTCCTGGTTGACTTTTAGGTAAAAAACAACAACAAAAAAAACAGAAATGAAAACTTATTTTGAAACAAAAGAAAATGCAGTCATAACATACCAAAACCTCTAGGATACAGAAAAGTAGTATTAGGAGAAAAGTTTATAGCACTAAATGCCTACCTGAGGAAGACAGATGTAACATTAACAACCCAACGTTGCACCTAAATGAGCCAGAAAAACAAGAACAAACCAAACTCAAAGGTAGCAGAAGAAAAGAAATAACAAAAGATCAGAGAAGAACTAAGTGAAAATGAGATGAAAACAAAACTCCAAAAATCCATACAAAGGATCAATGAGACAAAAACTGGGTTTTTTGAAAGGACAAACAAAAGTGATAGATCACTTGCTAGATTAACCAAGAAAAACAGAGAGAAACAGAAGTTTCCAAATAAGCACAATCAGAAATGATAAAGTTGACATTACAACTAATACCACAGAAATACAAAAGATCTTCAGTGACTACTATGAACATTTCTATGTGCACAAACTAGAAAATCTAGAGCAAATGGAAAAATTCCTGGAAACATACAACCTCCAGAGATTGAACCAGGAAGAAACTGAAATTCTAAATGGGCCATTAATGTGTTATAAAATTGAATAAATAATAAAAAATATACCAACAACAACAACAACAACAAAATCCCAGGACTAGAGTATTTACAGGCCAGCCAAATTCTACCAGATGTACAAAGAAGAGTTGGTACCAATATTACTGAAACTATTCCAAAAAATTGAGGAGGAGGGAGGCCTCTCTAACTCATGCTATGAAACCAGTATCATGCTGATACCAAAATCTGGCAAGGACCCAGTAAAAAATAAAACAACAGGCCAATATCCCTGATAAACATAGATTCAAAAATCCCCAACAAAACAGAATCCAGTAACACCTCAAAAAGATAATTCATCAGGATCAAACGGCCTTATTTCAGGGATGCAAGGATGGTTCGATATATGCAAGTCAATAAATGTGATTCGCTACACAAACAGAATCAAAAACAAAAACTATATTATCATTTCAGTATATGCAGAAAAAGCATTTGGTAAAATCCAACACCCTTTATAATAAAAACCCTAAAAAATAGGCATTGAAGGAACGTACCTCAAAATAACAAGAGCCATACATGACAAACTCACAGCCAACATCATCCTGAATGGGGAAAAGTTGAAAGCATGTCCCCTAAGAACTGGAACAAAACAAGGATATCCATTGTCACCACCCCTATTCAACATAGTACTGAAAGTCTGTAGCTAGAGCAATCAGGAAAGAGAAATAAATAGTAGCCATTCAAATTGGAAAAGGGGAAGTCCAATTTTACCTGTTTGCTGATAATATGATTCTACATCTAGAAAGCCCTAAAGATTCATCTAAAAGATTCTACACCTAGAAAACCCTAAAGATTCCCCCTAGACCTGACAAATGACTTCAGTAAAATTTCAGGATACAAAATGAATGCATCAAAATCAGTGACATTCTTATAAACCAACAACACTCAAGCTGAGAACCAAATCAAGAACTCAATCCCATTAACAATTACCATACACACACAAAATTACCTGGAAATACATTTAACAAAGAAGATGAAAAACCTCTACAAGGAGAACAAAACAGTTTGGTAATAGAAATCATAGATGACACAAACAAATGAAAAAGCATTCCATGCTCATGGATAGGAAGAATCAATATCATCAAAATGACTATACTACCCAAAGCAATCTACATATTCAATTTCTATCAAATTAACAATGTAAGTTTTCACAGAATTAGAAAAAGCAGCTTTAAAATTTATATGGAACCAAAACAGAGCCTGAATAGTCAAAGTAATTCTAAGCAAAAGAACAAAGATGGAGGCATCACGTTACCCTACTTCAAACTATTCTACAAGGCTATAATAGCCAAAACAGCATAGTACTAGTACAAAAATGGAAACATAGATCTGTAAAACAGAATAAAGAACCCAGAAATAAAGCCACACACCTGCAACAAACTAATGTTCAAAAATTCTACAAAAATAAACAATGAGGAAAAGATTCCCTATTTATTATAACAAACAGTGCTGGGAAAACTGGTTAGCCATATGAAAAAGAATTAAACTGGACCTCCATCCCTTACCATACACAAAAATTAACTCAAGATTGATTAAAGACTTAAGTGTAAGACCTTAAACTATAAAAATCCTAAAAGAAAACATAGGAAAAACTCTTCTGGACATTGGCCTAGGCAAAGAATTTATGACTAAGACCTCAAAAGCAAATGCATCAAAAACAAAAATAGACAAATCGGATTTAAAGAGTTTCTGTACAGCAAAAGAAACAATCAACAGCATAAACAGACAACCTACAGAATGGGAGAAAATATTTGCAAGCCGTATATCCACCAAAGGACTAATATTCAGAATCTACAAAGAAGTTAAACAAATCAACAAGACAAAAACAACCCCATTACAAAGTGGGCAAAGAGGACTTGAACAGACACTTCTCAAAAGAAGACATACACACAGCTGACAAGCATATGAAAAAATGTTCAACATTACTAATTATCAGAGAAATGCAAGTTAAAACCACAATAAGATACCTTCTCAAACCAGTCAAAATGACTAATAGTCAAAATGAGTATTACTAAAAAGTCAAAAAAATAACAGATGTTGTCAGGGATGTGGAGTAAAGGGAACAATAATGCACTGTTAATGGGAATGTAAATTAGTTTCACCCCTATGGAAAACATTACAAAGATTTCTCAAATAACTAAAAATAAAATTACTATTCAACCCAGTAATCCTACTATTGGGTATCTACCCAAAGGAAAATAAATTGTTTTTATCAAAAAGACACTTGTACTTGCATGTTTATCACAGTTCTATTCACAATAGCAAGTCATGAAATTAACCTAAGTGCACATCAATGATGGATTGGATAAAGAAAATGTGGTATATATACACCATGAAATACTACGCAGCTGTAAAAGAGAATAAAACTGAATTATTTGCCAACATGGTTGGAGCTGGAGGGCATCATTCTAAGTGAACTAACTGAGAAACAGAAAGTCAAATACTGCATGTACTCACTTATAAGTGGGAGCTAAACAATGGGTAGTCATTGACATAAAGATAGAAACCATAGACACTGGGAACTCCAAAAGAAGGGAGGGTGGGAGGGGTGAGGGTTGAAAAATGATCTACCACGAGTTATGTTCACTATATAATTGATGAGTTCACTAGAAGCCCAAACACCAGCATTATACAAAATACCCATGTAACAAACCCACACATTATATCTGTTGAATCAATAACAAAAAAGCAAGTTTATTTTAAACTTACCTTTTCTCTGCATGTCCTGATAAAGTTTGCTTATTTCTTTCTTATATCCCTCCTCTTTGATTTTCATTTCACTTACAAGTTTGGCAATATTATTCTTATATTCCTAAAGATTAAAATATATATTAATTTTTAAAATTTAAATATGTGTATATAACTTCTGATTCCTAGAAAGGTGAAATTCTCCATTCATATTACTTTTTAAATACTTTAAAAATTCTCCATTTATGTTACTTTTTTAAAAGTTACTATAAATGTAATATAAATGAACAATTTCACCTTTCTAATAATTAAAAGTTATATCTACAAGGAAAAATATTGTTCATTGTTTGAATAATCAGCTTTGAGATAGACCCATTTTATTTTATTTTTTGTATGTATAAAGTATTTATTTTTTAATTTAAATTTTTGGCCTGGTGTGGTGGCTCACGCTTGTAATCCCAGCACTTTGGGAGGCTAAGGCAGGCAGATCACGAGGTCAGGAGATCGAGACCATCCTGGCTAACACGGTGAAACCCCATCTCTACTAAAAATACAAAAAAATTAGCTGGGCGTGGTGGTGGGCACCTGTAGTCCCAGCTACTCGGGAGGCTGAGGCAGGAGAATGGCGTGAACCCGGGAGGCCCTGAAGCTTGCAGTGAGCCGAGATGGCACCACTGCACTCCAGCCTGGGGGACAGAGCGAGACTCTGTCTCAAAAAAAAAATTTAAATTTTAATTTGAAAATTAAAAATTATATATATTTATGATGTACAACATGATGTTTTAATATATGTATACATTGTGGAATGCCTAAACTCAAGCCAATTAACATATCTATATTATGGATATGTTAAATATATGTTAAATATGTGAGGTATATCCATTTGCCTCATATATTTATCACTTTTTTGTGGTGAGAACATTAAAAAACTACTCTCTTAGCAATTTTGAAGTATATGATACATCGTTATTGATAACAATCACCAAATTGTACAATAGCTCTCCTGATTCTATTCCTCCTTTCCAACTAAAATTTTTTATCCTTTCACCAACATCTCCCCAATTGCTGCCTCCACCACAGCCTAACCACCACTCTACTCTCTGCTTCATGAATTCCATAAGAAAGATCAATTTCTGATCCAAGGAGATAAGATAAAGATATTACAGAAACAATGTCTTTTTTTATCTTTGCTTTCTGGATACTCATTACCAGGGTTTAGAATATTAAGGATGCTCAAAATATTTAATTTTATGAATAAATGCCACTACAGAATTAAGGTATGTTCAATATAAGCCAAAACTATACATTAGAGCCAACAAAAGGCACTGTTCAATAGCTAGCAAGCTTACTATAATGTAAGATGAGTCTCTTTGAATGCAAGCTGAACTTCTGTTTCCAAAAATTATATAAATATTCCTAATTCCCAGAGCAAGATTAAGCATTACCCATGGTAAGTGTATGCTTTATGAGGAGGCATAGAGAGAAAGATGAGTTTGGGATTTGCAAAGTGCTTGACAGCTGCCTGAGATTAGCTTCTTAGGTTGTTGAAGGATAGGGGTGATTTATTATGCTAAGAACAGGGAGAGGAGCATTGAGAGTGGTGATGGAAGACAGTTATTTTACAATTGTGAAGATAAATTTTACAACTTTACCGGGGGTATGGTCCTACATGAAGAAATTATTCAGAGGCCTAAAATGTAGGCAAGAGAAAAGGAAAGCAGGAAGAATAAAAGTTAAGTATGATAGTAATAAAAAGGCAATAATAAAGGCAAGAGGTCAATAAAAGCCTCTAATACCTAACAGCTGGGACTCACCATTGTGTTCCCAACTCCTTGTGTGTAAATACATGTATATATGTGCACACACATATATCTTGATATATATTTCTTGAATGAATGGGAGTGCCAATAAGAATTATTTAGGTCAGAACTGTTAACCTAGAGCCAGTGAATAGGCTTTTGATCAACTTCCAAATTTTAAGGTAAAATTATACATGTATTTATTTGTGTGTGTGTATGTGTGTGTGTGTGTGTGTGTGTGTGCGCGCGCGCGCATTTTTCTCAGTGAGGATTCATAGCTTTTAATAGATATTTCATGGTACTGAGGAGGTTAAACAGTTTAAAACAGGTCAAGACACACTGGCTTCTATGCCCACAATTAAAAATTGGCATACATTCCTCCATATTATCTCAGTTCAAGAGATTTTGTCTGGATTCCTGTTTGTTCTACTTATCCTGCCAGGCAACTTGTAGGAATGGACAAAGCTATTCAACTTCTCGGTTCTAATTAAAACTGGGCAGGTGAACCCAGCTGGCAATCCCACAAATTGCCATTTTCTATATATCTAGATTTCTAGATGGGCAACTACAGAGCAGCTTTTATAAACTACTCCTGACAACTGTGTGCACTAAGCTGTTGCTGCTCTGAGAAACCACAAGAGACAAACCTATGTACCTTTCTATTCTCCACTGATTTTTGCCACAGGAAGATGTCACCAGGAAAGTGGAATGCTGCCAGTTAATTCGGTGAGACCCAGGATTTGCATTTCAGCCTCCAGGCATGAAGACTATTCTATCTGGGTTGAGCCAAGTTCTATCCCACTAGATCTTCTCTTCCACTTTAGCCTGTGCCATTCCTAAAAAATGTAATCTTTTCATTTTTCTAAGGAGACTAATCCCCAATAGGTTACAATTGGTTGTCTTCTTTTCATATGCTTTCTGGGAATTTTAAATTCCAAGGAATAGCCTCCAGTTTCACTCTTGATATAAAAAACAATGATTCTCTCTATACAAGTTGCAAAATCCTTCTACTCTCACAAATACTGCTATTGGGTACCTCCTGAGTTTGTTCCTGGGGAGTTTTCTCCATGAATTTTAGATGTGTTCAGAGGTTTTGAATTAGCAAATCTGCGTTGTCATAGTTTGCTTTGGGCAGCCCCTAAGTAAGAAATTCAGACTCTTGGGTTGTGGTGTTTTCTCTTTAATTTCTTCCCCTCTGAACATTCCTGTAGTATTCTCAACAAAGCAGTATCCTAGTGCTTGAAGTTTTAGAAAGGAAAGCAGGTCAAATTTTCTCCCCCTGGTTCCCCACCCCAATTACAACCTGACTTTACCATCTATTTTTGAGATCTAGAGTCAATATATTAAAAGGATTGGGAAAGAATAAAGGGAAAAAGGAAAAGAAAGGGGGAGAAAGGGTAGGATTCATTTCAGAAATACTTAAAAACCATCTCAAAATTGGTGATGAAAAGCTAAATTTTCTAAGAGCATAGCCAGAATGCTACTTATTACTGTACAGGATTAACCAGAAGTTCTGGGCAGATTTCTTCAGAGGGTCCTCAGATGAGGAACCAGACTGAATTTAGAGAAGATTCTTCAAGTTGAAAGCTCCTATAGATTCAACTTGAGTTTTGAGGATCTTTTGTCTGCTAGAATTTGACATATTAGCTCTTGAGAGATGAGGAAGTTAGCATAATGAACCTCTCAAAGAGCAGAGGGAACTGACATTTATTTAGCATCTTTTATGCTTTTTACACGCTGTTCATGTGTTCTACAACTGCTGTCACTACACTGTTCCTACAGGAGATAAGGAAAAGTAGCAGAGGGTATGGTGGCTCCTGGGAGAGAAATAATTTGTGATCCACATGAAATGCCCCCTGTATTGGAATGGTGTAATGATTACCCAAATCATAAAGAGTATAGATTCATTTACATTATAATAAGAAAGTTCACAAGTAGTAACAAATAGAGTTTACTAGAGTAAAACCTCTATTAACATAATTGAAAATTATGTAGCAAAATAACTGCATCTCTTTTTGGTAGAAAGAAAAAGTAATGCAAGTTATTTGTTAGTACATTATATTTTGTAAAAAAAAAAAACTCTTAAAACTAGTATTGCTTTGAAAACAAATTGTCATTTACTAAAGATTTTGGCATATATACGTATATCTCCACACACACACACACCCACAAACATTTGGCTGTGTTTATTAATTTAAAAACCTCTTTTTTTTTCCTAATTTGAAAAGATAAATCTCCACAGGGACTTGACTGAATAGAATGATACATAAACTCACCTGTTCATGAGACTTTAACTTCTCTTTTATAAGATCAGCACTTATTTTTAGTTGTTCATTTTCACCTGTGTAAGAATAATCAAAGAACATCATAATATATAGCACTTTTCAATTAATATGAAAATATGTTCAACATTTTAGCTTCCATTATGTATGCATTCAACAAACATGCATCCAGCAGCTGCTACACTTCAGGCACCATGCTAGACACTGAGAATATGAAAGTGAAAAGAGTTACTGCTCTTCAAAGAACTTACAGCCTAGTGCTGAGTCAAATGTGTTAGTAGTTATAATATGCTATGATAATTGCTCTTTAATGGCAGTATATCTGAAATACTACAGGAACCTGTAAAAAGAAAACCTAGGGCAGCTTGAAGTCAGGAAAGGATTTAGAGAAGAGAAGCTACTTGAGACGAGATTTAAGTGATAGGCTTACCCCATGTTAAGAGAGAGCATTCTAAATGCAGAAAATCGCACAGAAGACCATGGGCTTGAGTGAATATAGCTTGGAAAAACTACAATTCACGTACGGTATTGTTGAAGTGTAAAGTGTGAGCAGGAGATGCTATATAGGTTGGGATCCTATCACTAGGTAGACATATTCTACATATTCTAGATGAACAATTTTGGATTTTGGTTTTAGAGGTTACAGGGAGTCATCAAAGAATTTTGAATAGTGCAGAAGTGAAATAATGAGAGTTACATGCTAAAACGATTATCTGGCAATGTGGATGATGAATGAGAGGGTTTTGACCCTAGAGGAATGGAGATCAGTAACTATAGGTCAAGTAAGAGATAACAGGAACCTAAATTACGTCAGCGGCAGTATGGAAAAAAGGAAGCAATGAGGAGAATTATTATTTAGATGATAGAATTACCTAGGAATTTAGTGACCCTTTAGATAGAGGAGGCAAAAGAGAAAGGGGGAGCCTTTTCTTTTTAGGTTTTTGGTTTGGGTAACTGAAAACAATACCTTAATATTTTTAACAAATTTTAAAAACCCTGTGGTTAATTTTGATTACTAAACATCCAGGTCGGTTTAAAACTGTAATTTCCTATTTGATTGAAAGTTTTCATGATCCTTATCACTGGCTAGATCAGTGGCTGTAAAGAGTCAATAGAAGTGGGAAAGAAGTCTTAGTTTCCTCCTTAGTTGCTCTTCCCTGTCTTTCCTCTGGGTCATCTCTTGGGGGGTGGAGACAGGAAATGAGGAGAGGTAAAAAATTCTCTATTTAACTTCGAGGTTCCAGTCCTTTAGGTGGTTGTAGCAAATATATGCAGTCTGGACTCACTCCAACATTTGGCGACTTTTTAGCAGATGTCACTAGAATATGGAAATATGTAGCTATTTTGTTGTTAATTGTGGCATGTGCCCTAGTCACTAATTCCTGGTAAACAGGAAAAGCCTCAATAGACATCCTATTACAATTTCCCCTCTACAACCTTAACTATAAACACAACCAAGAAGTAGTTAAACAAAACAACAAATCAGTAAAGATTTTTGACATTATCTGAATAATGCTTTTAGGAAGGTTTGTTTTGTGGTATAGTAAAGTTGAGAGGAGCCTTGGAAATAGAGTCCACTTATGAAACTATTGCAGAGGTATTAAACCACAGTATTAAAATTAAAACCTTGACTATAAACAAAACTAAGAATTAGCTAAACAAAACAATGACAAATCAGTAAAGATTTTTGACATTATCTGAACAATGCTTTAGGAAGGTTTGTTCTGTAGTACAGTAACATTGAAAGGAGCCTTGGAAATAGGGTCCACATATAAAACTTGCAGAGGCATTATATCAAAGTATTAAAATTAAGTAAAGATCTAAAATCTATTAGTTTTCAAAGGTTGTGATGAGAAACCGATAGGAAAAGTGTTACACTTTTAAGGGTCATATTTAATACAAATCTTAATTCTGATGATGGTTTCAGTTTGTCAGATTGTGTCTTTCAAGAAATTAGTCCATTTCACATAGGCTATCAAATATTTGAGTTGAGCACAGAGTTGTTCAGAGTATTCCTTTATTATCTTCTTCTTCTTCTTTTTTTTTTTTATATTGAGATGAAGTCTTGCTCTTGTCCCCCAGGCTGGAGTGCGATGGCGCGATCTTAGCTCCCTGCAACCTCCCCCTCCTGGGTTCAAGCTATTTTCCTGCCTCGGCCCCCGAGTAGCTGGGATTACAGGCACACACCACCATGCCCGGCTAATTTTTGTATTTTTGGTAGAGATGGGGTTTCACCATGTTGGCCAGGCTGGTCTCCTTTATTATCCTCTTAATGAACATGACATTTGTAGTGATGTCCTTTCTTTCATTTCTGATATTATTAACTTGAGTAATCTCTCCTATTTCCTTAGTTCATCTGGCTACAGACTTGTCAATTTTATTGATCTTTTCAAAAAAACAGCTTTTAGTTTCATTGCTCTCTATTGATTTCTTGTTTTCAATTTTATTAATTTCTGCTTTATTTTTGTTATTTCTTTTTTTTACTTATTTTGGATTTAATTTGTTCTCCTTTTTCTTATTTCCTAAAGTGGAAGCTTAAATTAATTTTAGTTTTTTGTTGTCTTCTCATATGCACATTTAACGCTATAAATATCTCTTTAAGCACTGTGGTTTTTGCAGCATTTCACAAATTTTAATAAATTGTATTTTTATTTAGTTCAAAATATTTTAAATTTTCTGTTGATATTTGTTTTTTGACCACTGTATTATTTAAAAGTGTTCTTTAATCTGCATATATTTTGAGATTTTTCATCTACCTTTCTGTTTTTGATGTCTACTTTAATTCCATTGTGGCCTGACAGCAGACATTGTATGACTTCTGGTCTTTCAAATTTGCTAAGGTGTGTTTTATAAACCACAATGGGATCTATCTTGGTGAGTATTCATTAAGTTTGAGGAGAATGTGTATTCTGCTGTTGTTGGATGAAATAGTCTATAGATGTCCATTATAGTCAATTGATTGATGTTATTGTTGATTTCAACTGTGTCCTTACTGATTTTCTGATAGAAGAATGTTGAAATCTTCAACTACAATAGTGGACTCATCTATTTCTCCTTGCAGTTCTATAAATCTTTGACTCACATATTTTTGATGCCTTTGCTAGATGCATAAATAAAACAATTTTATGTCTTCTTGGAGAATTAACCCTTTTATCATTATGTAATACCCCTTTTTATCCTGGATAATTTTTCATGCTCTAAAAATCTGCTGTTTGAAATGAAGATAGCTACTCCAGTGTTCTTAGTGTTAGCACGGCATATCTTTCTCCAGCCCTTAGCTTTTAATCTATATGTGCCTTTATATTTAAAGTAGACTTTTTTTGTAGAAAGATATAGTTGGGTAATGTTTTTTGATCCGCTCTGATAATCTCTGTCTTGTAAACTGTATTAGGCTATTGATTTTCAAAGTGATTTTTGATAAAGTTGGATTAATATCTACCGTATTTGTTACTCTTTTCTATTCATAGACCTTGTTCTTTGATCCTATTTTTGTCTTCTATTCTTTTTCTGCCTTTTATGGTTTTGAGTATTTCACGTGATTCCATTTTCTCTTCTTTCTTAGCAAATCCATTATACTTCTAATTTTAGTTTTTTTTTTTTTTTAGTGATTGTCCTAGAATTTGCAATATACATTTACAATGAATTCAGGTCCACTTTCAAATCCATTATACCGCTTCTCAGGTAGTACAAGTACTTTATACTAAAGTATTCATAATTCCTTCCTCTCATTCCTTATGTCATTGATGTCATGCATTTCACTTATGCATAAGCTATAATTACTTAATAATACATTGTTGCTATAATTTTGAATAAATTGTTACCTGTTAGATCAATTGAGAATAAGAAAAATAAAAGTTTTTATTTTACCTTCACTTATTCCTTCTCTAATGTTCTTCCTTTCTATGTAGATCCAAGTTTCTGGCCTATATCATTTTGCTTCTCTCCTCTTTCATCATTTCCTGCAAGGCTGGTATACTTGCAACAAATACCCTCAATTTTTGTCTAAGAAAGTCTTTATTTCTACTTTCTGGACAATAATTTTGCAGGATGCAGAATTATTGGTTGGTGTTTTATTCTATCTCTCTCAGCACTTTAAAATATTTCACTCTACTCCTTTACTGTTTGCATGGTTCCTGAGAAGAAGCTGGGTATAATTCCTATCTTTGGTCCTCTATAGGTAAATAATTTTCCTCACTTGTTTCAAAATTTTTTCTTTGTTTTTTATTTTCTACAGTTTGAATATGACATGCCTATGGGTAGTTTTTTGAGCATTTACCCTGCTTGGTGTTCACTGAGCTTCCTGGATCTGTGGTTTGGTATCTGATATTAATTAGGGGAAATTCTCAGTCATTATTGCTTCTGATGTTTCTTCTGTTCCTTTCTTTCTTTATTTTTCTTCTGATATTCCCATTAAGTGTTTGTTACAGCTTTCGTAGTTATTACACTGTTTTTGAATATTTTGTTACTTTTTTCCTAGTCTTTTTTTTTTTTCTGAAATTTCAGTTTCGGAAGTTTCTATTGACATATTCTCAAGCTCAGAGAATCTTTCCTGAAACTGAGAAATTATTTTCATTAGGCTATGTCTAGTCTACTAATGAGTCCAACAAAGGCATTCTTCATTTGTGTTACACTGTTTAGAGCCTTTAGCATATTAACTGTAGTTTTTTAAAATTTCTGGTCTAATAATTCCAATATCCCTGCCATTTCTGTGTCTGGTTTTGATGCTTTCTCTGTCTCTTCAAACTGCCTATTTTTTTTCTTTTAGTGTGCCTTGTAATTTTTTGTACAAAGCTCAAGACCAAGTACCAGTAAAAACGCCTAAGGTGTTGCAGAAGGAGAAGTATTCTATAGTCCTATGATTAGGTCTCAGTCTTTCAGTAAGCCTGTGTCTTTGGACTGTGAGTTACCCACATGCTTCTTAGTCCCTCTCCCCTTTGGTGAGATGGGATGGCTAGAATGGGCTAGAGTTGGGAAGGCTAGGGGGAGCTGAAATAGGATATTTTCCTCCCCTAAGGCAGCTTATCCTCGGCTAAAACCCCAGTAGTTTAGGCTCAGATAAAATAGCTTCTTTCAAGTCAGGCTTTGTTAAGAACAGAAGCTGTGGATTATTTCAAAATGGTTACTTTTCTTCTCCTCCAGCCAACAACATGAGGGAATTTTTCTCATATCTTAACTGTGAGATCTTAGTAGAGCTCTCACAGGTAAAACTTACAAAACTATAGGGGCTCTCCTATGGGATTGGGTCCCCTGAAATTTTTAATCTCTTAGATTTGACTACAATGAGCCATCTGCAATTCATCAAAATTACATTTTAGGGTTTCCTAGCCTGACAAACAGGGAGGTTTCTGCTCTTGTTAAGTTGTGATTCTCTGAGTCTGCCTCCCTGTCTCCAATTTTAGATGCATCAGTTTGTCCTGCGACCTCAGTTCTCTGATCAAAAGTCTAAGAATTGTTGATTTTTCAGTTTGCTCAATGTTTTACTTGTTGTTAGCAGGGCGTGACAACTTCTGAGATCCTTATATGTTTTACCAGAAAGATGAGGTACGTTTGAAGGATTTTCATTAAAGTTAGAATTCTATTTCCAAGTTTTATGTGCAAGTGAGAATACTTAAAAGGGACACATTTTCAGCCCTGAAGTTGCTTAATGGTGGAACCATTTCTAAAGATACAATGGTTTTTCCATAAATTAATTTTCCAAAATCAGTTAATTGGCCACTGTTGGCTGACATTTTTTCAAGTCTAACAGACTTTCACTACTTTTTAACTTAATATGCCTGATAAAGAGCTTGTATGGGGGTAGGAGAAGTGACAGCTCTGATACTTTCTTATTGTTGGCTTGTGCTTGCATTATTGTAATTATTATTGTCCTCAATATATGTTTTATTTTTTAAAACTACTTGTCCATTTTGAAAGGATTAGTTTGATTAGAACTAGCTAATTTTATCTATCAATCCTCTTATCCAGAAACATATAAACTGTACTACATGGCCATACACTGAAACTAGGGGAAAAAGTAAACATGCAATTGTTCAGTTTTAGAACTCCCATTCTCCTCAGAGAAAGAACCTTGTGTATCATGCGTGACATATAATTAACTTATAGATAGAAAAAGGAATATTATCCCAGTTATTAAATTTTTGTAAGATGACTGGCTTTGAATTTTCAGATGAAAATAAAGATAAATAAGAATTGCAATTTTTTTCTACATCTCATTGAATTATCTTTTACATAATCCATAAGTCCCTACTGAAAAGATTCATTGATAAGACTAAAGGAAGGTAGCATTTCTCTCATTGTAACTGAAAAGTCTCTTAAACCCAAAGGGTAATTGATTAATCAGCTCAATAATGTTACCAAAAAACCAGATCCTTTTAGTTTACTTTTCTTGCTATCCTCCAAAATCATCCTGCTGGCATGATTTTTAGACTAGAAACAAGAAATCTGAAACAATTTTAGGCATTATATACAGTCTTATAACAACCAGAAGAACATAGTCCATCTCTTGGGAGAGAGGAAAATTATTCCAAAAGAACTCCCTTGGAGCTTGGATGCGATCAGCTTCCCCTGAGGCATATGGTTAAGTGAATGAAGGGTGAATGTCTGAAAAAGAAAAACCGTTTCCTGTTAAGGAGAGAAAAGAGCTATTGGAAAGGAAACCACTGGGTAGCTTAAATAAGCAGATTAATCATACTATCTTGGCAATCAATTGGATGAAAATGGTCAAATATAGATAGTTCTTATCTATTACCTTGCTCAATCAAGGCTTGTAAAAGCATTGGGAAAGTGAACTCAATGAGTCATCATTTATTTGCAAGAGACATCATACAATATTCATTTTTAAGAATGGCTATTTTTTTTTTTTTTTTTGAGACGGAGTCTCGTTCTGCAGCCAGGCTGGAGTGCAGCGGTGCGATCTCGGCTCACTGCAACCTCCAACTCCCTGGTTCAAGTGATTTTCCTGCCTTAGCCTCTCGAGTAGCTGGGATTACAGGCATGTGCCACCACGCCCAGCAAATTTTTGTATTTTTTTTTAGTAGAGGCGGGGTTTCACCATGTTGGCCAGGATATGGATTACAGGCGTGAGCCACAGCGCCCGGCCAAGAAAGGCTATTTTAAAACTTGTACTTGCCTTGTACTGGATCTTAAAGAGAAAGTTTTCTGTTTTCTCCCATTGATTATGATGTTAGCTGTGAGCTTTTCATCTATGGCCTTTATTGTGTTAAGGCAAGATCCTTCCATGCCTATTATCTTCTCTATCTATGCCTATTTCATGAGAGTTTTAATCATGAGTGGATGTTGAATTTTGTCAAATGTTTTTTCTGTATCTATTGAGGTGTTCATGTGTTTTTTTCTATTCATTTTGATAATAAATAGAAAACACATGGTGTATCACATTGATTGATCTGTGTATACAGAACCATACTTGCATCCCAGGGATAAATCCCACTTGGTTAGGATATATGATCTTTTTAATGGGCTGTTGAATTTTATTTGATAGTATTTTATTGAAGATTTTTGAGTCTGTGTTTATCAGGGATATTGGGATGTAATTTTCTTTCCTTGCAGTGTCTTTGTCTGATTTTGGTGTCCGGGTGATGCTGGCCTCATAGGATGAGTTTGGAAGTGTTCCCTTTGCTTTTATTTTTTGAAAGAGTTTAAGAAAAAGCGGTATTACTTTTTCTTTGAGTGTTTAATAGAATTCCCATGAAGCCACCTCATCCTGGGCTTTTCTTTGGTGGGAGATTTTTGATTATTTACTCAATCTCCTTATTTGTCATTGGTGTGTTCCGACTATTTCTGACTCAGTTTTGGCAGGTTGTATATTCTTAGGTATTTGACTATTTCTTCTAGGTTATCCAGTTTGGTGGCATATAGTTGCTCTTAATAGTCCCTTATTATCCTCCTCACGCCCCCTAGGATTTCAGTTGTATCGTCTTCTCTTTCATTTCTGCTTTTATATATTGACATCTTTCTTTTTTTTTCAGTGTAGCCAAGCATTTGTCAATTTAGTTTATTTTTTCAAAAAAAACAAACTCCTAGTTTTGTTAAATTTTCTGTTGTTTTTTATTTTCTATTTGATTGATTTATCCTATAATCTTCATTATTTCTTTCCTTTGAGTACCTTTGGGCTTAATTTGTTGTTCTTTTTCTAGTTCCTTGAGGTGTAAAGATAGATTACTTATTGGATATATATATATTTTTTCCTTTTAAATTTAGGCTTTACAGCCATAAACTTCCCCATTAAAATGTCTTCTGCTGTATCCTATAGGTTTTGGTATGTTGTGTTTTCATTTGTCTCAGATACTTTAAAAATTCCTTTGGTTTATTCTTTGACTCAATGATTGTTCAGGAGTGTGTTTAGCATTTTTGCCTCTTCTTTTCAACATAGTGTTGGAAATCTTAGAGCAATTAGGAAAGAGAAAGACATAAAGGGCATCCAAATCAGAACAGAAGAAAATTATCCATATTCGCAGATGACATGACTATATACTTAGAAAACCTATTAGAACTAATAAACAGATTCAGTAAAGTTGCAGTATACAAAATCAACATATAAAAATCGATCACATTTCTATATACAAATTACAAAATATCTGGAAAGGAAATTAAGAAACAATCCTATACATAATGGCAATAAAAATACTTAAGAATTAACCAAAGAAGGTGAGAATCTTGTACACCAAAGAAGGTGAGAATCTTGTACACTGAAAGTAATAAAACATTGATGAAGGAAATGAAAGAAGACACAGATAAATAGATTAGAAGAATATTATTAAAATGTCCATACTATCTAAAATGATCTGCATATTTAATGCAATCGCTATCAAAATGCCAATGACATTCTTTACAGAAGTAGACAAAACAATCTTAAAATCCATATGGAAACACAAAAGACCTCAAATAGCCCAAGCAATCTTGAGTAAAAAGAACAAACCTGGAGCCACTGCACTACCTAATTTCAAAATATATTATAGAGCTACAATAATCAGAACAGTACAGCACTGTTAAAAAAAAAAAGACATGTAGATTATGGAACAGAATAGAGAACCCAGCTGGGTGTGGTATTTTAGTCACAAGGAAGGGAAAAGTTGTTTTGAGCCCTGGCATTGAAATAGGAGCATGAGTGCCCCTTTTTAACACTCCAAATTACAGGAATCACATATAAGATCAATATTTTATCTCACATATATAAGGTGCTTGTTTTAAAATAAAGGCAGAGGTCTAAGATGAGAAATGCTTATTTGATGTGAGTTTTATGTGGAAGGGGCCTTTAAGGCAATTTAGTCTAATCTCTGATATAGTAGAAGAAAATCTCACAGCCATCACAGCTGAGTCAGAACAGCACAAAATACTTGGTCTGTTTTGTGAATGGTAGGCCTGTTTGATTAACATGATTGTTACAGATAAGATAAGCTGAATGTGTTGACTTCACTTGCACAAATATAGTCTTAGTCTATGACAAAAAAATTAAATGGTAAACTATCACTGTGGTTTAAATAAAAAATTATGGTTTAACTAGTAATATCCACTCTTCAAAACTGAACACAAGATTATTAAAGACCAAGAATGCTACTGAGAATAAATAGAGTTCTAAATTTTTGAAGGTAATAACTATATGACCTATGTAAAACATCCCTTTATGTCACTATCAGATAGAACATGACTGAATTGTTCTGTTCAGGATAACATTTCTTATTTCATAATCATCTAGGAAAGTATTTTTAAGTAGTAAGGAGTCCTCTTTTAGCTGACAAATTGAAATTTATTATCAACCATGTAAAAACTTCCTATTTTTAAAGGTGCTCAAATACACAATGCTTTTTTAGATTTTACTTTTTTTTCTAACTTACCTTTCAAATTCTGTTGATATTCAATGGTCTGTTGTAGCCCTTTTATTATATTATGAAGAGTAGCACATTCTGAAATATAAAAGATAAATTTATTTTAAAATCCCTTGCTTTCATTTTGGAATTATTCTCTCAGTTGAAATTATTAAAATAAAATAATATTTAAGCCAGGCATGGTGATGTGTGCCTTGTAGTCCTATTGACTCAAGAGGCTGAGGCAGGAGGATCACTTGAACCCAAGAGTTCAAGGCTGCAGGGGGCTATGCTCATGCCATTGCACTCCAGCCTGAGTGACAGAGCAAGACCCTGTCTCTAAAAATAATAATAATAATATTTAATTTGAAATTACAAGATATTAATAAAGCAGCCAAGCACCTTAAATAAAATTATATAAAGGAAAAATATAATTTTTTTTTTTTTTGAGACAGAGTCTTGCCCTGTCGTCCAGGCTGAAGTGCAGTGGCACGATGTCGGCTCACGCAACCTCCGCCTCCCAGGCTCAAGTAATTCTCCTGCCTCAGCCTCCTGAGCAGCTGGGATCACAGGCACGCGTCACCATGTCTGGCTAGTTTTTGTATATTTTTGTAGAGACGGCGTTTCACCATGTTGGCCATGCGGTCTCGAACTCCTGACCTCAAGTAATCCACCTGCCTCAGGTGATCCACCCCCCTTGGTCTCCTAAAATGCTGGGACTATAGGTGTGAGCCTTTACTTTTAACTCACTCATTAAGCCAAATGAATTTCAAAACTTGGTAATGACTTTCCTAAAGCACAGAATAGTATGGGTCCTACCATGTGCCTAAGCAATCTCTGCCCTAAGTAGTAAGGCACACCTGCATATATCTGGGGAACTATAAGAAGTATGTCCATGCAAATCTTCCAGGAAAGAACATCCTAAGGAAAGGGAGTCAAATTATATTGTTTTGGTATAAGACAATGTGTGGTACAATTGTGTGGTATAAGACAATGCTTTTCTTACTCTATCTTCCAGTCTATCCTCTTAGTACTTAGGCTTGAGTCTTAGACCAAGAGATTAGCAATAAAAGGAGTAAAAACTCAGTAAGTAGTGTTCCAAGGCTTCAGCAACTGTGCTGCCAATGGCTGCTGACATAATAGAAGATAGAAGTTTCATTGCAAATATTAGAGCCTTGACATGCGCATTCAAGCCTTGACTATAATATTGGTAGCCACCAGCAACAGCCAAGATGGACAGCAATAGTAGTGGTAATTTCATTACTTTAGAAATCCACTTGGCTATTAGGGCTACAACAGCAGAGACTGTTTTGTTTTGCTTACTATTGATTCCTACTGTTTAGGACACTTGTGGTCCATAGTAGGCAATCCACAAATATTTGTTCAGTGATTATTGGGTTGATAGGTAATATCACAGTAAGCTGAAGCAGATAAGGGGTAAGTAGGGAATCTCTGGTATGAAAATAACATATGTTTTGTCGACTGAATGAAAGAACCAATACTGTGAAGGGAGAATTCAAAACTTTTCACCTTTTAATTAGAGATTCTGCACTCAGTCTCATGTACTTTTTCAACTATGCTGATAGAAATGAGAGTATTTTGCAGAAGTTTAAAGCTTTGTGATGCTATAAGGTGCTATTGTGGCTCTTCACTCCTCCCTGCTCTCCCTACCATCCCCACCATCTACTCAAAGTTCCCCTCATCCTCCATTTTCTCTATCCTGCTATTTCCCAGTAAGAGAATAACGGTTAAATTACATTTGACAGAAATTAGCTGAGAATCTGCTTCATGAGTGTCACTGTGCTAACTGATAGAATTCAAAAATTAAAGAGGCATAGACAGACTCTGCCATCACTTGTCTTTGTGCCTTTTAGAATAATGAATCCAGTGATTCATAGAATATAGTAGCTGAAGTTACTTCAGTAATCCGTAAATTGAGAACAGAACCCTGCAACTGAATGTTTCAAAAATGTGTATTTTCAAAACTTAAACACAAGGTGGCTCTCTCACCACATTTTTCTACAATGGAGCATAGATAAATTCTTCACGAGAATACCATTCACTAATTTTGAACAATGGCTTTTAATTCTCTTTGCAAAATTTAATCCACACTGTTTGTTGTTGTTGTTGTTGTTGGACTTTACTGTGTAAGTTGAAAATGCTGGCCTATTAAATTCTTCCTAAAAACCAGAGGTCAGAATATTAAGCTATTTCTTATACTGTATAATTTAGTAAATCAATAATCATTTTGAGCTCAAATGTGGGCTCTAAGATTAACCAAAAATATGAATATTAATATGTATTTCATACAATAGTTGCAAATATTAAAAGCAATTATACATGTAAAGAGTTTCCTGCAGTACTTGATTCTCAATACTAATATTATTACTATCTTTAACTGGCAAATAAATTATTTATCTGTCTGGCATCAAATGCAGAAAATAAAATGTCCATATATCATTCTTTGTTGTTGAATAAATTTGATCATGTGTAGTTTGCCCCTCCTTCCTAAGTGAATTATTACACACTTGGCTCCATAAGTTGTCATTCTTATGACAACTTATGCTTTTTGCTAAGTACTATCCAGCAGAAAGGACATTAGATTTAGAACAAATAAAATTGTATTTCTTAAAAATAATTTTTGTGGTTACATAGTAGGTGTATATATTTATGGGGTACATGAGATGTTTTGATAAAGGCATGCAATGTGAAATAAGCACATCATGGAGAATGGCGTATCTATCCCCTCAAGCATTTATCAACTGAGTTATAAACAATCCAGTTACACTCTTTAAGTTACTTTAAAATGTACAATTAAGTTATTATTGACTGTAGTCACCTTACTGTGCTAACGAATAGTAGGTCTTATTCATTCTTTCTATTTTTTTATACTCATTAACCAACCCCACCTCCCTTCCAGCCCCCCACTACCCTTCCCAGCCTCTGGTAACCATCCTTCTACTCTCTATGTCCATGAGTTTAATTGTTTTGACTTTTAGATCCCATAAATGAGAACATATGATGTTTGTCTTTCTGTGCCTGGCTTATTTCACTTAACATAATGATCTCCACTTCCATCTATGTTGTTGCAAATGGCAGGATCTCATTCATTTTTATGGTTGAATAATACTACATTGTGTATAAGTACCACATTTTCTTTATTCATTCATCTGTTGATGAACACTTAGGTTTCTTCCAAATCTTGGCTATTGTAATCAGTGCTGCAACAAAGAGTGCAGATCTCTCTTTAACATACTGATTTCCTTTCTTCTGTGTATATACCCAGCAGTGGGATTGCTGGGTCCTATGGTAGCTCTATTTTCATTTTTTCAAAGAGCCTCCAGGCTGTTCTTCATAGTGATTGTACTAATTTCCCTTCCCATCAACAGTGTACGAGGGTTCCCTTCTCTCCACATCCTCACCAGCATTTGTTATTGCCTGTCTTTTGGATATAAGCCATTGTAACTGGGATGAGATGAGATTTCATTATAGTTTTGATTTGCATTTCTCTGATGATCAATGATGTTGAGCACCTTTTCATATGCCTGTTTACCATTTGTATGTCTTCTTCTGAGAAATGTCTATTCAAATCTTTTGCCCATTTTTGGATTGGATTATTAGATTTTTTTCCTATAGGGGTGTTTGAGCTCCTTACATATTCTAGTTATTAATCCCTTGTCAGAGGGGTAGTTTGCAAATATTTTTTCCCATTCTGTGGGTTGTCTCTTCACTTTGTTAATTGTATCCTGTGCTGTGCAGAAGCTTTTAAACTTGATGTGATCCCATTTGTCTGTGTTTGCTTTGGTTGCTTGTGCTTGTGGGTTATTGCTCAATAAATCTTTGCCCAGACCAATGTCCTGGAGAATCTCCCTGATGTCTTCTTGTAACAGTTTCATAGTTTGAAGTCTTAGATTTAAGTTTTTAATCCATTTTGATTTTATTTTTGTATATGGTGAGAGACAGGAATCTAGTTTCATTCTTCTGCATATGAATATCCAGTTTTCCCAGCACCAGTTATTGAAGACTGTCTTTTCCCCAGTGTATGTTCTTGGCACCTTTGTCAAAAATGAGCTCACTATAGATGTGTGGATTTGTTCATGGGTTCTCTATTCTATTACATTGGTCTATGTGTCTGTTTTTATGCCAGTATCATACTGTTTTGCTTACTGTAGCTCTGTAGTATAATTTGAAGTCAGGTAATATGATTCCTCCAGTTTTTTTCATTTGCTTAGGACAGCTTTGGCTATTCTGGGTCTTTTGTGGTTCAATACAAATTTTCAGATTGTTTTTTCTATTTCTTTGAAGAATGTCACTGGTATTTTGATAGGCATTGCATTGAATCTGTAGATTCCTTTGAGTAGTACGGGGATTGTAACAATATTGATTCTTCCAATCCAAGAACATGGAATATTTTTCCATTTTTTGGTGTCCTCTTCAATTTCTTTCATCAGTGTTTTACAGTTTTCATTATAGAGATCTTTCACTTGTTGGTTAATTCCTAGGTATTCAATTTTATTTGTAGCTATTGTAAATGGGATTACTTTTTAAATTTCTATTTTAGGTTGTTCACTGTTGGCATATAAAAATGTTACAGAGTTTTGTATGTTGATTTTGTATTCTGCAACTCTACTGAAGTTGTTTATTCTAATAGTTTTCTTGTTGAGTCTTTAGGTTTTTCCAAATGTAAGTCCATATCATCTGCAAACAAGAATAATTTGACTTCTTCCTTTCCAATTTGGATGCCCTTTATATCTTTCTCTTGTCTGATTGCTCTAGCTAGGACTTCCAGTACTATGTTGAATAACAGTGGTGACAGTGGACATTCTTGTCATGTTCCAGATCTTAGAGGAGAGGCTTTCAGTTTTTCCCCATTCAGTATGGTACTAGCTTTGGGTCTGTCATATATTGCTTTTATTATGTTGAGTTATGTTTCTTCTATCTCAGTTTTTTGAGGGTTTTTATCATGAAGGAATGTTGAATTTTATCAAATCCTTTTTCAGCATCAATTGAAATGGTCATATAATTTTTAGCCTTCATTCTGTTGATATGATGTAACACATTGGTTGATTTGCATATGTTGAAGCATCCTTGCATCCAAGGGATGAATCCCACTTGGTCATGATGAAAGATCTTTCTAATGTATTGTTGAATTTGGTTTGCTAGTACTTTGAGGATTTTTACATCAGTATTCATCAGAGATATTAGCCTGTAGTTATTTTTTTTTATGTGTCTTTGTCTGATTTTGGTATCAGGGTAATATCAGCCTTGTAGAATGAGTGTGGAAGTATTCCCTCCTCCTCCTCCTCTGTTTTTCAGAACAGTTTGAGTAGGATTGGTATTATTTCTTCTTCAAATGTTTGAATATACAAGCAAGTCTCCTCCCTCAATCTCCCGAGTAACTGGGATTACAGGCGCCTGCCACCATGCCCGGCTAATTTTTGTATTTTTAGTAGAGACGGGGTTTCACCATCTTGGCCAGTCTGGTCTTGAACTCCTGACCTCGTGATCCACCCTCCTCGGCCTCCAAAAGTGCTGGGATTACAGGTGTGAGCCACCATGCCTGGTCGAAATTTAGTTAATAATAGTGGATCAATTGGCACATCTGCTGTAACAAATGTACCATACTAATGCAAGATATTAGTAATAGGGAAGTGGTGGGGTGAGAGAGTATACGGAAACTCTCTGTACTTTCACTCAATTTTTTTCTGTAAACCTAAAACTGCTCCAAAAAGTTTATTAATTTTTAGAGTCAAAAGTACAAATCCTTTCTTTGATTGTTTCTATATGCTGTGTCATACACTTAGAAAGTCCTTCTCCATTATAAAAATAAAAACCCTACATTTCTCTTCTAGTTTTTCTGTGGTTTCATCTTTTTAACTTTTAATAAACTTTACTTTTTAGGGCTATATCTTCAAACCTTGGCTGTGACAATATCTCAGAGTTTCCTTAGTTTTGATGACTCTGACAGTTTTGCAAATACTGATCAGGTATTTTGTAATGTCTATGAGAATTTTTCTGATATTTATTTCATGATTAGACTAGGGTTATGGGTTTTGGGGAGAAAGACCACAGAATTGCCATCTTTATTGTATCTTATCGAGAGTATATACTATCAATATGATATAACAATTTATGTTGATCTTCTGCTGAGGTAGTATTTGTCAGGCTTCTCCACTTTGTAGTTACTTTTCCCCTACCCTCACCCTTTCCATACTGTGTCTTCACTATAGTAAAGAAAGTGACTATATTGAGCCCACGATTAATGAGTGTGGAGCCATGCTCTTCCTCCTCGAGGGCAAAATATCTACGAAAGTCATTTGTAATTCTTCTGCACAGAAGATGTGTGTCTTCTTCCCCAATTGTTTATTTATTAAATCATTTATTTATATCAGTAAGGATTTATGGATGTTTATTTTATACTTTGGGCTAGCTCATGTTGTTCCAGTTTCGGCTCTTTCAGTTGGCTTTTGTCTCACTTTCAACATACTCCCATCACTGTGGGGTGCTTTTTGTTTGTTTGTTTTTTCCTTTTTGAGGACTTTCTTACTTTCTGCCCTTACAAGATGCTTGAGGCTTATTGTGCATATTTCCTGCCCCAGTGCTATAATCAGCCATGTCTCAAAAAAACGTTGGTTCCTTTTATTAGAGAATGGTGTAAGGAACCAAGATCTGGGAACCAGGTATGTTCAATGTCAGTGGGGCATTATTGCCTCTAGGCTCTCTCAGATGACAGAGCAAATCAATATATGTGTACAGATTCATTTTTAACACAATTTTTTTGACACATTTGACATTTATTTTGATGTAATTATAAGGTAGAAATTCAACTTAATTTTTTTCCCTATGGTTTTTATAGGCCTGTATTGAGACTTCAATTGGCCATTTCTTATTGGCCTCAGAAAGTTGAGCAGTCTCAGAAAGATTATTTAACTTGTCTCATTCTATGTTTCTTCATTGGTGAGGTAGAGTAATAATACCCATCTTACATGTCTTTCAGGGCTATAGTAAGGATATAAATGAGATGATAATCTGGAAAATTCTATGTGGACTTAAAACACTTTACAAATATATGGTGTAATATTAATCACTGTTGAACTGAAAAACACTTTCATTAGAATTAGCATTCCTCAGGCAGCAAATAACTAACCTTCTTTAATGGAGACCTCCTTTGCTTGCATTACTTTTAATAGGCAATTACTTTTTTCCAACTGAATATCCAGTATATTGTTCTTTCCATTGGTTTCTACCATTTTCTGTAGAAGAAATAGAATACTTATTATTAACAAATCAATGCTGCTAGTTTAATTTTTTATTAAGTATATGCAGACTAATGAAAATACAAACCACTTAATATCTGATAGTCTAATAAAAAAATACATATACAGTCATGTACTGCATAAAGACATTTTGATCAACAACAGACTGCATATAGAACAGTGGTGCCACAAGATTATAATGGAGCTGCCCTATACAAGTGTAACAATTTTATCTTTTATACCATATTTTTACTGTACCTTTTCTATGTTTAGATATACAAATACTTACCA
Source organism: Homo sapiens (assembly GCF_000001405.40). Lineage (NCBI taxonomy): Eukaryota > Metazoa > Chordata > Mammalia > Primates > Hominidae > Homo > Homo sapiens. Next base: position 42,762,148 of record NC_000005.10, on the reverse strand, counting down.
TTATGTTACACTTGCCTCCAACATTCAGTATAGTAACATGCTGTCCAGGTTTGTAGCCTAGGAGCAGTAGGCTATACCATAAAGCCTAGGTGTGTAATAGGCTACACCATTTAGGTTTGCGTAAATATACTCTATAACATTCACACAATGATAAAATTGCCTAATAATGCATTTCTCAGAACATATCCTTGTCATTGAGCAATATATGACTGTATTTTAAATAACCCCACTTCCCAATTTATTTTCAAATTAAAAAGTAACATGGTAAAATATTAAAACAGACTAGCAGTTATAAATGAAAAGTAAAAATATGACCTAACTTGAACCACTTTCTTTCCAACTATTCAACTCTCAGTCCCATGGTTAACAATTCCTTATATATGTTTCCAAAATATTTTATGACTGTACAGCTATAGAAAGAAATCATATTATATTCTGTTCTGTGCCTTGGCTGTTCCGCTTAGTACTATTATCTGGGAGATGATGTCATGTAAACCCACATAGATCTACCTCATTCTTTTTTTTCTTTTTTTTGAGATGAAGTCTGACTCTGTTGCCCAGGCTGGAGTGCAGTGGGGCAATCTTGGCTCACTGCAACCTCTGCCTCCTGGGCTCTAGCAGTTCTCCTGCTTCAGCCTCCTGAGTAGCTGGGATTACAGGGGCACGCCACCACACCCGGCTAATTTTTTGTGTTTTAGCAGAGACAGGGTTTCACCATGTTGCCCAGGCTGGTCTCAAAATCCTGAGCTCAGGCAATCTACCTGCCTTGGCCTCCCAAAGTGTTGGGATTACAGGCGTGAGCTACCGCACCTGGCCTACCTCATTCTTTTTAACAGCTACATTCAGTTTCATTTTTGAATATGCTGTAATTTATTTAACCAGTCTCTTACTGAGAGAGAGACAGACAGAGGCCATATTCTACTTTTTGTAATGGTTAAACATTCTTGACCATATCTCTTGGGTATTTTTGTGAATAGTATAATAAGCCTCCATATACTCTTCAAATAGCTTCAAAAATCAACTCATGAACAGTCTTATATCATCTGTATCTCTATCCACTGCCCTAGTCTCACCACTTTTGAATTGATCTCAAAGCAACTCTCTGACATTATGTTATTTCATCTGTTAATATTACCATCCATATGTATCTCCAAGAGACGACTCTTTCAAAATATGGCCACAATACCATCATCACCTCAAAAATGAACAATTATTTCTTATTTAAAGTGTTTAAGAATATGACAGATATTTCCAAATTAATTTCCAAAATCATTGCACTAACTCCTTTCCCACCAAAAATGCTTCTTATTCCTTTCTCTTTTATCTCTTATTATGTTAGGAATCACTCGGTTAAGAACACTTAACTTTACCGTTTAAAAAAAGCTCATGTTACTTCAAAATACGCATGATCATAAAAATTCTTTCATTATGACATTTGTGTGTGTGTGTGCTGACGAAAAGAAGGAATAGAAAAGAATTACAAGAAAAGAAGAGAAAACAGAAGTAGATATTAGCCTCCCTCCCACTCTTGCTTCACAAAGTCACTTCCCAATTCTTTCATTTAACCACCTACATTTTTCAACAGCTATTGAAGGCAGAGGAGGGAGGATAAACCCAATACACACTTGTGGGTTTGGTCTACCATTTGTCCAGAGTTGGGGAGACAGACTTTAAATGGCTTTGCTTTTAGGCAAAAAAGAAGGAAAATGGAAGAGATAGAACAGGAAATACTAAAAAATGAGTAGTTATAATAACAGATTGAAATATGCATTTACTTCAATGTTTACTAAAACCATTCCTGAGTTTATGGACAATGTAGGCTTTCTTTTTTTTTTTTTTTTTTTTGAGACGGAGTCTCGCTCTGTCGCCCAGACTGGAGTGCAGTGGCGCGATCTCGGCTCACTGCAAGCTCCGCCTCCCGGGTTTAGGCTATTCTCCTGCGTCAGCCTCCGGAGTAGCTGGGACTATAGGAGCCTGCCACCACGCCCGGCTAATTTTTTGTATTTTAAGTAGAGACGGGGTTTCACCGTGTTAGCCAGAATGGTCTCGATATCCTGACCTCGTGATCCGCCCGCCTCGGCATCCCAAAGTGCTAGGATTACAGGAGTGAGCCACCGTGCCCTGCCTGGACAATGTAGGCTTTCAAGTATAGCAATTCCCTTTTATCCATGGAAGGATATGTTCGTGACCTCCAGTGGATGCCTGAAACCACAGATAGTACTGAACCCTATATATAGTATGTTTTTACCTCTACATACATAACTATGATGAAGTTTAATTTATAAATTAGGCACAGTAAGAGGTTAATAACAATAATAATAAAATAGAACAATTATAATATACTGTAGTAAAAGTTACATAAATGTGGTCTCTCTCTCTGAAATTATCTTATTGTACTGTACTCACCCTTCTGATAACCGAGGTGGCTACCAAGTGACTAACAGACAAGTGGTCTATAATACAACATGGATACACTGGTCAAAAGGATGAATCACAACCTGGGCAGGACTGACAGAGACAATGGAAGATTTCACCGTGCTACTCAGAATGGTGCAGAATTTAAAATTTATGAATTGTTTATTTTGGGAATTTCCCATTTAATAGTTTTGGACCACTGTTGACCTCAGGTGGCTGAAATTGTAAAAAGCAAAACCTCAGATAAGGGGACTACTATATGTATTTTCTGTTTGACTTTGGCAAAAGTACATAAATTATTTGTTTCCCTGTCATAGGGACATTTTGATGTATTAGTACAAATGAATCCAAGCCAGATATATTTTAAACATGGAGTTTTAAAATGAGAGAGAAGAGCATAGCAAAATATAATATTATTATCTTGATCATTTTTTGGTATATTTTTCTTTCTTCCCAACTTCTTCCCTTGGCAAAATCTGTTCCATGTATCCCTATATAGTAGAATTGTTTTCTATCTTTACATACCTTTTCTATCTGTGAGAAGTCATTTATAAGTTTGTCAAGATTCACACTGCTAATCTTTTTCATACATCCTTCACTGCTTTGGTCCATGCCTGAAAGTAGTAAACAGTAGATAGTGTTAAATAAATAAATAAGATCTAAAGCACCACAATAGTGTTCATAGCTCAAATACTAACATTTCTATATTCAACTCATAGGGCACCTACTTGGGCTCCATTGCACTGCGAGAATTTTTGTTATAACCAATATTAACAGTGGTCAAATGCATTGTCTTTTCCACTCCTTACCACCCACACCCCAGTTGACTTATTTATATTTGTTTCTTTACTGCATTAAAACCTAATGCAATATTAAATCTGAGGCATGACTTTTAACTGTAATTATTCTTAATTAAAGATGTTAAAAATACTTGTTTAACTATCATGTCACAGATGTTTTCTGCTGTTATGCTTATTTCTTATATTTTGTTTGGTAAACTGGTAAATAAAAGATGCATGGAAGTTAATGTGCTCAAAGCAATCTCTCTGCATTTCTATTGTCTTGTAATTTTGTATAAGGGATTAACCTTTGGGGATAGCCAGCTAACTGCTGAAGAATAAGAGTTTCAGTTTTAGTCCTATGAAATCAATCATAAGAACTTCTTCAGAATCCCAGAATGTAAATGCTGGCTATTTTGCAAAAGTCAATTTATCCATTCTGACTGGATGAGTTTACATCTTCAGATGTAATGTAAACAAGTATGAGACACTTGTCTTTAGATTTTTCTATAGCAAAGAAGAAAGGGAAAATACAAGTTTGAAATTCAGGGATGTTAGGTTGAGGAAAAAACATGAACCAATGTATGGTGTGTGAAAGCGGTAACTAGTCCAAAGTAAAATGTAAGTAAAATTCCTGATGTAGTTACTCAAAGCAATTTGGGGGCATATTATTGTTTAAAAGGAAGTTAACCAAAACAGATATTGCTTGACAATATGTTATTTCATCAAGATATCTCATTTTCTTCTTTTGAAATATTTTGCATTAGCAATTATTAATGGTTTTTAAATCTCAGATTTTTGGCTGTATATTTTGTTTCTTGAATTATTATCTCGAATTATTATCTTATGTATGACATATGCAAGCACAACTACATATAAAATCCCTTAAATAGTTAAAACTTGATCCTTACAGCAGAAAAATATTTGTTAATAGCCTCCCATGATACAGTAAAATTCCTTTTGGAGTAAAATTAAAAATAATTGCTGTTTGATAGTACTGTTATTCTTTAATAGTGCTACATAGTAATCTGAAGTAGTTAATGGAAACTCCCTCCACCCCCACCTTTTTTTTTTGGTACCTAACCTTTTAAATAAAAAAGGTTTTACTAGGGTTTTGTCTCAGAATCTGGCTCTTGAAATAAATGCATTTAAATTTGAGCTTGATTTTCTCTCAACTCCTTCCCCCAAAGAAGACCCTGTTATTTCCTTGTAAAACCATCACTAATATTCCATTTGCTATCGTTGCATGATATCCCTTTTGCCATAATGGCAGAGCCAGGCAATTCATTTCTAGGTATCTTCATTGCCTGCTCTTCTGATTTCTTAGGTCAAGATCCTTTCAGTGAATATGGTCTTGCCCTGTGAAATTCGGTGTCAAGCTGGTGATTCAGTGCTTGTCAAATTCCTTAGTGAGCCGCAGAGACTGATTTGTGACCTTCAAGGCTCAGCTTCAACCGTCCCCACAGGCAAGTGAAAGTCCCATTTCCTTCTTTGTCTTCTTGCCTGCTGGCTTCAACCATCCCCACAGGAGCGTGACAGTTCCGTTTCCTTTTGGGTCCTCCTGTCTGCTGGCTTGAGTCCCGGGGCTCGTCCTCTCCCCTACCCCACACAGTTGGTCCTTCGCCGCTCGCCTGCCCCACGCTCTGGTCCCTCCTCTTTCCTCCTCACCTCCCCTCAAGAATTCACTCTCAGTCCTGAAGCCTGGGTCCCCTGGCTCCCTCTCCGTCATCCTAGTGTCCTTAGGGACCTAGCAGAAATAAAGGATGGGGGCCGAGGACCCGCGGATGTGAGAGAAGTGCCTGAGACAAAAACCTGTATGGACCCAGAGCACTGTAAGGAGATAAGAAGAAAAGCATCTCTATGGAAAAAGCGGGAGTTTCGAATCGCTTTCTAGCGTCCTTAGCGGCCTAGCAAAAATAAAGGATGGGGGCCGAGGACCCGCGGATGTGAGAGAGGTGTCTGAAAAGAAAAGCCTGTAATGGACCCAGAGCACTGTAATGAAATATGAAGAAAGGAATCTCTATGGAGAAAGCGGGAATTTCGAACCGTCAATAGAATTTGGAGTGTACCTGCTGTTGCTCCTAGTTCCCCACAGTCTCCCTTTCCGCTGCCTCTGGGGCCTGGTACACCCCTGAATGCTGTCCCCTCCTCCGGAAGCCGAATCCCCCAACAATGGGCCCGCCTTTCTCTGGGCCCGCCCTGTGCGCTATGCTGGAGCTCCTACCACCAGCAGTTCTTACCAACTTGGCCCAGCTCCGCTCAGCATCTGCGGCTGCTTAGGTATTTTCATGTGGTTTCCAGAACATGAATCAACACCGGATCAATAATTGTTTCCCCAACCAAAGAATAAATCACATTGGGTGTTCTGAATTGTGAGTCAGCTCCATTGAATAAATAATTATCCATATCTATTTTTGTAACTTATAAAATTGCCTTTTAAAATTCCAGAGCCAGTTAATAGATATGGTTTCCCATCTACAGAGTTATATCTTGGTAGCTTAATGATTAAGGGCGTGGGCTCTTGCGTGGATTCAAACCCCAACTCTTCTCTTTTTCCGTGGGTGATAGTGGGTAAGTTCTTAATTTCATGCACCTAAGCATCTTCATCTGTATAAGAGATTAATTATAATGCCTGCCTCTGCCGGGCGCTGTGGCTCACGCCTGTAATCCCAGCACTTTGGGAGGCCGAGGGGGGTGGATCACCTGAGGTCAGGAGTTGGAGACCAGCCTGGCCAACATGGTGAAACCCCGTCTCTACTAAAAATACAAAAATTAGCCAGGCGTGGTGGCGGGCTCCTGTAATCTTACCTACTTGGGAGGCTGAGGCAGGAGAATTGCTGGAACCCGGGAGGCGGAGGTTGCAGTGAGCGGAGATCGCACCATTGCATTCCAGCCGAGACCCGCAGCAGCAAGACTCAGTCAAAAAAAAAAAAAAGAAGCCTGCCTCTTAGGACGGTTGTGATGATTAAATGAAGTGATGCATTTATAAGGTGCTTAATGGAGATCCTTGCTTAAAGTAAGTGTTCAGAAATGTTAATTATTAGAATTTTTGAATGTTGTTCAGTAATAGTTTGAAAGCGAATCCACTGCCAACTTTGCTCATCTGCTTTTTTTTTTTTTTCTGAGTGGGAGATGGGAGGTTTATTTTTGTTAATGTGATTTTTCGATAGACTCCAAAATTTGGCAAGTGAAAAAATATAAACAGTAATATGATAACCCATACTTTACTAGTTGAAAGGTAGTGTGGCATAATGGCAAGAAAATTAGGTTAAAGTGGAAAATGGGGGTTGTAGTCTTCACTCTGCTGCTCAAATAAGCTTTCCCTAACATTAGTAGCAACACATAGAAATATTGAAAATGACCTGCTGAATTGCGGGTTCTACCCAATTAGCAAATATAAAATGTTCCATGTAACTCATGTCATAATAACTTTTGAAACAAGCCCATTTTAAGACCCTAAATGCTAAAATGCTACCTTCTCCATGAGTCATTCACTGATCGTATCAATCAGTTGTGATCTACCTTTCCTTACTCTATGGAACATGCTAGCTTTCTGTGGCATTTGTTAAGACTGAATTGATGTATTACCTCTTTTGCTGTATTTATTATTGGCTCCTTGGGGGAAGAAACTCTATTTTCTTTATATATATATATATATATATATATATACACACACACACACACACACACACGCGCATGTATGTATGTATGTATGTATGTATGTATTAAGTTCCACCTAGGCCCATCCTAGGCAAATTTCAGGAGTCCTTTGAAAATATGTGGTGACTGGAATGTGTAAGGTGGAGAGGGAGCTCCCTAGATCCCCTGCCTCATCTGTACTTCCAAATCTTCTGGATGTTCCAACATTTGAAATACAGAAGCTTTGACTATCTAATGATTTTGGGATGTAGAGACTAAGAAAGTTGGAATATTATATATATATATATGTATATATGCAAACACACATATATGTATATATATATACACATATATATGTATATGTATATATTTCTCCATAGAGCCTACCATAGAGAAAATAGAAATGAACCAACACATCAGGAATAAGTCAGAAAAGTTTAGCTTAATTTTTCTAGTTTAGAATGGGTTGCAAGTTTATCTTCCAGTTTATAGATGTTAGCATTTTTTTCAAAGAATTCTAGTAGGTTTAGAGTGCATCTTTCAATGAGAAACTAAATGAACTTGTCATGATTTCATCTTTAAAAAGTGAATGTGTTTCACAGTTGTATTCACAGTCTTATTCTTCAGATACCATCCAACTGAGAAACAGAATTCATCAAATATTTGCTCAGAAAATATTCATTTTTGCTTACTACTTGGATGTGGGATCATTCATACACCACATGTCAGCAACATGCAATTTACTCATGTAGCAAACTTGCACATGTACCCCCCAAGCCCAAAATAAAAGTTGGGAAAAAAGAGAATATTTATTTTCTGATAGATCAAGGATTTATTTAATATATATTTTAAGACTGCCTGGAAAACCAAAATAGAGAAACAAACTACATTATTTTGTCATACTAACAAAGAAAGTAACACTGGAATTCATTAAAAATACCCTGATTTGGAAGAGAAATGCATATGTACCTGGGCAGCTGAAAAAAAATCAGAAGCTACCGGTTTATGTACATAAAGATCTTAAAATGAGTGATACATTGATTTTTTTAGGTTGAAAACAGCTTCACTCATTAATTCATTCTAAAATATTTAAGTACTTACAAAACATCAGCTGCTGCAAGTCTAGGCACTAAGGAGAGCAAAGACAAATAAGAGACTCTCCTTTTGCCTTGGAGCTTACAGTCTCAAAGGAGAGACTAGCAGAGGATTGAAATCTAGTGTATGTTATTGGCAATATTGCTCTGGCATTGGAATCTCACTTGATTATTTTAGTTACTATCACCGGCATATTATAACAACAAAATATTATGGTGTTGCTCCCATATCACAGCAAATGTTTATAAGTGGTTTGGCTAATCTATGGAGTCCTTTGTTCCAGCCCTATTATTTAACTCTCTCGATATTCTTACCTCTGTTTAGGCCATGCTTTTTGTCTTTGAATCAAATTCACCAACTGCTGAAATTTCAGCTTGCTCTCATTTCCATGAATATTTATTTAAAAATGCTACATACATATTTCACCTATACAAGGTGAAATATAAATTAGAAATTGAAGAGCAGTAGAGAAATAAAACAGAAATACTCTGGCCTGTAGGTCAACAAAGTTTTTATATTTCTGCTACAAATTTGGCTTTGAATTTACTGATGGTTGGAATAAAAAAGGATACAGGCTTAACTACTTAGTTTATTTATTTATTTTTGTAAAAGAGGAGAAAACATACAAGTTTCTCAGGAGGAACCATGTTCCCTAACTCTAACTTCTTAATTTTTCACATTAAGATTCATATAGGAGGCACTGGATAATTTAATAGGCAATTTCCTCAATATTAGCCTGAGAGTAAAGGTGGAAATGAGCTTTTTAAGACACTTTCGAAGTATCTCTATGAAAAAGGCTAGATTGGATCAGAAATGGCAATCATAATGAATCATGATCTAGGCCCCTGCTTTTCAAAGTGTGGTCTCTGCACCAGCAACATGGGCATCGCCTGCGGGCTTGTAAAAATGCAGTCTCAGACTCTATCCCATAACTGCTAAATCAAAGTCTGCATTTTAACAACATTACCAGGTGATTCATGTGCATATAAATGTTTGAGAAGCATTGATCTTCTGTGTAGAAAGCTTTTAGAGCTTTTTATTTCTTTCCTTTGCCTTTTTAAGATTATCAGTAATTACACATTTATTTATTCAAGAAATACTTGAGCACCAACTATGTCCTGAGGTCTATGAGAAAACTAGGAATAAACAAAACAGATTGGCCCCTGACCTTAGAGGACTTATAGTTTAAAAGGGAAATAGGTAATACATTGAGTAAATTACCTATACATAAAATTGTAATAAGTGCGAAGAAACACAAATCTATGATATCGATTTTAAAAGTGAGTGGGAGGTGCTTCAGTTACAGTGATTGAGGACAGTCGCTGAGTAGATAAGATAAAAGTGAGAACTGAAGGGCTAACATTTTAATGTACCCTTCAGGTCTCACTTTTATTTTATTTACTCAGCGACTGTCCTCCATCAAAATGTTAGCTGTGGGTGGCTGGGCATGATGGCTCACGCCTGTAATCCCAGCACTTTGGGAGGCCGAAGTGGGTGGATCACTTGAGGTCAGAAGTTTGAGACCAGCCTGGCCAACATGGCGAAACCCCATCTCTTCTAAAAATATAAAAAAAAAAAAATTAGCCGGGCATGGTGGCAGGCACCTTTAATCCCAGCTATTAGGGAGGCTGAGGCAGGAGAATCCCTTGAACCCCGGAGGTGGAGACTGCAGTAAGCCGAGATCACGCTACTGCACTCCACAGTGAGTGACAGAGTGAGACTCTGTCTCAAAAAAAAAAATGTTAGCTGTGGGCAACATTTAAATGCTAGGGTTACTTTTAACCTCTACTTGATCTCTTGATGCACTATCTCCCTCCTCTGGTTTCTCTACGTAATTCTCATATTTCAGTATCTGTTTCTGGACCATATTGTCTTGGCTTCAACTGCAACTTTGGCTTCGAGTTCTGTAGATCTCTAGCTCTCAGCATTTCCTGCAGTAATTAGGTAAAATACATTCCATGCATCAGGTTTATGACCCAATGGAACACTGTTGGTTAGACTAATCCCCATCCTTTTCCAAATGGACAGGGGAATTTGAACATGATTCTAAAATAAAGTCTAAACCGTGCAGTACTTGGATTACTTTTCCTGAAACAATCCTACTTAGATATATAAATATTCCATCTTTTAATGAGCTTCATTAAGAGTAGAATCAATGTTGCTATCTGGGCAGAGTTTGCATTTTTGGATGAGGACAGGAAGTGAAGCTATTCTACTTAATTTATTGACATAAATATACTTTAGATAGTGAGTCTATGGTAAGGGTAGTATTTTTGTGATAATAAAATAGTCTAACCAGCTTTCAATGGCCTTGTATTCAACAACTACTTGGAGGTGGCTATGTGGTATTCTCAGAAGAAGTCAGACTTTTTCTCAAAATTTAGTCTTAAGTCTGTTCCAGTACATAAACAAGTGATCCATGATGGCTTCAATGTCATAATAGAGCATAAGTTTGACAATTTGGGCCTAAAATATTCCATTGCTCCCAGAGAACATCAACTTTTTCATAACCTACCTTCTTAGTGATAACATTGTTGGTGGGGGCAGGTTAATGAGCCTTTCAACATTCCTAGCTTCAGATCCTGGCTCTGCTCCTACTAGTTGTGTGGTCCTCAGCAAGTCAATTTATCTCTCTGCCCTTCCATTTCATCTTTATAAAATGAGAACAAACCTCTGAAGATTAGGATAAATGTGTCAAACCTGGGTTGGCTTTGAGTAGGCCAGAAATAAATATTTGTTGAATAAAAGAAAGAATGAACCAATGAACAATGTTAGTTCCTATATCAGCAAGCTTTTGTGATACAATAGACCATTCTAAAATGCAGTGCTTTGAAACAGCCATTTATTTAGCTCATGCTATTTAAGGTCAGCAGTTTAAACTGGGATCAGGTAGGCAAGTTTTCTCGTCTTGGCTGGGTTCTTAATGCATTGGCGGTTAGCCATCGTTCAGGTAAGTGGCTTAGCTAGTTTTACTCATCTGGGCCGGGCTCTCAGTCTCTGGAGACTTAGTTGGTATCACTCTTGTCACTTTGCCACTTGGTCTCTCATTCTCTAGCAGGCTCAGCCAGGCTTGTTCTTAAGGAGTTTAATCATCCTGAGAAAGAAATCACAGACATGCAAGGCCCTCTAGAGCAGTGATGCCCAACCTTTTTGGTACCAGGGACTGGTTTCGTGGAAGACAAATTTTCCACAGACTGGGATGGGGGGATTGTTTTAGAATGATTCAAACACAATACATTTATTGTAGACTTTATTTATTTTATTATTACATTGTAATATATAATGAATAAGTATACAACTCACCATAATGTAGAATCATTATGAGCTTATTTTCCTGCAACTAGACGGTCCCATCTGGGGGTAATAGGAGACAGTGACATATCATCAGGCATTAGATTCTCATAAGGACTGTGCAACCTAGATTCCTTGCATGCACAGTTCACAATAGGGTTTGCACTCCTGTGAGAATCTAATGCCACCACTAATCTGACAGGAGGTAGAGCTTAGGCGATAATGCAAGCAATGAGGAGTGGCTGTAAATACAGATGAAACCTCGCTTCCTCACCTGCTGCTCACCTCCCGCGGTGCAGCCCAGTTCCTAATGGGCCACTGACCAGTACCAGTCTGTAGTGTGGGGGTTGGGAACCCCTGCTCTAGAGGACCAGGTTCAGCACTGGCCTACAGCAACTTCCACACATTCTATTGGTAAAAGCAGGGTACAAGGCCACGCAGACTCAAGTAGCGAAGAAACAGACTCCATCTATTGATGGCAGGAGCTGCAAAGGGGGTAAATACAGGAAGGTAATAATTATAGCCACTTTGCAAAAAGTTTACCAATAATTACCCTTACATAAACCTGTCAAAATAACAGTTCCATTATGCAGGCCTAAGTAAAGGGGGAAAAATAGTTTGTTGTATTAGTTAAGAGAGGACATCTGCCAAATGATTTTTGTGTAAGAAAAATTGAAATATGCTCATTCATTCTAATAGTAGTTAGCAAAATAAAGTAACTTTTGAGATAATGCTTTTTAAAAATCATCTACATATAGGAGTGTACATATCTTCCTATGCAGTTGTCAATATTTGAGCAATATCAAAAAAGAAATGGAGAAACTGTAGAGGCAGATGACTCTTAAAACACAGTGAACACAATAGCGAAGACTTGGAACCAAGGTAAATGCCCATCAATGATAGACTGGTTAAAGAAAATGTGGCACATATACACCATGGAATACTATGCAGTCATAAAAAAGGATGAGTTCACATCCTTTGCAGGGACATAGATGAAGCTGGAAACCATCATTCTCGGCAAACTAACACAAGAACAGAAAACCAAACACCGCATGTTCTCACTCATAAGTGGGAGTTGAACAATGTGAACACATGGACACAGGGAGGGGAACATCACACACTGGGGCCTGTTGGGGGGTCGGGGGGCTAATGGAGGGTTAGCATTAGGAGAAATATCTAATGTAGATGATGGTTGATGGGTGCAGCAAACCACCATGGCACGTGTATAACTATGTAACGAACCTGCACATTTTTCACATGTACCCCAGAACTTATAGTAATAAAAAAAAAGAAAAAGAAAACCACAGCGAACAGATCCAATTTGGATGTGCTTCACCCTCTGACTCCTACAAAAAAAGTAATTCATAGCCCTGCCATTAGTGTCTCCAGAAAAGATTATAGTAAAAACCAAACCAAAACAAGCAAAAAATGAACAAATTGAAGCTAGATATATGAATAGGCAGTATAAGGCACAGCAGAGTGTCTATAAACGTTGAGGATATCATATCTTCTTGAAAAGACACTTAATGAGGTCAGAAAGGATCAAGATTTTGTTTGATGAGCCCAAACCCTCAGTGAGAGGCCTACTCTTTGCCATTTTACTTTCACTATTCAGTTAATTCTACCTCAGGCAACTGCTTTCTCACCACTATAACCACATCTTTCTACTGTACACAGGTTGTGCCCACTAGTCTTAAGGAATCTTTATCTCTCTCTCTCTGGGATCCATTCCTATGTTATGAAAATGAAATTATGGCAAATAAATGCAGTGTGACTCACATAAAAGAAAGTATGACATAGGAAACCACTACACCAATGCTGCAGACCTTGGAAGTGTCTGTGAGTCTTCTTCATCATTCTCACAGAAGCCACCATCTGCCTCCTTGTTCTCTTCTGGTCAAGTGTTCTTCTCCAACATGAAATGAAAGATAATTTCAAAACTGTGTTCTTTTCAAGTGGTGATCTGATAGTGTTCCTATGAAAAATACATCCAGAATGCTTAACAACTAAATTAAAAATCTGGGATGAATTCATTTGATATAAAATAAGTAAATTCGATTAATTTTTAAGTGAAAATTCTTAGTTTGACTTCATAATACCTAGAAATATTTAAACAGTATAGGGTATCCTAAACAAAATAACAAAGATTAAAAGGAAATTACAAAACACAAAGCAAATGCTTGCAAAATGTCCAGTCTTCCAGATTAATCTATGGATTTAGGGCTAAACCAACAAAAATTGTTTAACTAGTGTGTGTGTGTGTGTGTGTGTGTTTGCATGTGTGCGTGTTGCTTTTAAAACCAATGAAAACTTATTGAGGTAGATATTGTTATTTTTAGATATTTTAAATAACATCTCTTAGCATATAAAAATGGTTTGCTGTTTCAAATGGCTCCACCTGGTCATGTAATAGTGGTTTGCGGTTTAAGGAGTAGTGGCCTGTTTAATGCAATTAAACTGTTTAATTCTAGAGGGTTCAAGAAAGTTGAAATAATATGTTCATAAGCATTACATTTAAACCACCTATATTCACAAAACAGTATTTTGGGAAAATGTGATTCTATCAAACTTCAATAACAGCAAATGTAGCATTAATTAAATAACTGAAATTAAACAAAAAAGAAATAAAGTTATTTTTAAGGGAGAAAACACAGTCAAATGTCTTGTAGATGTTCAGAGTCGGCAGCTGTGAAAGCTGTCAGCCTGTATGTGACACCAGATCCCTGAGTCCTCACAATGCAATCCTCCTTCTCTGAGGACCTGAGAGTCTAGCGGATCTCCTGATCCTCTCTGGCCTCTGCCTGGGACTGTATGTGGAACAGCAATGACAAAAGGGGCCACCTGGAAAAAACTGAAACTTAAACTCTACTTCTACCAAATTTTGACTGTTGTGACCATTTTCTCTTCGTGGCTCTTTGAATATCTTGTTAGTTCACAAAGCTCCAACGATCTTTCTAGAGTTTTTTCCTCATGGCAGAGAATACTCCTTTGATAGAAGGAGCTTATTCTTACCCCAGGCTTTCAGCCATCTCCCTGTAGGAGCTGTCTTCAGATGTATGTGGCCATGTTTTTATATATTTTGGGAAATTTTTTGGTTTCTCTCTTGTAAGTGGTAAATTCCTTCCTCCATTAATTTTCTGCAAAGTTGCATTACGTGTTCTTGATGCAGTTCAAGCACTATCTGAAGTTTGAGCTGAGGCTTTTGAATTTCATTTTTAAGCTGTGCATTTCAGACTATAAATGTTTGCCCAGTTTGGAAACTTTCCATTTGAACTCTAAGTGCTTCTTTTATTTTCTTCACAGAAACTTTAAAAATATATTTTGTTTTTCTTCTTCAAGCCTTATTAAAGGAAACATTTAAGTTAACACTATCAATGAGGTTTTTTTTCAAGTCGACTTTTGATTGATAAAGATTATCAATAGTGGCTTCCATTTTCTGATTCTAAAGAGAGCTAGTAATCTAATCTAATTAGAGACCATAAGTGGTTTTCAGTTACTTACAACCTGTTCCATTTGCATGTTAGAGTTGTTAAACATTTTTATTTGTTCCTTTGGTTCCTGCACTGCTATTTTCACCTTCTGGCTTCTTGGGAAAGCAGTTTTAGGTTTTCCTAAAGATGAACTTTTCATCCACACAACTCATTTTCCTCTAAAATGGACTCCATCCTTCTGAGATTCTTTTAAGAGGATTTTTTTTGACAGTCACTTAGGATTTGAGATATTTTGATGCATCATTGAATGACAATGTCTGTTTTTGAAGGAGAGCCATCATCACCGAATGAAATGAAACTTCAGGGAGCTCTATTTTATGTTATTTGTTGAGAAGGTCTAGTGTATTCTTGATCAAAGATGTTCATATTGTTACTAATATAAGTGCTGCCAAATTCAGAGTTGTAACCTCAGAAGACATGCCTCCACTGGAAGTAACTTCAGGGCTTCTTGGGCTTGAATAATCAATCTAATCTCACTGAGTTTACAATATTCTTCAACTAAGGCAGAAAATCCTTCAGTTATTTCTTTTTCCCTTTTTAAAGTATGTTGACTTTTTACTACTAAAAATGATCATAGTAGCAGAGATCAGAATCTCCCAGGTAATTGTGTATATAGTTTAAAGAGAATTAAAGATATAAATAGTAATTTATTAATTTATATCATTTATAACTTTTACCAAACAATTCATCCACTGACTTCATATGGCATTGAATGCTTCTCAATTTGTTTAGTGTCACTGTCTCCTCAGCTACATAATGTGCTTTATAAAAACCTTATTCCCATGTCTTGAGTGATATTGCTGCAGAAAGGTGATTTCCAGTTCCATTTAAGTCATTATAGTCATCTTGAAAGAGTTTATGTTAGGATTTTTAAAGAAAGAATCTAGGTCAAACAGAAAGAAATGACAGCCTGTTCCCTTGACTGAAGGCTCTGGGCAGAAAATCAGCTGCTGAGCTAGGAAGTGGTAATATAAAATGAGCACTAACAAAATACCTTATAACCAATTTTAGGGGTAGATGGGATTAAAATGTTTTATATCTGAGCCTGGATGGTAAAAAGAAGTTGACAAAGAAAATCCAATATCAAACCTTTTGTTATTGGAGGCTAACTGTGGGTAGAAGTGCTGGGCCCCAAACCCTGTGACCAGAGCTGGCCAGGCCACATAATTTGTGGAGTCCTGTGCAAAATAAAAATGTGAGACCCCTATTCAATTATTAAGAATTTCATGATGGAACAGCAGAACATACAATCAACTGTGGGCCCTTGCAGATGGCCTGAATATTTGTGTTCTCCTCCAAATTCATATGTTGAAACCTAATCCTCAATTTAATGGGATTAGGAGGCGGAGCATTTAGGAGGGGATTAGGTTATGAGGGTTCTTCTTCATGAATGGGATTAGTGCTCTTATAAGGGGCTGAAAAGACCAAAGTTCTCCCCTTTGACTATGTGAGGACACAACTTAAAGGCGCCATCTGAATAAGAAAGCAGTCCCTCGCCAGATATAGAGATACAGAATCTGCTGGCACCTTGATTTTGAACTTCCAGACTCCAGAACTGTGAGAAATAAATTTCTGTTATTTAAAAGCTACACCGTTTACAGTATTTTGTTATAGCAGCCAGAATGGACTTAGATAGCCTTTCTATGTAGGGGTTCTGTGCTATCACACACCCATGAAGCTGGCCCTGCTTCTGACTCCTGCCTTCTCACCCTGACAATTTTTTACCTTTTTCTAGCTTCCCTGTTATTTGTGTGGCTTGGAAGTTTAGGGACAAGAGTTTGTATGCTGGGAATGCTTGAGATGCCGAGGAGGAGAGAGGAGCAGCGCCCCCTATTGACTGCATCAAAATTTTGTACAAACTCCTGAGAAGGCAGGCATCTCTCAGGATCTCTCTTGTGCTTTCTCACTGACGTCCGCTGTTTTTATAACCATGGACCAGTGTAAACATTTCTTTAAAATGAGCTCAGAAAAAAGCTGTGTGAATGGTTATTCAAAAGAATACAGATGAATTTGGTTATTTCAGAAATGCCTTTTTTGTGGTCAAGGGAGGAGGCATGGCTCTTTCTATTGGTCAGATTTGATGGGGCCAGGAAAAGTCAGGATACAAAACAGGGTTAAGTCCACTAAGTCAATTCCTTAAAAATAAAATCCACAAAGTCCATCAAAATCATCGTGCCAAAGTTAAAGCTCAGAGTTTTGATTAAGGGTTGATTGTAGGTGATGATAAGGTTAGAAGTGCCCAAAAGTAAACTTTACAAGACTAGGACCACAAGACAGGTTTGTGATGAGCCTTGAATATCAGGCTAAGGGGTATAGACTTTACTTTTATGGCAGTAGGATGGCATCAACATGTTTTAACCAAAGGTTTGGCATGAGTAGGTATGTATTTTAGAAAGAAACTTTTGGTGGGACCAGAGCTTATAGAAGGGGTAGTTGTGAAACGTCTGAACTTTTAAAAAAGGAAGAGAAAATTTTAGGGATAGGCAGAAGCTGAATCTTGGTGATAGAATGAATATTTGGAGGTCAGGGAGAGCGGACTTTGGTGGATTTCATATTTTGTAACTTGGACCATCTCTAATGCTGATGTTATTATTTGATATAAGGAGTACTAGAGAAAGAACAAATCATCCAATAAAATTTCTGTCCGAAGATATGAGTTTGGGGGAGGTGGGATGGTTTCCCTAATACACAGCAAGACAGTAACAAAGATGTTTATACTCTTGACTTCCACAATTTGCAGCCACATCATTAGAGATCTAGCCTATCATAATTCTTGAAGTTTTCAAGCAAAAGTAAACAGATATTGTCCAATAAGGACATTTTGTTCTTTAAATAAGGCCAAAGGGACTAGAATATAGCTGAGATATATGATGACCAAAATGTCCTGATAAAAGTTGCAATAATGTAAGGTATTACACTATACATAATATGATATACAGAACTCTATCCAGAATTGCCCATTTCCTCAATTTTGGTAAAAACAAGTTTTATTTTTTATTTTTTTATTTTTTATTTTTATTTTGTTATACTTTAAGTTCTAGGGTACATGTGCACAACATGCAGGATTGTTACATATGTATACATGTGCCATGTTGGTGTGCTGCACCCATTAACTCATCATTTACATTAGGTATATCTCCTAATGCTATCCCTCCCCCCTCCCCCGACCCCACGACAGGCCCCAGTGTGTGATGTTCCCTACCCTGTGTCCAAGTGTTCTCAGTGTTCAATTCCCACCTATGAGTGAGAACATGCGGTGTTTGGTTTTCTGTCCTTGTGATAGTTTGCTCAGAATGATGGTTTCCAGCATCATCCATGTCCCTACAAAGGACATGAACTCATCCTTTTTTATGGCTGCATAGTATTCCATGGTGTATATGTGCCACATTTTCTTAATCCAGTCTATCATTGATGGGTTGGCTCCAAGTCTTTGTTATTGTGAATAGTGCCACAATAAACATACGTGTGCATGTGTCTTTATAGCAGCATGATTTATAATCCTTTGGGTATATACCCAGTAATGGGATGGTTGGGTCAAATGGTATTTCTAGTTTTAGATCCTTGAGGAATCGCCACACTGTCTTCCACAATGGTTGAACTAGTTTAAAGTCCCACCAACAGTGTAAAAGTGTTCCTATGTCTCCACATCCTCTCCAGCACTTGTTGTTTCCTGACTTTTTAATGATCGCCATTCTAACTTGTGTGAGATGGTATCTCATAGTGGTTTTGATTTGCATTTCTCTGATGGCCAGTGATGATGAGCATTTTTTCATGTGTTTTTTGGCTGCATAAATGTCTTCTTTTGAGAAGTGTCTGTTCATGTCCTTCGCCCACTTTTTGATGGGGTTGTTTGTTTTTTTCTTGTAAATTTGTTTGAGTTCTTTGTAGATTCTGGATATTAGCCCTTTGTCAGATGGGTGGATTGCAAAAATTTTCTCCCATTCTGTAGGTTGCCTGTTCACTCTGATGGTAGTTTCTTTTGCTGTGCAGAAGCTCTTGAGTTTAATTAGATCCCATTTGTCAATTTTGGCTTTTGTTGCCATTGCTTTTGGTGTTTTAGACATGAAGTCCTTGCCCATGCCTATGTCCTGAACGGTATTGCCTAGGTTTTCCTCTAGGGTTTTTATGGTTTTACGTCTAACATTTAAGTCTTTAATCCATCTTGAGTTAATTTTTGTATAAGGTGTAAGGAAGGGATCCAGCTTCAGCTTTCTACATATGGCTAGCCAGTTTTCCCAGCACCATTTATTAAATAGGGAATCCTTTCCCCATTTCTTGTTTTTGTCAGGTTTGTCAAAGATCAGGTGGTTGTAGATGTGTGGTATTATTTCTGAGGCCTCTCTTCTGTTCCATTGGTCTGTATCTCTGTTTTGGTACCAGTACCGTGCTGTTTTGGTTACTGTAGCCTTGTAGTATAGTTTGAAGTCAGGTAGCATGATGCCTCCAGCTTAAAACAAGTTTTATTGAATTTTACTGTAATTGCATATTCCTTAGAGTGGCAATGAGATTTGCTTTACAGAGCATTTCTGATAGCTTTGAAACCTTGCAAGTTTGTAATATAAAATTAAGTAGTAATGAGAATGTATTCCTTTTTCAAGATGAAGCTGAGAAGAAAATTACCAGGATTTGGCACCTCAAAAAATCCTTCCTAATGGTAGAGATTTTTCTTTTCCCTCTTCATCTCCCAAAGGGAGTTGCCTGGGCTTGCAATTCTGAACCTATACACTGATACCACACTCAAGGTCCTGATATAAGTTTAAAATTCTTCTAAGAAGTTTCTAAAACAAAGTGTTAAAAATTTCAAAGCTGCAAAAAGCTTTTGGTTAAGATAGCTGGAAAATTCTATGATGTCATATTCTTGTAATATCTTTTTCAAATGTTTGTGTTTATAGAAAGAATGCAATTTAATTTGTAAGATTAGTGAAAAATGAGTTTTATTATTTGTACAGTTTCAAATGTGTAAGGATGTCTATGGATTGTCACAATGCCTGCTGGCTTTACTAGAATTAGTATCTGGAAACCAGAGGCGCTAAACATTCTATAATGCAGGAGACAGACTTATACCTGAAATCCTGGCAATTTTAGGTTTCTTTGAAATGTGAAAATTTTACCAGAGTATGTGTAGCTGTATTGTATATGTGTAACTCTCTTTTATTTTTCAGATGGTGGTACACACAGGTGCTCTCAATTTTCAGGGTTTCTTTATATCACTCTTCTCTAGTCTCCAGGTGTTCTAGTTGCTATTGCTGCAAATCTAACTACCCCAAACTTACTGATGTTTACAACAACATTTTTAGTATAGCACACATATTCAGATCAGAAATTTGGATAGGGCTAGTTAAGCAATTATTCTGCTCTTTGTAGCATCAACTGGAGTCATTTAGTGGCACTCAGCCAGTGGATGGCCTGGTGTGAAGGGCCGACTATGGTGTTACTGATCCTCTGGTTTCTTGGCAGAGTTGTGTGGAAGGCTGGAGTTAGCCAGGTCTGTTTTTCAGGGTGCCTACACAAGGCCTCTTAGGCATGGTGTTTACAGTGTTTTCAGCATTCTCACATAGTGAATGAGTTCCTCCAAAGAGAGTACACCATGAGAGCCAGAAGGAAGGTGCATTACTATTTATGACTTAGCTTTCAAAATCATATGTGTCACTTCTACTCTTTGTCACAGCAGTCACAAGCTCACCAGACTCAAAGGGAGAAAGCGTAGATTCTGCCTCTTAAAGGGAAAAGTGCCTAAATATTTCTATCTATTTTTTAAAAACTACAACTATGGAATTCATTCATTTAATATTAACTGAGCAGCTAATACATGTTAAACACTCTGCTAGGCTTTGAGATGGTGAAGTGGTAGATAAAATGTATGCCCTCAGATTAGGTGGAAGAAAGACAGGAAAACACATAATGGCACAAAAAAGACACAATAAAATTGTGATAAATGCTATGAAGAGCTAACCTGGTTTGGGAGCCAAGATAATCTCTCCGAAAAAAAGGATGTTTCAGCACAGACTGAAGAATGGGCAGGACATAGCCAAGCTGAGGAAAGAAGAAGCAGACATTCAGAATGAGGAAAGATGATCTGGGAAGGAAGGTACTGTTGGGAAAATGTTGTAAAATGTTTAAGGGAGAGAGAAAAGGGTTTTAAGAGTGAGGCAGAAGAGGGGGCCCAGATCAGGAGCTCATGGTATTTGACAGGAGAAGATGGATGTTCCAGCTCCAGAAGAGAGAGAAAGAGAAAAAAAATCTGCTCTTCCTCACTCTTTTTTTTTGTTTTGTTTTTGTTTTTGTTTTATTTGGGTGGGCTTTCAAGTGATTGGATGATGTCACCATATTGGTGAGGACATATTTTCTTTACTCAGTCTACTGATTTAAATGCTAATCTCTTCTGGAGATAGTTTCACAGACACACCCAGAAATAATGTTTTACCAGCTATCTGGGTATCCCTTAGCTCAATTAAGTTGACATATACAATTAACCGACACAGCCAGTATCATTCAAATATATATGATATTAATTTATATACTACTGTGCTTTACATTTATACAAAGAGTATTATGATAGATCTTGTTTTCTTTCATTCTTCTTTTTTTTCTTTTTTTTAACCATTAAAGGATCTATGCCTGAGGTAGTTATAAAAAGCATGATCTCTCAAGACTGGAATTCTTTTTTTTTTATTTTTTTATTTATTTTTTATTTTTTTATTATTATACTTTAAGTTTTAGGGTACATGTGCACATTGTGCAGGTTAGTTACATATGTATACATGTGCCATGCTGGTGCGCTGCACCCACTAACTCGTCATCTAGCATTAGGTATATCTCCCAGTGCTATCCCTCCCCCCTCCCCCCACCCCACCACAGTCCCCAGAGTGTGATATTCCCCTTCCTGTGTCCATGTGATCTCACTGTTCAATTCCCACCTATGAGTGAGAATATGCGGTGTTTGGTTTTTTGTTCTTGCGATAGTTTACTCAGAATGATGATTTCCAATTTCATCCATGTCCCTACAAAGGACATGAACTCATCATTTTTTATGGCTGCGTAGTATTCCATGGTGTATATGTGCCACATTTTCTTAATCCAGTCTATCATTGTTGGACGTTTGGGTTGGTTCCAAGTCTTTGCTATTGTGAATAATGCCGCAATAAACATACGTGTGCATGTGTCTTTATAGCAGCATGATTTATAGTCATTTGGGTATATACCCAGTAATGGGATGGCTGGGTCAAATGGTATTTCTAGTTCTAGATCCCTGAGGAATCACCACACTGACTTCCACAATGGTTGAACTAGTTTACAGTCCCACCAACAGTGTAAAGGTGTTCCTATTTCTCCACATCCTCTCCAGCACCTGTTGTTTCCTGACTTTTTAATGATTGCCATTCTAACTTGTGTGAGATGGTATCTCATAGTGGTTTTGATTTGCATTTCTCTGATGGCCAGTGATGATGAGCATTTTTTCATGTGTTTTTTGGCTGCATAAATGTCTTCTTTTGAGAAGTGTCTGTTCATGTCCTTCGCCCACTTTTTGATGGGGTTGTTTGTTTTTTTCTTGTAAATTTGTTTGAGTTCATTGTAGATTCTGGATATTAGCCCTTTGTCAGATGAGTAGGTTGCAAAAATTTTCTCCCATTTTGTAGGTTGCCTGTTCACTCTGATGGTAGTTTCTTTTGCTGTGCAGAAGCTTTTGAGTTTAATTAGATCCCATTTGTCAATTTTGGCTTTTGTTGCCATTGCTTTTGGTGTTTTGGACATGAAGTCCTTGCCCATGCCTATGTCCTGAATGGTAATGCCTAGGTTTTCTTCTAGGGTTTTTATGGTTTTAGGTCTAACGTTTAAATCTTTAATCCATCTTGAATTGATTTTTGTATAAGGTGTAAGGAAGGGATCCAGTTTCAGCTTTCTACATATGGCTAGCCAGTTTTCCCAGCACCATTTATTAAATAGGGAATCCTTTCCCCATTGCTTGTTTTTCTCAGGTTTGTCAAAGATCAGATAGTTGTAGGTATGCGGCATTATTTCTGAGGGCTCTGTTCTGTTCCATTGATCTATATCTCTGTTTTGGTACCAGTACCATGCTGTTTTGGTTACTGTAGCCCTGTAGTATAGTTTGAAGTCAGGTAGTGTGATGCCTCCAGCTTTGTTCTTTTGGCTTAGGATTGACTTGGTGATGCGGGCTCTTTTTTGGTTCCATATGAACTTTAAAGTAGTTTTTTCCAATTCTGTGAAGAAAGTCATTGGTAGCTTGATGGGGATGGCATTGAATCTGTAAATTACCTTGGGCAGTATGGCCATTTTCACGATATTGATTCTTCCTACCCATGAGCATGGAATGTTCTTCAATTTGTTTGTATCCTCTTTTATTTCCTTGAGCAGTGGTTTGTAGTTCTCCTTGAAGAGGTCCTTCACATCCCTTGTAAGTTGGATTCCTAGTTATTTTATTCTCTTTGAAGCAATTGTGAATGGGAGTTCACTCATGATTTGGCTCTCTGTTTGTCTGTTGTTGGTGTATAAGAATGCTTGTGATTTTTGTACATTGATTTTTGTATCCTGAGACTTTGCTGAAGTTGCTTATCAGCTTAAGGAGATTTTGGGCTGAGACAATGGGGTTTTCTAGATATACAATCATGTCGTCTGCAAACAGGGACAATTTGACTTCCTCTTTTCCTAATTGAATACCCTTTATTTCCTTCTCCTGCCTGATTGCCCTTGCCAGAACTTCCAACACTGTGTTGAATAGGAGCGGTGAGAGAGGTCATCCCTGTCTTGTGCCAGTTTTCAAAGGGAATGCTTCCAGTTTTTGCCCATTCAGTATGATATTGGCTGTGGGTTTGTCATATATAGCTCTTATTATTTTGAAATACATCCCCTCAATACCTAATTTATTGAGAGTTTTTAGCATGAAGGTTGTTGAATTTTGTCAAAGGCTTTTTCTACATCTATTGAGATAATCATGTGGTTTTTGTCTTTGGCTCTGTTTATATGCTGGATTACATTTATTGATTTGCATATATTGAACCAGCCTTGCATCCCAGGGATGAAGCCCACTTGATCATGGTGGATAAGCTTTTTGATGTGCTGCTGGATTCGGTTTGCCAGTATTTTATTGAGGATTTTTGCATCAATGTTCATCAAGGATATTGGTCTAAAATTCTCTTTTTTGGTTGTGTCTCTGCCCGGCTTTGGTATCAGAATGATGCTGGCCTCATAAAATGAGTTAGGGAGGATTCCCTCTTTTTCTATTGATTGGAATAGTTTCAGAAGGAATGGTACCAGTTCCTCCTTGTACCTCTGGTAGAATTCGGCTGTGAATCCATCTGGTCCTGGACTCTTTTTGGATGGTAAACTATTATTGCCACAATTTCAGCTCCTGTTATTGGTCTATTCAGAGATTCAACTTCTTCCTGGTTTAGTCTTGGAAGAGTGTATGTGTCGAGGAATGTATCCATTTCTTCTAGATTTTCTAGTTTATTTGCATAGAGGTGTTTGTAGTATTCTCTGATGGTAGTTTGTATTTCTGTGGGATCGGTGGTGATATCCCCTTTATCATTTTTTATTGTGTCTATTTGAGTCTTCTCTCTTTTTTTCTTTATTAGTCTTGCTAGCGGTCTATCAATTTTGTTGATCCTTTCAAAAAACCAGCTCCTGGATTCATTGATTTTTTGAAGGGTTTTTTGTGTCTCTATTTCCTTCAGTTCTGCTCTGATTTTAGTTATTTCTTGCCTTCTGCTAGCTTTTGAATGTGTTTGCTCTTGCTTTTCTAGTTCTTTTAATTGTGATGTTAGGGTGTCAATTTTGGATCTTTCCTGCTTTCTCTTGTGGGCATTTAGTGCTATAAATTTCCCTCTACACACTGCTTTGAATGCGTCCCAGAGATTCTGGTATGTTGTGTCTTTGTTCTCGTTGGTTTCAAAGAACATCTTTATTTCTGCCTTCATTTCATTATGTACCCAGTAGTCATTCAGGAGCAGGTTGTTCAGTTTCCATGTAGTTGAGCGGCTTTGAGTGAGATTCTTAATCCTGAGTTCTAATTTGATTGCACTGTGGTCTGAGAGATAGTTTGTTATAATTTCTGTTCTTTTACATTTGCTGAGGAGAGCTTTACTTCCAACTATGTGGTCAATTTTGGAATAGGTGTGGTGTGGTGCTGAAAAAAATGTATATTCTGTTGATTTGGGGTGGAGAGTTCTGTAGATGTCTATTAGGTCTGCTTGGTGCAGAGCTGAGTTCAATTCCTGGGTATCCTTGTTGACTTTCTGTCTCGTTGATCTGTCAAATGTTGACAGTGGGGTGTTAAAGTCTCCCATTATTAATGTGTGGGAGTCTAAGTCTCTTTGTAGGTCACTCAGGACTTGCTTTATGAATCTGGGTACTCCTGTATTGGGTGCATATATATTTAGGATAGTTAGCTCTTTTTGTTGAATTGATCCCTTTACCATTATGTAATGGCCTTCTTTGTCTCTTTTGATCTTTGTTGGTTTAAAGTCTGTTTTATCAGAGACTAGGATTGCAACCCCTGACTTTTTTTGTTTTCCATTTGCTTGGTAGATCTTCCTCCATCCTTTTATTTTGAGCCTATGTGTGTCTCTGCATGTGAGATGGGTTTCCTGAATACAGCACACTGATGGTTCTTGACTCTTTATCCAATTTGCCAGTCTGTGTCTTTTAATTGGAGAATTTAGTCCATTTACATTTAAAGTTAATATTGTTATGTGTGAATTTGATCCTGTCATTATGATGTTAACTGGTGATTTTGCTCGTTAGTTGATGCAGTTTCTTCCTAGTCTCGATGGTCTTTACAATTTGGCATGATTTTGCAGCGGCTGGTACCGGTTGTTCCTTTCCATGTTTAGCACTTCCTTCAGGAGCTCTTTTAGGGCAGGCCTGGTGGTGACAAAATCTCTCAGCATTTGCTTGTCTGTAAAGTATTTCATTTCTCCTTCACTTATGAAGCTTAGTTTGGCTGGATATGAAATCCTGGGTTGAAAATTCTTTTCTTTAAGAATGTTGAATATTGGCCCCCACTCTCTTCTGGCTTGTAGGGTTTCTGCCGAGAGATCCGCTGTTAGTCTGATGGGCTTCCCTTTCTGGGTAACCTGACCTTTCTCTCTGGCTGCCCTTAACATTTTTTCCTTCATTTCAACTTTGGTGAATCTGCCAATTATGTGTCTTGGAGTTGCTCTTCTCAAGGAGTATCTTTGTGGCGTTCTCTGTATTTCCTGAATCTGAACATTGGCCTGCCTTGCTAGATTGGGGAAGTTCTCCTGGATAATATCCTGCAGAGTGTTTTCCAACTTGGTTCTATTCTCCCCATCACTTTCAGGTACACCAATCAGATGTAGATTTGGTCTTTTCACATAGTCCCATATTTCTTGGAGGCTTTGCTCATTTCTTTTTATTCTTTTTTCTCTAAACTTCCCTTCTCGCTTCATTTCATTCATTTCATCTTCCATTGCTGATACCCTTTCTTCCAGTTGATCGCATCGGCTCCTGAGGCTTCTGCATTCTTCACGTAGTTCTCGAGCCTTGGTTTTCAGCTCCGTCAGCTCCTTTAAGCACTTCTCTGTATTGGTTATTCTAGTTATACATTCTTCTAAATTTTTTTCAAAGTTTTCAACTTCTTTGCCTTTGGTTTGAATGTCCTCCCGTAGCTCAGAGTAATTTGATCGTCTGAAGCCTTCTCTCAGCTCGTCAAAGTCATTCTCCATCCAGCTTTGTTCCGTTGCTGGTGAGGAACTGCGTTCCTTTGGAGGAGGAGAGGTGCTCTGCGTTTTTGAGTTTCCAGTTTTTCTGTTCTGTTTTTTCCCCATCTTTGTGGTTTTATCTACTTTTGGTCTTTGATGATGGTGATGTACAGATGGGTTTTCGGTGTGGATGTCCTTTCTGTTTGTTAGTTTTCCTTCTAACAGACAGGACCCTCAGCTGCAGGTCTGTTGGAATACCCTGCCGTGTGAGGTGTCAGTGTGCCCCTGCTTGGGGGTGCCTCCCAGTTAGGCTGCTCGGGGGTCAGGGGTCAGGGACCCACTTGAGGAGGCAGTCTGCCCGTTCTCAGATCTCCAGCTGCGTGCTGGGAGAACCACTGCTCTCTTCAAAGCTGTCAGACAGGGACATTTAAGTCTGCAGAGGTTACTGCTGTCTTTTTGTTTGTCTGTGCCCTGCCCCCAGGGGTGGAGCCTACAGAGGCAGGCAGGCCTCCTTGAGCTGTGGTGGGCTCCACCCAGTTCGAGCTTCCCGGCTGCTTTGTTTACCTAAGCAAGCCTGGGCAATGGCGGGCGCCCCTCCCCCAGCCTCGCTGCCGCCTTGCAGTTTGATCTCAGACTGCTGTGCTAGCAATCAGCGAGATTGCTAGCACAGTCAGTGGGCGTAGGACCCTCCGAGCCAGGTGTGGGATATAGTCTCGTGGTGCGCCGTTTTTTAAGCCGGTCTGAAAAGCGCAATATTCGGGTGGGAGTGACCCGATTTTCCAGGTGCGTCTGTCACCCCTTTCTTTGACTCGGAAAGGGAACTCCCTGACCCCTTGCGCTTCCCAGGTGAGGCAATGCCTCACCCTGCTTCGGCTCGCGCACGGTGCGCGCACCAACTGGCCTGCGCCCACTCTCTGGCACTCCCTAGTGAGATGAACCCGGTACCTCAGATGGAAATGCAGAAATCACCCGTCTTCTGCGTCGCTCACGCTGGGAGCTGTAGACCGGAGCTGTTCCTATTCGGCCATCTTGGCTCCTCCTCCCAAGACTGGAATTCTTGCATTCAAAACCTGGCTCTGTGATTTTTTAGCCATGTTATTATGAACAAATTATTACACCTCTCAATATCTGTTTCTTCATTTAGATACACTATAATGGAGACAACATAGGACTGAATGAAAATAATGCAGGTTAAAAAAAAGCTTGACAGATAATAAGTGTTCAGTAAATATTAGTTGTATTATTGTCATTTCCTAGAAGTGCATTCAACGTTTGCCGCTATTGCTATCATCATCAGCTAGTTCATCATTTCTGACCACTGAATTGGACTGTCATATGCATCCACCCCATTCTGTTCATCCAGTTCCCTAATGCTGGACAACACATAGATGCTGTATTAGTCAGTTTGAGCTGCCTTAACAGGATACTACACAGTGAGTGGCTTAAACAACATGAATTTATTTTCTCACATTTCTGGAGGCTAGATGTTTAAGATCAAGATTTCAGTAGGGGTGGTTCCACTGAGGCCTCTCTGGCTTATAGAGGTCTCATTGGAAACCTGAGACCTCTACAAGCCAGAGAGGGGAGAGAGACAGACACAGAGGGAGAGAGACGGAGCGAGCGAGAGAGAGAGATCTTTGGTGTCTCTTCCTCTTCTTATAAGGACACTTGTCCTATTGGATTAGAGCTCCACTTATATGACCTAATTTAACCTTATCCCCCTTAAGGCACTGTCTCCAAATATAGTCATGTTGGAGGTTGAAGCTTCAACATATTAATTTTGAGGGGAAAGCCATTCAGTCCATAATAAACTCCAATTCCCTTCAGTTTTCCTGGAGCACACACAAACAAGTAGTATGGCAAGTCACAGAGTTATGTGCTTACTCAGTTCTATTAAATACTGCTAAATTGCTCTCCAGAATGGCTGTTGCAAATATATTGCCCCCTAATTGAGGCAGGGGTATGAAGGCCTGGACATCTTAAGACAATTCAGGGTAATTCTGAAGGCCATTCCAGATCCAAAACCATCTTGTGGGGTCAGTCAAGGCTTTCTTGAGTTTTCTCCTGACTTCTCCTTCTGCCCAATCCTGCTTCCTTCCCTTCCCGCCACAGATGTTGATCCTAAGGACATTCTCCAATAAATATTCTACGTGATAAACTCTGCTCAGAGTCTGCTCTATGTTATTTTTAGACTTTAAAATGCAACCAATTTTATGTAATTAAATTATATTAACTTATTTGAATATTCAATCTTAATAAACGGACACAATACACTCATGGGGAGGCTACCTTATTCCATTGAGCTATTGAAATGCTTGTTTTTAGGAAAATATATTCTGTTTTTCATTTTCTTCTGCTTTTTCTATTTTTGAAAAATTAGTTACATCTTCCCTGTAGATTTATAAAAAGAAATAAAATATTAATAAGCTAAAAAGTTCATTTTCTGACTCTAGTACTATATTTATTACAACTGAAATTTATTATTTGTAATGAGTCATCTACAAGTCAATAAATTATGTTTCTGATACTAATCTAAAAGGAAATAGTCCATTATTTTAAATTCAGTATGAATGCTAGTCAGAGACTAGTAGCATAATAAAACTCAGTACTATTAAATAAGTCATCTTTCATTTAAGCCCATCTGAGCACCATTCAGAAATATATCTATTGGGATATAGATATAAATCTTTGCCCCTGTGTGGGTGAGATTTTAGACAATCAACTTCTGGAGTTTTATAGCTGTTATAAGACTATAACACCTGGGGTTATATAGGTGTTATAAGGTGTTATATAGGTGTTATAAGACTTGTATTTTGCCAGCATTATGAGATCAATAAAATTGATATAAATTCCAAATTATAAAATTAGCTGCAAGACACAAACATTTACCATTCTTTTCTCCTTTTAACTGCTGATGTCATTTATTTTTACTACTTTGCCTGTGTGCCTGGTTTGAAATATTTACAAGATAGTGTTGTTCCTAACTTTTCTTTGGTTGTGTTTAGAATTCTCCTGTGATTATATCCCTTCTATTTTCTGTTTTATTCTTTCTCTTTTGCTGTCCACTGTGTTGAGAGGATATGAATCACTATAAATGTTCTCCATAGAAATATTTTGAGTTGCATTGTTTGAAGTGTCAGTGACAGCTCTGGAATAATATTTATCTTCATTTTTCTAAATGTACTTAATTTATTACTCTCACTATATGCCTTGGATATATCTTAGGCCTTCAAAGTGGTTTCCTACTCTAGGGCACACATAGCGGTTGTTTGTCCAGCCCTTCTTCTCCGGCAACGGCTTCCTCTTTCCATGGACAAGACTGGGTAACAGCAATTACTTTGAACAGTGTGATTTTGCCCAGTCTCACTGCCACAGCTAATTGGACCAGAGTGCGTAATTAACCCAAGATGGGTCAGTCAGCATCCCTGTTCCGAGACTACAAAAAAGAAGAAGTGATTATGTTTCAGACAGCTTGACAGGTAACTTCAGAAGGGTTGGTGCTTGGGAGCTGTGGTGAGTGGAGCATCCTCCATGTGCTGTACACATGCCACATGTATCATCATGTAATGTCATATACATGCAGAAAGAAATGGAAGAGTGAAATAGATTGATAGAAGCAAAAATAAATTCTGTGTAGCTATAGGTCTTTGATTCTATTACCTTCTTGAGGTCTAGCCATCTCTCTGACTTTGAATTGTGTACAGGGCACTCTACTATAGCATTATCTGCTTCTGTTATTTGAAATTAAAAGTGACCTACTTAATATATTAGTTCTTTTGCTTGTTACAGTAATGAAATGTATGCCTTTAGGAATTCAACATCAGAATATATAAATGAATTGACCAAAAGAAATCATAAGCATGGTGAAGAATTTTAATCTACTTCTCTCAGGTTGTGAGAGATCAAGTGAATAAATACCAAGCATTTAGATTTGAATGAGGCTGTTAGTAATCTTTAGTAGTTATATTTTTAACTTTGTACCTAAAAATAAATGATACCACCCACCTCCCCCCAACCCTTTTTTTGAGACAGGGTCTCACTCGTCACCTGGGCTGGAGTGCAGTGGTGTGATCTTAGCTCACTGCAACCTCCACCTCCCAGGCTCAAGTGATCCTTCCACCTCAGCCTCCTAGGTGCACCACTGTGAGTGGCTAATTTGTGTATTTTTAGTAGAGACCGAGTCCCACAATGTTGTGCAGGCTGGTCTCAAACCCCTGGCCTCAAGTGATCCACCCACATTGGCCTCCCAAAGTGCTGGGATTACAGGCATGAGCCACTTGCCTGGTCTGATGCACATTTTTTTTAAACATCCAAATATCATTTACGTAATTTGATCACGTGTTAGTATGCAAAGTAAATTTCAGTAAGTTCTAAAAATTTGGTGCTCTTATCAATTTTCTTTGCTCATGATGTCATACATTTAGATGCCAATAATGAAAATTTAACTTAAAATATCTCCTGTTACTTGGAACTTTAAGAAAAACAGTATAAATAATTATTCAACCAAATAAGAATTCAAAAGTGAGATTATAGGTTATACATGCATTATTGAAAAGTAGAACACTATATATAAAAACACTGCATGTGGGACCACAGCCCATAGGCAAGCAAAGACTCTTTATTTTATTTTTAAACAAAAATGATTGAAAATAAGTCAACCAAGTATTCAGCTCAGGAAACATTTAAATCAATAAGCTTGAAAAAGAGAAACAATATGAAGAGGAGGAGATAAATAGCAGCAAAGAAATAATTCGATTAGCCAACAAAACAAAAAATTAGAATTTTTATTAAAGCCTAAAATGGAATTTCAAAATGAGCAGTAAAATAAACAAATGTCTGACAAGTTCAACTAAGAAAAAAGAAAGAACAAAATGCCTGTAGAATAAGTGAGAAAATGTACATAACGGAAGGAATGACTTTTAGAAAAGTATAAAAAGTAACATTGACTCAAGAGGCAGTTGTTAATTTTACTAGTTCAACAAAGTACAAGAAATCGAAAGCTTTGTTAGCTATCTGTCCCCATAAATGTATTAGGTCAAGGTCTATCATAACTTTAAAGAAGTCCTTTGTTATTTAAATTATTCCAGAGAATAAAGTCAAATTTCTCTATTTTTATTTAAAAGCATTATTTTAGTGGCAGACTAATTAAGACATAGCCTGTTCTGCTTAGAAAGGAATATGATGAAGGTATATATTTTTTTAGTTTTGTTCTTCCAGTTTTAATCAGAAGAAAGATTTAACATCTCATACAATGTTATAATGCCTATATGCAGACTTATACTTTTAAATGATACAAATTAAAAAAATTCAATTAACATAGGTTGGTAGTTCTTTTTGAAATTAATAATTCACTTAGAGATTACATATTTTTCTGTGCACATTCACATTTGATTATTGTTATTGACAGGACATTCACAACTTTTTCAGTTTCAGTCTGAATAAGTTGAATAGTTTAATGTAGAAAATGTAGAGTTTAAATGAAGAAAGAATACAGAGCTTGTGGTAAGGAGACATGAGGTCTAGTATCAGATATTCTAATTAGTGGAATGGCTCTAGGAAGTTAAGTTCTTTGTCTCAACCCTGAAATGGGTATAATAACTCTTTTTTTTTTTTTTTTTTTTGAGACGGAGTCTCGCTCTGTTGCCCAGGCTGGAGTGCAGTGGCGCAATCTTGGCTCACTGCAACCTCTGCCTCCCAGGTTCTAGCGATTCTCCTGCCTCAGCCTCCTGAGTAGCTGGGACTACAGGTGCATGCTACCACGCCCGGCTAATTTTTTGTATTTTTAGTAGAGAAGGAGTTTCACCATGTTAGCCAGGATGGTCTCGATCTCCTGAACTCATGATCTGCCCGCCTCAGCCTCCCAAAGTGCTGGGATTACAGGCATGAGCCACCATGCCTGGCCCGTATAATAACCCTTTTACCTAATTTATATATAAGTAGAAAATAAGCTTTATATGAACACACTTGGATAAAGTTAGTAAACAAATACAAGTTCATAGTCGTGTAAGGTGTTATATTCATTTTGCCTTAATATTTATCATTTTAATAGTTTAATCAAAATAAAGACCACATATTTTTAGGATTATAAAACTCAGTAGTCACATAAGATGAATTAAAATAGTAAAGCTAGTAACAGAAAAAAATTCTTATTCTATGTTGCCTTTTAATTACAATAAGAAATTAGAGTTGTAAAAATACAGGTAAAATATCATGAAAATATTCCTATTTACTGTACTTTGGAAGTTCGTGCCCAGAGCAATGAATTCTCTGGCATCGATTACTGCTTCAGGTACTCAGAGATTCAAATAATTCACACACTCTGTCAAACAGATCTGTCTGAGATGTGTCCATCATTCCATAAGCCAGATTAATTTTGTTATTCTTCTTGTCAGTGATTGCATCTAACTTCTCAAATATGTGTTCTTCAAAGATGAGATGACAAGTAGAGCACTCAAATCCTGTCATGTCCACCCAAACCACAAAAATTTAGATTATTTTTCATACCACATTTAGCTGAAAGTCACCAACTTTTCCTTTGATTTTATTTGTCACTATGTTGATTTTGTAAGAGTTATAATTTCTTCTGAAATGCTTCTTGCCAGACTAAATAGTGATGCAGAATATTTGGTAGGTGAATAACTTACTGTGTAAATTAAACTATACAAATTAACGTTATTTTTAACTAAAGAATTTAACTTTTGAAAGTTAATCAGGAAAGAAATACATTTCATTATGTACTCCAATCAGCTAAAATTGAGCAGACATATCTCGATCAATACCTTTTGGCTGCACCACCAAACAACAACAACAACAACTGGCTGGATTTCATTTTCTAAACTGGTGGTCCAGTATCAGTAGCCCAACCTTGGTGAGTGGGCACTCCTTTCCACATGTTGACCCTAGTAATCATTTGCTCTTCCAACATAAATCCCTTCTGTAAATATCCAAAGGGTCAATTCAGAACGTAATAAACTTAAAATAAGCTGGGCATAGATGTCTGCTTAATATCTAAAGGAAATAAGAAAAACAAAGGAAAAAAAAGAAAGTCTAGAATAAAAAAGAAACTTCTTCACTGAGGAAAAAGATTCTCATAGGTAATTTGGTTTGATGTCACCCCAACCTACTTTCTCTGAAAATGTTCTTTCTTATCACAGGGCTGGTCTCAGCATTCTTCTTTGTGATATGTGACTCTCCCCTCTTTACATCAACACAGTTGATTGGATGAACATGGAAACTTCATCCAAACTGAGCTAAATCAATTCTCCTCCCTGAATATTTGAAAGAGGTGTTTATTTGGGCATCATCAATTATTCTTTTAGAGCAACTGAAAATGAAAGTTGATATCAACTGGGAAGCTGTATAGAGGCTGCTTTCTTTCTTCCAATTGCACTGAAAAGAAAAAATCAAGTTCTCAGTGGAGAGGGACTGGGGATAGGGAAGTGGGTGTATGCGGGGGAGAGAGAGAGAGAGAGAGAGAGAGAGAGAGAGAGAGAGAGAGAGAGAGAGAAAGAGACTAAAGCCAATAAAGCCAAACAATAGAGTGAAATTTCTTCCAGCATTTTGGCTACTTTCTAATCTCTCATTTCAATTCATCACGAGGTTCCCGATTCCTCTTTTTGCATTTTTGTGAGACACTACCATAACTTTATAGATACATTCTCCTTTTTTCTTAAGCCAATTTTTGGTTTCTGTTACTTTAAACCAAGAGTTTTATCTACGACAAAGGACCAATGAGGTTAACTAAGAGAGAAGGAAGTAAAACACATATAGAGAGATCAAATAATAATTCATGTAGCCAAGAGTCCAAAAAAACAGTCCCAGGACAAATGTGTGTTAAGAGTCACATCTCCATGTTTTATGTCACTTTGCATTATTCTTTAGCCTGGATGGGCTGAATGAGAACATAAGAGATGCAGATTTTGGAGGTCCATATATCTGGAATATGTCAAACTATCCCTTCCAAAGTGTAATACTTGCACATTAAACTGTGAGCACTAAAATACTTGATGGTATTTGGATTTTGGAGACAATATACATTACATTTGAATATGCTGCTCTAAAATATTTATTAGTAACCCATAAGACTGCTGGATTTAAGTGAGCCTAGAGTAAGAAAATATACTCTAGCAAGTCTAGGATACAATACAAGCTGCTCCGTCCATTGGGAGCACAGACACACTATGTCCATTGGGAGTATGACCCAGCAAATTCAACACTCGACATTTCTGTGGTAATTAGTGCTTCTGTAAGAAGTTGCTGGATAGCCCCAATAAGGGAATCACACTGTAGACCCCTAGAGTTTTGGAGCAAACCATGTTCTCTTCAGCAGATAACTAGTCTTTTAGAAATAGTTCTGGTTTGATATTGGACACTGGCAGAATCTGAATGCCTAACCATGGGACAGCAAGTGACCATACAATTAAGTTGCCAGTCATGATCTATATGTTAATTAGCTCATCATTTTATAAGGGTGGGAGTATGCAGCAACAATCCATCAACACATGGAAAGAGATTAGGTTCTAAGAAATATGGAATACAAAAGGAATCTGCATGAACAGATAGTGCTGACTCCTACAATAGCTTCTCTTTCTACATTGCTTCCTGTTCCTGAGTCTGCATTCATGGCCTCATGGGCATTTTCTCACAATCAACTGACTTAGAAGGGAAAAATGCAGTCTGGTACAAATGGTTTTGCCTAACATGCTGGCACCAGCTACATTTATAATCAAATCAGGGGCATCCCAGAAAGACGAAGATGAAGAAAAATCCTTCCAATGGGCAGTAAGGTGAGTAGTACATTTGGTTGCCCCCTTTTTTTCACTTCCTACCACTCTTCTCGAGTGCCCCAGACAGATTATTTCCCACTTTGTACACAGCATATAGTGTTAATACTGACTTGTCACTATATCACAAGGATTTGACCTTGCCTTAGGTGTAATCTTGAAGGCAGAGCCTATGTTGTACCCACATTCTCTTCATCTAGAAGATCCTTGGTGCACAGTAGGTGCTTGGTAACTATTCTTCAAACCTCTTTATGGTATTAGCTCCTAGATGAATATGTGTGAATATGCTTGTCATTGGGATCAGGGAGGCATGACAGGAGGAATTATGGTTTAGTAACAAGGCTGGTTTTGGAGACAGAGGGAAAATCGTGCTTCTGCCTCTTACCAGAACGCTTTATACATCAAGAAACCTTCTGAAATTCAACTCAATGTCTATTTTTCAATGATGAAGGAGGATAACACTTATCTTGTACTGTATCACCAGTTATCTGGGATTAGATTTGAGGGATGAGACAAACCCACCTTTGTGGAAGTGGGATAAGGTTTTTCTAAGGAAGTGAAATGATCACATTTTGATGGTTTGGAGAAGGAGGGGTTCTCAGAGAGAAAGGTGAGCCTGGGGATGGGAAGTGGGGAAGGCAGAGATTTGGGGTGTGTCTGTGAGAGGAATCCCTATTAAGGGTTGACTTTTTCATGGTTGTTTACATGGTCCTGTGGGTAAAAATGATATTTCCCCAGTCATATTTTAATTCTCTCTAGTTATTCACAGCCCGTCTGCACAGCCTTGTTTGGGGGTGTCTGGGTGAATAAAGAGAACAAGGAGTATCGAGGAGTTTGGCTGACCTGGATGCACTGTATCACTGGTTTAGAGAAATCTGTGGTCCGGTTCTGCTCAGTGGCCAGCAGCACACTTGGAGCCAAGGGGAAAGCATGCAATGAAGTCTCCATGGCATTGTGGAAGACTCAGAAGCAGACATTTGGTAATCTCTGTTTATCCCACATACGAATCTAGATAGTTGTCTTGAAGGCATGGAAAGATAATGCTTGTGTTATATAAAAATTAGCAATACTGAATATGAACTGCCTGCCTGGAGTGCTCAGCAATCAGCTGCCTTTTGTTGTCATTATGTTCATCCAATCTGGACACAATTATTATTCAAAGGTAGGATAGCACTAAATGTAGAGCACAAGCTCTAAAGCCAGAGTGCTTGTGTTTGCATTCTGGCTCTAATATTGATTAATTTTGTGACTTTGGTCAAGTTAATTAAATGATCTATAACTCAGTTTCCACATCAGTAAACTGGGGAAATAGGATTTACCTCATGAGATTGTTGTGAGGATAAATAAGTTCATCAATGTAAAGTGCTTAGAAGAGTGTCTGGCATATGGTAAGTGCTTGATAAATGTTAGCTAAAAATGCCACCTAGCCATTATAAAAAATGTCAGCATTAGATGAAATTGTAAGGTTGTGTAGACTCAGTGGTTTCCTGGAGCTGCTCTGTACAGTTATGAGAGCTGACTGTGCCATCTTTTCCCAACTTCATGCGGAGTGATAAGATAATAGCTTAAAATCACCATATTTGTGTATTCACACCATTGAAATTGGCAAATGTTACAAATCTAGATCCCCCCGACTCCAGAACTGGTTGTTAGACATTTATTAGCTGGTTATGTTTATCAGAGAAGAATCTTTTGTCTTTGGCAGGTGATTCTTTGAGTTCTACCAAAGGATTCAAAGAATTATTATTACCAAAGATTATTCAAAGATTAGTTATTATCTTTGAATAATAATTATTACAAAACAATTAACTTTCCATTTTCTTCAGACTGTGAATAGGATCCAAAGCTTTTCCCCCATCCAGTAATGTTATAGGTTGCATTGTTTTGGGAACTCTGGACTAGTCAACATGGGTTTTCATCCTGACTTCATCACTCACTAGTTTATTAACTTTGGGAAAATCTCTTAGTTTTTACGAGCCTTTTTTCCCAATAAAATATTAAGAATAATATCTGACAAGCCTACAACACAGATTTCTTAAGTTTAAATGAAATAATACCTTTGAAAGTACTTTATAAAGTCCTTATATGCAAGTTTTTTTTTATCATATGGTACCATAAAAGGAAAGGTAACAATAAAAATCTTTCGACTTTGAATTTTTGACTACAGTACCATTGTCAAAGCCAAAGTGAGTATAATTTCTTCACAAATTATTTTATCCTTATAGAAAAAGCTGGTAACATCTCTTAATGCCCACAGAACAATTGTGTAAGGATTCTTTTCTAACAAGAGATCAACAAAATTGATTTCTATGTATTCCTACAAAGACTGCTTCCTGGGACTACTGTGAAAAAATCTATTATATTCGAAGTTTTTTTTTTTAACTTAGCAGGCAGCATTAGGAGTGAGTTATTTTTGTTCAGATAATAACAGATAAATATTATTCTGCAGTTTCACAGCAACATATGCTCCTTCTTATGAGAAGTGATATAAGCATTTCTTGGTGTTATAAGCTCAGATTTCATAGAAAAATGGGTGTCCTAAATAAGAATCAGAATTTTTTAATATTGGTACATTCCATATGTCAATCATTCTTTGGACTGAAAAAGGGAAAAAGTTAAAATCTGTTTCAGCAAGCATATAAAAAGTCACTGTCATAGAGAAGATAATGAATGCTCTAAGACATCCAGACTTTCAGAAAAATGTCATATCTGAGTTGAGTTGAGAAGAATCTGTGTTTATTTTAATCATGCAGCTCCTTCGCATTCAATTTTTAGGAAGTTTTATTGAGAGTAAAAATTTAATGACATCATATAAAAGGTTTTGTTCAAATTCACATTCATCTGAAATTTAATATAACTTTATTTTGTGCCAGGTGTGTTACTCTGCTTATACGGTTTTTCCTAAGTGTTAATAATATAATACTGGGTATTCTTTAACTATTTCTCATTATTAATTAGGAAATAATGTGTTAAATTTAAATGGATTTCTTTAAACTGTAGAAGCTTTAAAATGTCAAGATGCACTATGACTCTCCCAGATGGGAGTGTAGTATGAGATGTTTTCCAAATTTATTTGACCA
The DNA here is from genome assembly GCF_000001405.40 of Homo sapiens. Lineage (NCBI taxonomy): Eukaryota > Metazoa > Chordata > Mammalia > Primates > Hominidae > Homo > Homo sapiens. The sequence goes on along the minus strand of NC_000005.10, from coordinate 42,723,894 downwards.
CAAAATTATCCATTCAAGGGCATTTTGGAGATAGATATTCACCAGCGTACATACTGGTAAATCTATACTAGCCGTTTGTCAGGTGAGCTACCAAAGTAATGTGATAAACACCATTAAACATGGTTCAGAAGAAAAAATCACTGATTGGATGGTGGGAATCAGAGGAGAGTTCATGAAGGAGGCATTAGAGCTGGGCCATGAAGGATGAAGGGAATCTTGACAGGCAGGGTTGGTAAGTGGGAGCTTTTTAGTTGAAGGAGGAGGCATGACCAAGAACATAGAGATGGGAAAGCACAAACTTTGTTCAAGAAATGGCAAGTGTCTTTTGCTACATATGCAAGGGGATCTTCTTAGGCTCAACCACACATTCCCCAGATTCACCATACTTGGTTCCAGTCTACTCAGAGGGATGTAGGACAGAAGGGATACAGCATCAGGCTTTCTGCTTTAGAGTCACAGTAATGATAACAGTGCATGAAGCAATCTAAACAGCTGTTTATATAGCTATCCAGAAGGTCTTTTCCTTCCTCTCCTCCTACAACTGGCAGCTCAGATTCAGAGAAGGTATTGGGCAGGTAAAGGAGTCTCCCAGGCTTAGAAGCTCTATGCCTCACTGGAGCCAGTTACTCTTGTTACATCTCCAGAAACATAGCTTCCAGAGTTTCTATAGGGGAAATGCTTAATTACAAGTCACTACACTCAAGTCCAAAGTATAACTTATCTCCAGGTGGTTATAGTTTCTCCCTATCCAGATGTCATTTATCAGTCAGAGATCATTTAAACTATGAGCAATGTTTCCCGTGTAACATAGCTGACATCATATGCTCATTAGATTTCCACAGCAATAGAGTTTGAATGTTAACCAAACATCAAATTCTTATTCAGAAGCTGTGCCCTTTACATCTAGGTCTTAAATTTTAAACTCTCAAAGGAGACTGGGGCAAATTATGTGGGATCTTGGATTCCAAACTAAAAAGTTTAGATTTAAGTAACTTCTGGTTTTTCTGGTCACTATTTCTTACCCTAAAACAAGCACATAACAAGACATATTTTGGTATACAAATATGTAAATATGTAAATATTATAGCACTTGAATAAAGTGTTAGTAGAAACTTTGAGAAATTGAAATGCTGAAAGATGTGTGTAGCCATTTTCAACACACCATTAATCTTCTGAAATAGAATTGTGTTATTTCAATCCATGGAAGTAGGCAGGCTTTCTTTTCCCTGTACTCCTCATATCTTAAAGCATCTATATGAAGAAGCCCTGAGGCTTCACTCCATGGTTCTTTCAGGTAATGGCTGCTCACAGGGCAGAGGGCAGCAGGTGAAGACATTTTTTTTTTTTAACATAACACTTGAGTATTATAAAAAGTTGTGGCACTTTGCATTTGACTTGCTGAAGCAATACGTCATTGTTTAGTAGGTTTATCAATGTCCTCACCAGATTCCTACATCTCAGAATCCAGTGCCTGCTCAGGAGCCTAGGGTTCAGCAGCTACCTCACCTGCATCCTGCCTCCTGCTGTAGGAATCTAAACTTCATGGCTCTCTCAGGCTCCTACACAACTTACCTAATCAGCCTTCCTCCCAAGCCTGACTTATTAGCTGATTCCCATGATAACAAGCAGCTAGTCCAATAAACTGACTTAGGCCAATGGGTGAATGGCAGAGGAAGAGCTGCTTTCCTTCCTTCCAGACAACATGCTCAAGCTGGAAATGTAAAGATAATGCTCACATATCACTCTCCCTCATCCAACACCCATGTCATTTATTTTCCATGATGCATCAAATACACAGCTCTATGAACCTTTGCCTATGGGGAGTCACAGCCTAAGGGGAGGGCCAAGCCAGTGGGATATTTCTGAGTTGGGCTTTTGTCTTCTCAAAAAATAAGGGAAGGGGGATATGTTTCCCTCTCTATATCTCAGCACATAAAAATCTCCATACCCAATGCTGATGTATTTGATCCAGTGGTGCTAAGCTCTCCTTACAATGATAATTCACAGTATACAGAGTGGTTTAGATCATTTTTATGTTGGTGTTTGATAACAGAAGCACACTATCAGGAATCCAAGAAAATAAATTTATTAAACTTTGAAGGAAAAAATCCACAGACATAAAGAGAGTTAAATATAAACTGCCAGACACAACTAGTCATACTAGTGAATAATGGCTTATGTGGCCACCAAAGTACCAAAATGACATTCTGAGACTGATTGAGGTATTTAGCTATTTTTGGCTATAGAAATGTTGTCAGGCTGTTGTGAAATAGTAAGATAGTCTTCCAAACACACAGCTTTGAATTGAATTAGGTTCTACACTGATGATACTTTATATGAAACTAAATTATGTAGCTCTTGGAGAAAACCATAGCAGCAAAGTAGCAGAAAATCTATCAAACATCTATTACAAATAACATGTTGAACTTTAAACACTCAATTCTAGCTTTTCATAGTCCTTCCTGCAAGAGAGAGAATTTAAAATTATCAGCCATTAAGCTTGCTTCCTAAAAAAGGTCTGCGATAAATGGGAAATACTATTTAAGTTAAAGCTAACTTCAAAGTTTTAAGCTTTTTTAAAAAATGAGAAGTATTCTTCACTGAGATGAGATTCTTCTTTTTCATAAACCTTTTCAGGAGATATCCCAATGCTCTCAAGAATGATGTTTAGGGCTGGGCACGGTGGCTTACACCTGTAATCCCAGCACTTTGGGAGGCCGAGTCGGGTGGATCACGAGGTCAGGAGATCGAGACCATCCTGGCCAACATGGTGAAACCCCGTCTCTGCTAAAATACAAAAAAATTAGCCTGGCATGGTGGTGCGTGCCTGTAGTCCCAGCTACTCAGGAGGCTGAGGCACGGGAATCGCCTGAACCTGTGGGAGGTGGAGATTGCAGTGAGTCAAGATCGCGCCACCGCACTCTAGCCTGGCGACAGAGCGAGACTCTGTCTCAACAACAACAACAACAACAAAAATGAATGATGTTTAGGATATTAAGGGATTGCAAAATGATTTCTAAATTACTGAGGTTGCTTCTTTTTCTTCTGAATGCTTGCTTTGAGGCCAGTCCACTCAGAGAGGAAGTAAAAAATGATGAAACTTCTTCTTTTGCTATTTTAAATAAATCCTATAAAAGATTTAGTGAGAAAGAAAGTTTCTTTTAGCGGTTTAAATAATTTTCAGTTATCTGTGGGGACTGAAAACCTTGTTTCTTCTGTCTATGTTCTGTTCATTATCATGAAAAATGAGTATGTGTCTGGTTATAGGCTGTGAAACAAAAACTTATTTCTTGAACTCTTTGTTTCATTACCCAGTTAATTTCATTCGATTTGCTTCAACTTACAAAATGCTTCTTGTACCTTATTCCCTTCCTGGATAATTATGTAGCAAAACCAAGTTGGGTGTGAACAGATTCCGCTGCAGAGGCTATAGATCTTATCTCTCACCATCTGCACGCACTAAAAAACTCACTCCGCGTGCAATTGCAGCACTTAAGTATCTTGGTCAGTGTGAACCAGCTATGATTTCTACTTCTCTTAGCATGTATTTTTTTTTGGCATCAACCAAGATTTGGTGAAGAAAGGTTTTCTTTTTTGCTTTTACTTCTTTTGGTGCCTGGTAAGTTGATCTGTGCAAACGCTTTAAAGTTTTCTAAATTAACAAATACTTGTTTAAAAATTCAGATAAAACAATTATATTCCAATAATGCAGATTACTACAATCATTTTAGAATTGTTGAAGGAGTCTGGGGAGGTATAAAAGGGCTTTGTAAAAAACGAGTTTGTTTTTCTTTAGGTGCATTGGCCAAAACATTAAACCAGCTTTAGACTGTAGTTGCTACACTCCTTAGAGGGGTCATACCAACTGCAGTACACAGTGTGTAGTGTAATATAAAATAGCCATGCTTGAAGTCTAAATTATTAAAAAATCTTTATCAACTTTATGTCAAAATAAATGTTTTACATATCCAAACTATTTTTGCCTTCTTGCTTATAGTTTAAATTTCTCACCTCTAGTTTTTAGTTTTTTAAATAAAAAAGTTTCTTATTTAAGAAACAACAAAAAATTAGCCTGTGCTATGGTTTGCATTCAATTTTCCTGAACCGCAAAAGCCACCTGATTTTTTCGCTTTTTCAAAAAGCGTGATTTACTATACATTAAAAACATAGCCATTCAATGCTTAGTATCAAAAATTAACACCCACAATATTAAGACAATCACTGCTACTAAACAGTCTGACACAATTCTTTAAAATATTTACATTGCACAATAGGAATATCTATCTGATTAAGCATTCTTCTTATTTTTTTAACATCATATTTCAACATTTTGGGAAAAGGCATTTTAGAATCCATACCCCATCCTGTCACTCCCCCAAAAAAGGTTTAAACATTGTTTTGGCTTAAACGTTATTGCCCCAGTCAATTCTTTGCTATTAAATACGTAGCTCTTGGGAAACCAAAGAAAGGCTAAGGCATGATTTTGTTCAGTTGGTCTGTGCTCACATAGCCACATGATGAGAGAAACTCTTTGTCAGGCAAGGGCAAGGCAGTCGCATTGAGTATGAGGCCCTGTGGGGACTGTACTATATGAATGGAGGTATAGTCTGGGACAGGCATCTCAGAACCTGGAACATGTTCTCCTGTCCCAGGCCTCCCAGCAGCAGTGGTAAGGCTTTCTGTGGTGATGTAAATGTCCTCTTGGTTTAAGCTTGGCTGTATGTGTGATTCAACCTTGATGTGAGGAGCCACAGGGATGCACTTTTTGGCATCTGCCTCACAGAAGTAGGCATTGTCCATAAGGAAGTTTTCTTGGCAGAGTGAGACCATTTCCGGGTGCATGTCACATTGGGACATCCCTGCCTTATTCTTTTGGCCCGGGGAAAGGACCACACTACCTGCTGGTGTAATGTCGCTCACCTGGGCATAAAAGTCGATGTTTGACAGTGAACTTGGATTGCTTAGCTGAATATGGGCAGCTTGGTGAGTTGACTCAGCTCCTTCAGTAGGAAGTGGTTGTGGTTTGTTTTTCTCTGCTTGGATAACACTGGGCTGCTGAGTAGCAGGGCAAGCATCATGATAAGGTGAGTTATTTTGATTCTTCTGGTCAAGGCATAAGAGATCTGCTTCCCCTTTTAACCTCTGTGGCTGAGCAACCTCTGAGGTACCCTCATGTATGTCATTGGCATTGAAATCAGTCTCCAGAATGTCAGGTTCACAACAGCTGGTACGTCCAGAGTCGCCATCCTTCACCCCTAGGTTACTATGTGATTTCTCATGGTCACTGCTTAGAAGTCTGTCTGTGTCTGATTCCTCAGTCTTTTCATCTGGCTCATCAATATCTAGCTCAATAAATTCAACCCAAGAGTCATCACTGTGGAATTCGGGTTTATAGCTATCATGAATGGCTAAGATTGTGTTCACCTCCTCTAATTTTCCTTCCTAGAAAATAGAAAGAAAATGAAGATCTATGAAAAGAAACTCATAATAATTAAATGAATTAGCAAATAATGTTCAGAGATTAATTATGGTTACAATAAGAACAACAGTAACAAAACATATAAAAAAACATAAATTAGTGTGTAACTTTTTAAATACATATGACGTTTTCTTATTTTTAAGAAATAGAATATTTAAAAAAATTTTCTCCAGGAGAAGAGACACAAGAAAATTGAATGTGATATATATAGCTTACAGAAAACCTTCAACATATGACAGGAGTCTTCAGGTGTTAATTAGTACTAGCTACAATTTAGATAAAATTATTAGTTACCTTGAGGAGATCTGGATCGATTCCTTTAATCTTTGGAACTGGAACTGGGGGCAGAATCAGCATTTTAATCCTTGAAAACATATAAAATTTTGGTTTTGACATCTTAAAAGCTACATATTCTCAATTATAGCAAAAGATAGAAATAAAATATTGGCAATACTATTACTTTTTCCAAATATTCTGGTACTTTATATAATTGGAGTGTGAGAAACAGAAGAAAATATTAGACAGTAAATGAGAAAGAAAAACTGTAGAAGGAAAAAAAAGAACAACTAAAAAACCCAAAAAGCCTCATCTGAAGTCTATTAAAAGAAAATGTGGTTTTCCCACAATTGTTTTTTTCTTAATGCTTTTTATTTTCAGCCAGATTTAGTATTTGAAAGAAAGAAATTTAATTTCATCTAAAGCTGATTTCCATTTCAGCTATAAGGCAATTCTAGTGTACATCTCATCAGTAATTTGTACAGGAAAGAAAGAAAAAAGAGTCAATCCACATGGAGCCAAGATTACTTACACCCTTGAAAAAGGGTAGACTTGGGTAGGTTAGCCATATAGTTCATATTAATTATGAAATTATCTAAGATGATCTTATTAACCAGGGTTTTACTACAGGGTTCATTTCAGATGGGACAGATTAAATTTTAACTATCTCTAACTAATCAGTATGGGTTTATATATACAATTCTAGGATGCACTTACATTTTTTGTTCCAAATCTTTAAATTATTTTTTGGTCATAAAAATGAATAAATCATGTATCTATTTTGTACAATTAATAGTGTAATTGGAATTTATGGTGTTTTTAATTTTTTTTAAAACTTTTTGAGACAGGGTCTTACTTCATTGCCCACACTGGAGTCCAGTGGTGCAATCATAATTCACTGCAGCCTCAAACTCCTGGGCCAAGCGATATTCTTGCCTCAGCCTCCTAAGTAGCTAGGACTACAGGGTGTGCTAATTTTTGTTGTTTCATTTTTTGTAATGGAGTCTTGCTCTAGTCATTGCCCGAGCTGTCTGGAACTCCTGGCCTCAGGGCAATACTCCCGCCCCATCCTCCCAAAGTGCTGGATTTATATGCTATAAGCCATTGTATCTGGCCTGGAGTTTATTTTTTAAAATCAAATTATAGCACTGGAAAAAGGCTCAGAGATTATTCCAAACAATTCATTTAATTTTTTAAAAAACTCCTGACTATTCAGAGATGACACTGTCATGAAGAGGTGGTAACCAGATTTTTGGATATCAGTTACTATTCCACTCAGTGTGAATGGTCAGTCCAGTCCATTCCATAAGGAGTACATTTTCTCAGTATTTCCACTTGCTATTTTACCTAATCCAAGTAATAAGCAAAAATCCATTTTATAAATTGCATTAAGTAGCCTCTACTACTCAGTGGGGCAAATGTTAAAGCATATTGTTACTGATGAATTACAGATATAGAAATAAGTAATACAAATTATTAATAATAACTACTATCATTTTTTAGTGCTTCTGATAAATCAGACACTGTGGGATATACTTTGCACTAAACTATGGGTCACTAAATTAAGGTCTGTGGGCCAAATCTGGCCTGTCACATGTTTGTGTAGATAAAATTTTATGAGAACACAAGCATCTTCATTCATTTCCATTTTGTTTATGGCCACTTTCGTGCTACAGTGGCAGAGTTGAGTAGCTGTGATAGAGACTGTATGGCTTGAAAAGCCTAAAAATGTACTCTAACTCTATGAAATAAGTTTGTGACCCCTGCACTAAACATTTCACTTAATCCTTATGACTCCCAGGGAGGCAGATGATATATCTGTGCAAAAACTTGGAAAATTAAGCAACATGTTCAAATCATGCATTCATAGTTGGCACAGTTGGGGCTCAAACCCAGAGAACCTGACTCCAAATCAAAACCCAGGTTCTTTGTGTCATGCTGCTGTTTCGCTGTTTTGTTTTTTTTTTTTTGATTCTGCATCTCGAAATTGGTATTTCAAATTCCCAAAAACATAAAAAGATGGAACATAATTCTAATTACAGGAAGCAAAGGTTTCCAAATGGCTGATGTTTGACTTTGTGACGTGTGCTTTTCCTTTTTAAATAGGATGATGCATTCAGGCATGCGCTAGTGGTTTTCTAGTGGTTGTAGTGACCTTATGCCACAGTGGCAGAGCATAAATCTAAGAGGCCCAAGCAGGTCATGCAGAGGAATAAAGCAAGCCAGTTGCAAAGTCATTAGGAGGAATGAGGATGGTGGCAAATTAAAGAATGTGAGCCAATCCCAAATAGGATAGCTGGTTGTCTGCTGCAGCATATGCTGCCTTGTTTAGTTTCACTACATCTTTCATTTTTTAAAAGATAATCCCCAAATCTGGATTTTTGTGTGAAAATTCTCTATTTTACAAACACTTTGTAGGAAAATCTTCACTCTGAAATCAAAACTAATTAAAATAAAATAACAAAATATGAATCTGTAGGCTGAATTTCGCTACTGGTTTGGAAATTCTATTTTAGGCTGATTCAGTTATTTCTTTCCTCAATTGGTAACAGCTCAAAGGCTGGGAGGGTTGTGTGGTAGGAACCAGTATAATAATAGCCTGACTTGAAACTATGTTTGTGGTTTTGTATCAGATACAAATAAAATTATAAATTTTGCTAGAGTTGACTCAATTAACTGGATTAAAGCAGGGTGAAGTGGGTTGGATAATGAATTGTGGACTCAGAAAATTTCAAAGGCATGTAGGACCTGACGCCACTTTACAGCCCTACAGTTCTAGGAAAAATCTCGTTCTTTGCAGTATCAATTTAATTGTTGGAACTACATGTTCTGTCCATACTTGCTGACAAATATTTGCTACTATTTCCCACTTTCAGTAGAACATGCAAATTTAGACAATGATAAGCGTTTTTAATGGGCAAATAAAAAATAAAGTTAATTCTTTCCTACAGAAAATTCAATTTAGTGCAGGAAATTTGGGAGAACAATAAAGATTTCAAATCAATTGTAGAATTTGGTGATTTTGACTAAACATTATAGTTAAGCATTTCATTATTTATAAAAAGCACTGTATTAGAAGTAATATGTTTTCTTGGAAATCCTACTTTTTGAGAGGATAATTTTTTCTTCCTAATATTGTTAACTAATATAACTAAACAACATAACAAATTGACTTGGCCTTCACAATGGCTAGAAATTCACAGCTAATACTAAGAGCTAATTACTTTACATACCTCGTGAGTTTATCTACTGAAGTTATGTATAAATTTTCCCACCAAATATATAGATTAATAAACTGAAATTAATCAACAGAATAATTTGGCTTTTTTGTTGTTGGCATTACTTAAATACACAAATTAAAATTCTAAAAATATATTTATTTATTTTCCTGAAACAATAGAAAATTGTGTTGTGATTTATGATAGCTGCTTTTTTGGAAAACAGGAATGTTGCCAGAAAGTTAGGTGCAAAATGGAATTCAGAATGAATTTTACTTTCCAATTGGTTTATATTATAAAATTGGACATGAAGCTCTACTGAAAATAACCCTTTCTGCATTCAGTTAGACTTTTAGCATGCTTGACACTATAGAAATCTAGCGTCCCAATAATTCTTCTTCCTAACAAAATTCTGTTTTGAAGTTTACAAGTGCTATACTACCTTACAAAACAAAGTAAAATCTTTTAAAATATATTAACATAGATCTCATTTTGATTTATAGATGCCTCTTGGCTTCAGCTGGAGAACGTATTTTCAATTCTAGGTAAGGGGATCAACTGTCTTGGTTACCTGGAACTGAGGGATTTCCTGGCACACCGGACTTGCATTGCTAAAAACCAGGAGAGTTCTAGGCAACCTGGGAGTGTTAGTCACCTTAATTCTAGGAGAAGCAACAAGATTAACCATTGGGACTTTAAAAATACCTTAAATGGGGCCAGGCGCGGTAGCTCACGCCTGTAATCCCAGCGCTTTGGGAGGCTGAGGTGGGCAGATCACCTGAGGTCAGGAGTTCGAGACCAGTCTGACCAACATGGTGAAACTGTATCTAAAAATACAAAATTAGCTGGGCTTGGTGGCGCATGCCTGTAATCCCAGCTACTCTGGAGGCTGAGGCAGGAGAATTGCTTGAACCTGGGGGGCGGCGGTTGCAGTGAGCCAAGATTGCGCCATTGCACTCCAGCCTGGGCAACAGAGTAAGACTCCGTCTCAAGGAAAAAAAAAAATTGTCTGTATATAAGGACTGTATCAGACTCAGCCAAAGGCTCAGTGATACTTTGAAGTCCTGGAATGAATGGGTCAACTTGTTGAGGACTTGAGGGAAAGAGCTAGCTCTTGGATAAAGAGGTACATATCACAAGGTATGCATAGTCACCAGCCTAAGCCTCTTAATGTCCTGTACAAGTCTCCAGATAGAATCTAAACCTCTAAATTGTCTAAGATAAATACAACAAATTGAGTTTTATATGAATGGTAAATATATAACTGGAGATAAAAGTGTACTAGGTTAACTAAAATTTCCACTCATAATTTGACAAAGAAAATATCAAATAACAAATAGAAACACATATGGAAATCTAAACAACTGGTACAAAATACCAAAGAATACTACTCCACACCTACCTTTGCTGTTTAGAAAATAAGAATACAAATAGCATCACTGTTAGCCCAAATATTCCAAAGATAATAATTAAGAGCCATGGAAAGTAGAAATCTGAAACACACAAGAATATTTCGCTTTCAGAATTACGAATAGTTGAAGCACAGTTTACATTTCCCTTTCCCTTTTCACAAAAAATTCATAATTTGTATTCATCTAATAAAGTCAGTGATTTCTCTTGATAACCACTGAAACAGAATGCAACGACTTAGTTTTTTTCTGTTTTATGAACATCTCTGTCCACTTTTCAAATCTCCTCACATTAAAAAAAAACTTCAAAATAAAGAAACAGCATATAGTTCAAAATCAATGTGTGTTTTATGAAAACAAACAATCTGCTTTAAGCATACTATGTGTCCAGGGAGTATCATAAAGGTTTCAGCTTCAGTAAAAAAGTGTTGCTTATTAACACACTACCTAAATAATGCCCACTCGGTTTCTTTTCTATTTTTTTTTAAGTGTGGTGATTTTCTTAGTTTCCAGATTGAAGATTTATCAAAAAGATGAAGGCAGAGTTTTTATTGATAAATCATGACAGAAACTTCTTAGACACAAATAACATATATTTTACAGCTATAAATATACGTATTTATATCAATAAATTAAATTATTAAAATATAATAAATATATCTCATGTATATTATATACATAAAATTGACAGAAAGATCACTACTGAGGCTCCCATCTTCAGGTTTTAGTATACTTTGTATGAGACTTGGGGGAACCTGTTTGTAAAACTTCTATTTCATTCCTTAAGATTGAGTACCTGCCAGCTACTTTGCAGTTGGTACCCAGTATTCTTACCACAGAGGCAGAGGCTAACCACTTTTTTATAAAAATGACAGATGAAATTTACCTTAACATTGCCATTTAAAATGTAGGTCTTTATGCTGAAATAGTCTTTTCTTATTTAAAAAGTTATTAAAATCCCCTAGGGAGATATTATAAGCATTTTAAAGAATTGGTGGGGGAGAAAAAATCATTTTTTGTCTTGTAGTGTCTATAATTTCATATCAATGACATATTCAGGAAAATAACATAAAGTTAGAGCTTCTTTTTTGTTAGTAACAGAAGGAAAAGGCAGTTTAAAAAATATATGTTAAGTGAATTAAATGCCACTACACTAAGCTTAAGGGTGTATAGCTATTGTACTTTTAAGGCCAGAATTGCATAATATCAAATAGTTTGGAAACAAGAATTCAGTTAACTAGAGTATAGAGAAAATGGTGCTATAGAAATTTTCATCCTAATGCTATTTAGTATCATGAGATTCTACCTGTATAGTAAATACAGAAATATAAATTTATTTTCTATGTAGCTTGTGGTTGTTTCATTAACAAACATATAGCCCTGTAAACTTCTGTTTTCAATGAAGATGGAATAGAGCCATTTCCCATTTGAGAATAATAATACTCTATACTTTCTGCTCATCATTAATCAGTTTTCTTTATTTCTGTATCTAAAAGTTTTAATTCTTTTATTCTAAATTCATAGGTCCCATTTTTAAAAACTTTAATCATTGTTGTGATTCTCCTACATAGGGTTTTCAAATGTTCCACGTCTCCTTTAAGTATGACTGCCACACTACTTATTAGGCATTCCTCTAGGTAAAAGCCACACCTCCGCTTTCTAAAACCGTATGCACCTGCTGTTGACTACCTATGCTGACTCAATATTGGGTTTCCTCTTAGATGTCACATATCTATCCATCCATATAGATACATACTTTCTTCCCTAACCATCAGTACAGCTTTTTTTCCTGATTATAAATTCAAAACAAACTTACTATAGAAAATTTCAGAAATATAAAAATATATAAAGAAAAGAATCATCTGAATTCTACCATCCGGAGATTGCCACCAAATTCCTGTCTCTAAACTTCCACCTGCCCCCCGGACTTCTCCTGAATGAAAAATTTGGAAACTAAATCTTCCTTCTGCTTTTGCAATGAACAATATCTGTTACAGATAGTGAGCTCAAGGTCTCTCATCCTGATATCTGATGTTAATATATTTTGATTTGGACAACACACTACCAGTGCAGGGGTGAATCAACTGTTATATTGACAAAAGCCAGGTTAGCTACTATTTTAATCTTTTATTTCTTTTACCTTCTTCACATGTAAATTGGCTCATCTGAGGAAGTGTTACATAGAGCACCTCACTGAACTCGCCATAATTTCCAGAGTTTCGTTGTTTGGATCTCACACGCACTTCATATTCCTTATCCACTTTCAATGAGTACACTGGAACTGATGTTGTCAATATAGGGTCCATCTTTCAAGACAAAATATAAACGCATATTGGCCAAAGAGTCAACAACTCAATGCAATGAACACTACAGGTATTCTCCCATTTTTATTCAGAATGGATTTTTATAAAGTAGGTAATATTTTAAAATGCATTGTGAGCATTTGTTATTTAAAGGAAGATTGATGTAAATAATCATTTTGTAAATGGATAATAGTTCACAAATTTAGTTTGGCATAAACCCAAAGATATGATAGACTTGCTTAAAGAAATGCAGCTATAACTGTGCATTAGTCTTCCAGATAGTTAATAAGATTAAAGTATATTAGAATTACTCTGAATGGCAGAACTATATGCCTACATATCTGGGATATTATACTTTTGTATGAAGGGAGACATAAGAACAGAAAAGCAAACATGTTTTCACACCAAAATAAATTGTAGCCATAGCAAGTTGTATATCAGTGTTTGATGGAAATTCCGGGTAGTCATTCACATAATCACAGAATTGGAAAAGGTCCTAGAAAAATCATAATTGCCTTTATTGAACTTCCAAATACTTTTATTAAAAGGAACTACATACCTAATCTGCTTGCTCTGGAAGGCTTAAAGCCACCATAAAATAGTTTGCTATTTAAAATCTGCAAAGAAAAGTCACCGGAGTTCTTTGGTAAGAAACATCTAGGTCTCACAACCCTTAAGGTCAGGATATTCCTTTACCTTCTCGGGGAGGGGTAGAGTGAGACTGTTAGACTTTTAACACATATTGCTATCAAAGAGGTATACTCAACTAGTGATGGTAGTTTCCTCCAAGTCAAATACTCAAAGCAGTTATTCAATGTGCTTTTATACTTTTTTTTGGTAGAACACCTTGTTCCTGTTTATAGAAAACTTTAAACACTCGCGTTTTCAACAGCATGGATTTTCGCATAAACAAAATTCTCATAATTTGTTTTATTAAGTCAGCAGCTGGGCCTTCAGCTTCTAAAACAAGTTTTTCTTTTACCTCAATAGTTTCTACTCACAAAGTATCTTTTTTTGCCTCATGTGTATATGACAGGGTTTGTTTGTATTTTTTATAGAAGCCTCTGAATATATGGGATATTTGCATGCCTAAAATGCTTTCTTTAAGGCAGGACACTGAATACTGAACTTACTTTATTATTTTTTTCTTAAGTTTTTTTTTTAAAGCCTATGTTTTCATCCTCAAAGCCCTTATTTCTCTGTTATTGTCACCAATACAATTTCTTTAAAGATTTCACTAATAGGATCAAAAAAGGGCCCTCAGTGATTCAAGTTGTGGTCCTCTCTTCATATTCCCTCAACCCTCCACACCAGCCACACCAAACTCAGATTTCGAGTGGCTCCTACTTACGTGGCTCCTATCATACCTAACCCTGTCATCTGCCTGTGCGGGGAACTGTTTCTCATCCAAGTCTAAGTGCAAGTATTGAGGAGAGCTGGTATTCTAAGTCTTTGCTGGTACTTTTCCCCACTCTATTCTGCCAGATAATATACTTCTTCTATTATTAATTATGTTTCATTGTGCAAATTTAGTGATACACACCTTTCTATGTTACATTGTAAATTCCCCAAGATCACTCATTATTTTTCATTTCCAAAGTCCAGTGCAATATCAGGTATACAGTGGGTCCTCAAGATATGGCACAGATATCATGAATAATTCCATGCTATTCATTAAGCCTTTAAAAAGCTGTAAGTTATTGGTTTACTAGATAAATAGCTGTAAACAACCACATGGTCATGCAAAATGTATTTACTAAAAAGGGCAGCCAGGCACAGTGGCTCATGCCTATAATCCCAGCACTTTGGGAGGCCGAGGTTGGCAGATGACCTGAGGTCAGGAGTTCGAGACCAGTCTGGCCAACATGATGAAACCCTGTCTCTACTAAAAATACAAAAATTAGCTGTATTAGCTGGGTGTGGTGGCTTGCGCCTGTAATCCTAGCTACTCAGGAGTCTGAGGCACGAGAATCACTTGAACTCTGGAGGTGGAGGTTGCAGTGAGCCGAGATTGGGCCACTGTACTCTAGCCTGGGGACAGAGCAAGATCCTGTGGGGGGGAGAAAAAAAAGCACACTGCTAAGCAAATTCATATTGCCAAATGGTAACATGAATTCCTGATGCAAGCGACACACACTAGGTCTTCCCCCTTTACCTATAAACCTGTTTTCTGCTTATGACGCCTGTGCTTCATAACCAATTATATTGTTTGTTTCTTCAAGAGATAAATAAATTATTATATATAAGCCCCTGGTCTTTGTCCAAGACCTTTGTAAATTACCAAACTTATAAATATCATGAATAAAAGGTATAAAGAAAAAGTTAACTGACCCCTTTGGTCTACCTAACGAGATTTAGCAGAGGTGCCACGAAAAGTGCAACAAAGCCATGTTGGGATATAGCCCTGAACAGTTGATTAACAAAGTTACATGCTCACAAGTACCTGGCACAGGGTGGGAGTTTCAAAGTGGTGGCTCAGTGAGACGTAACTATATGCCATGGCTTTTAGGGATGAAATGATGGTAACTGAATTGATGAATGCTAACATGCTGATTTATATCTTTGTTTTTTTCTAGGTTGTTTAACTTTTTTATTTCAGGACTCCTTTACACTCTTAAAAATTTGAGAATCTTAAAGAGTTTGGTTTAGTTGGGTTATACCTATCACTATTTACAGTATTAGAAATTGAAATGAAAAAATTTTAAAATCCTTATTTTTAAACTGAAAATAATAAATTGATTTTGTTAAATAATATATTTTCATAAAAATTATTGTACTTTCCCAAACAACAAAAAAGAGAGTGAGAAGAGTGATACTGTTTTACATTTTTGCAAATTTATTTAATGTCAGACTTAAAGGAAGATGACTGTATTTTTATAACTGCTTCTGAATTAAATCTATTAGAATGTGCTATTTTCGTAAATGAATAAAACCTGGCCTCACACAGATAAATAATGAGGAAAATGAGGAATATTTTAATAAACTTTTCACATAATTGTGAACATTTCTGTTTAACAATAGACTAAAACTCAAATGATAAATTCTTACAGGTTAGTGGAAAAATGAAACCTGAAACTCTACTGATGAACTTTTTGTACTTTGTTATATTTAAATTAACCATTCCTCACCAACAGACCTATCTTACAAGAACTGCTAAAGGGAGGTCTTTAGCTGAAAGAAAAGGAGGCTAATGAGTAACATAAAAACATATGAAAGTATAAAACTCACTAGTAAAAGTAAGTACACAGTCCAATTTAAAGTAGTCTAATATTTTCATGGTAATATGCAAATCACTTTTTAGAATGAAGGTTAAAAGACAAAATTATTAAAAATAATACTAGGTACAATAATTTGTTAAGAAATATGCAATATAAAAAGATGTAAGTGTGACATCGAAAATTTAAAACGTGTGTGTGTGTGGAGTATGTGGAGTAAAAGTGTAGAGTTTTTTATGCAAGAAACTTAAATTGTTATCAGGTTAAAATAGCCTATTATAGCCACACACACACACAGAAACCTAGGAATACATTTAACAAAGGAGGTGAAATATCTTTATAAGTAGAACTATAAAACACTGATGAAAGAAAATGACAGATAACGCAAATGGAAAAACATTCCATGCTTATGGATTAGAAGAATCAATATTGTTAAGATGACCATACTGCCCAAGCCAATCTACACATTCAGTGCAATACCTATCAAATTATCAATGTAATTTTTCAGAGAATTAGAAAAAACAATTGTAAAATTCATATGGAAGCAAAAAACAGCCCAATTGGCAAAGCAATCCTAACTAAAATGAATAAACCCAGGGGCATCACATTACCTGTCTAATATTTTCATGGTAATATGCAAATCACTTTTATTTTAGAATGAAGGTTAAAAGATAAAATTATTAAAAATAATACTAGGTACAATAATTTGTTAAGAAATATGCAATATAAAAAGATGTAAGTGTGACATCAAAAATTTAAAATGTGTTTGGGGGGGCGGTATGTGGAGTAAAAGTGTAGAGTTTTTTATGCAAGAAAGTTAAATTGTTATCAGGTTAACATAGCCTATTATAGCCACACACACACACAGAAACCTAGGAATACATTTAACAAAGGAGGTGAAATATCTTTATAAGTAGAACTATAAAACACTGATGAAAGAAAATGACAGATAACGCAAATGGAAAAACATTCCATGCTTATGGATTAGAAGAATCAATATCGTTAAGATGACCATACTGCCCAAGCCAATCTACACATTCAATGCAATGCCTATCAAATTATCAATGTAATTTTTCACAGATTTAGAAAAAACAATTGTAAAATTCATATGGAAGCAAAAAACAGCCCAAATAGTCAAAGCAATCCTAACTAAAAAGAATAAACCCAGGGGCATCACATTACCTGACTTCAAATTATACTACAAGGCTACAGGAATCAAAACAGTATGGTACTGGTTAAAAAAGAAGACACATAGATCAATGGAACAGAACAGAGAACCCCAAAATAAAGCCTCATACCTGCAACCAACTAATATTTGACAAAGTTGACAAAAACAGGAAATGAGGAAAACACTGTTTAATAAATGGTGCTGGGTAACTGGCTAGTTATATGCAGAAGATTGAAACTGGACCCCTTCCTTTCAACATGTACGACTATCAACTCAAGATGGATTAAAGGTTTAAATGCAAAACCCCAAACTATAAAAACCCTAGAAGAAAACCTAGGAAATACCATTCTGGACATAGGCCTTAGCAAAGGTTTCATGACAAAGATGCCAAAAACAATTGCAACAAAAACAAAAATTGACAAATGGGATCTAATTAAACCAAAGAGCTTCTGCACAGCAAAAGAAACAACTGAAAAAACAGATAATCTACAGAATGGCTGAAAATATTTGCAAACTATACATCTGACAAATGTCTAATATCCAGAATCTATAAGGAACTTTAAATCAACAAGCCAAAAACAAACAGTCCCATTAAAAAATGGACAAAAGGCATAAACAGACACTTTTCAAAAGAACACAAACATGAGCCAACAAGTGTAAGAAAAAATGCTCAACATTACTAATAATTAGAGAGAAAGGCATATCAAAACCATAATGAGATACTACATCACAGCAGTCAGAAAGGCTATTATCAAAAAGTCAAAAAATAACAGATGCTGGTGAGGTTGCAAAGAAAAGGGAACACTTATATCCTGCTGGTAATAATTCAAATTAGTTCAGCCATTGTGGCAAGCAGTTTAGCAACTTCTCAAAGAACTTAAAAGAGAATTGTCATTTGACCCAGCAGTCCCGTTATTGGGTATATACCTGAAGGAATATAAACCATTTTACCATAAAGACACATGCATGCGTGTGTTCATCATAGCACTATTCACAATAGCAAAGACATGGAATAAAGAAAATGGTACACTGGATAAAGGAAATGTGGTATATGTACACCATGGAATACTGCTCAGGCGTAAAAAGGAACAAGATCATGTCCTCTGCAGTCACATGGATGGAGCTGGAGGCCATTATGCTAAGCACACTAATGCATGAACAGGAAAACAAATACCACATATTCTCACTTATTAGTAGGAGCTAAACATTGAGAACACATGGACACGAAGACTGAAACCACAGATACTGGGGCCTACTGGAGGGTAGTGGGTGGAAGGAAGGTGAAGATCAAAAAACTACCTTCTGGGTACTATGCTTATTACCTGGTGATGAAATAATCTGTATGGTAAACCCCTGTGACATGCAATTTACCTATATAACAAACGTGCACATGTATCTCTGAACCTAAAAAAATAGTTAAAAAGTAAAAAATAAAATCAAAAATATCTTGAGACAAAAATGGAAACAACATAGCAAACCTTAAGGAATGCAGTAAAAGTCGTTCTAAGAGCAATGGAAGTTCATGGCAATAAATGCCTCCATCAGAAAACAAAGATCTCAAATGAATAACCTAACATTTTACCTGAAGAAACCAGAAAAAGAATAAACTAAGCATAAAGTTCATAGAAGGAAGGAAATAATAAAGATCAGAACAGAAATAAATGAAATAGAGAATAGAAAATATTGAGATGGTTCCATAATTTTGTTTTTGGTTCTAGTAATGTGATGTATTATGTTTATGTATTTGCGTGTGATGAACCATCCTTGCATCCCTGGGATAAATCCTACTTGATCATGGAGAATGATCCTTTTAATGTGCTTTTCAGTTAGCACATTAAAACAGTAGAAAAGATTAATGAAACAAGTTTTTTTGAAAAGATAAACAAAATCAACCAATCTTTAGCTAGACTAAATAATAAAAAAAGAGAAAGCCCAAATTAAAAACAAAATCAGAAATGAAGGAGGAGACATTACAACCAATACCATAGAAATACAAATGTTCATAAGAGACCATTCTGAAAAATTATATGCATGAGAAATGAATAAATTCCTACACACAACAACCTACTAAGACTTTCTTGAAGAAATAGAAAATCTAATAAACCAATAATAAGTAAGGAGATTGAATCAGTAATAAAAAGTCTGTCATCAAAGAGAAGTCCAGGACCTGACAGTTTCACTGGAAGCTTCACCGGAACACCAATCCTTCTCAAACTTTTCCAAAAAGTGGAAGAAAAGGGGATACTACCAAACTATTTCTTGATGCTAGCATTACCCTTATACCCAAACCATGAAAGGACACTACAAGAAAAGAAAATTATGGGCTAATATCTCTGATAAATACAGATGTAAAAATCTTAAACAAAATACTAGGAAACTAACTCAAAAGCACACTAAAAGGAACATTCTCCATGATCAAGTAGGATTTATTCCAGGGATGCAAGGATGGTTCATCACACACAAATACATAAACATAATACATCACTTTAACAGAACCGAGACGAAAACCATGGAACCATCTCAACAGATACAGAAGAAGCACTTGTCAAAATTCAATATCCTTTCATGATAAAAACCCTTAACAATTAGATATAGAAGGAATGTATTTCAACACAATAAAGGCCATATATAACAAACTCACATCATAATAAACAGTGAAATGTGGAAAGCTTTTCTTCTAAGATGAGGAACAAGACAAAGATGCCTACTCTTGCCATTTTTATTCAATGTAACTCCTCTACTCTATTCTACTCGATTCAAAATCCTAGTCAGAGCAATTAAGCAAAAGAGAGAAATAAAAGGCATCCAAAATTGAGAAGGAAAAAGTTAAATTGTCCTTGCTTACAGATGACATGATTTTATATATAGAAAACCCTAAAGACTTCAACAAAAAATTGCTAGAACAGATAAACAAATTCAGTAAAGCTGCAGGATACAAAGTCAACATACAAAAATCAGTAACATTTCTATACACTAATAAGGAACAATCTGAGAAAGAAATAAAGAAATCCCTTTCACAATATCTATAAAAATAAAAATAAAATAAAAGACCTAGAAATAAATTTAAACAAAAAGGTGAAAGATCTGAACACTGAAAACTGTAAAACATGAAGACAACACAAATAAATGAACAGATAGCCCATGTTCATGGATTAGAAGAATTAATATTGTTCGAATGTCCCTGCTACCTAAAGCAATCTACAGATTCAATGCAATCCTTATCAAAATTCCAATGTCATTTTTCACAGAAATAGAAAAAGCAATTCTAAAATTTGTATGCAACTGCAATAGACTATGAATAGCCAAAGCAATCTTGAACAAGAAGAACAAGGATGAAATCATCACTCTACCAACCTCAAAACATAATACAAAGCTATAGTCATCAAAACAGCATGGTACTGGCATAAAAATGACATAAACCAATGTAAAAGAATAAAGTGTTCGGAAATAAATCCACACATTTACAGTAAATTGATTTATCACAAAGGTGCTAAGAATACACAGTAAGGAAAGGACTCTGTCTTTAAATGTTGTTGGGAAAATTGGACATCCATATGCAGAAGAATGAAATTATACCCTTATTTTACCTCATATACAAAAATAAACTCAAAATCGATTAAAGACTTAAATGTAAAACCTGAAACTGTACAACTACTGGAAGAAAATATAGGAAAAAGCTCCATGACATTGGTTTGGGCAATGATTTTTTGGATATGACTCCATTGGGAACAGGCAACAAAAGTGGAAATAGATAAACGGGATTACATGAAACTAAAAAGCTTCTGCACTGCCAAGGAAACAATCAACAGAGTAAAAAGACACTCTATGGAATGGGAGACAATATTTGCATACATCTGATAAGAAGTTACTATCTGAAATATATAAGGAACTAAAACAATTCAATAACAAGAAAATAACCCAATTAAAAAATGGGCAAAGGACCTGAATATAAATTTTTAAAAAGAAGATATAGAAATGGCCAACAGGTATATGAAAAATGCTTGACATCTTTAATCATCAGGGAAATGTAAATTTAAACCACAATGAGCTATCAGCTCACAGAAGGCATAGAGTGCACAAAGATGTTAGGATGGCTATTTTCAAAAAAAGAAGAGATAACAAGTGTTGGTGAGAATGTGGACAAAAGGGAACCCTTGCACACTATTGGTGGGAGTGTAAATTAGTATACCCTCTATGGAAAATAATATGAAGCTTCCTCAAAAGATTAAAAATAGAACTACCATGTGATCCATTATATTATTCCACTACTAAGTATATATCCAAGGAAAATGAAATCAGTATGTTGAGCCAGAATATCTGGGCTCCCATGTTCATTACTTATAACAGCCAAGAAATAGAATCGACCTATGTTCCATTAATGGATAAGTGGATAAAGAAAATGTGGTAGGTATATACAATGGAATGCTATCAGCCTTAAAAAAAGAAGGATATCCTGTCACTTGTGACAATGTGGATGAACCTGGAGGATATTATATTAAGAAAAATGATCCAGAGACAGAAAAACAAATACCACATAATCTCACTTATATGCAGAATCTAAAAAAGTTGAACTCAGAAGCAGAGAGTTGAATGGTGGTTATCAGGGGTTGTGGGCAGGGTGCAGAGTTAAGGAGATATTGATGAAAGAATTAAAATTTTCAGTTAGTAGGAATGAGTTTAAGAAATCTATTGTGCAAAATGGTGACTATAGTTAATGCTTATGTATTGTATTTTGAAAATCTCTGAGTAGATTTTAAGTGTTCTCAACACACAAAAAAAGGTATGTGTGGTAATGCATATGTTACTTAGTGTGATAGAACCATTCTACAATGTATCCATATTTCAAAAAAATATGTTGTACACAATAAATATACAAAAAAATTTTTGATCATTAAAAAAATTCACGATTCTATCTAGTACTTTGAATGGATCATTTCCCCATGCATGATTTGATTACATCATGTATTAGTAATTTGGAAAATATTGGTTAACTGAGTTGTAGATTTTTCTAAATGTTCATACATTTTATTACACAATATAATTAAAAAGTCACTTTCATTAATATCACCATCAATCTCTTCAAGAAAAGTCTTCAAATATTAAAACACTATCAAGCTCACGGTTGGAGACACAAATTTTCGAAAAAGGCAAAATGAATTGCTTTGAAAAGTCAAATTTTTTCCATTGCAAAAAATACTGTCAGTTGTTTTTCTTGAAGCGACAAGCTTGCCTCATTCTTTTTTGACAAATGTTTGCCAATTCAAATATGAATAACCATCTGCCAGTTTATCAATGGCTCTTCCAAGTAAAAATGGTGCTCCAAGCAATAAAAGCAACTAGTTCAGCTGGCAACTCAGTCATTTAAGCGCTTTTCTTCAAGACAAATACAATACCTCAGTACGCAGCAGACATGCTTAATGTGTAATTCCCATATGTCACACAGAATATTAATAAGCTATGTACTCAAAGGTCGAGGTTTAGTAAAATTAACAATTTTTACAGCTTCATCAAGAACTTCAAACGTGAAACTGG
The DNA here is from genome assembly GCF_000001405.40 of Homo sapiens. Lineage (NCBI taxonomy): Eukaryota > Metazoa > Chordata > Mammalia > Primates > Hominidae > Homo > Homo sapiens. The sequence goes on along the minus strand of NC_000005.10, from coordinate 42,701,294 downwards.
CTTTTTCTTCCTTCTTCATTGGGAGTGCATGACTATTAGTAAAATTTGATCCTACTGCCTTGCTTCATGCTAAGGTGCCAGCAGTGTTTCCAGCATTGCTTTTGTGCCATTAAGTTAAATTTCAACATAGTTAATAAAATAATATTTTAGTGTATTGTGAAAATAGTACTGAACTCCCTGAAAGGGTCTCAGGGACCCTCAAGGGTCTGTGGCTCCCACTTTGAGAACCGCCACCTCAGGCATTTAGCACAGTGCCTTCTGCATAGTAGTTATTTCAGTACCTGTTGTTAAATAATGTTTGATTGTAGCTTGGATTTAGACAGTCTTGTTTGACTTAGCATCCAATCAGGCATTTTATTTGTACCAAGTTACAGAACAGATATCTAAATTAAAATGATTCAGAAAATAGAGCCTCAAAGCCCAGTATTGTAACTACTCAAATTTCCTCCAAACTTAACTTTCCTCTAATGACAAAATTGGCATCTTTTTCAGTGGCTCACTGAATGTCCTGGTGTCTCAAAATTCTGGGAGTGATCTGTGCCAGGCTGCTGGGCATCACCTGATGAGTGGCCAGAAACTGCTTGGCTTGGCTGTGGCTGTGGCTGTGGCTGTGGTTAGACAGATTTAGAATTAGTTATATTGGGAGCAGCATGATACTCCTGTTTTTCCTCTTGTTATGTGCCATGTGAAATTTATCAAAATGCTGAGTTCCATATGCTTGGTAAGGAAGAGAGGGATTCAGAGGTCAACTGGTACCATGCTCTCTAATTGCCTACATAAGAATCTCAGCTTGATTCTTCTCTGAGGTATGTAACAAAACATCCTTCTGAAACCTCTAAGAGACAAATTCCCTCCCTCTGTTTTCCTATAGACACGTATGAATTTGTTTTAGTGGGAGTCCTTTGAGTAGCAGCAACTGAAATCATGGGAAAATATTTGGCCATAGTCACTGTTGACTGGATCACAAACTTTCCCATTTTTATCCACATCCCCAAAGACAGCTAAGTGGCCAGTCTATAATTTTGCTCTAAAGTTAAACTGGACAGCAAGAATGAATGGAGAAATAGTTTTCCTTTCCTTCCACAGGCCTCCATATATACATAAGCATCTCCTGTCTTACAGAATTTCAAGACAATATTTTACCGGTTAAATAATGTTTTCTCAATTAAGAAATTATGGAGCATACAGCATGAACATGTGGTATTAGGTCAAAGGAAAGTCTAATGATAAATGAGAGAGAGTTTGTTGAAATAGAAAGAAAAGTCAAAGTGTAAGGTGTAGCAACATCTTACCATTTTCCATTTAGTTTCATTTACTTCTTTGTATTGAAGTTCATACTCCAGAACCATCCATCCTTTCTGAATATCTGCATTGCGTGGTGCTTCCCATCTCACTTGGATATCTGCATGAATCCCAGTTAAACTGACGTTCAGTAAAGTCCAGTTGAGGGCAATGGGTGGATCTGGTTGCACTGTGCAATTCAACAGAGCATTAGTACACAGACAGACACAATTTAATATTAATGGAAGGCATTCTTCTCAGAAGACCAAATTACTTTCTACATTTTTGATCATTCATGCTCTTATTTCTTCCAATATTTTTCTTATTATAACTTTCACTTTATAAGAGAGTAACTTTTTTTTTTAACTCAAGGATGACTTGTTTTTAACTTCTAAATAAGCCCTTACAAAAATTCCTTTTGGAGTAAAACATCTGATCACTATTTACAAGATCTGCCATGTTGTATATTTCTTTTTGCTCTGATATCATAAATGCATCAGGATTTTGGCAAAGGAATTTATTTTCACTTGAAACTGAAAAAACAGAGAGTCAGAAAGACTTACAGAATTTAGACATGGGGCTGCTTCGGAACTAGGGGTAGAGAAACCTTTTTTCTTGCAACTATGTATGGCCTGGGGGCAGAGACCCTGTTTACCTCATTTCTGTGTTGTTCCCTGACTCATCTTTGCCTCACTAATCCATATTCCGTCAGATTCCGTCAGCTGTACTTTCAAGATATAACAGAATCCAACCATATCTCACCGCCTGCACCACTATAACCTGGTCCTAGCCATTATCCTTTTTTACTCTTCTTCAATCTTCTCATACAATCTTCCTGCACACTCTGCTAATGCTCCCTAGCTTTGTGATCTTCCTAGCCACATGTGATATTTTCTTCTGACATAAGAAGGAAGAAAGCATTATGCTAGTCTCACAAATGGTGACAATTCAGTGTTTTCTGTCTTTTTGACTGTCACATGAACAACTTGAAACATTGTTTTCCTCAGGTTCTATTGATATACTCTACAGTTCCACGAAAATTTGTTGCATTCTGCTTAGTAGGACCTCAAAGACCACAATTTCTCAGAGGCTGATGAAGAAAAATATGGATTCCAAAGCTAGGAACTATGTCTAAATTTATATTCTAGAGAGTTCCTGGTAAATTTTTGCTAGTTGGATCTCATTACTGAGGGTTTTGAAAATCACTTGCAGATACAGAGTAAAATTTACTTTCTTTTTCTGCCATATATACAGAAGGCCACCTAGAGTGTTGCAGAGTGTGCATCCCTAGCGTTGACTGGAGATAACTTTACAGATATACACAGTGAGGAGCTCTTACTGGCTGTCAAATCTGTTGGCCAAAGAGGGAAGCTCTTGTGTGCACCCACAGTGAAAACAGGCCTTATGGTGGAGGAGCATGCTGTTGCCCTCTGTGGGGTCGACACCACCTTTTTAAAAACAGGGAGAGTCAAAATTTGATGAATCATGACTACATTTTGAAAATTAAATTGGAAGGATATGCAAAATGGCCAAACTACATATGCCGATATAATGGCAATAATTCCTCACCCTTCTGGATTTGTTGGAGATTCAGGAATCCTGATAATCAAAGCTTAACCGTTTAAAGTGACCAAACTATAAAATTGTTTTTAATGGAAGATTTTCTATAACTCATTACTTATGCTGCATTTGAAAAATAGAGGATATGAGACAAGGTCCTTTTGGAAAAGATTTGGTACCACCATTACAGGCATAACAATGACCTCCTGTGAGATACCATTACAGGCATAATAATGACCTCTCCTTTATCTCTATACATAAATCTACATGCTATATTGACAACTCCTGTGAGATATTTAAAAAATATCTGAAACTTAATATATCCCCAAACAAACCCTTGCTCTTCCTCTCCAAAACCTGCTCTCCTTTCCTCTTTTCCATCTCTGTTAACGAGGACTCAATTCCTCTAGTTGCTCAGGATAAAAACAATGAACTTGTCCTTGGCTCATCTTTTCCTCACTAATCCACATTCCGTCAGCTGTACTTTCAAGATATAACAGAATCCAACCATGTCCCACCGCCTGCACCACTAATAACCTGGTCCTGGCCATTATCCTTTTTCATTCTTCTTGCTTCATTTGTCTCCCCACTGTACCCCTTTGGTCTTTGTCCCCCTCCAGTCTATTCTCCATGCAATCCTCAAGCGAACTGACACAGTGATTATCCTAACACTTACGTTAGATCACATCGCTCATCATCTAAAACCCTCCAAAGGCTGCCTACCTCACTCCAAGTGAAAGCCAAAGTCTTTGGCAATGGTTGGGTAGATTTGACTGTCTTGTCTGTGCGATTTGGTCTCATACCAGTCTCCTCGCTCACTCTGTGCCCACTCCACCGCCGGCCTGCTGTTCATTGAGTGAGGAAAAGCATGCTCCTACTTTGAGATCTTTCTTCTGGCGTGCCCCCTTGCTGAAATGCCCTTCCCTGAGACACACACATAATTATCCTCTCCAATCCTTCTTTATTCAAATGCCACTGCCTCAGGGATGCCAATCCTGAAAACTCAACACTGCAACCTCTCCAACACTCCTATTCTCCTTTCCTATATTTCTCCATAGCATTGTCGCTTTCCATCCTCGTTGGGATTAAATCCCACCAGGGAAGACAGTTTCTATCCCCAGCATGGAGAACATTGACTGGCCTGAGAGAAGAGCATAATAAATATTTGCTGAATGAATTGAATGAATGACAAATGTCTAACTAATATAGTACTTCAAATCCAAAGAATAGCCCTGTGAGGTAGTACCATACATACATATTTTATGAGGAAGCTGAGGCTTATAATGATTGACAACTTTCTCAAGATCTACCAGGGTTACATTAGTTCTTTGTTCTCTTTCACTCTCAGCACCTTGCCCCACAACTATTGTGCTAGTTGTAGCTACCTGTCATAATCTTTTACCTTGATCATCTCAGTCTTTTAACCTCTTCTACCTCTAGTCCGTCCCACTCCAATCTACGTTTCACATTGCAACAAGATTAATTTCTCTGAGCATTAATAAAGAGACAAGTGGTACTGCAAAGCCTCAAGAGTAAGAGCATGGAGGCTGGAGGTTCAAATCCCAGCTCTATCTACTAGCTGTTTGACTTGAACTAGTCCTTTAACTGCTCTGTGCCTCGGTTTCATTATCTGTAAAGTGTGATTGCAAAAGATGGTTTTTATACCTGACACATGGTAAGACTTTTGTGACTGTTAACTATTAGTATCCTCAAGTAATTTCCCTATTTAAACATCCTCAAAGGTACCTCGTGACAGTTAAAGTCCAAATTCCTTTTTGGGGCACAAACAACTACTGATGATTTCTCCAGCTGACTAGGAGGGCTTCCTAACTGCTCCTGAGTCCCTGAACATGTTGGGACTACTAAGTTACTGTTGTAATTACTAAGTAACTACTAAGTTACTGTTGGAACTTAGTAGTTACTGAAAGGCAAGTCCACTGTGGTACCTGACAATACTCACTCATGCTTTTGACCACTGTGGGTCATCACTTTTTTAAAAATAGGGAGAGTCCAATTCCAGTTCAGAGGTAACTAAACTGTCACCATCTCTGTGCAGCCCTTCCTCATCCCTCAGGCCTGTCAGTCATTCACGCCTTTGGCCACCACCTTTGCAGCTCTGCATTCCACGTATTTCCAGGCTAACACCTATCACGCTGCACTGCAATTATTTGTGAACATGCCTGACTTCCCTCTTTGACTGTATTGTACTTATTCTATAACCACCACCACCAGAACAGTGCGTGACACATGACAGGCATGTCAGCCAGGTAAATGAGTAGGACTGGCTATTGGCAGAGAACAGGGCTAGAACATGGGTTTTAACCCAGTGTTCTTGCTACTATCCCATTCTGCTATCCCATTTAGTTTCAACTCAACAGCTATACCCAGTGATGTTAGGACACATACTAAATTGTCTTTGCAAAGCAATTGGGTTATCTTTACTGCTTGATACAGTTCTCTTAATCTTCTCCCTTAAAGTCAGCCTATTAGATTTTATTTGTTTCTATCTGTAAGTTCTAGCCACATACTCCTATGTCTTCCAGTCAGCTTATGCCTAGAAAACCACATAAAAAGAACAATACATTTGGGAGAAGCAACGAGAAATTCCTATAAGCAACAAATGAGCTTTTGTGGATAGATTTTGAGGCACTAATTTCAGCTACTCAAAGTCCTTCTTTGATTCTTTCTATTTTGCTATTTATACTATTAAGGTATAAACATGACTATTCTAATTACAATTGTTTGTTTTATTTGTTTTGTTTCCACCTTGTGTCCATATGATGGGCAAAGGATCCTCTGTTTGGATCTTTCACTTAGTTCACTGAGCTGATTGTCTCCAGTATTTGTTCTGAGATCTAATAAACATGTCTTTAAAGTAACTGTGGCTGTTTTGTAAATGTAAAATTCCAGAATGATTATGCTTTGTGATAAAGAAAATCTAGGCTTTGATTACAGCAATGGTAGAGGTCAAAGGCCAACGTATTTCAGTGAATTTGAATATAAGGATCCTATCAAATAATTAGGAAGTAAGAAATCCTAAGAATATATTAAGTTCACCCTTTGCAGTGGAACATAAAAACACAACGCAGCTTCAAAGATATCCTAAAGGAAAAGACTCCACAAGGTTCCTATTCTCTTCTTCACAACATTTACTGCCAGGCTACTTTATGTTAAAGTCAACTTAAGTTCCCCCTGCCCTTTTCCTCTTGTTCACCAGCTGATCCCATCTCCTGTAAAACAGATCTCCATGTATCTATAGAACACTGTTACAAAGTCTTCCTACTTGATTATACTTGGACCTTGCAGGCTTCCCCATTTATTTAGTCTAAAACTATGTCAAATGAAACAAAAACCTGTGATTTACCTATTTCATCAACAGAGAAACACTTTTCATCCACTGTACCACCATTGCTAGTTAGCTTGATACAATAAGGTATCCAGATGGAGGTAAACGATGAATTAAAGTAACAGCTGTTTTCCCCAGCAGAAACATAATCAGGGCATTCTTTCCATTCTTGAGTCCATTCTTGAGTGTTCCTAAAATGAAGGGTTAAAAAAAGATTAATTGTTCCAAAAATCATGTTGTAGCTTAAGTCCAAGTAAGGTGCTTGATAGTCTGATTCAATAAATTGGAAGACAAATATTTTGTGAAGAGGTATTTTAGTAACATCATTTCCGAGACATATCACATCAGTGGACAGTATCATCAGTGTCTGACGACTGCTACGAGGCCGTTTGGTACTTCTGCCTATGGTAAAACTTCCGTTTATTGAATGAATATGCTATGCCTGCTCATAAATCGATTCCTATGGTAGGTACTTTATTATGCCAGTTGTATAGATGAAGGTTCTGAGACTTAGGGACATTTTAAAAATGTTCATTAAAACAGTACAGAGAATCACCCCCAAACTAGAGATTCCCAGAGAACAGTGAAGGTTTAGACCTGGCTGTTTCACCAGCCTATGGTGAAAGAAACTGAGGAGACAAGTTGATGTGTGCTCCAGGCAGAGTGATGCATTATATCCAGCACCAACGCTGTGCAGATATAAAGATAAGTAAGATGTGGTCCCCTAATTTCAGGCTAAAATAAGACTCAAATTCCCATCTGAGTAGTTTTTTGGGCCTCTTATATTCATTCTATTGACATTTAATGAGAATTGGTTATGTCTAAAACATAATGACAGACACTATGGGATTCATAGATGTCTAAGGAATTCCTCCTGCCTCAGAAGGAAAGAGTAAAAAACCATATTACAAAGCAATGTGGGTAAGTGCTCATTAGTAGTGCTCTCTAGGGTCCTTAAAAGTTCAGAAGAGGGAATGATTGCTCTGGCTCTTCATGGAAGGCTTCAAGGTGGAGGTATGTTTTTAGCATTCTTGAAGGATGGGTAAAAGTTTAATAGATGGCAATACGGCAAGGAAGGGAATAAACAGAGAGGTCAAAGGGATTGAGGTAAGGAAGTATGGGCATGAGTGTGGTAATGGAAGTAAAAGGCAATGGAATGACAGGAAAATTTTCTTAAATTAGAATTGCTACTTGGGTGAGGTAGTTCATCATCTCCATGTTATTCACTAGCCTATTAATTGAGAAGACAATATATAAGTCAAAGGGACATAAAACCATGTAATCTGTGGTTGTGGAAGATGAGGTAGGAATGGCCCTGTGCAGGCAGAGGCGCCTGTGGCTCACAGGCCAGACTGTGGAGGTTTGGGACCATCCCTCTGTGGGATGGGTGCTGGGCAGCAGTGGACAATGAAGACAATGCAGGTTGTAGGGAAGGCAGGGCCTGGAAGGAAAGGATGCCAAGCTGGGAGAAGACGCCTATTTCCTTCTTATAGCTGTTTCTCAGGCTGGTCTGCTTGGCACTAGGAGAAAACTTGTGTAGTATCAGAGGGTCCTTGAGACAGCTGCTCCTCAGCTGTTGGAAGGAAATTGGGATTTAAATGGCAGAGACTCCAGGGTCTGAGACAGTGAATTGCTGCTTTGGTTGAGACTCTTAAAAGTTGCATATGCTGGCTGGGTACGGTGGTTCATGCCTGTAATCCCAGCACTTTCGGAGGCTGAGGCAGGCGGATCATGGGTTAGGAGATTGAGACCAGCCTGGCTAACATGGTAAAACCCCATCTGTACTAAAAATACAAAAATTAGCTGGGCATGATGGCATGCTTCTGTAATCCCAGCTATTCGGTAGGTAGGCTGAGGCAGGAGAATTGCTTGAACGCAGGAGGCAAAGTTTGCAGTAAGCCAAGATCGAGCCACTGCACTCCAGCCTGGGTGCCAAAGCAAGACTCCATCTCAAAAAAAAAAAAAGTTGCATATGCTTGAATGAGAGATTCATCTCTGATGCAAAAAGTAAATGGGCAAAAGGCAGAAGAAAAGATAAGGTGTGTTTGTGTGTGTGTGTGTAAGTATGTGTGTATGTAGAGTCAGAAGAGAAATGTTAAAAAAATTAGGAATAGGTGGGTGGTTCATTGAACTATAGTATGCTTAATTTGATATTTACTTTCAAATTAAGTAAGAGTGCATTAAAGAGAGTAGTTGTAAGAAAATTGCCCAGAAAATGAGGCTTTCACATAATAGAAGGGATATCAAATGTACTTAGCATAAGTGATAGTATAAAAGTTAGAAAACTCAAAGTATTAAGATATTCCAAAGATGTAGATTAGTGCTTAACAGGTCTGGATTTCTAAAAGATTAGCTCTTTCATGATTCACAGAATTTCTCAACAGTGCATGTCAGTACCTTGTTCCCCATGAGGACTGTTTAAAAAACCCTGTTTAGATTATCCCAAATCCATGAACTCCACAGGACAAACAGAGCATTTATTTTAAGCATGATGGATCAGAAACAGCTAGTTCAAAACACTACTTCCAACCTCTTTCTTCATGAACCAATGTTGAATTTCATTTTAAATAAATATTTATAACTTATATTTTAAACTATTAAATGTAGACAAGAACCCAAATTAGCTCATAAAACAGATACTGTGTCACTTGCCTTCTCTGGGTTGAATGTCTCTACAGATGACCAAAATCAATGTATGGAAGCTCCCCTCTGCTCTTACTCCCAAAAGTTAAGTGCTTTAGGTTTGCTCCCAGACTATCTTGTGAAATGGAAGGGGTGAGAACCATAGAAAGAGACTATCATTAAAAATAAGAATAAAGAGCAGAAGAAATGTTTTTCATCTAAAGACAACCAACTAGATAAAAGTAATAAAAATAAAACATCATTTATGTTTTTAAGGGCAGCTGTTTTCATGACAGAAAGCGCACGTTTTTGGCTTTAAATTTAATACTTTTGTTAAAGAAAAATGAAAGTAATAATGCCCTTTCTCCCTACTGATTTTCCACACAACCTTGTATAGAAAATGAAATTTCTCTTAAGACCAGGGTAATTTTTGAAGTGGGGTTGAATGGGTATGGAAGAGGTGGGGGATACAGCCTTAAGGACTGAGTGTTCACATGCCCACTTCCTTTAAAAACACAGCATTTACATGCAAGGAGCTGAGAGCAGAGCAGCTCGAACATGCTTCCCAGAGCCTCTTTTTACCATGCCTGTAATGTGCATTCATCCTGAGTCCCCTGCAAGCTCAGAGGCTGAATTTGGCACTATCGTCATCACAGGATGGCAGACACTGTTTTGAATCTGCTGCTCTAACATGTGGAGGCTGCCTTTTCTGCCAGCCACCTGGCAAGGAGCAGAGCCAGGCAAAACACACAACTGCCTGTAGGGCTGTGCCTGAACTGTCCTGTTGACAGCCTGACATGTTCACGTTCTGTTGTGCTTTAGATACTGAGGCCAGGCCAGCAAACTGAAACAACTGCACTGCCCACTGACTCTGACTTTGGATAAAATCATCTCAGAGTTTTATTTATGTGTCAGGGATGAGAAGCATGTTTCTATAGTTTCAGGAGTTGCCTGGCAACTGAGTTCTAAGAAACAGTGATAAGAGTCAGAAAGTGCATTTGTATTGTCTTCTCTGTGAAGTGGGCAATGAGAAATCAAATATAACTGTACACTAATCAGTCCAGTCCAGTCCTGATACTCCTAATCCCTCAGTTTTATCCTTCTTGGATAAACTGGGCTGTGGGCTCATAGTAGTTTGGCTAAGATATTCAAAATAGTTATATTTTATAGAAAAAACACAAATATCTAATTTTGTAAGTTTGGGTTGGCACTTAATCATGAAGCTGTACTTACCCTCCTGGGATTCCAAACACTACCAGGGCAAAATCTAAGACATCTTTCTGAATATGTCTGAACGTTTCCCTTTACCCAGTCACACTTTCAGCAGCATCCTTGGTAGTGTAGATCCTGGATTTGAACCAGAGATGCTGAAATGACTGGAGTGTGCATAAGATGCCTGTGGACAGAGTTATGTGACCCTGATTGATGAGGGCAAGGGATATATATTTATCAAGGCTTCATTCCTTTGGATTTCTCTTTTTGCTCATCAAATTTGGTAAATATTGAGGTAGCAAAAAATTATTTTCATAAAGTGGGCCCAGCTTAAGAGGTTATTCTGCTACTTTTCTTTACAGTTTGGCTAATTGTGCCTGTACAAATAACTTAATGATTCCACACATTTCAAAAGTGTCATCAAACATACTAACTTCATGTCTGAATGTATTTATAGAAATCAACTCTGTTTACTGGCCCCAACCTCTCTGTGGTGTCAGCCTTAAGGAAAAATATAGTATACTTGGTGCCCAAACATTTCATCTTCACTTCACTTCATCCAAGAGACCTCTCTTATACTGAAAGGTGGGGAAGGTCTGCTTGGTTGCTAACTCCAAGTATTTTTTTATCTGCAAATTAAGCAGCAGCTCTGCATTAAAATGCTCTTATACCAATAATTAAAATAATTATAACAATTTACTGGTATAAATGGTCTTATACAATTTATAGTCATTTTATAGTCCAGGAACTGGATTTCTATATCATAATTATTTTAAAATTATCACTATACTACCGATAAGAAGAATACCAGCTACCATTTAGTGAGTACTTATTATGTGTCAAGTACTCTGCCAAGTATTTTTCATGGGTTATCTCATATGATCCTCACAAGAAGTCATGAGGCAAGTCCATTATCTCCTTTCTGCAAATGAGGAGGCTGAGTTGTACACAAACTGGCTAATTTCCCTAGTATTCCTTGGTGAGAAAGTGCAGAACTACACTGAAGTGCAGGTTTGTTAGCCCTGAGCTCATACCCTTAACTGCTGGCTGCATCTTCCTTCCCTATTCCAGCTCTTCGGTTGGATAGACAATGTCATCCTCTGACTAACGAACACCTTGAGCCAAGGATAAAGGGTCCTCACTAACCCTGCATCTTGGCTTAGGCCTTCTCTGGGGGTTGGGTGGAAAACAGGAGATAATGAAGTGTTTAAGCCTAAAATGTAAAAAAGGGAAAAATATACACAGTGAGAGTAAACAAAAATGAAAATAATGCCAGGTGAAGGGGAAGAAATAAACAACTTGGATGGTACCTATATTGAGAGGTCTTTGTTTCACCCTTCCTCTGTTATTTTAGAGGGTCACTGGTAAAAATGAAAAAGTACTACAGTCTTTTACTGAATATATTTAAGAGAAGGAGTGTATTATCTGGTTAGAAACAAAGCTACATCTTTTAAAGCATATATCTTTTCAAAAACACCTACAGCTTTCCACCACAAATAAAGTAAAATTCAAAGCCTTGCCCTTGCCTATGAGGTTTGGCATGGTCAGTCCCTAAGTAACTCTCTGATCCCTTCCCATATCACTCTCCTCACTTTCAATCTTGTGCCTTCAGTGCTGGCCTTTTTCATCCCTCAAATATGCCAAGACTGCCTCAGGGACTTTGTACTTGCAATTTCCTCTGCCTGCATAGCCTTTCCCCCAGATACTCACGTGGCCTGTCCCGTTTCACTTATGTCTCTGGTCTAGGACACCACAATAGAGAGGCCTCCTAGGACCACGCATTTCAGCATCATTCAAGCCTTTTACACACACTCTCATCCACATGCACATGCCCACGTGTATCCATACATGCTCTCACTCACACTTTGACACACTCTCACACATTCTCATGCACATACACAAACTCCCACACACTGCTGATATGCTGCTTTCTGGCTTTATTTTTCTTAATAACCTATATTACTAGCTGACATTTAATTCAATTTTTATTGCCTGTCTCCCTGCATTGGAAGGAAATCTCCATGAGACCAGGGATTTTGTCTTTTGTAATCACTGCTATATCTCCAGGGCCTAAAATAGTACTCAGCACATAGGATGGGCTTGATTAATATTTTTTTCAATAAATGAGTGAATGAATATTCATTGATTGCATAAATCACAACAAATCACTTCCATTCCCACAGTACATCTGACTCAGTGTACTTTAGTAGGTACATCCATGGAGAGGAAAATCAGAAAGGCATGATGGTGGCACCTTCTGGTATAGAACAGCTGTATGGGTCCTAGGTTCTTTGTACCATGATGAACCTCATCTGTCCAGTGGCATGAAAAAGTCTCTCGCTCAGGTGAACGGCACTTGGTGAATTTAGGCTCCTTAGAAGAATCTGCAGAATAAAAAGAAAAGGCAAGGCATGAAATCAGGTGAGTCATATGTGATCCTAATGAGACACGTATCTAAAGTGTGTGAAGAAACTACTGGGATGAAGCCAGTGTATTCCGTGTCTAGGAGGTAATGCCGATGTCTTCCAGAAAAGCATTTTTCCTGGGTCATAGTTTTAGTGCCTGTTGCTTGCCATTGTCAGCCTTTGATTCTAGACACAAACCATTTTGCCTTTTATTTCAAGCATTTCATAGGACCTGTTTAAGAAACCAGAGCTAGAGATTAGGATTTGGATATAGGTAGTTCATCTGGAAGATGACTTCTGGATCTAGCAGTCAGGGAATGGGGAGGGTGGGAAGGAAAGGGAGAACAACTAATATGTGTGTGTTCTGAGCTGGTTATCACAGTGGCTAATGGGGCCCAATCCCTCTGAGGCTCCTTTGAGAAGCTGTGTAGAATATGCACCACCACTGTTGTGTAGAAAGATGAGAGGCTAGGATATTTATCTACCGCTCCCAGTACTCACTGGTTGAAGGGTGCCTCAGAGATGTTCACCCCCATGCACTTCTAGGCTGTACCTGCACATGAGCTGAGGGTCTTTGCCGAGGCAGGCACCTGAGTCTGCCCGGCAGGGTGCATAGTGGCAAATGGACACCATAGACAGTTGTGATGACATCAGGTGGATGTGGGGGATGTAGTGTGGGAACCACAGCATGCACTACAGGGCCTTTTATCTTTTCATTGATTTTTGATAAAAGGCACTTATGTTTGCATTCTTTTAAAAGATTCAGCCAGTAAACTCATTAAATAGATGCCCACTCTAAACAACTTATACATACTCATGTGTTAATTCTAATTTGAGAAGTAAGTGCAGAATGCCTCTCATGTGTTAGGAATTTAGCCAAAATTCCTCTGCATCTATGAAATGTATAGATGTGCAACAGACAGGTATGAAGCAAAACACATTTTTGTGTATGAATTCTCAGTGTTCTGATGTCCATGGCCATTTTGGAGATTTCTTTTCAAATTTCTCTTCTTTTTCTTATTTTTTTCTCCTTATATGATTAGCCTTCAATCATATTGTAAACTTAATCTAAAACTCTCATTCCTGGGTTATCAGGGAGGCTCTCAATCTTAAAGTATCTTTGTCAATACTTTGAAAGATCTCTTAAAAATAAATAATATGAAGCAAATGCATAAAAACTCATGATTCCAAATTCCAGGTTACATACCTGATGTTATGAACCAAAAACAGGCTTCTTTTTTCCTCTGGCAACAAACTCATAAGGCATGGGATGTTATAAACCTTCTAAACAAATCCATCATTCAAATTCATTCAACAAACATTATTAAACGCAAATTTTGTACCAGGCTGTGTTCTAGGAATAGAGAAATGAACAAGTTGATAAAAGTTGGTCCTTGTCTAGTTTCCATTCTAGCAAAAGCAGGGATGTGGGGATCCTATGTAGAAAAATAAGCTGGGTCAGGTAGCGTGATGCCTTCAGCTTTGTTCTTTTTGCTTACGATTATCTTGGCTATGCAGGCTCATTTTTGGTTCCATATGAAATCTAAAGTAGTTTTTTTCCAATTCTGTGAAGAAAGTCAATGGTAGTTTGATGGGGATAGCATTGAATCTATAAATTACTTTGGGCAATATGGCCATTTTCATGATATTGATTCTTCCTATCCATGAGGATGTTTTTCCATTTGTTTGTGTCCTCTCTTATTTCCTTGAGCAGTGGTTTGTAGTTCTCCTTGAAGAGGTCCTTCACATCCTTTGTAAGTTGTATTCCTAGGTATTTTATTCTCTTTGTAGCAATTGTGAATGGGAGTTTGCTCGTGATTTGGCTCTCTGTCTGTTACTGGTGTATAGGAATGCTTGTGATTTTTGCACTTTGATTTCGTATCCTGAGACTTTGCTGAAGTTGCTTATCAGCTTAAGGAGATTTTGGGCTGAGACGATGGGGTTTTCTAAATATACAATCATGTCATCTGCAAACAGAGACAATTGAATTTCCTCTTTTCCTAATTGAATACCCTTTATTTCTTTCTCTTGCCTGACTGCCCTCGCCAGAGTTTTGAATAATATGTTGAAAAGGAATGGTGAGAGAGGGCATTCTTTTCTTATGCCGGTTTTCAAAGGGAATGCTTCTAGCTTTTGCCCATTCAGTATGATATTGGCTGTGGGTTTGTCAAAAATAGCTCTTATTATTTTGAGATACATTCCATGAATACCTAGTTAATTGAGAGTTTTTAGCATGAAAGGCTGTTGAATTTTGTCGAAGGCTTTTTCTGCATCTATTGAGATAATCATGTGGTTTTGTCACTGGTTCTGTTTCTGTGATGGATTACGTTTATTGATTTGTGTATGTTGAACCAGCCTTGCATTCCAGGGATGAAGCCGACTTGATCGGGGTGGATAAGCTTTTTGATGTGCTGCTGGATTAGGTTTGCCAGTATTTTATTGAGGATTTTTGCATCAGTGTTCATCAGGGATATTGGTCTAAAATTTTCTTTTTTTATTGTGTCTCTGACTTCATACTACAAGGCTACAGTAACAAAGACAGCATGGTACTGGTACCAAATAAGATATATAGACCAATGGAACAGAACAGAGGCCTCAGAAATAACACCACACATCCACAACCATTTGATCTTTGACAAACCTGACAAAAACAAGCAATGGGGAAAGGATTCCCTGTTTAATAAATGGTGTTGGGAAAACTGGCTAGCCATACGCAGAAAGCTGAAGCTGGATCCCTTCCTTTCATCTTATACAAAAATTAACTCAAGATGGATTAAAGACTTAAACGTAAGACCCAAAACCATAAAAACCCTAGAAGAAAACCTAGGCAATACCATTCAGGAAATAGGCATGAGCAAAGACTTCATGACTAAGACACCAAAAGCAATAGCAACAAAAGCCAAAATTGACAAATGGGATCTAATTAAACTAAAGAGCTTCTGCACAGCAAAAGAAACTACCAGCAGAGTGAACAGGCAACCTACAGAATGGGGGAATATTTTTGCAATCTGCCCATCTGACAAAGGGCTAATATCCAGAATCTACAAAGAACTTCAATAAATTTACAAGAAAAAAAACAACCCCATCAAAAAGTGGGCAAAGGATATAAACAGACACTTCTCAAAAGAAGACATTTATGCAGCCAACAGACACATGAAAAAATGCTCGTCATCACCGGTCATCAGAGAAATGCAAATCAAAACCACAATGAGATACCATTTCACACCAGTTAGAATGGCGATCATTAAAAAGTCAGGAAAAAACAGATGCTGGAGAGGATGTGGAGAAATAGGAACGCTTTTACACTGTTGGTGGGAGTGTAAATTAGTTCAACCATTGTGGAAGACAGTGTGGCAATTCCTCAAGGATCTAGAACTAGAAATACCATTTGACCCAGCAATCCCATCACTGGGTATATACCCAAAGGATTATAAATCATTCTACTATAAAGACACTTGCACATGTATGTTTATTGCAGCACTGTTCACAATAGCAAGGACTTGGAACCAACCCAAATGCCCATCAGTGATAGACTGGTTAAAGAAAATGTTGCATATATGCACCATGGAATACTACTCAGCCATAAAAAAGGATGAGTTCATGTTCTTTGCAGGGACATGGATGAAGCTGCAAACCATCATCCTCAGCAAACTAACACAAGAACAGAAAACCAAACACCACATGTTCTCACTTATAAGTGGGAGTTGAACAATGAGAACACACATACACAGGGAGGGGAACTTTACACACTGGGGCCTGTTGAGGGCTGTGGGGCTGGGGGAGGGATAACATTAGGAGAAATACCTAATATAGATGACGGGTTGGTGGGTGCAGCAAACCACCATGGCACATGTATACCTATGTAACAAACCTGCACGTTCTGCACATGTACCCCAGAACTTAAAGTATAATAATAATAATAATAAAAAGAAAAATAAGCAGGGTAAGAAGAAAGGAACTGCATCCTTGTTTGAGAACAACTGTTGCCCTCAATAGTACAAACAAGTGAATCTTCAGAAAATCCTGAGTTGCAAATATGTCTTTAGCCCTGGGAGCACAGGTTGGGGATAGCAGGAGTGTTTTTGTAATCAAATTCCACGGTCATATTGTTGTAAGAAATACTCATTTTCCTGTATGAATGGAGAAATTTACAAGAGTTTTAGGGCATGGATGGGATGTGCCTTGGTACTGAGGGCAGATGGGCAGCTCTCTCTATGTGGTCAGTGTTTACCAACCCCTCTCAGAACACTGAGGTGTACGAGCCCACATTATCTGTTACAAATGAGTACAGTGAAAAAGATGTGTATTTCGTTAGGCAAGCACCTCTCATACAGTAAAGCACTGAAAATATTCCTTTTTACTATTAGTTGAAGCACTGAAAACAAACACTATTTTAGGTCCTTCTACAAAGTTAGTAATTATTAAAACTAAATATTTAAACCACAACTGTTTTAATGCTGGTATATCTGAGGAGACTATTTCACATTCTAACTGTTCGTTTGCACAGAAATAAGAAAAGGAAATGCACTAGATTAGAAATTGAGAGATGTGTACTCTAGTTCTGGCTCTGACACTATTTAACGTTGACCTTCCCAAGCCATTTGGTCTTGATTTCCTTAGTAGAATGCCTGGAATAGATGAGACACAAAGTACTTTACAATTTTACAGCTTCGCTTTTACAATTAAGAGGCATATATAATTATGAACAATAACGTACACAACAAAAACATAATTTTGGCATTTGAATTGAAACAACAATAGAACACCAAATACAAATGTCAATCAGGTTCCTATATTCTCTGTAAAATATGCCTGTTACATAATAGCAAGAATAATAAACTCAACTTCAAAACTTGAAACAGAAAGAAATAAAAAACTTTGTCAGCTGAAACAAAAAAAAAAACTTAAAAAGAAAAAATAACTAATCTGAAACACATTTTGATTACTTAAACTTAGTATTCTTAGATTTATTGTTTCCTTTTAACTCCAGATGCATAGAAAGTCCTTATTACCTTCTCATTGTAAATAAGAAATAGGAAATTTATGGGTGTGGTGCTGATGTGATGACGTGTGTGTCTGCACATGGAACTCCGATACAGATGTTGTGCAGCAGAGCTGTTTTGTTCTTGTCTTTTTAAATGTCTTTCTTTCCCTTCCTTTCTTCCCTTCCACCTTCCTCTTTTCTTTATTTTACCCTGCACCCTCCTTCTCTCTTTCCGGCTTTTTTAAATTTTATGGCTGGGTATGTGCTGTTAAGTGCTGTGGCAGACAGCCCCTAAAGTAGCCTCCAATGATTCCTGTCTTCTCTCATTCACAGCCTTATGTATTTCCTTCCCTTGAGTAACTTGCTTCTAATCAGAAGAATATGGCAGCATGGAGTGGATGGCAGTTCTATGATTAGGTTACAAAAGATTGAGACTTCTTTTTAACTAGCAGACTCACCCTTTTGCTGGTTTTGATGAAGTACGTTGCTGTGTGGTGAGAACCATACAGCAGAGAACTAAGCATGGCCTCTGGCCAACACTCAGCAAGAAGTAGAGGCCCTCAGTATAAAAACCCTTGAGGAACTGGCTGGGCGCGGTGGCTCATGCCTGTAATCCCAGCACTTTGGGAGGCTGAGGTAGGTGGATCATGAGGTCACGAGATCGAGACCAGCCTGACCAACATGGTGAAATCCCATCTCTACTAAAAATAGAAAAATTAGCTGGGCATGGTGGCATGCACCTGTAATCCCAGCTACCTGGGAGGCTGAGGCAGGAGAATTGCTTGAACCTGGGAAGCGGAGTTTGCAGTGAGCCAAGATTGCGCCACTGCACTCCAGTCTGGTGATGGAGCAAGACTCCATCTCAAAAAAAAATATATAAAAATAAAAAAAACCTTTGAGGAACTGAATCCTGCCAACAACAATGTAAATAAGCATGGGAACCAATCTTTCCCTATCCAGCCTTCAGATGAGACCACAGCCCTGGCTGACACTTTGATTGCAGTCTTATAAGATAGCTTGAAGCACAGGACACAGCTGGTGGGTTACTTTGGAAAAAGTGTGAGAGGTATATTAACTTTACTAAATATTTGAATGCTATTAATACAGAGTAAATGAATTTAATATATCAGAACTTAAAAGTAGTGCTCAAGAATGACACAAGCCACTTTTCTTAGCAAATGGAATGTATCACAGTGAGTGTGAGAAAGTGGGTGACTCCTCTTTTGGAGGCAAGAAGAACTATATTGTGCCTGGCCGTTTAGTTTCTCCTTAATCACATCCTGTCACATCTAGTACCATTGTGCCGCTGTGGCTGAAGACACTCAGCATTCCTAAAGTCCAACTCCTTAGTGTCATCTTAAGGCTTTCTAAATCTGAGAGGAACTACCATAATCTTAAAATGAACACCTTTCTCACTATGTCTAAAAATCCTATTAGAATCTTACTTTTACTACGAAGACAACAAATGACTACTATAGACTCTTAGGTCTTCTCTGATTAGCCAGGAACAGAAAATCATTTCTGAACTAGTAATATTTCTTGCTTTCTTATGATTTTTAAAGATTAAATCTAAAAATAGTATAGTTCAACATCCATTTATAGCACCTCTGAAAGGAATGTTGCAATTAACAAGAGAGCCTAACTTTGCCCCTAAGTGAATTATCACTAAGAACAATGAGTTAAGTTGGAACACACATGTGGTGTTTGGTTTTCTGCTCTTGTGATCGTTTGCTGAGAATGATGGTTTCCAGCTTCATCCATGTCCCTGCAAAGGACGTGAACTCATCCTTTTTTATGGCTGCATAGTATTCCATGGTGTATATGTGCCACACTTTCTTTATCCAGTCTATCACTGATGGACATTTGGGTTGGTTCCAAGTCTTTGCTATTGTGAATAGTGCTGCAGTAAACGTACGTGTGCATATGTCTTTTTTTTTTTTTTTTTTTTTGAGACGGAGTCTTGCCCTTTTGCCCAGGCTGGACTGCAGTGGCGCTATCTCGGCTCACTGCAAGCTCCGCCTCCCGGGTTCATGCCATTCTCCTGCCTCAGCCTCCCGAGTAGCTGGGACTACAGGCGCCCGCCACTGCGCCTGCCTAATTTTTTGTATTTTTAGTAGAGATGGGGTTTCACCATGTTAGCCAGGATGGTCTCGATCTCCTGAACTTGTGATCTGCCTGCCTCAGCCTCCCAAAGTGCTGGGATTACAGGCATGAGCCACCACGCCCGGCCGCATGTGTATTTATAGTAGCATGATTTATAATCCTTTGGGTATATACCCAGTAATGGGATCACTGGGTCATATGGTATTTCTAGTTCTAGATCCTTGAGGAATTGCCACACTGTCTTCCACAATGGTTGAACTAATTTACACTCCCACCAACAGTGTAAAAGCGTTCCTATTTCTCCACATCCTCTCCAGCATCTGTTGTTTCCTGACTTTTTAACGATCGCCATTCTAACTGGTGTGAAATGGTATCTCATTGTGGTTTTGATTTGCATTTCTCTGATGACCAGTGATGATGAGCATTTTTTCATGTGTCTGTTGGCTGCATAAATGTCTTCTTTTGAGAAGTGTCTGTTTATATCCTTTGCCCACTTTTTGATGGTTTTTTTTTTTTCTTGTAAATTTATTGAAGTTCTTTGTAGATTCTGGATATTAGCCCTTTGTCAGATGGGCGGATTGCAAAAATTTTCTCCCATTCTGTAGGTTGCCTGTTCACTCTGCTGGTAGTTTCTTTTGCTGTGCAGAAGCTCTTTAGTTTAATTAGATCCCATTTGCCAATTTTGGCTTTTGTTGCCATTGTTTTTGGTGTTTTAGTCATGAAGTCTTTGCCCATGCCTATTTCCTGAATGGTATTGCCTAGGTTTTCTTCTAGGGTTTTTATGGTTTTAGGCCTAACATTTAAGTCTTTAATCCATCTTGAATTAATTTTTAATGGGTGCAGCAAACCAACATGGCACATGTATGCCTATGTAACAAATCTGCACGTTGTGCACATGCATGCCAGAACAAAGTATAATAAAAAAAAATAATAATAATAGAAAGACATTAAGCATTCAATCAAAAAATCATGTTTGGGGCTGGGAGCAGTGGCTCACACCTGTAATTCCAGCACTTTGGGAGGCTGAGGCGGGTGGATTACCTGAGGCCAGGAGTTCGAGGCCAGCCTGTCCAACATAGTGAAACTCCGTCTCTACTAAAAATACAAAAATTAGCCAGGTCTGGTGGGGCATACCTGTAATCCCAGCTACTCAGAGAGGCTGAGGCACAAGAATCACTTGAACCTGGGAGTCGGAAGTTGCAGTGAGCTGAGATCGTGTCACTGCACCCCAGCCTGGGTGACATAGTGAGACTCTGTCTAAAAAAAAAAGTGTTTTGCAATGTTTATAATTAATTTATCTTAATAAAATTTCATGGAATTAAAAAAAAAAGAAAAAAAAAGAAAAGCACATTGGATCAAATGACTTTTGGCCCGTTATGGTGGATATGGGTTCTGCTAAGCAATCTGCATATGCAGTCAAACAAGGGTCAGTTTTAGAAGAGAAGAATGGTTACAGCATGCTCAGTCACCCTGATCTGGATAAAGAATGGCTATTATTGAACATAAGCCAAAGTGAGGAAATACTTATTGTCAGCCGAAATCACTTTCATATGTTCTGAGGACTGCATAAGCACGTTGGCCAGGCCAACTGTGGTGAAACCATAATGTTCCTTTCACAAATAATAAACAAGAGATGGTGATTGCAGTAGAACAAGTCTACTTCTTGGACTATGCCTGCATAGGCTTTGGGTAAAATCTTTGTGTGACTGGCCTAAATGTATCAGTTATTTAAAAACACCTTTGTATTTAGCCTTTATATTTGGTTAAGGCGATGTTACAGAATGAGACATGCATGATCTTCAAAGGTTTGATGAGCAAAGAAGATGTGAATATGTAATTCTTCCATGAGTGAAAGAAGTTACTGCATTCAACATCATTATTTTTCCAAGTCCCCTTCTTAAGCAGGAACAGAATAACAATATGACAGCAACTACGGCTTCTTTGGGGTCTCTGTCCTACACATTTTATATGTAATATAAAAAGTGTTCATTCTCAAAACTAGAATGAGTTAGGTACTATTATTCTCACTACTGAATAGATGACACTGAGGCATAGAGAAGTAAAATAACTGGCCCAAAGTCACTTGGTTATTAAGTGGCACAGCCATGATTCCAACTCAACAGCTGTGCTTCAGAATTTGTATTCTTTTTTTTTTTTTGAGATGCAGTCTCGCTCTGTCGCCAGGCTGGAATGCAGTGCCATGATCTCGGCTCACTGCAACCTCCACCTCCTGGGTTCAAGTGATTCTCCTGCCTCAGCCTCCTGCATAGCTGGGACTACAGGTGCGTGCCACCGTGCCCAGCTAATTTTTATATTTTTAGTAGAGACAATGTTTCACCATGTTGGCCAGGATGGTCTCAATCTCTTGACCTCGGGATCCACCCACCTCGGCCTCCCAAAGTGTTGGGATTACAGGTGTGAGCCACCATGCCCAGCCCAAAATTTGTATTCTTAACCACTGCACTGGTGGCTTTCAAAGTTTTTGAAAGTGACTTTCAGGAAAATTATTTATATGTATATGTAAATTTTAAGTATAAATTTAAGTATATTAAAATATATTTAAAATATTAATAATAGTATGTTATTAATATATAATATACAATATATAATATATTAATTAATATATAATATACAATATATAATATATTAATTAATATATAATATATTATAATAATATATTAATACATACTAATATTAGTATAATATATTACTAATTAATATATTGTTTACATATTGTTAATATAAATTAATATAAGTTAATATGAATTAATATGTTATTAATTCATATTAATTATATTATTAATATAAATATATATTTACATTTAAACTTTAGATATATAAATATATTTTAAATGTTTTAAAATGTTCTCACATACTTATTTATATGATAGATATACACACGCACATGTAAAATAAAATGTCTCAAAATTACTGCCTGCAATGAATTCTGATTTCAGTTTATAAATGATGCTGCTTGCAACCCTATAAATTGATTTACTAATACAGGTCACTACTTTCAGTTTGAGAAACATTGTTCATGAAGCTAATCTTGCCTCGATGAAAGTTGAAAATTAATAAAATTGTTGGTCTATAATTCCCTCAAAGAAAGGCAAGAATGTTTCCTTTGTCTGGCATAGATTATGAGATGCTCAACAGAACTGTATTGTCTAGCTAACTGAAAGTTACTCCTGAAATTATTTTTCCTAAGACATATTATAAGATTCTCTGAATCATTAATGAAACCTGTTAAACATCATTTAACGTTTTTTTATGACAGCATGGCGATCAGGGATTATCCTAGTGAATTACGGTGTACCTATGTGCAGGGCTGCTGGGAGAGACTGGCCTTTTACCCCTACACTAAGTAGATTCACCACTGTGATGGTGATATTCATTCTCTCACTGCAGCTTAGTATGATTCACACATAATTCATTTCTGGGAATGACATTATTTATTAAAAACAATAATTCTTTATCTTGAGAGTTGCCATGACAATTGAAAGAAGCTACCAGGAAATTACTTTTGATAATACTGGGTAGAGGCTGAGAGTGCTGATTTTGGTGCCAGACTGCTGAGTTCAAATCCTACCTCAATCACATACAATCTGTAATCTTGGGCAAATTACTTAACTTCTTCAGTTTCCTCACCTGTAAAATGGGGATAATAATGGTATGTCACAGGGTTATTGTAAAGATTAAGTGAGCTAATCTATGTAAAGTTCTTAGAAAAGTGCCTGGTATAGAGTAAGCATTATATAAATGCTCATTGTTATTATTTCCATCCTCACAATCAGTTGTGATTGTCAACCTATGATTTGTTAACTGTTGTTACCTAGGAAGAGCAAATGATGAACATTGCTAATTTGAAATTTCATCCTGTAACTATAAGTTCATTAGTACTAGTTGAAACATGTAATTATAAGTATATCGGTACTAGATGAAACATCCAAAGTATAGGTGTCCAATCTTTTGGCTTTCCTGGGCTACACTGGAAGAAGAGACTTGTCTTGAGCAACACAAAAAATATACTAACACTAACGATAGCTGATGAACAAGTTGCAAAAAAATTTCATAATGTTTTAAGAAGGTTTACGAGTTTGTCTTGGGCTGCATTCAAAGCTGTACTGAACTACTTGCAGTCTGTTGGTTGCGGGTTGAGAGGTTCAAGCTTGGAGTAGGTGGTGATACTGTGGCAGCTATTTCCCTCACTGTTCAGAGGTGATTTTCTGTGGTTGTATTCTAGACAGTCACAGCTATCAAAGCCTGAGTTCTAGATAACTAGGAGATGTTGCTATATTATTACATATTAGTGTTAAATTAAAAAAATCCAAGCAGAGCCTTTGTCTATGTTTTCCTGAGAAACAATGAAAAGAGAATGCTGCAATTCTGTGATGACACTCGTAAGGGTAGAGAATTACCACACTCACGCAGATACTGTGTGGCTGGCTCTCAAAGGATTTGTGGATTCAGGATGCTACTTGATACTTTTCCCTAGTGACCTGGGCACTCTGAAGTCATAGCAAAAAGCTTTATTGATATATTGGCAATACTCTTTTCAGAAAAAATATAAAGGAAGAGTAATGAAGTGGAGTTTGGGGAGTTTTGAGTTCTCTCACTAATAGCCTATCCAACTCTTCCAGCATTCTGAGCCAAAACTACCCGGAATGGAATGGGCTGAGTAGTTGAATTGTATTTTTTTTTTAATTTTACTTTTTTCTTTATTTTATTTTAAAGAAAATTCAACCTAAATTTTTGCTGGGTGCTTCCTTGGGACTGGATTCTGTGCTGAGAAGTACTGAGCTTACTGAGTTTTACGCAGTTCCTGGCCCCCAGCAGGCTTACATAAACACTTAGGTTGAGAGGAAGGAACCCCTTACCCAGCTAGCTGGAGTCCTCCTCTTGAATCTCTGCTTTGGGACCAAGCAGCCTTCTCCAAAGTACTCTTGTCATATCCCAAGTGCTATTTTGTTTGAAGAGCTTCAGGAATTCAGTAATTCCTCCAATTAAAAGTACCTTAAGCCCCCTTTTAATAAAGGTCCTGTCCTGAGTGGATGCTGCTAGTATATCAAAATATGGTAAAAGAGATCTGTAATTTCTTTTGGCTTGTCTTTATTGTTAAAAGTAACTGAACTTCCCTATAAATAATGCATTGTCAAAGAGGCCATCTGAAAAAGACTGGTAGACTTTTTTTTTAACCTATGGTGTTATCAAGTGGTTATGAAACTGCAAACACTCCATTCCAAAAATAGTATAGGCTACTGGCAGGAAGGCTTTAAATAATGATGGCAACTGACAAAAAATTTAATAAAATATTTTCTTTTTGGACAATACTGAACATAAGAAATTCACATTTATATTTGATTTTCCTCATGATTCTCTGTAGAATTAAGAAGGTACAGCTCGTTGTAAAGTCTTCTATTTAAGCACTTACTAGCTTAGAGTTGAGAATAAAAATTCACAAGTTCTCACCTGAACTATTAATTTCTTCCTTTTTTTTTTATATGGAGTCTCGCTCTGTCACCAAGTTGGAGTGCAGTGGTGAGATCTTGGCTCACTGCAACCTCCGCCTCCCAGGTTCAAGCGATTCTCCTGCCTCAGCCTCCTGAGTAGCTGGGACTACAGGCGTGTGCCACCATGCCCAGGTAATTTTTGTATTTTTAGTAGAGACTGGGTTTCACCATTTTGGCCAGGAGGGTCTCGATCTCCTGACCTCATGATCTTCCCGCCTTGGCCTCCCAAAGTGCTGGGATTACAGGCGTGAGCCACCATACCCAGCCAATTTCTTCCTTTTTTATAATTTTAAATTAAACTCTAGTAAACTTTAAATAATGAATTGCTGGTACATTAAAGAAAATTGTAGGATTGACCCAAATAAAGGCACAGTCTACATTTCCAGTTACCATAAGATGAATCTCAAGTCAACTGAGCTCTGTAGTGTCTGGGAAAAGTATTTATTTATAGTACTGTGGTTTGGCAGGTGAGGTTATGTGGTCACAGCCTATATAGATAGCTCATTTGTATAGCAGTGTCAGTAGATAATTGCACATATACTACTATTGGCATTTATCATTTAAACCTTCACCAAACTTTCTTTTTGTTGTTTTATTTTCATGGAACACTTTCTTCATAAAATGTATTGTATAACTTCCCTTAATGCTGGTGGTTGAATACAATTTATCCTGGTTTTCAGCACTCAAATCTTCCTTCTCCTCTTTCCTTTCGCTTTCACAAGATTTACTTGGTGCAGTTAGTTTATTGCCTTTCAAATTATTTCATTTAATCATCTTAGAAAGAGTGATCATACACTCCTCTGTCTTATTTAAAATTTTCTCTCTTCTTCTTGATGTCTAGCTCTTTATCCATTAATTCTTTTAAAAGCATACTGACTCGTAATGAGACCTCTAAGATAGAAAGGTGGGGACACTATTCTGTCAGTGATCTTTTCTCTGGATAGAGAGGGGGATATGCCAAGGCAGATACAGCAACAAGATTTTAATAATGTTGCCTTTTGGAAGATGGAAACAGGAACATGACCTCAAAGACCTATAACTTACTACCCTGAAGAAGAACTGACTTAGGAAATAGAATTGCTATGATTTCACTGTTTTAAAAAAGTGTATTCTGCATAAGCAGTGTTTTGAGATGTCAAAGACAATTATACTGAATGACTATGCAAAAACAATTAGCACTAAATTCAGTCAAGTTTATTTTCTGGTTGGTTAGGGTAAAAGGCATCTTAGATAATTAAATTAAATAATTAAATAATTAAAATAGAAAGCAAGAGGATGTGAAGTAATAGAAACCCTCACACACTTCTGTTCAGAATGTAAAATGGTATAGCTACTGGGGAAAGCAATTTGGGGGTTCCTCAAAATGTTAAATACAGAGTTACCATATGACCCTGCAATTCTGCTCCTAGGTATATGCCCAGAGAAGCAAACACATATGATCACACAAAAACATGTGCAAGAATGCTCATAACAGCATTATTTAAAATAACAGAAAAGTAGAAACAACTCAAAGGTCCATCAACTGATGAGTGGATAAAAAAGATGTGGTATAATCCTATAATAAAGTATTGTCTTAAAAAGGAATAAAATACTGATACATGCTACAACACGAATGACCTTGAAAATATGTTGCTATGTGATAGAAGTCAGACATAAAAGGCCACATATTATAGTATCTGATTTACATGAAATGTTAAGAATAGTCACATACAGAGAGACAGAAAAGTAGATTAGTGGTTGCCAGGAAATGAGGTGAATGGGAAACTGGGAGTGACTACTAATGGGTACAGGGTTCCATGAGGAAGTAATGAAAATGTTCTAGAGTTAGATAGTAGTGATTGTTGCACAACATTGTGAATATACCAAAAACCACTTTGAGATTAAAAAGGTGGATTTTATGCTATTTGGGTTTTATCTCAATAAAAAAACTATCTAAAACATACAAAGCAAAAAATCACACTTAACACTAAAATTGACAAAATATAATTTTAGTTTTCTTTTTAGCCTCTATTGGACAGTCACTTTTTCAGTTTAAAAATCACAGCTCATTAATTTTGGCCTGTCACTGTCACAAAAACAGGAATTTGTAACTCACTGTAAAAAAGACACTACTGGATCCTTGGCAATATGAAAATATTATAAATGAAACTTAGCTGAAGCACTTGTAAGTGGGGTTGTCAGGTTCTCTTTAATGAGACCATCAAAATTCCTGAAACTTAGTAGCTGGCAGAAGGTCTACAGACAGAAATAATTATTTAAAATAATTATTGAATGTTAGAGTCACCTGGAAAATTAAAAAACACGCTGATGACTAGTTTCTATCCTTTTAAAAATTGTAATTTCAACTTTTATTTTAGATTCAGGGAACAAATGTGCAGGTTTGTTACCTGGGTATATCACACGATGCTGAGGTTTGGGGTATGATTGATCCCATCACCCAGGGAATGAGCATAGTACCTAATAGTTTTTTAGTCCTCTCTCTGCTCCCTACCTCCCTACTCTGTTAGTCCCCAGTTTCTATTGTTGCCACCTTTATATCCATGTTTACCCAATGTTTAGCTCCCACTTATAAGTAAAAACATGCAGTATTTGGTTTTCTGTTCCTGTATTACCTCACTTAGTATAATGGCCTCCAGCTGCATCCATGTTGCTGCAAAGGACATGATTTCATTCTTTTTTATTGCTGTGTAGTATCCCATGGTGGACATGTACCACATTTTTTAATCCAATCCACCTTTGTTGGGCACCTAGGTTGATTCCATGTCTTTGCTATTGCGAACAGTGTTGTAATGAACATGTGAGTGTATGTGTCTTTTGGGTAGAACAATATCCAAAAGAAACAATGTACTTTCTTTTGGATATATACCCAGTGGGATTGCTGGGTTGAATGGTAACTCTGTTTCAAGTTCTTTGAGAAATCTCCAAACTGCTTTTCACAGTGGCTGAACTAACTTACATTCCCAGCAACCGTGTATGAGCGTTCACTTTTTTTTCTGCAGCCTTGCCAGCGTCTGTTGTTTTTGACTTTTTGATAATAGCTATTCTGACTGGTGTGATATAGCATATTATTGTGGTTTTGATTTGCATTTCTCTGATGATTAGTGATGTGAGACATTTTTTCATGTTTGTTAGCTGTTTATATGCCTTCTTTTGAGAACTGTCTGTTCATGCTGCTTGCCCATTTTTAAATGGGGTTGTTTTTTGTTTGCTCAATTGTTTAAGTTCCTAACAGACGCCAGATATTAGATCTTGGTTGGAAGCACAGTTTGTGAAGATTTTCACCCATTCTGTAGGCTGTTTACTCTGTTGCTGGTTTCTTTTTCTTAAACTAAGAGCTTCTACACAGAAAAACTTGTCAGTTTTTGTTTTTGTTGAAATTGCTTTTGAGAACTCAGTCATAAATTCTTTTCCAAGGCTGATGTCCAGAATGGTGTTTCCTAGGTTTTCTTATAGGATTCTTATAGTTTGAGATATTACATTTGAATATTACATTCTTATAGTTTGTATATAGCTTGAGATATAATATATATCTTATAGTTTGTATATCATTTGAGATATATTTGAATATTACATTCTTATAGTTTGAGATATTACATTTGAATAATTAATCCATCCTGAGTTAATTTTTGTATATGGTGAAAGGTAGGGGTCCAGTTTCATTCTTCTACATATAGCTAGTCAGTATCACTTACTGACTAGCCATTTACTGACATTTACATTTATCCCAGTACCATTTACTGACTAGAGAGTCCTTTCCCCATTGCTAATTTTGTCATCTTTGTTGAAGATTAAATGGCTGTACTTGTGCAGCATTATGAGATCTTTCATCTCCTTGGTTAGATGTATCCCTAGTTGTACTTTATTTCTTTTGTGGCTACTGTAAATGGGATTACATTCTTGGTTTGGCTCTCAATGTGAACACTATTGCTGTATAGAAATGCTACTGATTTTTGCACATTGATTTTGTATCCAGAAACTTTACTGAAGTTGTTTATCAGTTCCAAGAGCTTTTTTGGTGGAGCCTTTAGGTTTTTCTAGGCATAGAATTATATAGTCAGTAAAGAGAGGTAGTTTGATTTCTTCTTTTTCTATTTTGATGTCTTTTATTTCTTTCTTTTACCTGATTGCTCTGGCTAGCACTTCAAGTACTGTCATGAATACAACAGGTGAGAAAAGGCATCCTTTTCTTGTCTTCAAGGGGAACGCTTCCAGTTTTTGCCCATTTATTATTATGTTGTTGTGGGTTTGTCACAGATGGCTCTTACTATTTTGAGAAATATTCCTTCAATGCCTAGTTTCTTTTTTTTTTTTTTTTTGAGACGGAGTCTTGCTCTGTCGCCCAGGCTGGAGTGCAGTGGCGGGATCTCGGCTCACTGCAAGCTCCGCCTCCCGGGTTCACGCCATTCTCCTGCCTCAGCCTCCCAAGTAGCTGGGACTACAGGCGCCCGCCCCTACGCCCGGCTAATTTTTTGTATTTTTAGTAGAGACTGGGTTTCACCGTTTTAGCCGGGATGGTCTCGATCTCCTGACCTCGTGATCCGCCCACCTCGGCCTCCCAAAGTGCTGGGATTACAGGTGTGAGCCACCGCGCCCGGCCGCCTAGTTTCTTAAGGTTTTTTTTTTTTTTTTTAACATGAAGGGAGGTTGGATTTTATCAAAAGCTTTTCCCACACCTATTGAAATCATGTGGTTTTTGTTTATAATTCTGTTTATGTGGTGAGTCAGATTTATTGATCTGTGTATGTTGAACCAACCTTGAATCCCAAGAAGGAAGCCTACTTGATATAGTTTGAATATTTGTATCTGTTCAAATCTCATGTTGACATATAATGCCCAATGTTGGAGGTGGGTCTTGGTGGGAGGTGTTTGAATCATGGGGGTGGGCCCTTATGGCTTGGTGCTGTCCTTGCAGTAGTGAGTGAGTACTTGTGAGACCTGATTGTTTAAGTGTGTGGCACCTCCCTCACACTCTCTCTTACTCCTGCTTCCCCTGTGTGATGTGCCTGTTCCTGTTTCACCTTCTGCCATGAATAAAAATTTCATGAGGCTTCCCCAGAAGCTGGCCAGGTGCTGGCACCATGCTTGTACAGGCTGCAGAACCATGAACAAATTAAGCCTTTGTTCTTTATAAATTACTCAGTCTTGGGTATTTTTTAATAGCATGCTAGAACACCCTAACACACTAGTTTATCATGGCAAATTAACTTTTTGATGTGCTGCTGTATTCAGTTTGCTAGTATTTTGTCAAGGATTTTTGTGTCTATGTTCATCAGAGATGTTGGCCTGTAGTTTGTTTTCTCATTGTGTCTTTGCCAGGTTTTAAATCAGGGTGATACTTGCTTCTTTTGAGAAATGTCTATTTAAGTTTGTTGCCTATATATATATATATATTTTTTTTTTTTTTTTAATTTTTGCTTTTTTTTAAAAAAAATTATTATTATACTTTAAGTTTTAGGGTACATGTGCACCTTGTGCAGGTTAGTTACATATGTATACATGTGCCATGCTGGTGCACTGCACCCACTAACTCGTCATCTAGCATTAGGTGTATCTCCCAATGCTATCCCTATATTTTAATAGGGTAATTGGCTTTCTTGTTATTGAGTAGTTTGATTTCCTTGTACCTTTTGGAATATTAACCCCTTATCTAATATATGATTTGCAAATATTTTCTCCTAATCTGTAGGTTGTCTCTTCACTCTATTTGTTGCTTCATCTGCTGTACAGAAGTTTTTTAGTCTGATGCAATGCCATTTGTCTATTTTTGCTTTTGTTGTCTGTGCTTTTGAGGTCATATCCATGAAACTTCTGCCTAGATTAATATCATGTAGATTTCCCCCTATATTTTCTGCATTAGTTTTATAGTTTCAGGGCTTATGTTTAAGTCTTTAATCTATTTTGAGTTGATTCTTGTATAAGGGATGAGATAAGGATCTAATTTCATTCTTCAGCATGTGGATTTCCAGTTTTCTCAGCACCATTTATTGAAGACACTGTCTTTCCCCATTGTGTGTTCTTGGTATCTTTGTTGAAAATCAATTGATCATAGATGTGTGGGTTTATTTCTGGGCTCACTATTCTGTTTCAGTAGTTGATAGATCTGTTTTAATGCCAGTAGCATGCTATTTTGAATATTGTAGCTTTGTAATATATTTTGAAATCTGATAATGTGATGCTTCCAGCATTGCTCTTTTTGGTCAAGATTGCTTTGGCTATTCAGAGTCTTTTGTGGTTCCATATGAATTTTATGATTTTTTTCTACTGCTATAAAGAATGACTTTGGAATTTTGATAGGATTGCATTGAATCTATAGATTGCTTTGGGTAGTATAGATCTCTTAACAATATTAATTCTTCCAATCCATACATATTTATCTTTTCATTTATTTTTACCATCTTCAATTTCTTTCATCAACATTTCATAGTTTTCAGTAAACAGATATTTCCCTTCCTTGGTTAAATTTACTCCTAAGTATTTTACTTTTTTGCTGCTTTTAAAAATAGGATTGTTTTCTAAATTTCTTTTTCATACAGTTTGTTGTTAGTTGGGCATTTAATTTTTAAAAGTTCCCCAGTGATTTTAATGGGTAGCATTTGATGGTTAATTTGGGAACCACTGACTTATATCATTTTTTCCCCTTGGAGCTTAGGAGACATTCTGCTTGCTACCACTAGAGCCTTGTGTCTGGTTCTCACATTCAAGTTTTTAGCCAGGAATGGTAGGAAAAAGTAAATGTGGGGCATTCCAATCCAAGCCTGAAAGTATAGCAATGCTTTGCCAACATTAAATTTCTGTCACTGAAATATCTGAAGCTAATGAAGTCTAAGGGGAGCCTTCTATTGCCAGAAGAAACCAACTGACAAATGAAACTTTGTTTTCTATCTTGTAATTTTGTTGAGGCCATTTATTCTCATTGATGATAATATACTTTTGCATGTAATTTCATTTTTGAAGCTTGAAATTTCAAATGCAACAAAATAGGGTCTTTTGTGATGAGCACATTAAAGCTTTTTAATTTTAGGGTTTAGAGGTGCAGTTAATATTCATTCATTCTTCATTTATTCAGCAGACATTGAACACCTGTTGATGTGCAGGCTTTAGCTTAACAACTCTGCTTGCTAAAACAGTATATTCAGTCCAAGGATCACAGCACACTGAACAGAATATTTTATGTAAAGGGGCTGGACCAGTTTCCTGAGAATGAGAATCATCTCAGTCACTGTTTCTTAATGATTTTTGCTCTATGTATTCTCTTGCTTGGTGGAATTACTACCACTACATATTAAAATTCCTAAGTCTATGTTCAGATTTTAAAAATGTTTCATATACAAATAGTTCCTGACTCATGATGGATTGACTTAGGATTTTTCAACTTTATGATGTGTTTATCAGGGTATTAAATGCATTTTCAAGTTTTGACATTTCTAACTTATGATTTTTTAAATTTACAACAGGCTTATTGGGATGTAACCTCATAAGCTGAGGAGCATTGGCATGCAATATACCTCTATTTTTATAAAGAGAATGACCAAGATGACAAATACAAAGATAAATATGGTCTACAAGCACATGGCCTCCAAAACGCAGGAACAGAGAACATTTTTATATTAATATTTATATATACACATATTGCTCAGAACATAGCTTGTCATTCTCTTATGTGCATGTTTTTAATTTTTTATTTTTTTCAGGTCTATATTAGTGCGGTAAGACAGCTGTGTCACACTTCCATTTTTCTAAACTAAGGGTTCTCAACCATGAATGAGTTTCCCAGGAGACATTTTGCAATGACTGGAGACATTTTTGGTTCTCAAGACTGGGGTAAAGGGTGATACTGGCATCTAGTGGGTTGAGGCCAGGGATGCTGTGAAACATATTACAATGCACAGGATGACAGCCACAACAAAGAATGATCTAGTCCAAAATGTCAATAGTGCCCTATTCCCAACAAATAATTAAAATCACTAAATTACAAAATAATTCTTCAAAATTTAAATATGTACCGAGTGAAATAAAAATTGAAAGCCTCAATATCTCCTACCCCCTTGCCTATCTAAACTTTCTTTTTCTGTCCAACAAAGAAAAATATCTTGCATTTTTAAGTCTTTTGGATATTTTTTGAGATGATCACATCAGCTATTCCCTGTTTCAATTAATCAACAAGTGGCATTTGTGTGTAAGGCACTCTTTAGGTGCAGTGAGAATTATAAAAATGACATGATATTTGGATCTACCTTGAAGATCGTAATCCAGTAGAGGAAATAACTCACGTACATAAGCAGATAGAGAAGTAGCTAATGAAAAAAGGCAGTTAAAGATAATAATTGCTTCAGAATATCACAGAAAGTAGTGATTAATGAGAACTGGGAGCCTGAGGGAGAGACAAAGGTTTCAGGGAGGAGTAAGAATAGGGTCATCAACTCAACCCAGTTTGCCGGAAATGGAAACATACTGAGGATGATTACCAACCACATACCACAAGAGAAACATCTGTACACAAACATGGGTTTATTTCCACCCATACCTACTGGATCAGAATCTGCATTTTAACAAATCCCAAGCTATCTGTATGCGCATTAAAACTTGAGATGCCTTTCCTTGGGCACCTGACCGCTAGCTAAGGCCTCCTTCTAATTGGACCAGTGGATTTCAACTCTGGCTGCACATTG
Organism: Homo sapiens; assembly: GCF_000001405.40. Classification (NCBI taxonomy): domain Eukaryota; kingdom Metazoa; phylum Chordata; class Mammalia; order Primates; family Hominidae; genus Homo; species Homo sapiens. The sequence continues at coordinate 42,667,602 of NC_000005.10, read as the reverse complement.
TAATCACTTGGGGATCTTTAACAAAATACCTTCCACAGGTTTAATTTAATTAGATTGGGGTGATGCCTGGGCATTGGTATTTTTCAAAATGCCCCAGGTGATTCTAATGTGCAGCCAACATTGGGGACCACTTATTAGAACAATGAGCTTCTATGTTATATTAGTACAATGAATTCCTTAAAGGAAAATATTGAAAGGCCCATCAAATACTGAGTTCTGTGAAAAACAAACCAAATAAGGATTAGTGAGGTGAAGCAGAATACATTGAATCCCCAGGGGCATCTGGGCCAACCTCCATATAAGAGGATGTTGACTGTGTCTGTGTTAGCTCTCAGAGGATGACAGTGAGGCAGACAACAAAAGCCACTCTTGTGGGTGATCTTCCTGGGGTCTCCCAGGGAGGTTCGACCTTAAATTCCACTTGTGTATAGCAGAAACATGCTCACGGCTGTGTTACAGGGGTTCTAAAGTTGCAATTTCAAATATATATAGTGGTGGGGTGTGCAGCTGCCTTAATTGTGGTAGTCATGGAAGTTAGTGTTAGATTCTTTGATGTAGATTCTGGGAGCAGAGCCAACTCCAAGCTCTAGAATGGCTCTGTGTCAGTTCAAACAATAGAATAGCCATGGTTGCCTTTGTGGGAAACCTACGACTTTTCACCAGAGCACATCATTAATGCCAACCCTGGCACCATTCTCCTGTGGCAAGTTTCCTTATTCCTCACAGTTATTGATTCATGTGCTTTTTCTGGGCTCTTTGTTGAAAAGATCTGCGATTTAGAGAGACACAACTTTCATGTGAACAAGCATCACCTGGGGATTGTGTTAAAATGCAGATTCAGTAGGTGTGAACTGAAATACTGCACTTTTGATAAGTTCACAGATGCTGTTGATTCTGCTCTGGGGACCACATTCTGAGCAATAAGAGCTTAGATCTGTGCTGTCCAATATGGTAGCCATGGGTCTTTCGTAGGTATTGAGCACTTGAAATGTGGCTAGTGTGACAGAGAATTGAATTTTAAATTTTATTCCATTTTAATTAATTTAAACTCAAATTTAAAAATAAAAAGAGTGAAAAATATCTTTTTCCTAAATGCAACATTAATAGTTTTGATAGGGCTATATTTCACTTTAATTGCTGAAAATTTCACATCCCAGTTGAGATGTGCTGGAAAGTTAAAATGCACACCCAGATTCTGAAGATTTATTAGGAAAAAATAATGTAAGAGATAGATCATTAACAATGAATGCTTTTATTAGCTTCACTACATGTCAAAATGATAATAGTTTGGATATATTGGGATAAATAACCTACTTTGTTAAAATTAATTTCACCCTCTTTTTAAATGTAACTACTAAAAAATTTAAAATGGCATATGTAGCTTGCATTATATTTGAAAGTGATAGTTAAGATAGTAGAACTTATTTAAAAGGAAAAACATAAATAGGAAGAATTCATAAAATATATTGCATTAGGCTTAAAAATAGAAGACCTGAAAACTGTTGCTGAATCGGCAAATTGTATGTCATGGTGATATGGTTTGGCTGTGTCCCCATACAAATCACATCTTGAATTGCACCTCCCATAATCCGCATGTGTCATGAGAGGGAGCTGGTGGAAGGTAATTGAATCATGGGGGCAGGTTTTTCTTGTGCTGTTCTCATGACAGTGAATAAGTCTCATGAGATCTGATGGTTTTATAAAGGGCAGTTCCCCTGCACATGCTTTCTTTTCTGCCGCCATGCAAGACATGCTTTTGCTCCTCATTCACCCTCTACCATGACTGTGAGGCCTCACCAGCCATGTGGAACTGTGAGTCCATTAAACCTCTTTTTCTTTTTTTTTCTTTTATTATTATTATACTTTAAGTTTCAGGGTACATGTGCACAATGTGCAGGTTAGTCACATGTGTATACATGTGGCATGCTGGTGTGCTGCACCCATTAACTCGTCATTTAGCATTAGGTATATCTCCTAAAGCTATCCCTTCCCCCTCCTCCACCCCCACAACAGTCCCCAGAGTGTGATGTTCCCCTTCCTGTGTCCATGTGTTCTCATTGTTCAATTCCCACCTATGAGTGAGAATATGCGGTGTTTGGTTTTTTGTTCTTGCGATAGTTTACTCAGAATGATGATTTCCAATTTCATCCATGTCCCTACAAAGGACATGAACTCATCATTTTTATGGCTGCATAGTATTCCGTGGTGTATATGTGCCACATTTTCTTAATCCAGTCTATCATTGTTGGACATTCGGGTTGGTTCCAAGTCTTTGCTATTGTGAATAGTGCCGCAATAAACATAGTGTGCATGTGTCTTTATAGCAGCATGATTTACAGTCATTTGGGTATATACCCAGTAATGGGATGGCTGGGTCAAATGGTATTTCTAGTTCTAGATCCCTGAGGAATCGCCACACTGACTTCCACAATGGTTGAACTAGTTTACAGTCCCACCAACAGTGTAAAAGTGTTCCTATTTCTCCACATCCTATCCAGCACCTGTTGTTTCCTGACTTTTTAATGATCGCCATTCTAACAACTGGTGTGAGATGGTATCTCATTGTGGTTTTGATTTGCATTTCTCTGATAGCCAGTGATGGTGAGCATTTTTTCATGTGTTTTTTGGCTGCATAAATGTCTTCTTTTGAGAAGTGTCTGTTCATGTCCTTTGCCCACTTTTTGATGGTGTTGTTTGTTTTTTTCCTGTAGATTTGTTTGAGTTCATTGTAGATTCTGGATATTATCCCTTTGTCAGATGAGTAGGTTGCGAAAATTTTCTCCCATTTTGTAGGCTGCCTGTTCACTCTGATGGTAGTTTCTTTTGCTGTGCAGAAGCTCTTTAGTTTAATTAGACCCCATTTGTCAATTTTTGCTTTTGTTGCCATTGCTTTTGGTGTTTTAGACATGAAGTCCTTGCCCATGCCTATGTCCTGAATGATAATGCCTAGGTTTTCTTCTAGGGTTTTTATGGTTTTAGGTCTAACATTTAAGTCTTTACTCCATCTTGAATTAATTTTTGTATAAGGTGTAAGGAAGGGATCCAGTTTCAGCTTTCTACATATGGCTAGCCAGTTTTCCCAGCACCATTTATTAAATAGGGAATCCTTTTCCCATTGCTTGTTTTTCTCAGGTTTGTCAAAGATCAGATAGTTGTAGACATGCAGTGTTATTTCTGAGGGCTCTGTTCTGTTCCATTGATCTATATCTCTGCTTTGGTACCAGTACCATGCTGTTTTGGTTACTGTAGCCTTGTAGTATTGTTTGAAGTCAGGTAGTGTGATGCCTCCAGCTTTGCTCTTTTGGCTTAGGATTGACTTGGCGATGCAGGCTCTTTTTTGGTTCCATATGAACTTTAAGGTAGTTTTTTCCAATTCTGTGAAGAAAGTCATTGGTAGCTTGATGGGGATGGCATTGAATCTATAAATTACCTTGGACAGTATGGCCATTTTCACAATATTGATTCTTCCTATCCATGAGCATGGAATGTTCTTCCATTTCTTTGTATCCTCTTTTATTTCATTGAGCAGTGGTTTGTAGTTCTCCTTGAAGAGGTCCTTCATGTCCCTTGTAAGTTGGATTCCTAGTTATTTTATTCTCTTTGAAGCAATTGTGAATGGGAGTTCACTCATGATTTGGCTCTGTTTGTCTGTTATTGGTGTATAAGAATGCTTGTGATTTTTGCACATTGATTTTGTATCCTGAGACTTTGCTGAAGTTGTTTATCAGCTTAAGGAGATTTTGGGCTGAGACAATGGGGTTTTCTAGATATACAATCATGTCATCTGCAAACAGGGACAAGTTGACTTCCTCTTTTCCTAATTGAATACTCTTTATTTCCTTCTCCTGCGTAATTGCCCTGGCCAGAACTTCCAACACTATGTTGAATAGGAGTGGTGAGAGAGGTCATCCCTGTCTTGTGCCAGTTTTCAAAGGGAATGCTTCCAGTTTTTGCCCATTCAGTATGATATTGGCTGTGGGTTTGTCATATATAGCTCTTATTATTTTGAGATATGTCCCATCAATACCTAATTTATTGAGAGTTTTTAGCATGAAGTGTTGTTGAATTTTGTCAAAGAACTTTTCTGCATCTATTGAGATAATCATGTGGTTTTTGTCTTTGGTTCTGTTTATATGCTGGATTACATTTATTGATTTGCAAATATTGAACCAGCCTTGCATCCCAGGGATGAAGCCCACTTGATCATGGTGGATAAGCTTTTTGATGTGCTGCTGGATTCGGTTTGCTAGTATTTTACTGAGGATTTTTGCATCAATGTTCATCAAGGATATTGGCCTAAAATTCTCTTTTTTGGTTGTGTCTCTGCCAGGCTTTGGTATCAGGATGATGCTGGCCTCATAAAATGAGTTAGAGAGGATTCCTTCTTTTTCTATTGATTGGAATGGTTTCAGAAGGAATGGTACCAGTTCCTCCTTGTACCTCTGGTAGAATTCGGCTGTGAATCCATCTGGGCCTGGACTCTTTTTGGTTGGTAAGCTATTGATTATAGCCACAATTTCAGAGCCTGTTATTGGTCTATTCAGAGATTCAACTCTTCCTGGTTTAGTCTTGGGAGGGTGTATGTGTTGAGGAATTTATCCATTTCTTCTAGATTTTCTAGTTTATTTGTGTAGAGGTGTTTGTAGTATTCTCTGATGGTAGTTTGCATTTCTGTGGGATCAGTGGTGATATCCTCTTTATCATTTTTTATTTTTCTACTCTCTTTTCTTCTTTATTAGTCTTGCTAGTGGTCTATCAATTTTGTTGATCCTTTCCAAAAACCAGCTCCTGGATTCATTAATTATTTGAAGGGTTTTTTGTGTCTCTATTTCCTTCAGTTCTGCTCTGATCTTAGTTATTTCTTGCCTTCTCCTAGCTTTTGAATGTGTTTGCTCTTGCTTTTCTAGTTCTTTTAATTGTGATGTTAGGGTGTCAATTTTGGATCTTTCCTGCTTTCTCTTGTGGGCATTTAGTGCTATAAATTTCCCTCTACACACTGCTTTGAATGCGTCCCAGAGATTCTGGTATGTTGTGTCTTTGTTCTTGTTGGTTTCAAAGAACATCTTTATTTCTGCCTTCATTTTGTTATGTACCCAGTAGTCATTCAGGACCAGGTTGTTCAGTTTCCATGTAGTTGAGTGGTTTTGAGTGGGTTTCCTAATCCTGAGTTCTAGTTTGATTGCACTGTGGTCTGAGAGACAGTTTGTTATAATTTCTGTTTTTTTCCATTTGCTGAGGAGAGCTTTGCTTCGAACCACGTGGTCAATTTTGGAATAGGTGTGGTGTGGTGCTGAAAAAAATGTATATTCTGTTGATTTGTGATGGAGAGTTCTGTAGATGTCTATTAAGTCCGCTTGGTGCAGAGCTGAGTTCAATTCCTGGGTATCCTTGTTAACTTTCTGTCCCGTTGATCTGTCTAATGTTGACAGTGGGCTGTTAAAGTCTCCCATTATTATTGTGTGGGAGTCTAAGTCTGTTTGTAGGTCACTCAGGACTTGCTTTATGAATCTGGATGCTCCTGTATTGGGTGCATATATATTTAGGATAGTTAGCTCTTCTTGTTGAATTGATCCCTTTACCATTATGTAATGGCCTTCTTTGTCTCTTTTGATCTTTGTTGGTTTAAAGTCTGTTTTATCAGAGACGAGGATTGCAACCCCTGACTTTTTTTGTTTTCCATTTGCTTGGTAGATCTTCCTCCATCCTTTTGTTTTGAGCCTGTGTGTGTCTCTGCACGTGAGATGGGTTTCCTGAATACAGCACACTGATGGTTCTTGACTCTTTATCCAATTTGCCAGTCTGTGTCTTTTAATTGGAGCATTTAGTCCATTTACATTTAAAGTTAATATTGTTATGTGTGAATTTGATCCTGTCATTATGATGTTAGCTGGTTATTTTACTCGTTAGTTGATGCAGTTTCTTCCTAGCCTTGATGGTCTTTACAATTTGGCATGATTTTGCAGTGGCTGGTACCTGTTGTTCCTTTCCATGTTTAGTGCTTCCTTCAGGAGCTCTTGTAGGGCAGGCCTGGTGGTGACAAAATCTCTCAGCATTTGCTTGTCTGTAAAGTATTTTATTTCCCCTTCACTTATGAAGCTTAGTTTGGCTGGATATGAAATTCTGGGTTGAAAATTCTTTTCTTTAAGAATGTTGAATATTGGCCCCCACTCTCTTCTGGCTTGTAGAGTTTCTGCCAAGAGATTAGCTGTTAGACTGATGGGCTTCCCTTTCTGGGTAACCCGACCTTTCTCTCTGGCTGCCCTGAACATTTTTTCCTTCGTTTCAACTTTGGTGAATCTGACAATTATGTGTCTTGGAGCTGCTCTTCTCGAGGAATATCTTTGTGGCGTTCTTTGTATTTCCTGAATCTGAATGTTGGCCTGCCTTGCTAGATTGGGGAAGTTCTCCTGGATAATATCCTGCAGAGTGTTTTCCAACTTGGTTCCATTCTCCCCGTCAATTTCAGGTACACCAATCAGACATAGATTTGGTCTTTTCACATAGTCCCATATTTCTTGGAGGCTTTGTTTCTTTTTATTCTTTTTTCTCTAAACTTCCCTTCTCACTTCATTTCATTCATTTCATATTCCATCACTGATACCATTTCTACCAGCTGATCGCATCGGCTCCTGAGGCTTCTGCATTCTTCATGTAGTTCTTGAGCCTTGGTTTTCAGCTCCATCAGCTCCTTTAAGCACTTCTCTGTATTGGTTATTCTAGTTATACATTCTTCTAAATTTTTTTCAGAGTTTTCAACTTCTTTGCCTTTGGTTTCAATTTCCTCCTGTAGCTCGGAGTAATTTGATCGTCTGAAGTCTTCTCTCAGCTCGTCAAAGTCATTCTCCGTCCAGCTTTGTTCCGTTGCTGGTGAGGAACTGCGTTCCTTTGGAGGAGGAGAGGTGCTCTGCTTTTCAGAGTTTCCAGTTTTTCTGCTCTGTTTTTTCCCCATCTTTGTGGTTTTATCTACTTTTGGTCTTTGATGATGGTGATGTACAGATGGGTTTTTGGTGTGGATGTCCTTTCTGTTTGTTAGTTTTCCTTCTAACAGACAGGACCCTCAGCTGCAGGTCTGTTGGAGTTTGCTAGAGGTCCACTCCAGACCCTGTTTTCCTGGGTACCAGCAGCGGTGGCTGCAGAACAGCGGATTTTCATGAACCTTGAATGCTGCTGCCTGATCGTTCCTCTGGAAGTTTTGTCTCAGAGGAGTACCTGGCCGTGTGAGGTGTCAGTCTGCCCCTACTGAGGGGTGTCTCCCAGTTAGGCTGCTCAGGGGTCAGGGGTCAGGGACCCACTTGAGGAGGCAGTCTGCCTGTTCTCAGATCTCCAGCTGCATGCTGGGAGAACCACTGCTCTCTTCAAAGCTGTCAGACAGGGACATTTAAGTCTGCAGAGGTTACTGCTGTCTTTTTGTTTGTCTGTACCCTGCCCCCAGAGGTGGAGTCTACAGAGGCAGGCAGGCCTCCTTGAGCTGTTGTGGGCTCCACCCAGTTCGAGATTCCCGCCTGCTTTGTTTACCTAAGCAAACCTGGGCAATGCCTGGCGCCCCTCCCCCAGCCTTGCTGCCACCTTGCAGTTTGATCTCAGACTGCTGTGCTAGCAATCAGCGAGACTCCGTGGGCGTAGGACCCTCCGAGCCAGGTGCGGGATATAATCTCCTGGTGCGCCGTTTTTTAAGCCCGTCAGAAAAGCGCAGTATTAGGGTGGGAGTGACCCGATTTTCCAGGTGCCATCTGTCACCCCTTTCTTTGACTCGGAAAGGGAACTCCCTGTCCCCTTGCGCTTCCTGAGTGAGGCAATGCCTCACCCTGCTTCGGCTCCTGCAAAGTGTGCTGCACCCACTGTCCCGGGCCCACTGTCTGGCACTCCCTAGTGAGATGAATGCAGTAGCTCAGATGGAAATGCAGAAATCACCCGTCTTCTGTGTCGCTCACGCTGGGAGCTGTAGACCGGAGCTGTTCCTATTTGGCCATCGAAGAGAACTTTTTTAAACCTCTTTTTCCTTACAAATTACCCAGTCTCAGGTATGTCCTTTTGGCCGTGTGAGGATGGAGTAATACACATGGCATAGTGCTAACATCCATTTTGATGAATCCTTTCCCTTTGGTCTACCTTCCTGAGAAGCTCAGAGTTTTCATCGAGTTCATAGATACTCAAGGGCCCCTCAGTGGGAAACTTGACCTAATCTTCTTGTGCAGAGTTTCTAATATTTGAAAACTTTCCTACCTTATTTCCTTTAAAACACACCCATCCTGCTTTCTAATCTCAGAGCCTTGGTAGGTAGGGGTAGTATGCAGCAGCAGAAAGAACACAGTCTTTGAAGCTAGCTGGATTTCAGTTTGAATCCCAGCTGTGCAACTTGCTAGTAATGTTACATAAGTTCTCTAAGCTCCAGTTTTCCCCTGTGTAAAATGAGAGCAAAATACCTGCTTATACAGTTGCTGAAAAATAAATCAGATTATTATAGAGTACTTGGCACTTGGTTAGTCTTCAATAAACAACCACCACCATTATTACACTACTCTAGTGGGTTAATAGATCCCCAAGCCTTCATTTGTTGACCTCCAAGAAAATGTCTGAAACTTAGAAAGCCTTATATATTGCAATGCCTTAGCCTAAAAATATGCCTCAAAATTAGAATCTAAAGCACAGATTAGACAACTCTCTTCATAACCTACCAAAATGGAAGCTACTTTTAATCCACATCCACTCTTAAATATAAAACAAATTTAGGTCAGAAGTAATGGACTCCCTAGGCTTTATGGTAGGGTTTCTCAACTTCCACACTATTGGTATTTTGGATCAGATCATTTGTTGCTGTGGAATGCTGTCCTGTGCATTAGAGAATGCTTATCATCATTCCTACTCTCTACCTACTAGATGCCAGTAGCACCCCCTCTTTTCCAGTGTGACAAGTAAAATGTCTCTAGACATTGCCAAATGTCCCCTGGGGGGAAAAAAATCACCCTTGATGAGAACCACTATGGTATGAGAATTATAATTCACTTTATAAAGCTCAATTGCAGATGCTCTGATTACATTTGCATTGGATAATTCTTACTGTATATAAGCAAAAATAACAATGGATAAAAGTTCTTTTTAACCATGATTGATTGAGCTCCTACTTTGTGCTAAGTTTTTGCCATTTGCTTTCTCATTCCATCTTCACAACTCTTCTGTGGAGTATGCTGTATATATTATTATAACCCTCATTTTACAGAGAAGGAAACTTAACTTCAGGAAAGTTAGATAATTTTTAGCCAAAACACAAAGGTAATAAGTAGCAAAGCTGGGATGTGAATCCAGATTTTTCCCACTTCAAAGTTTTCTTCCCATAGGTAGCACTGCCCACTGCCTCTTTCAGTTTTATTTGGATTTTCTTTTTATGGTAAGGTTGCTTTTTTTTGGCATTAGGTTCAGAAACTTATCGGTTTCTATGAGCTGTTAGATAGCTAGTAATAATTAAGAGTCCTGTACTTGATTTGAGATAGTTTTGTACTTCCTCTTTTACCCTAATTTATATGAACAAACAGAAAAGCATCTTTATTATCAGAAATATCTGAATTCCCTAAGCAATAATGCCACATCCCCTCATAAAAAATGAGAAACTAAAGACAAGTCCTGATTCTGAAAAGTTTTCAGCCTGGTTGGGAAAATAAGACTTATACCTATGAAATAAGCTGAAAATAAAACATTTTAGGACCACCTACTCAGAAGAATACCCAGCTACTATTAGGTGGGAGGATCACTTGAGCTCAGGAGTTTGAGGCCAGCCTGGCCAACAAGCAAGACTCCACTATAAAAGCAAGAAAAAGGAACATTTTAGGATATACTGGAGTAGCTATATAAAACTTCATAAGGAAAGGGAAACACCAGTATGTTACTGTAGACTTATAGTACTTCATAGAGAAGTTACAGTAGGAAATAGAGTGACAAAAAAGGGATAGAGATTAGGAAGTTGATTATAACAGGTATTATACTTCTAAATTCCCATTATGAGTGAAGAGAAGAGGTCAGGTGCATATTGGCAAGTATCTACTTATCCACTAGTGGACAATATCCCATTGGACAACTCTCAAGAATAAAAGGAATAAAATCATGGTCCACATTTTCCTCTCTCTCTTTCTAGCCAGGATCTCTGCTTACTTCTAACCATCACCAAAGGATAGATGGCCACTTAGAAGAACTAGAGAAGCCGTATTCATTTCTGGCATTAAAAAGGACTCTAAAAACACTACTTTGGCAGAGAAAATCATTTATATGTAGACACAGACTCTTAGAGCTAGAAGAGACCTTAACAGTCACCTGGACCTACCATTTCATTTTAGATATGAAGAAAATGATGCCTCCAAGAGAGAAATAAATTGCCCATGGTCACACTACTGGTAAGAATCCATGCTGTGTTTTGCTGCCTCCATGAGGAAAAAATCATGGTCACTAAACTGAGATGATCTCTTAATGATTACTCTTATATATTTACTTCATATCCACCAACTGCTAAGCCCCTACCCAGTTTCCAAATGTCACATTTATAGAAAATGAACGAAGGTTGATCCTGAGCCCTAGATTCTATGACACAAGATTAAGACCATGTTCAGGGTTACAGTGATAAGAAAGGTCCCTGACTAGGCATTTTGTAAACTTATAAGAAACCAGAAAAAAAGAATCATTTTGAGTACTGATATTCAACTACATAATGGGCTCAAAATTCCTTGTATAATCAACATACTTTATTACACTAGATGGCAGCAAATAAGTAGCTAGATATATAGTCAGTTAATCAGGAAATGGAAAACAAAATGAAACTACACAGAGATTGGGTCTAAATTTGCTGGAATAAAGTAAATGTCCATGAGCATTAAGCTCTTGCATGCTCCAAAACATTCTTGAAGAAGGCATGATTGTATATATTTTTTAAATCAAGCTTCCTCCTTACACATAGTAGGGTGCTAAACAATGTGGTGAATTGCTGCAACTTTGAATTGTATAACTGCTGATTCCTCGCCAGGTAGGGCAATACAATATATATTTTCAAGATTTTTTTCTCTGGCCATCAGAGGCAGCATAATAATAGAGAATGGGGGATGGACAGGAGTGCAAAGATAGGCTTTAGAGGTGATGTTGCAAGATACGACATCAGGATTCACAGGACAGAAAAGAACATTAACAAGAGCTGGCTGTGAATATTGGCAAACAGGTATTTGAAATTAAATAAAAATAGAGGCTACAGTTTACTGTCTTCAAAATGGACCATGCAAGACAATCCACTGGGTAATGAGAAGATACTAAAATGTTTATTTATATGTGTTGTTTATATAAAATAGGAAACAAATGAAAGTTTTCTAATATTGAGCATGTAAGAGTTGCATAAAGCCTTCAGTCAGCCTGTGTCTGAGTCACATGTTGCATTTGCTATGAGAGGAATTTTGCAGGAAGAGTGGGAGTGTTACCGTTCAGAGGGGTTGTTTGTAGTATCTTTAGTTACCTCTTCATGTAACATGTTAGAACATGTTTTTTGCAGGTTCTGTATGACTGATTTTGTGGATAGATTATACTGATTTAAAATTGATTTAACTAATAATTGTATAACAAATAAGTGAGTTAAAAAGATTCATGTAAAGAAACTTCATACTGAAGGTAAAACTAATTATGCAAGCCCAAATCAACAATAAGAAAATGGCTGGGCTAATACTTTTCTTAACCCTAGAATAAGCTTTCATCAACTCTAACCAAATCTGATAAGCTGTCTTCCAAAATAGGAAATTATCCCAAAGACTATTTGAAATAAAGATCTACTCCTACTGCTGTTAAGAATGAACCTTTAACTTAGTATACATTGTGCTTTTTTCAGAAATGAGACAGTGTCTCATTTCGGTAGACAGTGTCTACTAATGCCAATTTTATATTTTATATTAAACCAAATTTATATATATTTTATGTTTGACAATGAACAGAATATATTAGAACCTTGTACATATATATAACTTACAAATATGTAAACATATGTATCATGTGTTCAAAAATTACTTTACTAATGGGATGTAGAATACAAATTTTAGTGACTTATGACTGAGCATAACCCCGTCATACATGAATGAATAAAATGAGGCAAGAGGCTTAGAGTCTGCCAATGTCACCACGGAGCAGCAATGTCCAAATTCTTATTATTCAAACACTTTCTGTTCCATTCTACTTTGCTTCCACATCTTCCTCAGGTTTATCTAATTAGGTAACATTTAGGTACACAAATCCAAGGCAGAGCCCTGGGCTCCTTATCCTCTTACAGCTCTCCAAGTGCCCTCATCCTGAAATAATTGCTCTGTTAGAAGCACAAAGGTGTGAAAAATATTAAAGGAGCAGCATCTGCCCGTCAAAGAAAATGCAACTATGTGGAAAGGAAGGGCCCAAATATTAGAGCAGAAAGACACTACAGGATAAGCTAAGCACTTATTCTCATAATGAAATATTTTTGGATGAACGTCCATAAAGCAAGAGAATTCCTAAAAATGTATTCGCTATTTTGGACTATATAGGAGAATGAGGAATGGCTTAAAAATGAGAGGTTGACTTGGGGCTGGAGAAGATAGTCTGGCATTCAGGGGCAGACACAAGGGGATGAGGGGATGAGAGGAAACCCTTTCAGATGAGGAGTTTCAAGGCCATGATAATTTACTTACATGTTGGCTCGCTTTTTCTTATAGAGCCTTGCCAAGTGGCTGCAATCAATAGTCTGCACAAACTAGGCTGCAATCATAGTCTGCATAAACTCTGCTAGAGTAGGTACGTGCTCTTCCTAAATGCCAGTGCTTGCAAAATGTGGTCTTGGGAGTCTGGTCCACCTGCAGCAAAACCACTGGGGTAGCTTGTTTTTAACATCAAGCCCCTGAACTCCACCTCAGGCTACTGAGTCAAACTCTGGGACAAGCTTAGGAAACTCCATTTTTGCCCCCTAGTTGATTTATATCTTTTTGGGTCTCAACTCTCAGGCAGAATGTGCTGTCTGGTAAGCGGAAAAGGAGAAAAGACAAGATCAGAGGCTCTGCTATTGGCCTAAGGTAATTAGAGGCTCACATTTGGAAGACAGTGTAATATTCATGTTATAAGATTTGGTGAGACGTAAAACAACTTCTGGCTTATAAAGGAAATTAAACACCAGAACTGGATAAGTTTAAGGAGAGATTACAAATCTTCATCTTGAAAAGAGGGACAACTTGTTTTGGGTCTTTCGGGACATGCATTTGCCTACATGGGGGGCAGGGCATTGGTACAGAATCAGTTACTATGTGAAACTATGTTCCATAAATAGAGACGTTTAATGCTCAAGAAAACCACAGAAGACAGTTTGTATTATTCTCATTTTATAGATGGGGTAAGTAAGACTCTGAGAGGTAAAGCATCTTACCTACATTCATTCAGTTAGTAAGAGACAACGATGGAATTTGAATGTGCATTCTGAAATTTACAACCTGTGCATTTTCACCTGCCTTGTCCTACTACCTGTCTGGTTCTAAAATTCAGGGTACCATTGGTTAAACAGATGAGGGAAAAAATAAAAGCATAGAAGAGATAGGAAAAAAGAGTGAATAGCTAATGTATCTGGCAAAAAGGAAATATGCAGTACTCACTGGGAGCATTTGATAGAACTAAAATAACTCTTACAACACTGGGGAGAAAAGGAATCTTTTTAAACTTATGACCTCATACCCTTGAAGTTGTAGGTCAACCAACAGGAAATATTCACTTGATTTGGACTAGAACACAGAGTTCGTATCTTAGAGGAAATTTTATAGGATCATCAACAGCGACAAGCAGTCAGGTCAGCTGTTGAATTTCACATCTTCCATGGACAGAGAAGGCTTAATATCCCCCTAGAGCAATGGTCTAGCACTGATTCAAGAAGCAATATCTCTCAATTAGAAGCCACAGATGCCACTTCCTATATCAACCAAGATTTTCTGAGTGGTCCCTTACCATTCCGTAATTATTAATGTAACTTTATTTATGGGCTCAGACAGGTCTTAGGACAGAAATTAAGTGTGGTTGTTATGCACTGTGCCAATACAGCTGAATTACATTTGTTACCATGCCCATAATACAACCTCACAAGCTCAATATGACTTTCTCTACTCTGATTTGTATTGGTGCTTTTTGATCAATGACTAGGGCCCGGATGAGCAAACCTGGGGTTTAGAACAAGATAGGGATGGCAGAAAGATCTGAGGTTTTGGGGTCAATATATCCTGAGTTTGAATCCTTGCTTATTTGATTCTAGAAAACTAATACGTTATCTTGCAGCCTGAGATTCCTCAAATTCAGTGAAATAGGGATGACAAGAGTAACCTTACTGAATTATTATAAGATAAACTCCAAAAAGTGCCTGCTTAATAAATGTTTAACATGTCTCATTCAGGAAATTCTGCTACTATTATCCACATACTAAAGCTCATTTTAACATATTTATGATGATAACAAGAGCCAATGTTTATTGGGCACTATGATCTGTCAGGCCCTGTTCTGACATCTTTTAGTATATGGTCTTGCTCAATTCTCCTAACCACAGTATGAGATGGGGGTTGATCGTAATCCTTTTGTAAAGATGAGAAAACTTTGGCCCAGAGATGGAAAGCACCATGCCCAGGAAGTCCTACTTCAAAGTTCACACTGCTTCTCATTATTCTAGAAGAAGATTTCTACATCAGGAGGATGTAAAGAGGCACTGTAGCACAGTAGTACAGAGCAAGGATGCTTGAGTCAGGATGTGTGGATTTGAATCAGGGTCCACATTCAGCTGTGTGTGATTTCAGCAAGTCACTTCTCTTCCTTGTGCCTCAGTCTCTTTATCTGTTAAAGAGGGATAACAGTACCTACCTCAGAGGCTTGTTACAGCACTATTAATGATTTAAAATATGTAAAGTGCTCAGAACTAAAGTGCTTAGTTTACCTGGTAAACACAATATAAATACTATCTTGATAATATTTTCAAGTGGTAAATCTGATAATGAATGTCTCGACACTGGAACTGCAAGCAGTCTATATTCTTGCTCCTTTCAATGACTACAAAACTTCCTCACAGTTTTGCATCAAATAGTAATTTTGCTAGTGTTTCATAAACTAAATAAAACATCTTGGTTTCTTCTTAACACAGTAACCAATTTTGGCTTCTGTGTGAATTGAATGGCACTAAAAGCCACTTCAGGTCAATGAAATCATAGGGTAAGAAAAAGAGAAGAAATAAAAACATGGTCTTTCAAATTAAGCATCTATCTGACTTCTAGCCATACCAACAGAAAGTGTCAACTTCACCACATGAATGTAATTTTAAAAATCTACACTGTAGCAGTTTTATCAGTTTTATTTTTCAAGGCCCAAATCTTGAGTTTAGGATATAAAAGTTTGAAAGTTCAGAATTCCCTATAGTTGTCTAAACTATCTGTAATACAAAATCTAGTACTTTCATTCTCTCTATTTGGTATAGGAAGTGAGATGTATGCAATATTTTACTTAATTCCTGCAGCAGATAATGTATCAGATTATACTTTTGAACATTCCTCTGGTCCCACAAATCTTGGCTTATGATGTTGAATTTGAAATCCATGGAGCAGCATATCAATAAAATAGCATCTATACCTTTCCCTTTTTGCATGATCTTAAAGTAAAATGGATACAATTGAATTATGCCCCCAAATATTTTAAGATATAGTTCATTTATAGAATTTAAAATACTGTATTTTTTCTTAAGAAGTTTTTCTGGCTAATTTTTTTAAAGCCAAGAGTTTAACTCGAGAGTGAGGTGAATATACTATTGGATTTAGTAGAACATTAAAAAAAGTACTCATATTGGGATATAACACTGAAGATGATAGCAGAAGTCTCACCAAATAAAATCAGCTTTCTCTTTTAATTAAAAAACCACCATCCATCTTCTGGATTAATAATGTCAGTTTGGAAAACTGTTAAAGAAACAGTTACTGGACAGATGCAATAGGGGCAATAAGTGGAAATGGAGAAGCAGAGAGAGGAGAGAATGAAAACAGGTCAGTGTGTCACTTTAAGAAGTATGTCCTCTCCCATTTCTCATTGTTCCAGTATACTATGGTATGGCTGAGAGAAGCCTGTCTCTTGGCCCATATATGCCTATTCATGTAGGGCCCCTGGACTGCTCCTTTGAAACCCCACTCACAGTGGGCTACCACGCACCAAAGCTTCTGTTTCATTCTCAACACTGCACAGGGTATTCATTTATAACTTAGCTCAGCCTTGGAACCTAAAGGTTCCCCCAACCCCTTGGAATTTACAAGATGTTGGAAAGGCTATACACAGGATTAGAGATGTGGTTAGGTGGAGTTTGAAGGTAACTTAGGACCAAACAATTAAAAAGAAGTAGAGCCTTTGCCTCTCAGATGAGAACCAAGTACACCTTAGAGGAACACATGTGCAGTGTGGCTTCTTTGGCATCAAATCCTGAGTAGCTCCAGCCTTGTCAGCATTCCTGAAAGTCTCCCAGAATCATCACTGGGGTCCTTAATGCCCAAGCAGAAATCTTTTTTTCTAGGATGAAGACATCAGGCAAATCCCGTTACCATTATCTCTTTTCCCTATTCAACAATTCCACTATTTTTCTAGCAAAGTCCTCATAGATTTATATGGTAAGCCCAGCTTATCCTAATGAAGACCTATAAACCTTCAGACTTTAAAATCACCTTGGAGTTTATAGCTGTAGGCTGATAAAGCCTACTTCAATGCATGGATTACAATGCTTGAAAAAGTGCTCAAGACAAATTCTGTGTTACCTACTTATTTGGGGAATCTGGTTCAGGATCCCAAAAGGGCAGCAACAATTATAACAATCATGTGCTTCATAGACAAAGACTTTCATTTGCTATATGTTATCTTTGCATTCACTCATCTAACACATTTTATTTCAACCATCAGTGCCGCCTGATGTGATTACAAAGTAATAAAACTGATCATTTTGATCATTATGCCAGCAGTCATAGACATACATATATATATATATATATATATATGTTATCTGTAAAAGTGAGTACATTGGGAAGTTTTACATAAATTCCAATGATGTTACTACTACTCAAACAATTTTTAAACCTCTTCTTTTGGAATTATCTTTAGAGTTAAATTAATTGATGACCTACATAAGAAAATGGGCCTTATTACCTTTTAATTCCAGCCAATCTAATTTAATTTAATACAGTGAAAGTTTTTGGAGCAAATAAATTCTTTATCTAGAACTGGTTGGTACTAGCATTTTCCTGTCCTTGCTTGCAAATCCCTCAGGCAACTGCAGATGACTGGGATAGTGAATATAATGCAAGCATTTCAGTGTCACTGCTGCTTTCTGTAATACTATTCAGTAAATTTATGTGCCCTCTTATGTGACTTTGAGCAACATCACGGTCTAAGGAAAATGGAGACAAGAGCCCTCAGTAGATTTTAAGTACTTAAGATCCACAGCCATATTTTTTTTCTTTCTTGACAGTTCCCGTCACCCACGACCCTTCCCTGGGTCACTTAAGATAAATTTATTCTAATAATAGGTGCTCAATCAATATTCTCACTTCACTAGAAGGTTGAAGGTTAAAACCTACTAATTTTTTCTTCCAACTGAAGTCTATATTTCTTAAAGGAAAGAGCTCTGGTTTCTTCCCTGGGTGGCTGGCTCACCATTCAAGTAAACAAGATTTTAAGAAAATTTTCAGTTTTCTCAACCTGTCACCTTGTTTTCTAGCAGTTAAACCAAATCCTTGTTTTAGGGGTACTTTATTTTCAAAATGTTTGCAGAAATCACCCCACTCTATGCCCAGGAGAACATGCTTTTAAGATTTAATTATTTTAACTAGTTCCGATAAATCATTTCATCTCTTTCTTAGTTATCCTGGATGTTCTTTTGTGTGAAGGATGCTGCTTATCCAGAGTAGGAAGAAAGGCCCAGGGAAGAGATGACAGTTTTCCATATGTCTGTTGCCAAGAGCCTTTTAAAGGGGGCCAGCCATTTTGGCTTTGCTGCCTCTTAAATGTGGCTTTATGTCTAATTCTGTGTTACTTTGCAAGTATCAAGTGACTTGCATGTTATTACTTTAATAATTTTCTCTTTTAATAATTAATATTTATCTTCAGTTTATTTTTCTCAAATTCATTAAGGTATTTTGTTTAGTAACTTAAATTAATCATTGTTATTATTATTTAAAAAGTACTCTGTATTCCATTTATAAAATTCCTAATTAGAACCTCTTTAAAAAATGTTCTGAAGAATCTCAGCTTTTGGGTTGGGTATATAGTTTTCCCTTATGTTAATGAAATATTAGTGACTCACTACACTGCATATTTTTAGAGCTGAGCACAAAAAGAAAGGAAACTAACATCAAACTTTGTGGGAATTTTCATACGAGCTTATAAAGTAGGTAGTATTTATACTTGTTTACAGATGAGAAGCTTGTCCAAAAATCCCACAGCTAGTAAGTATCAGTGTCAGAACTGAAGCCAAGTCTGTCTGATGCAGTCTGAATGCTCCAGTTAGGCTTCTGAGGTGGCTCCTCATTTGAGTTCCATTTTTCAAATACTCCCTTCATTTGAGGAAAATGTTAGGAAAATCAGTTGTGCCTTTTGAACTTATCAGACAGAAAAGACTATCATTACTCTTTGAGAAATAAGAAATATTGGTCAGGTTTAAGAGACAGTATCTTAAGGGCTAAAGATATTGCAGGTTGTCACAGCTTGTTGAGGTTGCTATAAAATAAGCGCAGTCAGAAAAAACCTAAATCTGCAGGCGGTTGCTATATAAACTGTCAGTCAGCTACAGGAAACCTCCCTATTTCCAATTCACCTCCTCCATCTTTTCATCCTCTTACTATTACTACCATTACTACCACCACCACTACTACTACTACTACTACTAGTACTAGTAGTAGTACTATTACTTATTGTTATTATATATTTAGAACAGAACAGGGAGTAGGATAAGACAAGGATAACTGAATTCCCAGATTTCCGATATAATAAAGAAGGGGAGGGGTTTCTGTTTTGAAGCTTTGTTTAGAGAGGAATAACAATCTAAGAAAAGCCAGGAATAGAGAAGAAGTCAGGAAGACAAATTATTTTCCCTTTTATCCTCCAATACATGTGTTGTACATAAACATACACACCCACTCATGACCTCACACACCCACATCCATGCGTTCACATGCTCTTTGTACTACTGGCCATGTCCCCTCACCCTAGAAAATAACCCAAAGGCCTGGGTACGTGACAGGGATTCCCTGCCACCCTGTTTAACTGTTTGGTGTAACCCACAATTTCCTGTCCTTTGGGAATAAACCTCAGAACTCTAAGACTTACAGATTCCTAGAACACTTGTAAGAAACTTGCACATTGTTATCACATGTGACCCATGTGATGGTTAGGGTGTAAATATAAAAATTCCTGTGTTGGAAATAAAGGAAACAGGCTTCAAGAGGTACATGGCTTTTAAGTGGTGGAGCAGGTCCTCTAGGGCAGGGTTTCTACGCTCTTTTTACTTCTTTATGTTTCTTGTTGCTGAAAATCTCTGGTCTTTAAAAATTTTTTAAAAAAATACAGAGAAACTTTACACACAGTGAAAAGCTCGCATTTAAGTTTATATTTCAAAATGTGACAACTGCATAATGTCATTAACACCTCAGTCATGATATAGAATGCTGTCTTACTTAATTTATGGGAGCATAAAATCTAGAACCACTGGACCAGTGTGTTAAAGAGAAAAGAAAGCTATATTCAGAGAAACAAAATTTTCAAATAGACATTTGGTATACATACGTAAGATCCTTTTGCCAAGAGCAAAGAGTGGAAAAACCAAGCTACAGGGTTAATTTTTCTAAGCTAGATTTCCTTGTAATTTCATTCATGCTTCCTTCAAGTTGGTGAGCTTCTCTACTCTGCATTAGGCTTGCATGTAAGACTCCTAGAAGTAAATGAAATTAAAGTCATCAAATTTTTCCTACATTGTTACTTTGGCCCTTGACTTTTTTTTTTTTTTTTGGAGACGCAGTCTTGCTCTGTCGCCCAGGCTGGAGTGCAGTGGCAGGATCTCAGCTCACTGCAAGCTCTGCCTCCCGGGTTCATGCCATTTTCCTGCCTCAGCCTCCAGAGTAGCTGGGACTACAGGCACCTGCCACCACGCCCAGCTATATTTTTTTATTTTTATTAGAGAAGGGGTTTCACTGTGTTAGCCAGGATGGTCTCGATTTCCTGATCTCGTGATCCACCCGCCTCGGCCTCCCAAAGTGCTGGGATTACAGGTGTGAGCCACAACGCCCGGCCGATTTTTATATTATTAATATCATTGCACAAAGCTCTCAGTTGCAATTGGCTAATCAATTTTATTCATATTGAAAAGGGACCCACAATTCCGCCTTAAACTTTGCACAGTACAGCTCAGTGTTTTCTACTCAGACAATTCTCAACCATAATGTTATAATTATACCATTTTCTCAGCGGCATCACCCACATACTATAATTATAGTCAAAGCTAAGGATATGTTTATGGTGTACTGAAGTGGATGGAATTGTATCATTTTAAGTGATTCACTTACCTCCTCTGTTGGTAACAGAAATGCATGGTAATGGAAGAGTCATTGTCTTAATATCCTTCTCTGAACAACAATTTCAGATCTCAAGAAGCCAAAAAAGGAAATAAGATCTCAAAATCCCAAGCCCCAATATGAGAAAGTATGCAAGTCACGATTCCCAGTCTGGTACCACAGTGATTCCCAATTTGAAAATCTAGGGTGGGCAAGGTAATGGGAGGCTAGCATGCTGGTGGTGACTATGGGGTCTCAGAGATGCCTTCATTTGGTTTGCTTGCTGCAGGACGTCACCAAGCACCTCAAGTCAGTTTGCAGAACTGAAAGTGGGACAATATTTTCTATCTAGGCTCTGAGTCTATAGTATCATCACTTATCCAAATGCAGAGAACATCTATCCTGCAGAACCATTCATTCCCTTAAGAAATATTTTATTTGTAGTCACTATGGTCCAGCCACCATTCTAGGTGTCAATTGTATAACAACAAACAAAGCAGACATTTCTGTCCCCATGGAACTTAACTCTAATGTATTTTAGATCTGCCTTTTGCTTATTTACCTGGGTAAATAAAAAAAAAAGCTTTTACTTTTATTATGGGTGATGTACACTAACCCGTATTAGTTTTCATGCCAAAACCTCACCCAGTGAGCCAGACTGAAACCCACCATTTTCTTGATATGTGAGCATGGACCCCATCCTGCAAAGAGAAGAATGGATAATGAGAGGCATGTGCTGGGGTTCAATTTGCAGGGTTCATTTGTAATCAGCTATGAGGTCAACTTCTAGTCCTATGACATTAATAGAAGCAGAGACAGACACTTCATTTTCAGTGTACCTCTCTCTTGCTTCCCCAAAGCCTCTGTTCTAAAAGTTTAGTAAAACCTTAACATTCTTCAACTTGCTCTGCTCCATGGAACCTTAGGGGCAGGAGGAATAGAAGATAATATTGTGGAAAATCATAAAGTATGATTTGGTAGAAGGTGAGCCATGTCTAGGCACATACCTCCTGGTTGTATTTTAATAATTATTTTTAAGAGTGCATTTTTGTTTTCATTTTTCTTTTCAGAGAAGGCCAAGTAATGAATCAATTTTGGTAGCACAGGCTAACAAGCAGATGCATATGGTGCAAATGAGTACTCTCCTCAGTTCTGAGACAACCAAGAGCTGAGCCTAGGGCTCCTAGAAATCGGTCAGCGAAACTGAGGGAACTGAGTAGTCCAGTCCTTGAAATAAAATACATTTTGGTTATTATTTGGATTTCATCTTGTTTATATGAGCTTGAACGACTATATTACTTGTAATGCTGTCAGCCTCCAAGCCCCTGACCTGGGATGGTGGAGCAGAAGTAGGCAGAGAGAAAGGCAGGAAGAGTGGCATGGACATGGGTAGGGTGGCCACATTTCAAATGTTCTCTCTGGGCCTGTATACACAAGCTTGAAAGCTATAGCTTCAAGAGCAAAGAATTAGAAGGCAGAAACAAACAAAAGCCTGCATTTAGAAAATGGCAACTAACTGGTTCTTTCCTCTCTCTCTCTTTGGTTTTCAATTAAATAAAAAGCCTATTGGTTATCTTTCCTTTTTTTGTTTTTGTTTGTTCAGGAGTGATGAAAGGGGATAGAATGTAAATGTTCCATGGCCAAAGAGTCTTGGAATCTCCATTGGGACATAGCAATGTTTGCTATTAGATGATTTCAGCTCTAAGAAATATTTGATAGCTCACATCAACAGAGCTGTGCACAAACAAATACCATCGTGCCAGATAACAGAAGCAATGAGATCTTCAGCCCACGTTGATTGATTTCAAGAATGACCTTGTAAATTCTAAGACATTTATTTTTCCTTGCCACTGGAAAGCAAGTATTTCATTATCAACCCTTTATGACCACATACTTCAGCACAACTCATTCAATATCCAGTTAGCTAGAACTCAAATATTTTCTGGTTTTCTCACAATAATTCTCTAAACTAATCTGTTCATATAAGGACATTTCCCACCTTTCAAGATAGAACTCTGGCCACTAGTAATAAAGACAAAAGGAATGGTAGGATTCCATATATAATGAAATGAGATAGACATATACTTCATAATATTCTCATGGGTTCCCCTGAGAATGTGAATTGTGTTTACTTGAGGATGAAATTTGAGACCATCTGTTCATGAGGGATTATTCTATTTTTATTTTGGAATTTGCAAAATAAACATAAAAATAGAAAATATGGTTTAATTAATTCCTATATGTTCATCACCAAGGTTCAACAATTATCAACATATAGCAATCCTGTTTTGTGTACTTCCACTATCTTTTTTTTAATGATATGCTTTCACCCATAACTATCTAGGTATGTATCTCTAAAAGCTAAAAACTTTCTCATTTAAAAAAACATACCAACATCATATCTAACAAATTGGTAATGATTCCTGAATATCGTAGAATACTTAGTTTATGCTCAAATTTCCCATCATGTTTCAAAAGACATCTTTTGACAGTTAATTTGTTTGATCAGGATACAAACTAGATTCACACAGTGTCTCTTAAGTTTGTATAAATCCGTGATTCTCCCTCTCTCTTCTTATTACATAACTTTGTTGCTGTTATTGCAGAAACCAGACAATTTCTTTCAGCTTACTGCAATCTTAAAGACTTTAAAAATGTTTCTCTATCCCTGGTATTTCCTACACACTGGCAGTTAGACCTAGAGGCTTACTTTGATTCAGATCAATTCTCATGGAAAGAATACATCATGGGTGGTGCTGTGAACTATATGTTCATCAACAATTTTCAACAATTATCAAGATTTATTTGATATTTATTTTAAGTATCAGGAGACATATAATATCATGTGGTAAGATTAACGTGGGTCCAAGGTATTGTCAGCTTGATTCACCTAGAAGACAGCATACCTAAATATTTTATCATTCACTGATCATCTTGCTTAAATCTATTATGTCATTAGAGTTTGTAATGTAGTGATTTTTCTAATCCTACCATTTCTTTTATATTTATTAACTAGAATATGCCTACTTTTAAAAAAACAACTTTATTCCACCAACTATTCAGTTATTCTCAAATGCAATTCATGCAAAAATTCAAGGTAGTTGCTTATTTCCCTTGAGGTATTAAATTTTAAAATAGTGAGATGCCCTGGTAACCTCTAAAAGTTTTTTTTAAAAAAATACCACTGTGAACTTCTCTGGATGAATCATATACTGATATCAATTTTGTAGGACCAGAATTGTGGGAATAGAAATGATTAAGTCACTTCTCCCTTTTCAGATATTCTGGGCTGTTTTCAGGGAAAAAAAAAAAGGCATAATGTATTATCTTGGCCACCTTTCCCTTCCATTCATGCTAATATTTTGCCAATTTCTCTCTACAAAAATGGCTGAAGACAAGAGTAGAGACTAGACATCTAAAAATCCATGCACATATGCAAATCCTCTAGGGAAACCACTGTGGATATTTGATGAAGGATGTGTGCTCATATCCAGGGAGAGGTCGTGTAGACATTAACAATCTTAGTGTTTAGACACTGTGGTAGACTCATGCCCACACCATTGAGCATAGTTTGGAAGTGCCATGATCACCAGCAGCATGTATTCCTTTAGTCATTAGTGTCCATTGAGGTAGTTAACAGGTAATCCCTTGAAAAGAAGTTCCCTGGTCAAGTATTTCCAGGAAATGTTGTGATTCTTTTCTTTCTCTTGGACATTTATAATGCACACAAACAGATGAGAGCCTCTGAGAGGTTCTGCAATAAAGAAGCCTATTTAGCTTCAGCTTTGCATCTCCTAGCATTTCCTAAGTGCTGGAGAAATGGTGCGTTAAATGCGTTAAGTTAAGCCAACATTCTTTATAGGATAATCAGTTGTGGCGTGAATTTTTCCCTTCAATGCATATGTGTAATGGGTTGAACTGTATCCTCCAAAGATATGCCCAAGTCCTAAACCTTGGTACCTGTGAATATGACTTTAGTTGGAAAAAGGGTCTTTACAGATATAATTAAGGTATAATTGAGCTCCTTGTGCATTAGGATAGGCTCTACATTCAGTGATAGGTGTCCTTAAAAGAGACAGAAAGGAGACCAATCGCAGACATAGGGAAGGTCAAGTGAAGACAGAACCAGAGATTGGAATGATGTTTCTGCAAATCAAAGAACACCAAAGATTGCTGGCAGTCACCAAAATCTAGGAGAGAGGCATGGAACAGAATTTCCTCAGAGCCTCCAGAAGGAACCAATCCTGGTCATACCTTGACTTTGGACTTCTGGCCTCCAGAACTGTGACAGAATACATTTCTCTTATTAAGCCACCAAGTTTGTGGTAATTTGTTATAGCAGCTTAGGAAACAAATATGAAATGCCTAAGCTCCAGCAATGAAGTTCAATTCAGTACATTTGAGGTAGAGGTCCTGCATGTGTATTTACTGAAAATACTTATCCACAGATGATTCTGATGGGCATACCTACCTAGAACCACCACTTCAGGATAGTGGTTTCAGCCTGTCTATACTAACAACCCACTAGGATTTTAGGTTCTTGCTGTGGTCTACACTCACCAACGAAGTCCCCTGACTTGTTTCTCTCTCTCTCCCTCTTTTTTGTAGAGAAAGTAATCATAAAGAAAATATTTTTGTGTTATGCCTTGAGGGGAACATAAGAACTGGTTATTAGTTATAGGTAGTGGTGATGGTCAAGGTTGTGCAAGTAGAAGGAGGTGATTATGGGCTCAAAGAGGACAGAAAGAAATCAACATTTGTGAAATTCATTGTACGGATCTTACTAGAAGGGCGTTCTCATTCTGCAGCCTGAACAAGACTGGGCTTGATTTCTTTTGGTAATTTGGGAAATCTTGGTCTTCTATGACTTCTTGCCCTTCTAATCGTCTTCTGATCCTTCTGAATTTAGTTTCTATCTTTCCATCATCGGCCTGAAAAGGCTGCTTTTTTCATCCTCAGATTCTTTTCATCTGAAAACATATGATTTCTTCTCCTAATTATTTTCTTTATAGCAGTCTGCCTCCTTAGGTATCTTTTTGGTGTACTTTTCCCTCTCAGTCTTTTGGTTTTTCCAAGAGGAGCCAGGCATATCTCTTTGGTCCTGTCAATAACTAATGACTAATCAATTAGGCACCCACTCTTTAAAAACCTCAAGAAGCAGAGGTTTGCAGGACAGGAAGGAATTGGTGTATATTCCTCTGGTTTTCTGGTTTGTCAGCTTCTCACAGTGAGGCTGACTATACTCTACAAGCTTATTTACTCATGGATTAACCAAGATTATTCAATTAAAAACTAAATTTTAGGGAAGTTACCCAAGACAAATTTTACTTAATCCAAAATATTTGCCCCAGCTGGTCTTTCACAGAAAAAGCAAAGTAGGTGGGGTAGAATGTAGAGAGAGATTGGGGGTAGCGATAGTGAGGGCAGGATGAGATAGTGTGGGAAATATTCCCTTCCCTCCCTTAGGCACCACAGAATTCCAGATCTAGTTCGCCCAGCCAGCCATGGTTCACCAGCAGCATGAATCACACAGGCTGCCCTGGGCTAGCCTGGACACCTAACCATTAGTTACTGTATTATATATTGCGGTTGTTAAAATTGATCATCAAAGCCTCCTTATTCCTGAACTTCTAAAGCAAAAATAAATTTTAAGTTAGAGACTCTAGGGGCTCGTACATATATACAAGAACCCCACCTATACAAACATTCTGTATTTATTGACAAATGACTCATCCAGGCAGTAAGTGTTATAAAGCTTAGAGAAAAGAGCTTTGGATTGAGTTTAGTCCAGTAAGGGGTGAAGGTGCTCTTTGAAAAAGACACCTTTTTCAAAGGTGTACACTTTTAGCTCTGTGTACAGCCTCATCTTTTTTGTACCTAAGGAGAGTCTATCAGGGGAAGGAGGAAGGAAAGGAAACAACATTTTACCAAGTGCCAAACAATGTGTACATTTTATTTGATCATGACTAAGGGCAGCCCTGAGTAAAGAATTTGAAGCAATTAATTGCACTACCTTTCTGTTTGAGTGCCTGCCTTTCCTGTCTTGGTGCCATGGGACTGGCACTGGTAATTTGGAGTATGGCGAGCCTCTCAGCCCTACCTGCTGCTCCAGTTGTAAAGTGACAACCTAAGCTATCTGTTGCCTGGACTAAAGCAGAACATAAAAGCAGGGATTCTCAAACGAGGGTCTTTCAGGACGCAAAATTAAGTTTTGTATTTTTTGGTAGAAATACATGGCAATTAAAAGATACACACACACACACACATATATGATATGGAATAA